>NC_000007.14:105006779-105631779 GCF_000001405.40 Homo sapiens | reverse complement strand
GTTTATTGTCATTGGCCAGGTGCAATGGCTCATGCCTGTAATCCTAGCACTTTGGAAGGCCCAGGGAGGCAGATCACTTGAGGCCAGGAATTCGAGACCAGCCTGGCCAACATGGTGAAACCCTGCTTCTACTAAAAATACAAAAATTAGCTGGGTGTGGTGGCACACACCTGTGATCCCAGCTACTCAGTAGGCTGAGGCAGGAGAATTGCTTGAACCCAGGAGGCAAAGATTGCAATGAGCCGAGATGGCACCGCTGCACTCTAGCCTGGGCAACAAAGCGAGACTCCAGAAAGTTTACTGGGGTACAGAAGAGGGTGTCCTGGCAGAAATGGTGATAACTCATCATCTGGTTGTGTAAGGTGGTAGACATGACCTTTAGGTCCACTTGCCATGTATTAAGACCTTTAACTCTTGAGCTGTATTTAGTCCTCACCTCACCTATGACTTTTGCAGCTCTAGGAATGTCCTAGAGGTGGCCAGCTTCTTGGAGGTTCTATAGTAGGTCAGTTCCTTTCCCGTTAGTTAATACTTCTCCAGCCACATCCTGTTTTCTTAATGTTAAAATCTCATATGCTTGTATCAGTTAGGATGCTTCAGGAGCAAGTAGCAGAAAACATACATTACCATACATTTAAATAATTAGGAAACTACCGCATGCTACATGAGGTCCAGAGGTGGAGGAGCACCAGCCCCCAACCATCAGAGATTGACTCGCCTTCACAGCCCTTCTTTTATTCCACCCTCTTCAGTCTTTTGGCTTCATCCTCAAAGTCCTATAGCAAAATGACTGTAGCAATTCCAGGCACATGCAGATATAACAAGGTCCAGATGAAGCTGAAGACCACCTTTCCTGTGTGTCTCTTTTGTTTTTGTTTTTGTTTTTCTTAATGAACTTCATGTTTAGAGGAGTTTTAGTTTCCCAGCAAAATTGAGCAGAAGGTACACGTTTCCTATATACCTCCTGCCCACACATGCATAGCCTCCCTCCGCCACTATCAACATCCCCCACCAGAGCCTTGTGTCTCTTTTATTTATTTATTTATTTATTTATTTATTTTTTGAGACAGGGTCTCACTCTGTCCCCCAGGCTAGAGTGCAGTGGCATGATCTCAGTGCAACCTCTGCTTCCCAGGCTCAAGCAATCCTCCCACCTTAGCCTCCCGAGTAGCTGGGACTATAGGTGCCTGTCACCATGCCTGGCTAATTTCTGTATTTTTTGTAGAGATGGGGCTTCACCATGTTGCCCAGACTGGATGCCTCTTTTTAAAAGTGAGGAAAAGCATTCCAAAAGCCCTCTACGCCAAAAAATATTTTTTAAAAAATTTCTCATGTCCTTTTCTAAACCAATCATTAGCAAGCAAAATGAGAGATTCCTATTATTGGTTTAGGAGTTAAATGGATGTTAGGAAGTCATCGTCGTAAGTATCACCACATTTCTGCTGATCTCATTGTTCTTTAAAGCTAATGCCTTTTTTATCTCTTTACTGTTATTTTAGTAAGATTTTGGAAGAGAGAAGAGAGAAATATGTGTGATCCATCTGCCCTGTTTAACAGGAAGTTCTTCACATTTCCATGCTCATGGCAGCATTATGGCCAAGATATGGAAACAACCTAAGTGTTCATTGAGGGATGAATGCAGATATATATATATAATATTTCAGCCTGGTGCAGTGGCTCACACCTGTAATCCCAGAACTTTGGGAGGCTGAGGTGGGCGGATCACTTGAAGTCAAGAGTTCAAGACTAGCCTGGCCAACATGGTGAAACCCCCTCTCTACTAAAAATAAAAAAATTAGCCAGGTGTGGTGGTGCATGCCTGTAATCCCAGCTACTTGGGAGGCTGAGGCAGGAGAATCACTTGAACCCAGGAGGTGGAGGTTGCAGTGAGCCAAGACTACACCACTGTACTCCAGCCTGGGTGAAGGAGTGAGACTGTGTCTCAAAAAAAAATAATAATAAGACCGGGCACGGAGGCCTACACCTGTAATCCCAGCACTTTGGGAGGCTGAGGTGGGTGGTTCACTTGAGATCAGGAGTTTGAGACCAGCCTGGTTAACATGGCTTAATCCCATCTCTACTAAAAATACAAAAAAATTAGCCGGGCGTGGTGGCAGGTGCCTGTAGTCCCAGCTACGCAGGAGGCTGAGGCAGGAGAATCACTTGAACCCAGAAGGCGGAGGTTGCACTGAGCCAAGATCACGCCACTGCACTCCAGCCTGGGTGACAGAGGGAGACTCCATCTCCAAAAAAAAAATAAATAAGTAACAATAATAATAATAATACATATATATAAAAAATAATATATAATTATATATATTATTTAACAATAAAAGAAGAAGGACATCCTGCCATCTTCAACAACATGGATGAACTTGAGAGCATTATGCTAAGTGAAATCAGACAGAGAATGACAACTACTGTATGATTTCAGTTACAGGTGGAATCTAAAAAAGCCAAATTCACAGAGAGAGTAGAGTGCCAGTTGTTTGAGGCTAAGGGTTGGGAGAAATGGGGAGATACTAGACAACTTTCAGTTACAAGATGAATACATTCAAGGGATCTAATCTCCAGCATGGTGACTCTAGTTAATAATACTGTATTATGTACTTGAAATTTGCTAAATAAGTAGATCTTAAGCAAATTTCACTGGGCTCAGTGGCTCATGCCTGTAGTCCCAGCTACTAGGGAGGCTGAGCTGGGAAGATCCTGTGGGCCCAGGAGTTCCTGTGAATACAGTGAGTGATTGCTCCACTGCACTCCAGCTTGGGAGGCAGAGAGAGACCGTGTCTCTAAAAAATAAAAATAAAAAGTGTTCTCACCATGGGAAAAAAAAAAAACCCGGTAACTGTGAGGTGACATATGTTAGCTAACTTGTGGTAATCATTTTACAGTGTACACATATACCAAATCACATTGTATACCTTAAATATACACAATTTTATTTATTTATTTATTTATTTATTTATTTATTTATTTATTTATTTGAGATGGAGTCTCGCTCTGTGGCCCCGGCTGGAGTACAGTGGCGCGATCTCGGCTCACTGCAAACTCTGCCTCCCGGGTTCACGCCATTCTCCTGCCTCAGCCTCCCGAGTAGCTGGGACTACAGGTGCCCGCCACCATGCCCGGCTAATTTTTTTTTTGTATTTTTAGTAGAGACGGGGTTTCACTGTGTTAGCCAGGATGGTCTCGATCTCCTGACCTCGTGATCCAACTGCCTCGGCCTCCCAAAGTGCTGGGATTACAAACGTGAGCCACTGCGCCCGGCCACACAATTTTATTTATGTATTATAAGTGTAAGATGTTATACCTCAGTAAAACCGAAGAAAAATAAAATACCAAAAAATAGGAAGTTCTTTAATAACTTTCTTACATATACCTGTACTACTAACTCTATTTTCTTCTTGTTTTTGTTTTTCCTATTTTTCATTATGAAATTTTTCCCATGTATAGAAAAGTAGAGAGAATAGTATATTGAACACCTACAGGTCTTGCTTTAACAGTTACTTATTAATATTTTGCAATTATATTTGCTTCATCTACATTTTTTGATGATATGTTTTGATGTAAATTGCAAGTACCATGGCATTTCACCTCAGACGCCTTCCAAATGCATCTTTTAAAAGTAAAGACAGGCCGGGCACAGTGGCTCACACCTGTAATCCCAACACTTTGGGAGGCCGAGACGGGTGGATCACGAGGTCAAGAGTTCAAGACCAGCCTGGCCAAGATGCTGAAACCCCGTCTCTACTAAAAATACAAAAATTAGCCGGGCATGGTGGCACACACCTGTAATCCCAGCTACTCAGGAGGCTGAGGCAGGAGAATCGCTTGAACCCGGGTGGCAGACGTTGCAGTGAGCCAAGATTGTGCCACTGCACTCCAGCCTGGGTGACAGAGCAAGACTCCATCTCAAAAAAAAAAAAAAAAAAAAACTAAAGACAGGACCGGGCGTGGTGGCTCATGCCTGTAATCCCACCACTTTGGAAGGTGGAGGAGGGCAGATCACCTAAGGTCAGGAGTTCGAGACCAGCCTGGCCAACATGGTGAAACCCCGTCTCTACTTAAAATACAAAAATTAGCTGGGCATGTTGGCGCACACCTGTAGTCCCAGCTACTCGGGATGCTAAGGCAGGAGAATTGCTCAAACCTGGGAGGTGGAGGTTGCAGTGAGCCGAGGTCGCACCACTGCACTCCAGCCTGGGCAACAGAGCAAGACTCTTTCTAAAAAAAAAAAAAAAGGCCTAGCACAGTGGCTCACACCTGCAATCCCAACAGTTTGGGAGGCCGAGCAAGTAGCATCATTTGAGGCCACAAGTTTGAGACCAGTCTGGGCAACATAAGCAAGACCCTGTCTCTATAAAAAATTTTAAAATTAGCCAGATACTGTGACACATGCCTATAAGCCCAGCTACTCACAAGGTTGAGGTGGGTGGATCCCCTGAGCCCTGGAGTTTGTGGCTGCAGTGAGCCATGATCATGCCACTGCACTCCAGCCTGGGTGACAGAGCAAGATCCTATCTCTAAAAATTAAAAATAAATACAGAAAAAGAAAGGCAATTTTCTATATAACCATGATGCTGTTATCACACTTAGTAAAATCCAGCTCCTTTTTAATCTATCTCCTGCAGGATAAGGAGGTCCTATCATGATGGAGAGGGCTTCATAGAGAGAGAGCCTGTTAGAAAGTTTGGAAACAAATCTTCATCAACAGAAGATTTGTTAAGTAAATTGTGATATATTCATACTATGGATTACTGGGGAATATTTAAAATGATATAGTTCTATATATGGAAACACGTCCACAACATCACTAGGTTTTTTAAAAAGCATCTCTCAAAATAGTATGTACTACCCACATTTCATGTTCCGGGTGATCGTGTGATCCAGTTCTTGCTTTAAAATGCATTTGCATGTGTGTGCCCAGTAACAACGTCTGGAAGGATGTAAATAAAAATGCTAATAACACTTGATCTTGGGTGGCAGAGTTATGGATACTGGTTTTTTTTCTTTTTTTTATGTTTCAGCCTCATCTAAATTGTTTTATTATTTGGGTCTTCAGCGGTAAGCAGACAATAGTGTTGTTGCTCTTCCTGATACAGAAGAACAGGTATTGAGGAACGTCGGGAGAGATGCGTTCTTTGGCCTGTAGACACGCAGAATGAATGGCAGCTTTGTTTTTATAGTACAGGAAGGTGATAGTCCACTATAAATTGTCATCCCAACATAATTCTTATGACACTGAAAAACTACATGTGGCCTTGTTTTGTTTTTATAGTAAAATATACATAACACAAAATTTACTATTTTTAAGTGTCTAGTTTAGTGGCATTAAATACATTCACAATGTTGTGTAGTCATACTGTCATCCATCTCCAGAACTGTATATCCACTAAATACCCCCTCCCTATTCCCCGCTCCTTCCAACTCCTGATAACTCTTGTTCTACTTTCTGTCTAGGTATCTCATGTAAGTGGAATCATCCAATATTTGTCCTTTGTGTCTGGCTTATTTCATTTAGTGTGATGCTTTCAAGTGTCATTCATATAGTAGCAGAATTTCATTCATTTTTAAGGCTTGCATAATATTCCACTGAATGGATATACCATATTTTATCTTGTCATCTGTTGATGGACAGTTGGGTTGTTTTCACGTTTGTGGTTTTGTTTTTAAGTGACTATACTTTTGGACTCTGTTTTAAGTTCAAGTATTTGAGACCTGAAAAGATTTCAAAGCAACAAAGTATCCAGGGTGAAAATAAGAGAAAAGGGAGACAGATCAGCAGTGCTGCTTCATGAGACTTGAAGGAGCAGCTTTCAAAGCAGAAAGCAGAAAAACAATTTTTTTCTCTAAAACTTCTTTTTCTCCCTATCTTTGTCACCTCTCCCTGCTCAATCACCTGATGAAAGTGGAGAAGTAGTAAAAGCTAGTAACAGTTAACTGTGACTATTCCTCATCTAACTCTTCTGCTAATGCGGATGTGTTTGATTTTGGTTTTGCCTTGTGTTGTTTTGTTTTTTACTGCCTAGGAAGCAGGTAGTTCTACCTCTTATTGTGACATTGCTTTTTTATAAGCTTAACCATAATTAAGATGACATGTGTTGGGTTGTTTTATACACACATAGAATTCATTCATTGGTTCATTGAAAAAAATATCTCTTTAGCACCTACTATGAGCCAATCATGCCCCACAGTGCGTAAAAGGGCTTGTCAAAAAGTAAATTGAAGCTGGGCACGGTGGCTCACACCTGTAATCCCAGCACTTTGGGAGGCTGAGGTGGGCAGATCACCTGAGGTCAGGAGTTCAAGACCAGCCTGGCCAACATGGTGAAACCCTGTCTCCACTAAAAATACAAAAATTAGCCAGGCATGGTGGTGTGCGCCTGTAATCCCAGCTACTCGGGAGGCTGAGGCAGGAGAATTGCTTCAACCTGGGAGGCAGAGGTTGCAGTGAGCCGAGATCACACCACTGTACTCCAGCCTGGGCGACAGAGTGAGAGTGTTTCGTAAACAAACAAATAAATAAATAAATGTAAATTGAAACACTCATCCTCAGAAAATACAATTAAACTACAACTTAATATTAAGTAACAGGCATGGGTGCCGAGTAAGGTACTAATGAGTGGCCCATCACCAGGACAAAACTTTTTTTCATGCCAGTATAACAGTTTCCTAAAATCATAGCTTTGTATCAAAGAACGTATGCATAGGACTGCATTTCTTCATTACTGATATTTTTGGTGATTGCCCTGATCTTGTTTACCTGGTTGATCTTCCTGTCAGGTTCCACTTTCAAAGGAAAGCAACTGTATGGCAAGTACAACTTACTTACCTGCAAATGGGTGAATAGTTGTAACTGAATTCATAGAAGACTGGTGTAGGTTCAGTTCACTTTGTCACGTTCCCATATCTCATGTTCCACTTACACTGTTGGGCTTTCCCATCATTCCTGTCATCTGCGCCAGGGACAACAAGTGGGGCAGAACCTAACTTGACTGTGTCACTGGAGAGAGCTGGTCACTGCAAACCCTTCAGCCTTGATTGTTTTCCCTTATGCAAAGTCACCACCAATGTGCCCTCCCTGAGGTACTGGCAAGGCTAATCAGGCTGTTTTTTTTTTTTTTTTTGAGACAGAGTCTTGCTCTGTCGCCCAGGCTGGAGTGCAGTGGCATGATCTCGGCTCACTGCAACCTCCACCTCCCGGGTTCAAGCAATTCCCCTGCCTCAGCCTCCTGAGTAGCTGGGACTACAGGCACGCGCCACCATGCCCAGCTAATTTTTTGTATTTTAGTAGAGACGGGGTTTCACCATGTTGGCCAGGATGGTCTCGATCTCCTGACCTCGTCATCTGCCCGCCTTGGCCTCCCAAAGTGCCGGGATTACAGGCGTGAGCCACCGAACCTGGCCTTAATCAGGCTGTTTTCTGAGCACCATTAAACTGGGTGGATCTTGTTACCTCAGAAAAGGTTCATTTGGTTTATTTTGTTTGTTCTCCGCTCTTGCCCTTAGACCATCATCTGCAAATAGCATAAGCAGCAGCACATCTTCAAATCATAGCGGCCACACTCCAGAGCCCCCACTCCCACCGGTTGGAGGTGACCTCGCCAGCCGACTGTCCAGTGATGAAGGGGAGATGGACGGAGCCGACGAATCCGAGAAGCTAGACTGTCAGTTCTCCACGCACCACCCCAGACCTCTGGCGGTAGGCCTCCTTCCGTTCCTTGCCATGCGTTCTTCGCCTGTGCTTTGCAGACACTTAGGTGATCATACCAGAGGCATGATCCTTCCTAAGGCAAGGCTGCCTGCGCAGTGTTTTACAAAAAGGCTTACCATGAGTTTGAATGATTGCCTTAGAAATACCCTTGAACATTACAAAAGGAAAGGAATGGGCTCCCAGCTTATTATAATCCCAAGTACTTCCACATACTACTAAAAAGAAAAAAGGGGAAAAAATGGATAATCCCGAGTATTTATGGCCCGCTTTGAAGCGAGCACGCGTGAGAAATAGTGTTTCTGTAAGTGCACTCAGGAGCTGACCCTCTGGCCTTGTCCATCTAAAAACGGAGCCTCTGATGTCCAGGGTTAGCTCGGTTCACCTACTCTGGAAACTGTCTTAGCAGCGTGTCAGGGGCCAGCCCTTGTTGGTATTCTCCCCTGTTGGTTCTAAGTGTTACTGTTGTGTGACCATATGGCACCAGAACTGAGCGTGTGTGTGTGTTGAAGGAAAGAGGAAGCATTTCAGGTCACCATGATTGCTGATTAGTAAGAAGGGCACTTTCTTTCCATTTCCTTGAATGAGTGCACACTGACAGTTCAGAAGGTCATTGACACTGAGGTGGGACCTTAGTTTCCCACCTCACAGGAGGCATCCCCTGGAGGCTTGTTTATTGTTTGCGTACGAGCACTTGAGGAGGGAATGCCTGGTGCTGCCATTGCAGAGCCAAATGCAGGGGCCTAGAACATGGGACCCCATGGTGGTTTACTCTGGTGCCAGCCTGAGTCCTGCAGGATCAGCTCTGTCTCTAGACTGTGTAAGTGAAATCCATCCTGGTCCCGCATCAAGATCGAGTGAATCCCTCTTCCCTCCTATCCATGTCATGAACGAAGGCCAAGTTCACTTCCTTTCCTGGGGATAATGCTTACCTGTGGCTCACCATCAGCCTGAGACTTTGCCTCTTGTTTAGTACAGAAAATAGGGACGATTAAGAATGCCTTTGACTGCCAGAAGTGGAACATTCAACTCATCTGGCACAAGCGCTAAGGTCATTTAATCATCTCACGTAGCAGGGCGTGTAGAGGCAGGTGCTCCCAAGCTTGGTTCAGCTTCTCCACGATGTCATGGAGCCGAGGGACAATCTCTGCAATTCCCTCTACTTTTCACGCATGGTCCCTGTACGTCAGCTGCTGCTCCGATATTACATCCTCACCCAGTGGTGTGCTACTCAGGTTGGAAAGGGACAAACAGAAAAGGGGTCTTCTTCCAAGATGTTGCCTTATGTTAGGAAAGAAAATCTTCCTATGAAAACCCCAGCAGACTTCCCCTTATATCTACCAGAAATGGGTCACATGCCCCCGCCGGATCAATTCGCAGCAGAGAAGGAAGGGGTTGCAGTGACGCAGGAGGAACCAGCCATGATTCATCCCAAGGTTCTGGGAGGAGACCCACTTGATTACTGCTCTGTGTCAGATATCAGAATAAAAGTGTGGTTCTGTTAGCAAGGAAAAGACAGAGAGAGGTGGGAGTGGGTGGTAGTTGGTGAGGTTGGCAACCAGTAGGGTCTGCCACGGTGGCCCACGCAGTGAGGATCTACAGCTCTGCTGGAGGCGTAACATGCCAGCCGGGAACTGGAGCCTCTCAGGGCCTAGCCTCGCATCTGTACGGAATCAGATACACAGGTAGCAAAGACAAAACGGTGCCTCCAGCTCCTGAGTCTGAAAGAAATATGAGGCTCTGCCAGAAGGCCAGACTCTGGAGCACATCAAGACATTTGTCCAGATGACAACCTGCCAGGCTGCAGTGGATTCGCTAAACTCGGGATGTGGCGCAGCTGTGTGCCCTTAATGTTTTGCTGATTTAAATGGAAAGGCCACAGATTTGTGTCTTTGCTTTGTCCTTTCTCTCATGGCCAGTTGATACATTAAATCATTGTTTGTAATGAATGCTTGCTCGGTGCATCTTTAGCAATTGGGATGAGGGAAGAAATGATGTCTAGACCTGGAACAGCTCCCACATGCTGCCGGGGACCAGCTTCTATGTCGGAAAATTCCCTTTGTGTGTTTTCTTGCTTGGTCAGTAAGCACTTAACATGAAGGTGCAGAAAAGTGTTTTTCATCAGCAGTACCAGATTTGATGGGTGATAAGATTTTAATGCGAAACCCCCCAAAACACCAATAGAAACAGAACAAAGGGAAGGTCTTGCATTTCCTCCTGAGAACTGTTGTTCCAAAGTCTGGTTCCAGGACGGGTTTGTGGAATGAGTGCCAATCCAGCCCTGTGTCTGGGAGAGAGGCCAGGGAGCTGCTGGGAGGCCTGGAGGAAGGGGGAGAGCTGCTTTTGAGTTATAGAGTCATTTGCAGACTTGCCTGAGCCCTAAACCAGCCAAATGTCACCTTCTCTGAGGCTGCTTCTTGCATTTCTGTCTGCTAGCCTTCCGGTTGCCCTAACATCATAATCAAATGTTTATTAAACATCTGAATGCCAATATTTCATCCACATATTTTAAGAGAGATAGTGTGCTTTAAACATTTTGTGGATCCCTGTCTCCCCCATCTATTTGTTAGCCCAAATGCCTACTATCCTCATACTAAGGAGAAGGAAGAGGATGGGCTCCCCTGTCTATACACTGATAGTCGAATCAGGTATGTAGGCATCCTGTGTATAACGTAAAACAGCCATGTCATAAGTCCAAGGCAAAATGTAATAAAGCAGGCAATGGGTGTGCCATGGGAATTCACAGTGGGAAGATCACTCAGATGAGAGCCACTGGAAATGAGAGTCTTGATAAGGGAACCAGGAGAGAGAGGGGGAAATTGGGATTGACAAAAAGAAGAAGGAAGGAGACAACAGGGAGAAGGAACAGCAGGAGCAAAAGCTTCAAGGTGGTGCTGTGTCCCAGGACAGCCTACAAAGACTGATTGGAGGCAGAAATGTGGTCGAGACTGGGAAACGAAGGCATTTAGCCTGGCTGGAAGCAAAGTGGCTCTGTTGACATCAGATAGGAAAGGTGGGACCTGGGACACCAGCACAAGCAGTTTCCATTACTATCATGAGAAGCAGGGAACCACCAAGTTCCTTGAGAAAATGTGGCTGATAATAGGACAAACAGATGGTCCTGAAAAGTCACCCTGGGTGTTGGTTGTTGTTTCTTTTTTTTTTTTTTCTCTGAGACAGTCTCAGCCTGTCACCCAGGCTGGAGTGCAGTGGCACAGTCTCAGCTCACTGCAACCTCCACCTCCCAGGTTCAAGCTATTCCCCTGCCTCAGCCTCCCTACGAGCTGGGATCCCAGGCACGTGCCACCATGCCTGGCTAATTTTTGTATTTTTAGTAGAAACGGGGCTTCACCATGTTGGCCAGACTGGTCTCAAACTCCTGACCTCAAGTGATCCGCCCACCTCAGCCTCCCAAAGTGCTGGCAATATAGGCATGAGCCACTGTGCCTGGCATTATTTGTTTCTTAACCAAAAATGCTGGCTCAATCCCAGAAGTAGAAAACGTAGCCCCTTCTGTGCCACAGAAAATTGAATGTAGCTATTGTTGAGTTGTAATATGAGGTTCTGCAGAAAATCCAGAGCTCAAACTACAGAACTGCAGAAGTATTTTTGGCTTCAGTACGGTTTGCTTCTTTGAGTAAAACTGTGCCCTTGTATGTTTTTATGTAAATGTTATTTTTCTCTGTATAGTTTATATTAGCTTATTAACCTGTAATCAAAATTAAAATTTTTTTTTCCTCACAGTTTTGCTCATTTGGGAGTCGCCTCATGGGACGAGGGTACTATGTGTTTGATAGAAGATGGGATCGTTTTCGATTCGCACTAAACTCCATGGTAGAAAAACACCTGAATTCACAGATGTGGAAGTAAGTGAGCAGCTTTTGTGCAATATAAGATCCAAGCTGCCCCACAGTTACCTGAAACTTAACTTTCTAAATAAATGTCAGTGGCTGACTTTTCATAGAACAAAATGATTCTGAAGTCAGGATGCTTGATTAATTCTTAAATACCAGCTCTTCTTAATGGTTTGCCTGAAGGTTTTGAGAAACACGAATGATGTGTTACATGCTTTGTCTTTTTTGGAGACCATTTTTGTGTTGGTAATCTCCTAAATGAGAAGGATGTTAGATAATATATTGTCTGTTTACCTAAGTTAAAGGGCCTTTTTATTGCTCCTAGAGAATCTAAGGATGTTAAGAACATGCTTCTGGCTGAGTGCAGTGATTCACGCCTGTAATCCCAGCGCTTGGGAGGCCAAAGCAGGAGGATTGCTTGAGGCCAGGAGTTTGCGATCAGCCTGGGCAATATAGCAAGACCCCCATCTCTACAAAAAATAATTTTTAAAAATTAGCTGGGTGTAATGACACACACTTATGATCCTAGCTACTTGAAAGGCCTGGGGTGGGAGGATCGCTTCAGGCCAAGAGTTCAAGGTCACAGTGAGCTATGATTGTGCCACTGCACTCAGCCTGAGCAATGGAGCAAGACCCTCTCTCTTAAAAAAAAAAAAAAAAAAAAAAAAAAAAAAAAAAAAATATATATATATATATATATATATATATATATATATGCTTCTGTTTGTGATGTTAATACTACAATATCAAAACTAAAGATTTCAGCCAGGCACGGTGGCTCACGCCTATAATCCTGGCACTTTGTGAGGCTGAGGCGAGCGGATCAACTGAGATCAGGAGTCCAAGACCAGCCTGGCCAACATAGTGAAACCCCCGTCTCTACTAAAAATACAAAAATTAGCTGGGTGTGGTGGCGCACACCTGTAATCCCAGCTACTCAGGAGGCTAAGGCAGGAGAATCGCTTGAACCCGGAAGGCAGAGTTTGCAGTGAGCTGAGATCATACCACTGCACTCCACCCTGGGTGACAGAGGGAGACTCCGTCTCAAAAAAAAAAAAAAAAAAAAAAAAACTAAAGATTTCATTATGGTTGTGGACCAATTGCTAATTTCTAGTTGTTTGCTGTCCTGTGAAAACATCTGTACACTTGCCAACAGGGCAGATCCTGAGCAATGCTGTGAAGTTGGTTAAGTTTGTCTTTGGCCCTTCCCGCCTCCTTAGGACTCCCCACCCACCTCTACTTGTACTTCTCTACCCTAAACTCCAACTTAGGTTCCCTTTCTCTTAAGTTCCTTTACTATCCACTTCCCAGTGTACTTACATTTTAATAGGGGATTCATAAACAGGGAAGAAGCCTTAATCTGGAAGAATGCTATTGGTAAGAAATAATAGGCCGCTTGATAATGTAAGGCCGGCCCACTGGGTATCCCCATCCCCCACTCCTACAAAGGTGAGCTCTCAAGATATCATCATCCATTGGAGTCATGGATCACATAAATCTGGGCCTAGACAGTCCAGGAAGGACAACAGCTGAGGCCCCCCAGCTGCCCACTGAGGTCCAGTAGAGGCAAGGAAGGGATTCCTAAGAAACGGGAGGGAACAGAAGTCAAAATTTGCCCCTCTTCCAGGATTCCTCCTCTCCCCCAGGCAGCTACGACACCTTAGGCCCCTTTCTGGAAGCCTAAAGAGCTTCCAGACCTGAACTTCTAGGAGAAGTGAGCCCCATTTGTGTCTGAATTGAGCTCTCATGGCAGACTTAGTACTAAATGTTAACATTTACTATAAGGTAGGTAAGGGCCACAAGAGAAGCTTATCATTTCTTCCCATTTAAGTGACTGCCCAGTGTGTGTAAAGGGCACCCTTGATATTTACTTGTGTCCATTCCAAACAGCAACAAATTGGTGCTACACGTGGGGTGACTGTGCTCTCAGTTACTTGGTGATTGAGCCTCTGCTCTTGTTCCCCAAGACGGCAGCCAGCCCTGGTGATCCTCGCAGCTCTTTGCTCCCTGTGTTATGGAAGTGTCAATCCCGGACACGTGGAAGGAATGTGTTGATCTGTATTTCACTCCCTGGTGTCCTGTCAGCTCAAGCTCCATATTCCTTTCCTCCTCAGGCACAGAAACCCGAGCCACAGGGCATCAGGTCCCTCCCCCCTGTTCAGGACTTGCCTAACCAATCTGCTGTCACTGAGCAACATTGGGGCTGCCTGGGTGTCAACTCTGGAGAGCGTAGCACCCCGCTACCCTCTCAACCTCGCTGCCCAAACCCCAGGCCCCGGCGGGCCCGAACCTGGAGGGATGGCAGCCGATGGGGGCGTGGAAGACATTAGGAAGAAAAGGAACGGCCAAGACTCTTTTTTCTTTAACAAGCATTTAACTCTGCATCAGGAGCCGCCAACACAGTATTCTCTTTCAGCCAGGTCAGCATCTGGACCTCCATGCCACCTGGCAGGGGAGGTTGGGCACTGTCAGTAATTTATTCGCATCTGTGGGCTTTAGTGTGGGACTTCCCTGGGCCAGTGTGCAAAGCTTAAACCAGGGCACAGCCCAGCAAAGCTGAAATCCACTGCCATTTGACACCTAGAAAAACACATAAACTGTTTAGCCTTGGCGGGGAAGGGACTCCTGGGGACAGGGAGCTGCCACATGCCCCTCACCCTATTTCTCCCCTGCCCTATCTCCCCTCCTGCCCCTGCTATCCACTTGTGAGTAGTGAGGCAAGAAAAGGATAGAAAGCGTGCCTAAAAATAGCACCCATCCCAATCCTGAGTGTCAGCCAGGTTAAGATTTAGGGCTTCAACTCTGCTAGTCAGCACAAGTTGAAGTGTGAATTTATACTATTTAATTGGAAAATTATAAATTGAGACATTAAAAATGGATCCCATTCAGGCCGGGTGCAGTGGCTCATGCCTGTAATCCCAGCACTTTGGGAGGCCGAGGCAGGCAGATCACGATGTTAGGAGATCGAGACCATCCTGGCTAACACGGTGAAACCCCGTCTCTACTAAAAACAAAAATTTATCCGGGCCTGGTGGCGGGTGCCTGTAGTCCCAGCTACTCAGGAGGCTGAGGCAGCAGAATGGCGTGAACCCGGGAGGCGGAGCCTGCAGTGAACTGAGATCACACCACTGCACTCCAGCCTGGGGAACAGAGCAAGACTCCATCTAAAAAAAAAAAATGGAAAAAATGGATCCCATTCAAAGTCATTGATTGGGATCCTCTCTAAATGAGCCATCTGGTATTTGTAAATAACTTTTTATTCCAAGTAACTGCCAAACCTCTGCCCACATGTATTTCTATCTATACTTTAGTGTAAGCAAACTTGAGTCAAGGAAAGATGGAGTGGGTTGCCTATAGTACCACAGCAAGGCAACAAAAGCAGCAGGAAAGTTGGGAGGTTCCTCCCCCTCTAAGAAATGTTCCCTGCCCCTGTTAGGAAGGGGTTGTGCAGGGCCAGACAGTTCTAAGGATGTGTGTAGACATTTCCAGTCTGATCATATGGGAGTCCTTGCCCACCATGCATAGTTCCTGACAATATGGGTATGGTGCTGCTGAGAATCCACCTGCTCACCCATCCACCTACCCATTCATCCATCCATTCATTCACTCATTCATTCATTGCAACAAGTATTTATGGGGCACCTTGCTGAGTGCTTACAGGATCTCTTACCTTCTTTAGGCTTGAGAGAATGTAAATTCTCAATGCCATCATGGCCATTGTGAGTTTGGCAACATTTTTCTCTTGTATTTGATCCCTTTGGTCTGACGTTTTCAAGGACAAGGATTCCTCTGGATTCTACCCTAAAGATGGATGCCACAGGCTCCACCAAAGTGCAGGCCAAAAGCAGAATCTTCAGAGAGGAACGCTAGGAGAGACATTTATCTCTCAGCAGTGCCTCTTTCCAGAGTTCGCTGGCACCTGGTCCTGATGCTACAGCTGGGAGAGTGGCCTCCAAAGAAGAGAAAGGACGGTGTGAGGCCCTGTCTTGCACGTGTTCTAGCCCACTGGGGCACAGGCTCTGGGCCTGCTCACCTTCATGTGCTGCTTTCAAAGAAGGAAAGCTAGTTCCTAATCGCTAGTGAGCCCCAGCTACAGTGAAAATGATTTCCCAGGGAAACCGGGAGAGGGAGCAAGGTGAGAAATGGGAAAGGACCAGCTTGAACACATTTACCTGGCTCCCGAGGGCCATGTGCTTTCCTGCAAAATCACGAACAAACGTCCCTGTGGCCGTGTGCCTCCTCCCGGTCCCCAGAGTAGCAGCAGCAGCACCCCAGGCTGTAGGATGGAAGGAGGAGTCACTCCCAGCGCAAATCAGAAGATGGAGTTTGCAGGGAGGCCCCAAGAGTAAGCCACAGCCTAGTGCTGGTCTTGGCTCCAGGGAGTTTGCTCTGAGGTACCCCCCAGCCTCCAAGAAGACCAAAGAAGAAAACAGTGGGTTTCCCCTTCCCTCCTGTTTTTCTCCTCCTGTCCACATCCTACATTTATCTTCAGAACAAACTAGAAATCCCTGATCTCCTTCTCTGGACATATGAGGGTCCCCACACTCACCATTTCCTAACACGGGACAAGAAGACCCGTGTGGGGTGTGGTCAGCAGCCACACCCCAGACAGCTCCTCTGAGCAAGAGCTAAGGTAGAATGGGCTGAATAGGAAAAAACAAAGCTAGTCCTGGGAATGGGCAACTTGCCATCTCACCATTCCCAAACCCCTAACCCTCCACGGCCCAGCCACCAGGAGCCAGCAGCCGCGAGTCAGTGTGGAAATGGCTCTCTGCAGAGGGAACCAGAGGCTGCAGACAGCAAAGGCGAGAGGATGCTGGCCTTGGAGAGGGCCGTTCCCCAACTGCCTCCAGCCCAGAGCAGGGTGGGGAAAGCCCCGAGAGTCTCTGGGCAGAAGCTGGAGTGGGTGGAGAGGGGAAGCTCCGGCCCCTGTGTCCAGGTAGCAAAGCCCTGTCCTCACATTTCTTACTTGCAACCAGGACCTACATGTGAAATGATCACTTCTCATTAAAAACCACCTTCATTGCTGCCAAAAAAAGAGAGTTGGGGGGTGGGGGCAGTGGTTGAGAGAGGAGAATACTGGGGAGATTTCTATTCTAAATAACATTGACCTTTTATTCATGAACCCAAATCAGGCCTTCTCCAGTAGCCAAGCCTGGAGAAAAGGATCTGAAAGACTGTGCGTGATGAAAATTAGGTTGCTGGATGTTGCAATGGGGGGTGCCATAAGGAGGGGCCATGCTTCAGATTCTCCCATCCTTCAAGGCTCCATTCTCCATAGTCTGGTTCTGCCGGGGTGTCCTCTGTAGCCCTGATCCTCAAACGTCATCGAGCCTCCTGAGCAATGCCAACCCGATGTCTCACTGATTCTCTTTCACTCTTCTCTCATGTTTAGGAAGATCCCTCCTGCGGCAGATAGCCCCCTGCCCTCGCCAGCAGCCCACATCACCACCCCCGTTCCAGCATCCGTTTTGCAGCCTTTCAGCAACCCCAGTGCTGTGTATCTTCCTTCAGCTCCCATCAGCTCGAGGCTCACCTCTTCTTACATAATGACATCAGCCATGCTCTCAAACGCAGCTTTCGTGACATCGCCGGACCCGAGCGCCCTCATGTCCCACACCACAGCTTTCCCTCATGTGGCCGCAACCCTCAGCATCATGGACTCAACCTTCAAGGCCCCATCCGCCGTGTCCCCGATACCAGCCGTCATCCCTTCCCCATCCCACAAGCCATCCAAAACCAAAACCAGCAAATCCTCAAAAGTCAAAGACCTGTCCACCCGTAGCGACGAGTCTCCAAGTAACAAAAAAAGGAAGCCACAGTCTTCGACTTCCTCCTCCTCCTCCTCCTCCTCCTCTTCCTTGCAGACATCCCTCTCGTCTCCACTGTCAGGGCCTCACAAAAAGAACTGTGTTTTGAATGCCAGTTCTGCTTTGAACTCCTATCAGGCGGCCCCTCCCTATAACAGCCTGTCTGTGCACAACTCAAACAATGGGGTGAGCCCACTCAGTGCCAAACTGGAGCCCTCAGGACGGACCTCGCTGCCCGGCGGCCCCGCGGACATAGTGAGACAGGTGGGCGCGGTGGGAGGCAGCAGTGACTCCTGTCCCCTCTCTGTGCCCTCCCTTGCGCTCCACGCAGGGGACCTCTCTCTGGCCTCACACAATGCTGTGTCTTCTCTGCCCCTCTCTTTTGACAAATCAGAAGGAAAAAAGCGTAAGAACTCGAGTTCTAGTAGCAAAGCCTGTAAAATCACTAAAATGCCTGGTATGAATAGCGTTCACAAAAAGAACCCGCCCAGCCTTCTCGCACCGGTGCCCGATCCCGTTAACAGCACCTCCTCTCGGCAGGTAAGGGACCTCCTGGCACCGCCTTCACCGGCTCTGGGGGGCAGGGGGAGCTGGGCAGCGCCCCTGCTTAGCCGGGCGGCTCCGACAGGTAACACAAGCTTGATTCCTGTTCTCGTTTTCCCCGAAGGCAGTTTTCACCCTCTGCTTTGAGAGCACTTTACTGAACAAGTACTTGATACCACGCTCACTATGTGCTAGACACTGTTCTCGGCACTTTACGGTTATTACCTCACTGAGTCCTCACGACACCCCAGTGCAGTGAGTGCAGTTATCACTTTACAGATGAGTAAACTGAGGCACAGAGAGATTCTGAGTTCCCCACTCCACATCGGTCAGTTTTATCTTTTGAGGTTCTGAGAACATTGTCATTAAAGAGTTCTGTTGCTAAGAGGTTTGATCTGATCTGTTGGAACCCCCTTAGGAAGAGCTTGAGGCCCAGGCAGGTTAAATGCTGACCCAGGGTCCCACCTGGGAGTGGGAGCGCCTGTGCCCGGCTCCCGGGTGATTGTCCTTCCCACTTTCCTAGGCTGCCTCGACCCCCACCTCCTCCTAATAGAATTCTTTCCTTCCTAAAGAAAAACTGCAACTGTCACCAGCTGGCAAAGAAGTGTTCAATGCCATGGTGCAGATAGGAGTGTGTATGGTGAGGAAGCTGAGAGAGTGTGGCGCAGTCTGGGAAGGATACATGTTTCTTTCCCTTGAGCTCTGTTCTCATCCCTGAGTCTAGTCCTTCTCCTCCGGCTGGGGGGCTACTTAGGAAAGCCCACCACCACCCCCGCCCCAGCCTCTGGGGGCCAGTTGGGCATAGAGATGAGGGAGCAGACGTGGGGAAGGGCCTGGCCTCGGATTCTCTGGGGAGCCAGGTCTGACGAGAGGGCCGGCCAACCTGCCCGGGAGCCTAGACCCATCAGGGCAGTGTGTCCAGAGACCGTTACACAGAATCAAGGCCACCAAACCCCAAGCCCAGCCCCATCTAGGGACCTGAGGACTTTGGAGCAATGGGAGGCAGTTGTTAAAAGATGTTTTAATGTTTTATGTCACCACTTATGAGACTTGTTATAACCTCATGAAGAGCACAGCCTGAGGGGGATTCACAAATCACAAACACATGAGAAACAGCAAGTTTGGAACCCAAGGGCCAGACAAGCTGCAAACCGAGGCCAAGGTGAGAGGAGCGGGAGACACAGGTCCTCTCGCTCGAGCTGAGGGCACTGTTCTGACTCCCCATGGCCAGGGGTGTGAGGGAGGGGGGCTGGCACCCACAGGGCTCTCCCTGGAGGCTAAACTGCTGGTGGGTGCCACCGCCAGGTCCCAGGATGGAGGGCAGAGCCAAGGCCTCTCAAGTTTGAACATATACACGAATCCCCCGGGGGGCTTGTGAACATGCAGATTCTCAATCAGCAGGCCTGGGCAGGGGCCTGGGAGTCTGCATTTCTAACAGCCTCCCAGGCCACGCCTTGAACAGCAAGGCCGTGGTATCTCACTCATTTTAGATACAGTCCCAGCAGCTAACACGTAGATGATGGGCTCTGTTCCAAGCACTTCAGGTGTATTAACTCATTTTATAATTACTTGCTGTTACTCTCCTTTTACAGATGGGTGAACCAAGGCACAGGAGGGTTAAGCAAGGCACCCAAAATCACACAGCGAAGCAGTAGTTAGGCTAGGATTTAAACCCAGGCATTTTGGCTCTGGAGTCTGGCCTCTTAGCCTCCATGCCATTAACAGAGTCCCTCTGTGTTGAGTAGATGTGGCTCTGTTGATACTTTGGTCTGCAGGACTGTAGGAAATGCTTAGTAAATGCTGAGTCAGCCAGAAGCGGTGGTGAAAGGAGCAGCCAAGTACTCATCAGGAGGGAATTCAAAAAAACGGATGCATTTAACGGCTGCCTTGGATATGGTCAGCATTGGTTCTCTAACGCAGGTGATACCTCGGTGCTTGTCAGCAGGGCATTAAGAAAAGGCTTTATCACTGGTGATTTCCAAGTATTCAGTAAAGGCAAAGGCCCTTGGGATCTGTGTTAATTCTGCTAGGAGATCGGGGTCGGGGCAACGCATGAGATTGAGAAATCCAAGATAAACCTTTGCTTTGAGAACAATTTGGGGATCCATTTAATTGTATCTGGTTGATATAAGGCCAGAAGTTGCCACAGGGCTATTAAACTGAATAAAAAATCAAGACTGTGAATGTAGCCAGGTGTGGTGGCTCACATCTGTAATCCCAGCATTTCGGGAGGCCGAGATGGGTGGATTATCTGAGGTCAGGAGTTGGAGACCAGCCTGGCCAACATGGCAAAACCCTGTCTCTATTAAAAATACAAAAATTAGCTGGGTGGGGTGGCACGTGCCTGTAATCCCAGCTACTCGGGAGGCTGAGGCAGGAGAATCACTTGAACCCCAGAGGCAGAGGTTGCAATGAGCCAAGATCGTGCCACTGCACTCCAGCCTAGGCAACAGAGTGAGACTGTGTCTCAAAAATAAATAAAATAATGTAAGGCAAACATCTTTACATAAAGGCAAGTTAATGGAGAAGAGGAGCGGTTTATAGGATGAAAGTTCAAGCTGCCTTTGCAGACTAGACAGGGACTGGTTAGTGCCTGGCATCAGCTTCCCCAAGGACCGGGCCCATTGTGTGAAGGACAGTCCCAGAGGAAGGGGAAGGGCACAGTGGCCACACCCGCATGCATAGCGTTCCTGTCCTCCATCCACATGAAGGAGAAGCCCAGCACCATCGTGCTATTTTCCTAAAGAACAGTTGCGTGTGCGTTACATCTCCTAGCCGGGAAAACTGACCCAGCAAAAGATCCAGGTGTTTTATCTGCAGCCAGGCTGAGGGAGTCTGGGCTGGAAACAAGATGGGTTTGGGACGGAGGGTCAGAGGTATATGAGCTGTGTGACCGTTTGGCCACAGGTAGAAAAGCCCAGCCTCTGCTGAGTGAAGCTCCCAGGAGGGGCCAGGCATCTCCACCAGATGCCTTTGTCCTCATCCTTCCCTGTTCTGTCCCGGCCAGCTAGGGAGCAGTATGAGGAGTCCCCACAATTCTACTTTTCCTCTGGGAAGGAGAGGGCATCCCTCAAGGCACCCTCTGCAACATTTTCATTTTCTCTGCCACTTAAGATGGAAACACCAGTTCCGAGCCAATCTGAGGGAATGAAGGAGGCATTGTGCAGCCCTTCTTTCCCCTAGAACATGTGGCATCGGCGGGCCCTTCCCAGGCTGGCTCGTGTGTCTGAGTGGGGCTTCAATGGTGTCTTTCAGGTTGGGAAAAATAGCAGCCTAGCTTTGTCACAATCCAGTCCTTCAAGTATATCCAGCCCAGGACACAGCCGACAGGTAAGTTACTGAGGGTGGGGGTGGGGCAAAAATTCATATGGTCATCAGCAGAGTGGAAAGAGTTTGGACACTGGGGTCAGACCCTGATTCAAACCTCATCTCCAGTTAAGAGCATGGCTACCTGGCTTCCAAACCTAGGCCTTCTAGTTAGCTGTGTGCCCTTGGGCAAGTTACTTAACTTCTCTGTGCTTCCATTTCCTCTGTCTATAAAGTGGGGATCATACTGGCCCCTACCTTTTATGGCTTTTGTGAGGATTAGCCTATTCATGTAAAGCCACTAGAAAATGCCTGGCACACAGTAAACCCACAAGTGTTAGCTATTATTACCAGCTGTATGAGCGTACGCACATTACCTCTCTGAGTCTCAGTTTTTTTCATTCGTTAAAAGGCAAAATTAATGCTTCCCTCCTAAGGCTATTGTGAAAATTAAAGAAGATGATTTGATTAAAGGGACTTGCGGCCGGGCATGGTGGCTCATGCCTGTAGTCCCAACACTTTGGGAGGCTGAGGCAGGTAGATCACAAGGTCAGGAGTTCGAGACCAGCCTGGCCAATATAGTGAAACACCATCTCCACTAAAAAATACAAAAAGTAACCGGGCGTGGTGGTGCGTTCCTGTAGTCCCAGCTACTCGGGAGGCTGAGGCAGGAGAATTGCTTGAACCAGGGAGGTGGAGGTTGCAGTGAGCTGAGA
The DNA here is from genome assembly GCF_000001405.40 of Homo sapiens. Classification (NCBI taxonomy): domain Eukaryota; kingdom Metazoa; phylum Chordata; class Mammalia; order Primates; family Hominidae; genus Homo; species Homo sapiens. Next base: position 105,609,836 of record NC_000007.14, on the reverse strand, counting down.
TTGCACCACTGCACTCCAGCCTGGGTGACAGAGTGAGACTGTGTCTCAAGAAAAAAATTGTAAAAAAGGGACTTGCCAGCCAGGCATGATGCCTCACCTATAATCCCAGCACTTTGGGAGGCCGAGGCAGGAGGATGGTTTGAGCCCAGTAGTTTGAGACCAGCCTAAGGAACATGGTGAGACCCTATCTCTACAAAAATTTTAAATAGCCAGGCATGGCAGCAGATGCCTGTAGTCCCAGCTATTCAGGCAGCTGAGGCAGGAGAATCACTGAAGTCTGGGAGGTTGAGGCTGCAGTGAGCTGTGATTGCACCTTGCACTCCAGCCTGGGCAACAGAGCGAGATCCTATCTCAAAAAAAATTTTTTTTAGGCCAGGCATGGTGGCTTATGCCTGTAATCCCAGCACTTTGGGAGGCCAAGGCAGGCAGATCACGAGGTCAGGAGTTTGAGACTAGCCTTGCCCACATGGTGAAACCCCGTCTCTACTAAAAATGCAAAATTAGCTGGGCATGGTGGTGCGCACCTGTAATCCCAGCTACTCAGGAGGCTGAGGCAGGAGAATCACTTGAACCCGGGAGATGGAGGTTGCAGTGAGCCAAGATCGCACCATTGCACTCCAGCCTGGGCAATAGAGTGAGACTTTGTCTCAAAAAAAAAAAGAGGAGGGGGAGGCCTTGCCCATGGTGTCTGTCCATCAGCACTCTCTCAAAAGCCTCTGATGAGCTGCAGCCACCATTCAGGATGCAGTTTCATGGCAGCAGTATTCAGGGTAGACTTAGTAGTTTTTATAAACTTGATGTATAAGAGTAGTCGGTGTGTACACCTGTGATAAATGATTTTCTCAATGGAGTGTGTGCATATGTGTCTAGGGAGGACCAGGAAGGATTGGGGGGTGGGGTTTTGCCCCTTACACATGATTGGAAAATGTGTGGGTGTGCGTGTATATATAACCGTGTTGTTATGTTGCCTGAGATGTACCGCATGTTTTGTAGACACCAAATAACAAAATAGCAACGTGTGTGTATTTTGCCCTTTGGGATTTTCCCACAAATCTTGGGTAGAGTTTGGGTAAAGATTATGGGGAAATGGTTTTTGTATCCCCAGGCCAGGGAGAGTCTCCTCACCATTTTGAGTCCTTTTTGTGCCAGAACACTTGCAGCCCTTCATGTGTGCTGGGGTGGGAAGGCACATTTATACTCAGGCCGTCAGCCTCTGTTGATGGGGCCTCTTGTAGAGGTTGTCATGTGTACCTACAGACTACACTTCACCCTCACCAAACACAGCCTGCATGTGCCCATAGCTCCGGGTACACCTGCTGGGAACCCAAAATGCCAGCAATCAGCCCTGACAAACACAAATGGCCACCACTTGTGTAGCACTCTCTGCCTGCAGAGAGAGGGCTACGTGCTGTGTCCTTTACACACGCTACACACATTTAAACCTTTTCACAACCCTGTGAGGGACAAGATGATTACAGATGAAGATGGCTACACTAAGAAGCCAAGTAACTTGAACCCAAAATCTCTCTCTCCAGAGCCTCTGTGTTTAACCCAACACTAGAATCCTTCCTGAGATAATTTGCAGTGTCATCTATAGGTTAGGTAGGAAAAGGTGAACTAATGGAGAACAAAAATGAAGGCATCAATTATTCTGTCCACTCTCCCAAAGAGGACTCCCAGGAATGTCCGCGGCATTCGTCCTTGTGTTTTCCTCCACAGTGAGGACCTCTGTGACTGCCTTACATGCATGGATCCGTCACCTCATTTGCTATTGGGTCCTTTAGATCCATCATCTCTTGCTATTCCAGCTGCCCTTTGCTGGATATGGGAGGTGGGATATTGTCCTTTCTATTATAGATGAGAAAACTAAGTCTCCATCCTTGAATTCTCATGGGTAATCTCAACTGTATGGTTTTGAAACAAGTTTTTCTTTTCTTTCCTAGAAGAACACAAACAGAACGGGCAGGATAAGGACTCTTCCATAACAAGACTATGAAGCCACTTCCACATCAATTCCAGGCCACCTAATCCCATCCGAGGAGGCCATGGGGAGGAGGAGGGAGGGGAGTGGGCTGGGGGGAGAGTCTGTTTTCTGTGCACTCCCTGTGACTCTGGCCTTTCTTCTTCTTTTTTTAATTGACCAATTTTTAGTTAAAAAGGCAAAAGAAGGTGAATTTGAGATTTACAGAAAACAGTTCCAGTGTTTGGTTTCCGCTGTCTTTCCTTTCATTTGCCATGTTTTTACATTCTTCCAAATTTGGGGTCACTCCCCTAGCTCCTGATGCTGCTACTGTACCATCCTTTTGCTCCAGCCATGAGAGCAGACATTGCAGAATGTTGGTTCCAGGTTGGCATGCTCTGAAGCTCTTGAACTGTAGCACAGGCAGAGCCCTTTTTCTTCCTGTCATCTCCACCCGATTCCTTCCATCCCTACGTCTACCACTCTCTGGGTCCTCACTGGTCTTCAAAGGACCTGGCTCTCATAGGATCCCCTCAGGATTGTGTGCAGGGAGAGGGGGCTTTGCTGGGGAGGAGCTGGGAGTGGAGAGTTGGAGGGTGGGTGGGGTTCCCTCATCCAGTTTCCACAGCCCACCATGGCTGGAGCCAAATGCTAGAAGCGAGATTGAGAACAGTGGCCGTTTAGTGATGTGGTTTACCTAATACCACTGTCCAGCTGTGCAGCTCAGAAAGGATAAACCAGTCAGGGACAGGGGCCAGAACAGGTTTGGGAAGGTGGCAGCAAGCAGAGCATGGTGGGTAGGAGATGATCCCTAAAAAAACTGGAGACTGTGGTGGTCTGAGCTGGTCAGGAATCTGCAGAATCCCTTCCAGGAATCAGTGTGCCAGTGCCCACAGCAGGGTGAGCTAGGAGGGAGAAATCCCAGGAAAAAGGTCGTGAGAACCCAGAAAGCCACTCCATGAGGAGGCACGGTGACCACAGCTGCTAAAGGTTCTTAGGCTGCCTTCCTGGGCTAGGAAGAGCCCCCCAGGGAGAGCTTCCACAAAAGGGTATGTGTCAAACCTTTTGTCAGAATAAATAATAGCATTTCCCACCCACCCCCATGCCCTGGGCCACAGGGACTTGGTGGGATCAGCACACCCATGGATCAGCTTTTGCTGTCTTAGAGACAGCCATCCCCATGAAGGAATGGTAAGGACAGCCACTGCTCAGTGAAGAACAGCCATTTGGAAGAGCCACGCTGGAGCCCTGCAGCCATAGAACTATTCACACTGGAGTTTTAAAAGAAACAGCAATACCATAAGCTCTAGTAGGGAATCATAATCAGGAAAGGAATTCACAACATAAAATAGGTGTTCTGTGCTATTAATCATGTAACTTTGTATATGATGTATAGCAAAGATACTGGGAGGTTTTGTTTCATCCTTAAATCAGAAATGAATGCTAGTTTCATAGCTGGGCAGAACCCTCATCCCCACCCCAAAGTTTTCCTTTTCTTTCCCGTTCCCCCAACCCAAAGATCAGACTACTGTTAAGTTTCACCACACAATTGGAATTGCAAAGACGGGAGGCAAATGGAGTGATTTTCATCAATGGAATTGCACTGACAGTGAGTGTTTCTTATAGGATTACTAAATTTTTTAATATAAAATGATTTGTTTAAAAATCAGGAGTTGATATTAAGTACCAGGACATTAGTTCGGATGATTTCATTTTTATTTCTACAGTGTTAAAAGTGCACTTATATGCTGGTTTATTTACGTCTTGGGAAAAGAGACTGCAAATTGAAGGGATGATTGTTACTTTTTCTTTTTTTAAAAAAAAAAGGTTAAGGAGATTTTAAGACTTATAAATGTTTAAGAAATTATAAACAAGGTTAGACCCTTTGAAAAAAAGTTTAGAAGATATTCTTAAAGTAAATTTTTATAGTGTTAATTTTGTAATAATTTATGTTTTACTATATTACAGAGCTAACTGACCAGAATAGTTTCAGAAACAATATGAAACTTAGGAAAGTTTAAGCAATGTTTATATTTTTAAAATGTTCTTTGAATTATGTTTTTATTGTACATTTCTTCAGACTGAAAAGTATGTACATATCTTTGTTATTTTTGCACAATTTTGTCTTGTTCGGTTTCAGAGGTCTGTTGTTTTTTATAATTTATTTTGAGTTGTAAAACTTGCAGGAGTAAAAACAAAAAACAAAATCTCCACAACAAAATAACCCTCTGATTTATAAACTCTTATAGTCAAAGAGGGAAAACAAAGGTTGAGAGATTAAGTGGCTGCTTCTGAGAAATAATGTCTCAAGGACTAAAGGAGCAATTCAATAGGTTTAGACATTGTAGCTCTCTACATCTTGAATTGGAAGCTGGAATAAAGAGCCCCCACCCCCCCCCCCACCCTCATCGAATGCTGCTTACTTTGTCAAAAGACTGGCTATGACCAAGGTGAGGATATTTCTGGAAAACTGGGCAAAAAGGGAAAGCCCACAGTATTCTTCCTTGGCAGTCAACCACAGGTTTACTTTACAATGATGTATTAAAAACTTGCAGCTTGAAAAATGGAATGCAAATAAAAGGTTCTCTTTGGGTTTGTCTTAATGGAGTTAAACTGGAGCAGCCTATAAAACATTTTTAGGGTGATGTCCTCTGGGTCCTTCTGTTCTGCACACCCACTCAGTCTTCTCTCCCAGCCCCTTGACTGCACACACCCCTCTTTGCCTGAAGATCTCCTGACTTGTCGCCAGCCATAGAGGCTCGAAAGCTCTGGTTGTGAAGCATAACGCAATGCATAGACCTGTCAGCCATAAAAAAAAAAAAAAAAAAAAAAAAGCGACTTGGATAACTTGTATGCCTTCTTTTGTATCAATGTACCAATTGTAAATAATGCTGATCAACCTTTGTAGAGAATAGTTTATACAGCATATTCTATTATTGCTGATTCTCAGTGAACTCTTGTTTTAAAAAAGGAAAAAAAGAAATTTTCTATTTACACCTTATATTTTGTTATGCTGTCGGCCCATGGCACTTTAACAAAACTCTGTGGGTTTTACGTAGCTGGTCAGTCATGGGGTATATTAAATAACTGTTGTTGCACAGACAAGAATTTGCACCTGCTCATTTGTCCTTTCCTACTACCAATTTTAGAACCTTTTCCAGAAAAATTTTGAAGAAAGCATGTCCGATCATTCTAAACAAATGCCACACTTGTGGAGTGGGTTTCTTTTCTACAATCCATATTTTGTAACACTAAGTATTTTCCTTCTTCGTCCCGCACCTCTATGTATTAGCACTATCAGATAGAGTTCATTCCATGCCTGTGATATTGTAAGCAGAATAAATGTCTAAAGTAGGTGTAAATAGTAAATTCTATGGCTTACAGTTTTAAAAGGAAAGAACAAACATGTATCTATTGATACTGCCATGGTTCCTCACCAGGCCTGGAAATATTCTCCAGTAAGCAATTGTATTTTTTTTTTTTTTTTGCTTTTTTTTTTTTTGTAACATGGCTTTGTAAATAAAATAATTTATATGTTTGTAAAACAAAGTCTTCGGGTTTTCATAAAATTTAAATTTTTGGTATTTCTTTTTTTTTTTTTTTTTTTTTTTTTTTTTTTTTGCCGGGGGTGAAGGTATTCTCACCAAAAGAGCCTTTCTGCTAGACCTGCGTTTGAGGCAGGAGACGACTGTGAGGAGAAGAGAAGACAGTGGATTCATTCAGCGAGTACTTAGAGAGCACCCTCTCTGTGCCTGCCCCTGAGCCAGGCGCTCTGTGCGCAGGGATGAGAAACACGATCCCAGCTGCTTTCTGGAAGCAACCCAGTGAGAAGGAAAGCAAATAAATACACACATGATCAGATGTGTAATTACGGATTGTGGCAAATGCTATGGTGGAAAGAACTGAATTCTGTGAGAGAAAGTAACAGGAGAGACATTTACGATGGAGAGGAGGCAGCTCTCAGGAAGTTCTCTCTGAAGAAGTGATCTGAAGGCAGAGATCACTTCTTGAAGCCTAAAGAGCGTCCATTGTGGACAGACCAGGGGCAGAGAGATGGACAGAGGGCAGGGACGAGGCCACAGAAGGCCTTTAGGGAGTTTGAATTTTGTGTCCAATTCAGTGGGAATCCTTGGAAGGGCTTTAAGGAGGGCCACGGTACTGTGATCTGTTAAAAGGGCACTCTAGCCACTGTGTGGTGAATCAGTGGGAAGCTATTGCAAGAGACAAAGTGAAGAACATCAGTGTGATCGAAAGATGATGACAGTAGCTATAAAGAAAAGTGTGTGCCAGCCTGGGCAATACAGGGAGACCCTGTCCCTAAAAAAAGGTAGCCGGGCATGGTGGTGCGCAGCTGTGATCCCAGCTATTTGGTGGGCTCAGGCGGGAGGATCGCTTGAGCTTGGGAGGTAGGTCAAGGTGTTACCAGTGGAAGGTATCCAAGTTACTGGTGGCAAACCTATACAGATCTGCAGCAACCTCAGTTCTTGCCTCCTCAGAAAAATTCAACTGGGGCATAAGGCAGAAGAAGAGATCGAGGCAAGTTTAAGAGCAGGAGTGAAAGTTTATTAAAAAGCTCTAGAGGCTGGATGGGCTCAGTGACTCACACCTGTAATCTCAACATTTCAGGAGGCCGAGGCAGGTGGATCACCTGAGGTTAGGAGCTTGGGACCAGCCTGGCCAACATGGTAAAACATCATCTCTACTAAAAATACAAAAAATGAGCTGGGCATGGTGGTACACGCTTGTAATCCCAGCTACGTGGGAGGCTGGGGCAGGAGAAGCACTTGAACTCGGGAGGCGGAGGTTGCACCACTACACTCCAGCCTGGGTGAAGGAGTGAGAGACTGTTCCAAAAAAAAAAAAAAATTAGCCGGGCATGGTTGCACGTGCCTGTAATCCCAGCTAGGAGTCAGGAGGCTGAGGCACGAGAATCGCTTGAACCTGGGAAGCGGAGGTTGCAATGAGCTGAGATCATATCACTGCACACCAGCCTGGGCAACAGAGCAAGACTCCATCTCAAAAAAAGAAAAGCTTTAGAGCAGTAAGGAAAGGAAAGAAGGAAAGTGCAATTGGAAGTGGACCAAGCAGGCGACTTGAGAAACCAAGCATGCAGCTTGATCTCTTGACTTGGGTGTTTTATCCATTGGCCTACTTCCAGGATCTTGCATTACTTCTCCCCACTGCTGAGATCTTACTGGGAAGCGGCTGATAGTTTCAAGTGTTTTCTATTAGGAGACTGCCTTTCCCTGGCACCGGCTGTGACCAATTATTACTTTAGCGAAACAGTTAACAACTGCCCGAACATGACCTGAGGGCCACCCAACTCTCCTGGTGTGTGGGGGGTGAGGGAGCTCTCTCCTGCCCTGCCCGTGCCTAATTAGCTGCCCCCTGTAACAAAGGTTGCAATGAGCCGTGCTCACACCACTGTGCTTCGGCCTGGGCAACAGAGACCCCATCTCAAAAAAAAAAAAAAAAAAGAAGTGGATTCAAGATATATGTATTTTAGATATGAAATTGATAAGATTTGTTTAGGTAAAGAACGACTCCCAGGTCTCTGGTAGAGCAATTAGTTTGGGTGGAGTTGTCATTTCTTCAGATATGGAAAACCAAAGGAGGAAGAGGCTTTTTGAGGGGCTGGCAGCAGGAGTGTTTAGTGAAGATCGGAAGCAGGCCGGGTACGGTGGCTCACACCTGTGATACCAGCACTTTGGGAGGCCAAGGTGGGCAGATCACCTGAGGTCAGGAGTTCAAGATCAGCCTGGCCAACATGGTGAAACCTCGTCTCTACTAAAAAAAATATTGTTGTGATTACCTGAGAGAATGTAAAGGGAGAAGAGAAGAGAGATTGGGTAGAGCCAGAAAGCTGGCAGGGAACCCTAAGATGAAGCCCTTCAAAGCAAAGAGTGACCCCAGCAGAAAGTGGTTCCCTGAAAGCCAGGACTGTACATGTTTTGGGGAAGGAGCAGTTAGCTGAACCAAATGCTGCTGCAAAATGGAAGACAGGGATGGCGGCGTGTCTAGGGCTTAGCAACGTGGCGGTCACTGGTGAATTATTAGTTTCCTAGGGTTATCATGACAAATGACCACAATGTGCTGGTTTAAAGCAACACACATTTATTATCCCATGGTTCTAGAGACCAGAAGTCCAAAATCAAGGCGTCCGCAGGCTGCATTCCCTTCCAAGGCTCTAGCAGAGAATCCTTCCTTGCCTCTTCCGGCTTCTGGTGACTGCTGTCCTTGGCTTCCCTGGTTTAGAGGCTCAACCCTCAAATCTGCTTCCACATTCACATGGCCTTCTTCCCTGTTTCTCCCATGTCTTAAATCTCCCACTGCCTTTCTTTCACAAGGATAACTGTTACTGAACTTAAGGCCCACCCTAAATCCTAGATGATCTCATCTGGAGATGCCTAACATCCGCAAATTCTGGTTTTCCAAATAAGGTCACACTGGCAGGGCCTGGGGGTTAGGACATATCTTTTGGGAGCCACTATTCAACATACCACAGTGGCCTCAGCAAAACAGGTATGACAGAGTAGCGTTGGCATGGGAGGGCGGAGCATGGGCAAAGCCAAACTGGAGTGGTTTGGAGGGTGTGTGAGAGCTAAGCAAGGGAATTCCTTTTGTAGACAGACAAATCCTAAGGAGCTTAGCACGAGGGAGGCTTTGGATTTTGTGTTTTTTGTTTTTCAAGGGAGGAGAGACCAGATTATAATCCATATGCTGGTAAGACTGAGGTAAATAGGAGAGGGAGAGGTTAAGAAAGCAAGAGAAAGAGGTGTGGTAATGGTTAGGCTTTGTGTCCCCATACAAATCTCATCTTGAATTGTAATCTCCAGAATCCCCAGAATCCCCACGTGTTAAGGGGGAGACCAGGTGGAGGTAATTGAATCATGGAGACGGTTTCTCCCATGTGGTTCTCCTGATAGTGAGTGAGTTCTCACGAGATCTGATGGTTTTATAAGTGGCTCTTCCCTCCCAACCCCCGCCCTCGACTCCCCGCCCATTCGCTCGGCACGTCTCCTTCTTGCTGCCTTGTGAAGAATGTGTCTTGCTTACCCTTCGCCTTCCACCATTATTGTGAGTTTCCTGAGGCCTCCCCAGCCATGCTGAACTGTGAGTCAATTAAACCTCTTTCCTTTAGAAATTACCCAATCCCAGGTAGTTCTTTATAACAGTATGAAAACAGACTCATACAGGGTGATTTAAAAGAGAGTTATCTGACTAAATAAAAAAAAAAGTCCTTGAGATGGCAGGAGGGAGGGAGATGCTGGCCTTTGTAGAAAGAGGGACACCTCTAAGGCAATGGGGAGGAAGTCAGCTTATAGATTTATTGCTGGGAAGATGAGGGAATGCCCAGCTGATGGCTTCCGTTTTCTGAGTGACCATGAGGCAAGATGAATGTGTATGAAAGCTTGGGAGAAGTTTGAGAAAAGTAAAGAAAGAATTAAGGGCTGGGCTTAGTGGTTCACACCTGTAATCCTAGCCCTTTGGGAGGCCAAGGTGGGTGGATTGCTTGAGTCCAGGAGTTCAAGACGGCAACATGGCAAAAACCCGTCTCTATAAAAGAAAATACAAAAATTAGCCCGGCATGGTGGCGGGCACCTGCAGTCCCAGCGGGTGGATTCTTTGAGCCCAAGAGTTCAATGCTGCAGTGAGCTCTGATCAAGCCACGGCACTCCAGCCTGGGTGACAGAGCGAGACCCTGTCTCAAAAAAAAAGTAAAGAACTAAATTGCCAGACAGACAGTGCTGAGAGCACATTTGAAATTCATGTCTAAGATCCTGACATGGAGAAGATCATCTTGGGGAGTAGTTGGAGTGCCCGAAGAGCAGAGCAAGGCCACTCGGAGCCAAAGCTGTCAGGCAAACTAAGGCGATTTTTTGCCATTTTGCTTCAGTCCCGAGTGAATATTTTCACTATGGTGCAGAACAGAAAGCCAGAGGAAGCAGACTTGAAACTTGACACATAGTAGGCACGTTGAATAAATGTTTGTAACATTGTATATTGCCCACTGTCACAAAACGGCAGTGTGGCACTTCCTGCACCAAGGACTTCTTTTGCCCACCAGTTCACTGAGAGCCTTGTCTGTGGCTGGCAGTCCATCACCATGCACTGGCCTGGGTAACATCAAGCTCTGTTGTGAAAGGGGCCTGTACATTCTGTTTTTTTCCAAAGCCAGAACTCTGTGAAGCCTCTTGCAAAACTAGTCATAGGCCTAGAAAAACCATAGGAAGCTGGAAGTGATCTTAACCCTAGAACCCTCTTCTACAGGTGGGACAGCTTATTTTTGTTTACGTGGGGGGCTTTTTTTTTTGAGACAGTGTCTCACTCTGTCACCCAGACTAGCACAATCAGGGCTCACTGCAACCTCAACCTCCTAAGCTCAAGTGATCCTCCGGCCTCAGCTCACTGAGTAGCTGGGACCACAGGTGCATGCCACCACACCCAGCTAACATTTTGTATTTTTAGTAGAGATGGGGTTTCACCATGTTGCCCAGCCTGGTCTCGAACTCCTGTACTCAAACGATCCACCCTTCTTGGCCTCCCAAATGGCTGGGATTACAGGCATGAGCCACTACGCCTGGCCAAGACTGGGACAGTTTAAATGAGATACTAAGACCTCACAGCTGGCTGTTGGTCAAGCCCGATTGTTCTTTCAAAACAGTGCTCTTTCCATTTCCTGTAGAAAGAAATTCTACCGGCCAGGCACGGTAGTTCACACCTATAATCCCAGCGCTTTGGGAGGCCGAGGTGGGTGGATCACCTGAGGTCAGGAGTTCAAAACCAGCCTGGACAACATGGCAAAACCCCATCTCTACTAAAAACACAAAAATTAGCTGGGCGTGGTGGCATACGCCTGTAATCCCAGCTACTTGGGAGGCTGAGGCAGGAGAATCGCTTGAACCTGGGAGGCAGAGGTTGCAGTGAGCCGAGATCTTGCCACTGCACTCCAGCCTGGGTGACAGAGCAAGACTCTGTCTCAAAAAAAAAGAAAAAAAGAAAACTCTACCCACAGACTGTTCTTCCTATACCACTGTATTTCCATAAAGGTGTTTCAAAATTCAGTGTATCAGCCAGGCACACTGAATGGTGAAACCCCATCTCTACTAAAAACACGAAAACTAGCCAGACATGGTGGCGGGCACCTGTAATCCCAGCCATTTGGGAGGCTGAGGTAGGAGAATCACTTGAACCCAGGAGGCAGAGGTTGCAGTGAGCCAAGATTACACTACTGTACTCCAGCCTGGGTGACAGGGTAAGACTCTGTCTCAAAAAAAAAAAAAAAAATTCAATGTGTCCTCTAGTTGGTTTACTTAGGTTTTACTATACTTAAATATTTTTCTCCTTTTTGTTTTTTTCCATTAGGCAATAACCACTTGCCTAATGGATTATTTCTTGCTTTCTGATCTCATTGGGGCTATTCAGAGCAGCAGGTTTTAAGTACCCATGTTTCTAATAAAGTTCCCAGGAATTTATTTTAATAAGTTTATTTTCTATTCGTCACATCTTCATAAGCCATTCAACTAGAAAAGTAAATGAAAAAGATGCCAAGAAAGCTGAATGCCTCAAAAACCAAATCAATCCTATTCAAGACTGAATCATTGGAGAATCATTGTGGGAAGCTTGTAACAATTTGGAGGTGCTGCATTTATTGAGATAATTCAAAACTTGAATCTGATCTAAGGTCATTAACTTTAGGAAGGTTCTCCATTTTTAAAATGGTGGAACTTTTCTGGGTTTCCCCTTCAGCCATCAAATATTTTAGTAAATTTGTAAAGCAAACAGCATCATCACAAAAGTGTTTGCTTCCTTTGCAACCTGAACAAGTACTGAGAAAGCTGCTATTAAAATAGGAGCTTCTCCAGCATGGGCAACATGGTGAAACCCTGCCTATACCAAAAATACAAAAATTAGCCAGACTTGATGGGAGCCTGTAGTCCCAGCTACTCAGGAGGCTGGGGTGGAGAACGGTTCGAGCCTGGGAGGTGGAGGTTGCCGTGAGCCAAGGTCACGCCACTGCACTCCAGCCTGAGCAACAGAGAGACCCTGTCTCAAAAAAGTAGCTGGGTGTGATGGCTCATGCCTGTAATCCAACACTTAAGGAGGCCAAAGTGGGTGGATCATTCAAGGTCAGGAGTCTGAGACCAGCCTGGCCAACATGGTGAAACCATGACTCTACTAAAAATACAAAAATTAGCCAGGCATGGTGGCACGTGTCTGTAGTCCCAGCTACCTCAGGAGGCTGAGGCATGAGAATTGCTTGAACCTGGGAGGCAGAGATTGCAGTGAACTGAGATCGCGCCACTGCACTCCAGCCTGGGCAACAGAGTGAGACTCCGTCTCAAAAAAAAAAAAAAAAAATTAGCTTCTAAAGTCTATTAGAATTTTCATTTTCTTTCAACCTACTTCACTTACCTTACTGATTTCATAGCCAACCTTTAGTCCCCTTTGTACCCCAAAAATCTCTTCCATGTTCCTCAATCCAAACACGACTTGCAGGCTAGGGGAGGAGAGTAATAATTCTTGCATATTATTGGAATAGGGCAAAGCAGAGCCCCAGGGAACAGAAGGGCATGGGGAGGAAAATCTTGGGGATCCTGGAGCTTTTCTTTTGGAAAGAATCAGAGGCAGGTTTTGTTTTCAATGTGTACACGTCTTTTGGTTCTGTGCAACTCAATAAACTGAGAACATTTTGACATGGGCTAGATGTTCCACATGAAGAGGACCAGCTGACTCTGCTGTAGGACAGACCCGGAGAGGGAGCCTCCAAGTCCGTGCTCACCTTCCAGCACTGGGAGGTTGTTCCTGCCAGGCCCATGCTGAGCCCAGCATTGTTTAACATTTTAATTAATGAATGGGTATTCAAAGTAACCTTGGTGAATTAAAGCCATGAATACAAACAGACTGATTTATAGAACAGTGGTTACCTTTGTGGGGGCACAAGAGAGATTTCTGCAGTGCTGGAAATGCTCTGTATCTCGACCTGGGAGCTTGTTAAATGAATCTAATCGTTTGTGAAATATTTATCAGGTTATATACTTAAGATATGTTCATTTTATTATGCACTCTTAAATTTGAAAGTTTATACACACACAAAAGGCAAACGGCAGACTTGGAGTGATAATTATCTTATCAGAAGAAGAAAGTTAAAGTACTCTGAGGAGAATACTGATGAGAAGCCCATTTTCTCCTCCCATCTCCCAGAGGCAGTAGGTACCACAGAGGATGGGGTGTAACAAGATGTTGAAAATGGAGAAGGAGGTTTGAAAGTCTCACATGAGGTTGTTGGACCCCCACAAGTCCCCTTCACCTATGCAGCCCAGTGGTGACTTCCCCCAGTCCCTAGCAGGGAACTGGAGGGTTATTTTCCGGAGAAATTAAATGGAACACTCAGAGGTTCAGGACTCAAGGATACCAGGCCTATTTTTAAATTTTTAATTAAAAATTATAAAACATTAAAAAATAAGAAGTTACCAGCCAGGCACGGTGGCTCATGCATGTAATCCCAGCACTTTGGGAGGCTGAGGCGGGTGGATCACGAGGTCAGGAGATCGAGACCATCCTGGCTAACACGGTGAAACCCCGTCTCTACTAAAAATACAAAAAATTAGCTGGGCGCGGTGGCAGGCTCCTGTAGTCCCAGCTACTCGGGTGGCTGAGGCAGGAGAATGGCGTGAACCCGGGAGGCGGAGCTTGCAGTGAGCCGAGATCGCCCCACTGCACTCCAGCCTGGGCATCAGAGCGAGACTCTGTCTCAAAAAAAAAAAAACAAAAAAAAAAAAACAAAAATAAATAAATAAAAATAAGAAGTTACCAGTTGCCTGGTCCACCCCATAATCCGGTTGAATCAGCATTTATAGAGGGAGTAGGAATCCAGGCATTTGTATTTAAATGCTCTTCAGGGAATTTAACATACCCTTAGAAAATAAATGAAAATAACGAAGCAAAAACATTAAAAAAAAAAAAAAAAAATAGAGGCCAGGCACAGTGGCTCACACTTGTAATCCCAAAACTTTGAGAGGCTGAAGCAGGAGGATCGCTTGAGACCAGCCTGGGCAACATAGCAAGATCTTGTCTATATTTTAGAAAGAAGAAGGTCGGGCATGGTGGCTCACGCCTGTAATCCCAGCACTTTGGGAGGCCGAGGCGGGTGGATCACGAGGTCAGGAGATCGAGACCATCCTGGTTAACATGGTGAAACACCATCTCTACTAAAAATACAAAAAATTAGCTGGGTGTGGTGGCGGGCACCTGTAGTCCCAGCTACTCGGGAGGCTGAGGCAGGAGAATGGCATGAACCTGGGAGGAGGAGCTTGCAGTGAGCTGAGATCGCCCCACTGCACTCCAGCCTGGGCAACAGAGCGAGACTCCGTCTCAAAAAAAAAAAAAAAAGAAATATAGGGGAGCCATTAGGTGATCTTACCTTCATGTTTACCAAAGTACAGTGTTTGGCCCTGTGCTTCGAAGCTTAAAGAGATTGGATGGATACAGGACCAGAGAAAAACTGAAAGTGATAAAAAATAATTACAGTGAAAAGTTGTGGAATCTATTTCTCTGGAAATGGTTAAAAAGGGAATGCCTGGGATGTCTTTAAAAGCAATCTGCTTCAATTTTCCAAGGGAGATTTTGTATTGTAAAGCTTGGTGTGGATTACCATATGGGTTACATTGACATTCTGGGGCTTTTTCATTCCAAAAATATGTGTATTTCATATTTCTGTGAACATCAAATTTGTCTTTAGAGATCACCTTAAAATTCCAAGAGGGAAGGACCTGGGCTGTCTTGTTCAGTGTTGTTCAGTTCCTAAATAGCATCAGGCATACAGTTGGTATACAACAAATGATTGTTGAATGAACAATGAAGGAGCTAGTGGTATGCTGGTAAATGTGAAACAACAGCCTATGGGGGGTGAGAGGGAAAGCGTCTGTGAATTTCTGTGACAGAAATATGCCCACCATGGCTAATATCAAGCTAGCAGCAGCCTGTCCTCACTGAACACAGAGCTGAAAAGAGACACCATCGATGCTCCTGAGGCTGTGCAAACCAGCTCCAGTATACTGCCGATTCTGTCCAATGCAGCAGACATACTGTGACCAGCAATACTATATTAATTCATGTTCGACTGTGTGAAATAATGTATCCCCTAGAGCCACCGATGAGAACCTGGCTGTCCTTTGGAAGTGACCAACACTCAATACTAAAAATTTTACCATTTTAAACTTTTAACCATATTTCTGCTTGAAAAGGGTATTCAGGCAAAGTGATGTCTTAGTTTCAAAAATAATATACGAGTAACTATCTGTCTTCCTCGTATAAGTGATCCCCGCTCTGTGGGCTATGCTCCAAATGTTTCATTTGCAACCTAATATAATCTTCATTTAAATGCAAAATCAAGGGTGATTAGGTTGCAGGACAACCCATAAAGGCCCCATGATGCACCTGAAGTCTAATATCAATACAGTAGCATTTTGGGAAATGCATTCTCAGTTTCAGCCAGGGAAGACAGGATTGCGTGCCACCTGGCCATCATCCCAGCTATGAGAAAGTACACCCTTCCACCTCGCCATCTGCCAGGAGAGCAAAGACTTCTAGTCTGCACCCAGGGCAGACTCCCAGCTCTAAGCAGTACCGGCACTGCTCTGATATCAAGAAATGAGCTAAAGGGCTAGGATTCCCCTGGTGGTGGCAGTGGTGGTAAATAATGTTATTGATCATGTGTTTCACAGTTTTTCTAATTTAATCCTCAAAATAACTGTGAGGTATGTAAGATTATTATCTCCATTTTACAGGTGAGAAAACCAAAGTTTAAAGAGATCAGGTAATTTGTTCAAGATCATAACAGCTAGTAAGTGGGGAAGCCTCTTGGGAAAGGGTCCTTGACTTCCCCATGTAACTTGTGTAAATAGGAGATCATCTGTGGTCACCTTTCATATAAATAATATAGAAGATCAAAGAGTGTTGGTGTTCATAAATTTTGTTCTGGGCTTCAATTTGGTGGACCTAATTAAAGCTTAAACAGAACTAGCCAGTGTGATGGGAGCTAAATTTAGGCTCAGTTTATAATATGATGTTCTGAAATTCAGAAGTAGCCTCAAAAATGAAACAGGAAGCACTTTGGGAGGCCGAGGCGGGCGGATCACGAGGTCAGGAGATCGAGACCATCCTGGCTAACACGGTGAAACCCCGTCTCTACTAAAAATACAAAAAATTAGCCGGGCGTGGTAGCGGGCGCCTGTAGTCCCAGCTACTCAGGAGGCTGAGGCAGGAGAATGGCGTGAACCTGGGAGGCGGAGCTTGCAGTGAGCCGAGATCGCGCCACTGCACTCCAGCCTGGGCGACAGAGCGAGACTCCGTCTCAAAAAAAAAAAAAAAAAAAAAAAAAAAAAAGGAAAAAAAGAGTGCATGTAAAAACTGGTGAAATCCAAATAAGATCTATAGCTGAGTTAATAGCATTGTAGCAATGTCAATTTACTGATTCTACAGTTATGAGATATTAGCATCGGGAGAAGCAAGTTTTTTTAATGAAGTACTGTAAAGGGGTATCATAGGCCCACGATCCCAACCTTGTCCTGCCATCCTTCATACTGTGGCCACTCGATGTTTTCTACACTTTCATGTTTGGTAAAATGAATTTAGTGTTTTAAAATGTTTTAAGCATGTTTGCTTTTTAGGTCCATGAAGAATGAGCAAAGGCTGGATACACTTTTCGAGTCCATCTTGTACTGCCTCAGATGTTAAATGTTATTTTACAAAGACTGAGATGGAACTTTTGAGATTTGAGTTCTAATAGTTGTCACTATTAGTCTATGTTCTTGGTTGGTTGTTTTTAACTTTAAAAATGCAGCTCCCTGGCTGAGCGCAGTGGCTCATGCCTGTAATCCCAGCATATTGGGAGGCGAAGGTGGGTGGATCACCTGAGGTCAGGAGTTCGAGACCAGCCTGGCCAACATGGCACAACCCCATCTCTACTAAAAATACAAAATTAGCTGGATGTGGTGGCACACGCCTGTATTCCCAGCTATTTGGGAGGCTGAAACAAGATAATTGCTTGAACCCAGGAGGCGGAAGCTGCAGTAAGCTGAGATCGCACCACTGCACTCCTGCCTGGGCAAGGCAGAACGAGACTCCATCTTAAAAAAAAAAAAAAAAAAAAAAAAAAAGGCAGCTCACCAATGAAACAACTTGGTGAAAGTAAAATCACATTCTAAACTTATGTCTCCCTTATGATTTGCACAAGAATATTAAGCATATAATAAATATCTTGCCTTCCTCTCACATTGCCACATAGAACCAAGAGTCTAGAGTTTTGAAAAAACACAACACAAGGCTGGGTGCAGTGGCTCACGCCTGTAATCCCAGCACTTAGGGAGGCTGAGGCAGAAGGATCACTTGAGACCAGGAGTTTAAGACAACCCTGGGCAACATACACTTCTATCTCTGCAAAAAAAAATTTTTTTAATTAGCCAGGCATGGTGGTGCTTTGGGAGGTCAAGGCTGCAGTGAGCTGTGATTGGATCATTGTACTCCAGCCTGGGTAACAGAGTGAGACCCTGGGACCGAAAAAAACCACACACACACAAAATCTGAAATGTTACTCCAAAAACATTTCCATAGGAAACCAAGCAGGACAGCCTATGGACATAGGTTATAGAGACTATAGGAATTTTTCTTTTCCTCTCATTTTAACAAGACTAAGATGATAATGGCAAACATTTAGTACATGCCTGGCACCATTTTAAGAGCTTTACATATATTGGTTCATTCGGTCCTGAAGACAACCCCTGTGAGGTAGATATATTATCCCCATTATATCCATGAGGAAACTGAGGCAGAGAATCTAGCTTTTTGCCCCAGGTGACACAGTTAACGGGCAGTGGTAAGACTGGGATTGGAAGTGAGGCAGTGTGGCTCCAAAGGCCATTACGGCACACTGCGTGTTTTCTCAGGAAATTACCCTTTATATTGTTTTCCTTCCTTTTTAATAGCAACCAAAACTCCTAGCTGAGCCATCTCTGACTTGTTCCTCGTTGAAACAAAAAATGGAGAGAGGAAATCAGGCCCCAGTCTGTTCTGGACACTCATGTCTCCTCATTTTCCATCTTATACAATTCCCTCCCCTGCCAACACACACCCTGAGCTATAACTCAAGGCTGACAGGCAGACTGACAAGTCTACCTGACACTAAAGCCCAGTGTCTTTATGCTGGTGGTCCACACATAGGGTGACCAAGTGTTCCAGTTTACCTGGGATTTTTCCAGTTTTATCACTGAAAGTTTCATGGCACTGGAAACCCCTCCCTCCATAACAAATCAGGACAGTTGGTCACTCTATGCTCTAGAACCCTGCGGGGGAGCTGTTAATGAACTGATGACTGAAACAGGCCCACACTCCTACTTTCAGAGCAAAGCAATTTTATCAGACTCTCTGGGGGAAGAGGGAGCAGACACTGCATTTTCCTTTTTTAAATTTCTTTCTCTTTTTTAGGCTAGTCAAATGAAGCAGTGGGATATGCTGCATTTTCAAAAAGCCTTCCCAGGAGACTACAGTGTTTGTGCTGGGTCAAGAATCACAGTAAGTCTACACCAAGCAGAAGCTGTGTACTCTCAAACTCTTGTGGACTCCTGATCAAACGCTGCCCAGCCCTTCGCCTCAACCCACCCAGCTTGGAGTAATGCAGGGACTCGGGTCTGGTTGTCCATTAGAATCATGTGGGAAGCTTTTAATGCTTATCAGCTTGGGAATGCAAAATGGTATAGCCACTCCAGAAAACAGTTTCTTAAGAAGTTAGACACATGGCCGGGCACAACGGCTCATGCCTGTAATCCCAGCAGTTTGGAAGGCCGAGGCAGGAGGATTGCTTGAGGCCAGGAGTTTGAGACTAGCCTGGGCAACATAGCAAGACCCCATCTCTTAAAAAAAATTTTTTTTCAATTAGCCAGGTGTGGTGGCATGTGTCTGTACTCCTAGCTACGTGGGAGATTAAGGCAGGAGGATTATTTGAGCCCAGGAGTTCAGTTCAAGGCTGCAGTGGGCCATAATTGTGCCACTGTACTCCAGCCTGGGCAACGGAGTGAGACCTTGTCTCTTAAATAAATAAATAAAAATTTAAAAAGCCGGGCATGGTGGCTCACACCTGTAATCCCAGCACTTTTGGGAGGCCAAGACAGGCACATCACTTGAGTCCAGGAATTTAAGACCAGCCTGGGCAACATAGTGAGACCTAGTCTCTACCAAAAAAAAAAAAATTAGCTGGGCATAGTGGCACACGCCTGTAGTCCCAGTTTCTTGGTAGGCTGAGCTGGGAGGATCACTTGAGTCCAGGAGGTCCAGGCTGCAGTGAGCCTTAATTACACCACTGCACTCCAGCCTGGATGACAGAGTGAGACTGTTAAAAAAAAAAAAAAAAAAAAAAATTAAGTACCGACCATCCAGCCATTCCACTCCTAGGTATTTCCCAGAGATAAATGAAATTGTATATCCATGTATATGAATATTCATAGTGGCTTTAGTTGCAATAGTCCAAAACTGAAAACAACCCAAATGTGCATCAACAGGTAAGTGGGTAAACAAATTCTCATATATACATTCAGTGGAATCCTTCTCAGGAATAAAAATGAATGAAATATTAATACATGTAGCAACATGGATGAATCTCAAAAAATTATGTTGAGTGAAAGAAGCCAGACCAAAAAAAAGACCACATACTATGGTTCCATTTGCGAACAAATCTCTAGTTACAGGTAGTAGGTCAGTGGTTGCCTGGGGATGGGGTTGGGGAATGAATGTTCATTATCTTGCTGTAGTGATGATTTCATGGCTGTATACAAACTTACCACATAGAACATTTTAAAAATGTGCACTTTATCAAATGTTAATTATACCTCAATAGAGCTGTTAAAGCAACAACAGCAAAACCACCAATGTCCCAGCCCCATCCCAGGAGATTGTGTTTCACGGCCTGAAATGGGCACAGATACCAGTACTTTTTAAAGCCTCCCAGGTGGTTCTAAGGTGTTGCCCGGACTGAGAACCACAGCATGAATGCCCCCCACCTGGAGCCACCCTACAACCACTAAAAGAATTAGTCATAATATTAAGAGTGATGAGGAGGTGAGGACAAGTTGTGGAAGGAGCAGTGCTATGAGGATGCTGAAGATGATTCATTAAGCCCAGTTTGGTTTATTAACAGATGGCACCAACAGAGAATAGCTAACTCCACTAGGTGGCATCCGGACACTTCTCTTCAGCGTGGTTTCCAGGGCAATGGGAGATGCAGGGCACCATCTGAGTTGTGCTGAGAGAGTGCTGAGCACACAGTGTCGTTCCTCTGATGCAGAAAGGACCCAGCCTTGTTGGAAAAGAAAACAACCAGAAACTTGGCAAGAGGTCAGCAGGGCCCGCTGTGCTCTCCTCAGCCTAACTTCATAGCCAGAGGAAATCAGACTATTGCAGTTTCAGTGTCATTTGAGGTTCCAGAGTACAAAGAGCAGAGCTATTCAGGGACCAAGTAACTCCTGAAGAGTAAGTAAATATGTTCTCAGCCAGGTGCAGTGGCTCCCACCTGTAATCCCAGCACTTGGGAGGCCTAGGTGGGAGGATTGATTGAGCCCAGGAGTTTGAGACTAGCCTGGGCAACATAGTGAAACCCCAACCCTACAAAAAAAAAAAAATTAGCTGGGCATGGTGGTGCATGCCTGTAGTCACACCTATTCTAGAGGCTGAGGTAGGAAGATTGCTTCAGTTGAAGAGGTTGAGGCTGCAGTGAGTTGTGATCATACCACTGTACTCCAACCTGGGTGACAGAGCAAGACCCTGTCTCAATAGAAATAAAAAATAGGCCAGGTGCGGTGGCTCACACCTGTAATCCCAGCACTTTGGGAGGCCAAGGCGGGCAGTTCACTTGAGCTTAGGAGTTTGAGACCAGTCTAGGCAACGTGGAGAAACCTCATCTCTACAAAAAAATACAAAAATTAACCGGGCGTGGTGGTGTATGCCTGTAGTCCCAGCTACTCGGGAGGCTGAGGCATGAGAATCACTTGAACCTGAAGGCGGAGGTTGCAGTGATCTGAGATGGTACCACTGCACTCCAGCCTGGGCGACGGAGCAAGACTGTCTCAGAAAAATAATATATGACGTTCTCAAGGAGAAGACCCAATGTCTTGTGCTTTATAGCACTGAGCAGAAACCACTGTATGCAGGGGATCAGGACTTTGTCTTCTCTCCCTTATTAAGGAATATTCCTTACATTTTTTCCACTTTGTTTTGTTTAGGCCACACTGGCCTTGGGCAAGTTGAAGGATATCATGACAGCAGACGTAAAGCAGCCCCCTCTGTCTGCTGTGACTCGCATCCTCCTCCCCAGGCCTGTGGTCTCCTGCTTCTCATAGTCACTGTCACCACTGCAGGCTCCCCCTCCATTTCTCATCCCTGTTGTCATCGCCTCGCCTCTGCTGTACTGGCCGCTAAGCAGAGCCAGAGCCGCTTTCCCAAGCGATCATACAGCTTTGGTCAACCCTGCAGGTTCAAGCACTTAGCCAGAATTTGAAGGAGGGGCACATAATTTGGGTCTTCCTGTTTACGCTTTACTCTCCCTTCTACCACTGAAAGTAAAGCAAGTCCCCAGGGGAGTGGATCAAAAAAAAAAAAACCACTGAAGAATAACATCCACATCAGTAGTTTTCAAACTCTCCCTGGAACCCATCAGGAACCAGGCTTCAGAGAGGGCCCTCGGATCCACAGGCACCAGAGCAATGCATCAACTTTGTCAGCTGAGTTCTGTCTCTGCCTCAGAGCTCCCCAGGCTCCAGTTAACTCTGTCACTATGATCACACAGGCAGCCAGCCATGCTTCTGTAAGAAAGATACAAAACAAGGGAGCTTAGAAAATGTGATCTTGCTGCCGGGCGTGGCGGCTTATGCCTGTAATCCCAGCATTTAGGGAGGCTGAGGCTGGCAGATCACCTGAGGTCAGGAGTTCAAGACCAGCCTGGCCAATATGGTGAAACCCCATCTCTACAAAAATACAAAAATTAGCTGGGCATGATGGCAGGTGCCTGTAATCCCAGATACTTGGGAGGCTGAGGTGGGAAAATCACTTGAACCTGGGAGGAGGAGGTTGCAGTGAGCCGAGATGCACCATTGCACTCCAGCCTGGGTGACAAAGACTCAGTCTCAAAAAAAAAAAAAACACAAGAAAATGTGATCTTATTCTATGTGAATTCCAGTGTAGTGCTCTTTTATCTGTTGTATATGTATTTGTGGACAGGGGTAATGGGAAGAGATTCCACATATGATTTTTTTTTTAAGTATTCTGCTATTAAAAAGTTTGTAGAACAGTCTCCAACATCCTTCTGAAAGACCCTTCTTACAAACCCAAGCCAGTGGTGCAGATTTGGGCACATAGTTTTGTTTGTTTGTTTTGTTTTGTTTTCTTTCTGAGACACAGTCTTGCTCTGTTGCCCAGCCTGGAATACAGTGGCACAATCTCAGCTCACTGCAACCTCCACCTCCCAGGTTCAAGCGATTCTCATGACTCAGCTTCCCGAATAGCTGGGGCTACAGGTGTGTACCACCACAGCTGGCTAATTTTTGTATTTTTAGTAGAGATGGGGTTTTGCATGTTGTTTAAGTGACAGCAACAGGAGGCAGCCAAAAGCCTGGGCAGATAGGGGTAAGTCAATTGTGAAACCCCACCTCCAAGCCAAAGACAGTTTAAAGCCTGAAAGCCAAGCTACAGGTTAAATCCTCAGACCAGACTGAGAACTTGTCTTCCCATTTGGCATGTTTCCTCTGATTGATCCTCACCCTTCCCCTATTATACATATACCTACCCTTTCCTAATTGGTTTTCTATATTCTCATGCCCACCTTTGAGTGGTGTCTTCACTTTAACCCTTTTTGCATACTCACACACCAACTAGCACACACTCCCCATTCTGAGTCCATAAAACGCCCCAGACCCAGCAGCACAGGGAGAAACCACCTGACCGTTGGGATTGGGGACTGACCTCCCCGCAATGGCCTCTGAGAGCTGTTCTGTCACTCAATAAAACTCCCCTCCTTGCTCTCTCTTCTATTCTCAGCGCATCCTCATTCTTCTTGGGTTAGGGATAAGAACTCCGGGACTGGAGCACAGGCCAGACTCAGCCCGGGTAGGCCGAGTGGGCAGGCCATCTCCTGCAGCAGGAGAGTGAGGCCTGGGTAGGGCATCACAGGCTAGAAGTCCCTGCCTTGCAAAGTGACCCAGAAGAAAATCCTGCATTACAGGCTAGTCTCAAGCTCTTGGGCTCGAGCAATCCTCCTGCCTCGGCCTCCCAGAGTGCTGGGATTATAGGCATAAGCCACCTCACCTTGCCCTGGGCACACAGCTTTCAAGTCTTTTCAGAGAGTAAGTCTTTTCCCTCCTCAGAACACCTCCTCTAGACTTGAGGACAAGAGCATTATCCCTTCTCTCTGTTCAAAGTTGCACCAAGGACCCAAACATTAGCCCTAAAATCTCCTCTAGTTCTCCCAGATGATCAGGGCTTTTCTGGCCTGCCAGATAGCTCAGCATTCTCAAGGTAGGCCTGCCCTCTGGAGACACAGTGCTCACATGTCCCCAGTACCATGGCTACTTTCTGTTTCAGACTTGGTTCAGTCTCCTAGCATTCATTTTCTATCTCCTGTTTCCACTCTATTTTTTGTAACTTTTATATTAGGTTTGGGGGCACATGTGAAGGTTTGTTACATAGGTAAACAGATATCAAGGGGATTTGTTGTACATATTATTTCGTCACCCAGGTATTAGGCCCAGTACCCTGTAGTTATCATTTCTGCTCCTCTCCCTCCTCCCACCCTCCCCTGTCAAGTCAACCCCAGTGTCTGTTGTTTCCTTGTTTATGTCAATGTGTTCTTATCATTTAGCTCCCACTTGTGAGAACATGTGGCATTTGGTTTTCTGTTCCTGCGTTAGTTAGCTAAGGATAATAGCCTTCAGCACCACACACTCTATTTTTCAACTGCTGAAAAATTATTTTTACTAAATGCTGAACAGATCAAAAAATTTTATAAAATACATATATAAGGTATAAAGAATCATAATCAGATGAACACCTGTGAACCTACCCCTCAGTTAAAATCACATTAGAATGAATCCTGCAGTCCCTAGAATATTCCTCCCTAAACCCATTCCCTTTTCTCCCACCTCCAAGGCAAACACTGTGCTGAATTTTGCGTTTACCATTCTCTTGTGTTTCTTGATAGATTTCCTACATATGTTTGAATCTGTAAATAATATATTCAGTTTGGCATGTTTTTAAACTTTAAATTGATTCATATAGTATATATTGAAACAATGTTTTTGAAATTCACCTATATTGTTGCAAGTAGCTACAACTGATTGTTGAAATGGTTCATAGTATTCATGTGTAATATACTATAGTTTTTAAAATCCATTTTACTCTTGGTATTTGGGCCGTTGTCAGTGATTTCTATTATGAATGGTGCTGCTATAAACATTCTTGTACATGTCTCCTGGTATACACTGACAAGAGCTGCTCTTGGAGTGGAATTTCTGGGTCAGAGTGTAGAAACATGTTTAAATTACCAAGATAATTCTAAACCGTTTTCCAAAGTGGATGTTCCAATTTATGCTCCCATGATCACTGACCATCTCATTAATTGTGTGACATCTTTGCCAGCACTTAATATTGTTCAACTTCATAATCTTTATCAGTCTGGTAGATGTGAAATGGTATTTTCTTATAGTTTTGTTTACTGGATTGTCAAAGAGGCTTAGAATATTTTCACATGTTCACTGACCACTTGTCATTCCCCTTCTTGAAGTGGGGCTTCTGCGCTAACTCTTGGGTGAAGCATGTGGGCACAGGCCCTCAAGGACAGATGGCCCAGCCCAGAGTTTTAGTTTCTCAGGTCTTCCCATGACTGAGTAGAGGCCCTCCTAGCTACTTGCATCCCACCTTACTCAGTGACCCTCCGTCAAAACAACTGTCAGGGCCAGGCACGGTGGCTCACGCCTGTAATCCCAGCACTTTGGGAGGCCGAGGTGGGAGGATCACCTGAGGACAGGTATCAGGGGAACCCGCCCCCAATAATTCAATGTTATTTCATGTAGGTTCTTTTCTATTTCCCTAAGTGTCAGACAGTCCGAGAAATAAAGAGTACAGGAGAGAGAAATTTTAAAGCTGGGTATCCGGGGGAGACATCACATGTCGGCAGGTTCCGTGATACCCCCCAAGCCGCAAAACCAGCAAGTTTTTATTAGTGATTTTCAAAGGGGAGGGAGTGTACGAATACGGTGTGGGTCACAGAGATCACATGCTTTACAAGGAAATAAAATATTACAAGGCAAATGGAAGCAGGGCGAGATCATAGGACCCAGGCGAAATTAAAATTGCTAATGAAGTTTCAGTCACGCATTGTCATTGATAACATCTTATCAGGAGATAGGGTTTGAGAGCAGACAAGCCGTCTGACTAAAAATTTACTAGGTGGGAATTTCCTCATCCTAATAGGCCTCGGAGTGCTACAGGAGACTGGGGCTTATTTCATCCCTTATCTGCAACTGTAAAAGACATTCCATTTTAGAAAGACAGGCCATTTTAGAGACCAACCCCTGGAAAGGCATTCTCTTTCTCAGGTCTGTTCCTTACTGAGAAAAGGAATTCAGTGATATTTCTATTTGCTTTTGAAAGAAGAGAAATATGGCTCTGTTCTGCCTGGCTCTCAGGCAGCCAGACCTAATGGTTATCTCCCTTGTTCCCTGAACATTGCTGTTATCCTGTTCTTTTTTCAGGGTGCCCAGATTTCATATTGTTTAAACACACATGCTTACGAACAATTTGTGCAGTTAACACAATCGTCGCAGGATCCTGAGGCGACATACATCCTCAGTTTACAAAGACAATGGGATTAAGAGATTAAAGTAAACACAGGCATAGGAAATCACAAGAGTATTGACTGGGGAAGTGATAAATGTCCATGAAATCTTCACAATTTATATTCTGCCATGGCTTCAGCCGGTCCCTCCGTTTGGGGTGCCTGACTTCCTGCAACAGACAGGAGTTCCAGACCAGCCTGGCCAAGATGGTGAAACCCCATCTCTACTAAAAAATACAAAAAAAATTAGGGTGTAGTGGTGCCTGCCTGTAATCCCAGCTACTTGGGAGGCTGAGGCAGGAGAATCTCTTGAACCTGGGAGGTGGAGGTTGCAGTGAGCCAAGGTCACGCCATTGTACTCCAGCCTGGGCGACAAGAGCGAAAATCCGTCTCTAAATAAATAAATAAATATGTCAGGTGGTCTCCATCTCATAAAACCAGCTCCAGCAAACAGGGGTTGAAGCTCAGGATCCAGGCTGCTCTGTGGCCCACAACCCAGTCGAGCCAACAGGCCAAGACCTTCCTGACTGGTGGCCAGCGCCATGCCTGCAGGCCGCTCACACCAGAGATGCCACTTAGAACTCTCCACTGGGGAGTTCGATCGGTAGCGGGAGCGGAGAGCGGACCCCGGAGAGCGGACCCCAGAGAACCCTGAGCAGCCCCGCCGCTGCCGGCCTAGTTACCGTCATACCACGGGAGGAGCCGCAGCTGCCGCAGCCGGCCCCAGTCTCCATCACCGCAACCAATGAGCAGCAAGGCCGAGACCCAGCAGCCACCCGCCGCCCCCGCCTTTCCCCCCACCGCCCCCCTCCCGTCCCCCCGCCGCCCCCGCCCTCAGCGCCGCCGACACCAAGCCCGGCACTACGGGCAGCTGCGCAGGGAGCGGTGGTCCGGGCGGCCTCACATCGGCGGCGCCTGCCAGCGTGGACAAGAAGGTCATCGCAGTGAAGGTTTTGGGAACAGTAAAATGGTTCAATGTAAGGAACGGATATGGTTTCATCAACAGGAATGACACCAAGGAAGATGTATTTGTACACCAGACTGCCATAAAGAATAACCCCAGGAAGTACCTTCGCAGTGTAGGAGATGAAGAGACTGTGGAGTTTGATGTTGTTGAAGGAGAAGAGGGTGCGGAGGCAGCAAATGTTACAGATCCTGGTGGTGTTCGAGTTCAAGGCGGTAAATATGCAGCAGATCGTAACCATTATAGACGCTATCCACGTCATAGGGGTCCTCCACGCAATTACCAGCAAAATTACCAGAACAGTGAGAGTGGGGAAAAGACCGAGGGATCGGAGAATGCTCCCGAAGGCCAGGCCCAACAATGCCGGCCCTACCGCAGGCAAAGGTTCCCACCTTACTACATGCGGAGACCCTATGGGTGTCGACCACAGTATTCCAGCCCTCCTGTGCAGGGAGAAGTGATGGAGGGTGCTGACAACCAGGGTGCAGGAGAACAAGGTAGACCAGTGAGGCAGAATATGTATCGGGGATATAGACCACGATTCCGCAGGGGCCCTCCTTGCCAAAGACAGCCTAGAGAGTACGGCAATGAAGAAGATAAAATCAAGGAGATGAGACCCAGGGTCAGCAGCCACCTCAACGTCGGTACCGCAGCAACTTCAATTACCAACGCAGATGCCCAGAAAACCCTAAATCACAAGATGGCAAAGAGACAAAATCAGCCAATCCACCAGCTGAGAATTCGTCTGCTCCCGAGGCTGAGCAGGGCGGGGCTGAGTAAATGCCGGCTTACCATCTCTACCATCATCCGGTTTAGTCATCCAACAAGAAGAAATATGAAATTCCAGCAATAAGAAATGAACAAAAGATTGGAGCTGAAGACCTTAAGTGCTTGCTTTTTGCCCGTTGACCAGATAAATAGAACTATCTGCATTATCTATGCAGCATGGGGTTTTTATTATTTTTACCTAAATATGTCTCTTTTTGGTAATAACAAACGTGTTTTTTTTAAAAAGCCTTGTTTTTCTCAATACGCCTTTAAAGGTTTTTAAATTGTTTCATATCTGGTCAAGATGAGATTTTTAAGCACTTTATTTTTAATTTGTAATAAAAGTTTACAACTTGATTTTTTCAAAAAAGTCAACAAACTGCAAGCACCTGTTAATAAAGGTCTTAAATAATAATAATAAAAAGAACTCTCCACTGGGCACCCTCAAAATTGCACAAGTTCCTTCTGTTATTAGTTCATGCTGAGTTGTGATGCCAGCACTTCAAGCCTTGTTAATCATTGGATCAACAAGTACCGAGCTAGGTGCTAGAGAGAGATGGAAAAAGGCACCTGGG
This sequence comes from Homo sapiens, assembly GCF_000001405.40. Lineage (NCBI taxonomy): Eukaryota > Metazoa > Chordata > Mammalia > Primates > Hominidae > Homo > Homo sapiens. The sequence continues at coordinate 105,581,694 of NC_000007.14, read as the reverse complement.
CCCAGCCCTAAGCCTGGATCGCGGACAGTGACGTTGGTCCACACCTCACCTGCCCTCTCTGCCCTGCTACATGCCCCAGGCTTGCCCTGAACCGTGAGCTCTAGAAATTCCAGGTCCGGGTCGCAGCCACAGGGCAGTCAGGCGTGTCACGTGACCGCGCCGGGTAGAGGGAGACAGAGTCGCACGGCTGAGACGCCAGGCAGTCGCCTAGCAACAGCGGGACGCGGAGCGATGGAGACCAGCAGCAGGGAGCTCCAAGCCGCGGAGTATTTGGAAAAGCATCAGATCAAGGAGGTGGTTAGCTACCTCACCAGCGCCCTCCTTTTCTTTCGGCCGGGTAAGGGCCCCCATGCCCCGGTACAGCCATACCTCCATGTGGGGTTCGCTTCCCACACGAAACCCCCCTCTTACACATTCGCTTTCCACTGCCTCCCAGCCACGTGAGCCCTTCTGCTGTTGATTAACTCTGCGGCCTTCAATAAAAGTCCCTCAGGCTGCAGTACAATGGCGTGATCTCATTTCACTACAACCTCCACCTCCTGGTGGCGATTCTCAGGGGCGATTCTCCTGCCTCAGCCTCCTGAGTGGCTGAGATTACAGGCGCCCGCCACCATGCATGGCTAATTTTTGTATTTTTAGTAGCGACAGGGTTTCGTCATGTTGGTCAGGCTGGTCTCGAACTCCTGACCTCAGGTGATCTGCACGCCTCGGCGCCTCAAAGTGCTGGGATTGTAGGCGTGAGCCACCGCGCACGGCCAAAGTTTTTAATCTGGCAACTAAACAATTGATAGGGTAGGATAGAAGATGTTCTAGAGGGGATCGCTTTTCCTGACTTTTTTTACACATCTGAACCCCCTACAAAATTTGAATCGTTTTGTAATTTGGGAGTGGTGTGTCATTTAAAAGTTATATTTAGGTGAAAATGGTTTTATGTCCTCCCCAGGGTGCAGAATTGTAATTTGCCGACCTCCATATGGAGCGTCCGAAATGCCAAAATTGTCCATTTGCTTCTGTGTAAGGAAGTGGAAATACCAAACATTCCAATTTTGCCAAAAAACACCCAACCAATATCATGTATAGGAGACAGAGTTCTTGCTAGTTGTTTTAAAGTATTAAAACAAATATTAGAAAGAAAAAAAAAGGCCGGGCACGAGATGGCGCCACTGCAGCCTGGGCGACAAAGCGAGATCCTATCTCAAAAATAAAAATAAAAATAAAAAATAGGCCAGGAGCAGTGGCTCAGGCCTGTAATCCCAGTACTTTGGGAGGCCGAAGCGGGTGGATCACTTGAGTTCAGGAGTTTGAGACCAGCCTGGCCAACATGGTGAAACCTCGTGTCTGCTACAAATACAAAAAATTAGCCGGGTGTGGTAGCGCATGCCTGTAATCCCAGCTATTCGTGAAGCTCCTTGGGGGCGGTGACTCACGCCTATAATACCAACGCTCTGGGAGGCTGTGGTGGGCAGATCACTTGACTTCAGGAGTTCATAGACCAGCCTGGGCAACATGGCAAAACCCCATCTCTATTAAAAATAAAAAAACTTAGCTGCACGTGGTGGTGCGTGCCTATAATCCCAGCTACTCAAGAGGCTGATGTGGGAGGATCACGTGAACCTGGGAGGCGGAGGTTGCATTGAGCGGAGATTGCTACTCAAGCCAGGTGACAGAGTAAAACACCTTCTCAAAAAAAAAACTAAAAATAAAGACAAATGTTAATTTTCTTCATCATAACAAGGGATATATTATGTTACATTCGTTATATAAAATATTTGTCAACATTTATTTTTAAATTTCATTTTTATTGAAGTGGATGTATGGGGTTTAAAAATTGAAAAGTACTCCAAAGCTTATAATAACAGCATTCCTGTTGCTATCCCCAGCTTCTGCACAGAATAATTTCAACTCTTTTAGCAATATTCTTTGCTATTTATCTTGAGATTTCTAAATAACAGGCCTATATTGCTGCTGCTTAATGTTTTTCCCTCTAGGTTAGATACTAGCTTTATGCTGTGGAAGATGAAAATGCGCCTTTCTTAAACACACACCTCATACACCTGTTCCCACTCACACCCATCTTCCAGATAAATTTAGATCACAATTTTGATATCCTCAGTATTCAGAATTTTTAATATTGTTAGGCAAGTATCTATAATCCTTATAGTATGCTGATTATATTTCCCTTGTTGTTTTCCCTGGTTAATAATATATTTACATTTTTGGCTTAAATTTGTGTGATCATCACTAATTCATCCATACCCTCTTTTGCCACAGTACAGCTGTCCTCTCATTACATTTGCATTCATTGGGTAATTACCCCCACCACCACCACCCAAACCCCGTACCCCCAGCTGTGTGTCTTCCTGCTCCAGTCTGGACTGATAGCTACACAGTGGTTATTCACGGCTTCCCCTCACTCTGATCCTAAGACGACTCCTCGCCTTTCTAGTGTTCAGAGCCTGTTTTATGGCACAGCCAGTAATCCCTCATTCTTGCTTTACCGCTTTCTTCTGGTGGAGCATATCCTTTAGTGGCTTCCTGAGAGAGCGTGCTTTGAGGGGTAAAGATTTTGGGAACACACGTATATAAAAATGTGAGTTCCTACATTCAAAACTTTTTAATAGAGTGGAGGCTGTGCACGGAGGCTCACACCTCCCAACACTTTGAGAGGCCAAGGCGGGTGGATCACTTGAGGTCAAGAGCTAGAGACCAGCCTGGCCAACATGGTGAAACCCCATCTCTACTAAAAATACAAAAATTAGCCAGGCATGGTGGCATGTGCCTCTAGTCCCAGCTACTAGGGAGACTCTGGCAGGAGAATCACTTGAACCTGGGAAGTAGAGGTTACAGTGAGCTGAGATTTCACTGTTGCACTCCAGCCTGAGCAACAGAGTGAGACTCTGTCTCATAAAATAAAATAAGAGTGGACACAATTTTAACTTGGAACATATTGCCCTCAGAATTTTTAAGGCATTGCCCCATTGTCTTCTAATTTCTCATGTTGCTCTGAAGAATTCTGATGTCATATGTCATCAGATACTTGATCTGGCTATGAGGCAAGTTTATTCTTTCCAGAAACTTTTTAGGATTGTCTTTTTATCTTATCCCTGGTGTCCTAAATATATGCCTTGGAATGGTTTTGTTGTGGTTGCTGTTAATGTTTGTGCTCTAGGTACTTTATGGTCTTATTAAATTTGGAGATATTTTTCTTTCAGGTCTAGGAAGTATTTTTCTTATTTTCCTTACCTATATCTTTCTGGAATTATTATTGGATATTGGACATCTTGGCTTGATTTTCTAATTTACTTTACATCTTGATATGTTGTATAATTTTTATCAGAAGAATGCAATTTATGAATCTGCAGATTCTCTTGAGAATTTACCAAATTGTTATTTTGATGCTCCTCACTGACTTATACTTACATTTCCTGTCTTCATTAGTCGTTCTTTATGGGTAAGATGACTGTATGAGTTATCATCCAAACCGGGGATATTTTGAGTGAAAATAGGTACTATTAATAATTATGCCAGGACAACATGGTAAACTAGGACTGTCCCAGGCCAACTGGAACCTTTGATTATCCTGAATACGGGTATCTTAAACATGATATGAACAACAAAATTTAAAAAGACAGGCTTGGGATGGTGGCTCACGCCTATAATCCCAGCACTTTGGGAGGCCAAGGTGGGTAGATCACTTGAGGTCAGGAGTTCGAGACCAGCCTGGCCAACGTGGTGAAAAACTATCTCTACTAAAAATACAAAATTATCCAGATATGGTGGCACAGTGAAATGCTGTCTCTACTAAAAATACAAAATCAGGTGTAGTGGCACATGCTTGTAATCAGTTATTCGGGAGGCTGAGACAGGAGAATCGCTTGAACGCGGAGGCAGAGGTTGCAGTGAGCTGAGATTGCACCACTGCACTTCCAGCCTGGGTGACAGAACAAGACTCTGCCTCAAGGAAAAAAAAAAAAAAAAATTGAACAGACAAAAGCACCATGGCAGCCAATGGGTCAACTGAATGAAAACTTAATTTTTCTGAGTCACAACATGAGCCCACTTACCTGATCTGAGTGAACTTCAGGATAGTCTCTGAGCATCTCAAACAGTTATAATACACACAGAGGCCTCCATTTGGCCATCTCGGTTGCAACACAGAATCACACTCAAAGCAGCACAGTCATTCCAGCAATCAAGAGTAATTTGAAAGGAATCAAAAAGACTTCAATTCATAATCCACAGTAAAACCACTCAAAAGTCCTTCCTCCTTGTTCCCAGCTGTATTCTCCACAGCAGCTGCAGATCCTATCAGGTTCCAAATTCATGACACTCAGCCCATCCAACTCTTCTGTCTCCTCCCTATCTTGCATGTTTTTCTCAGCTCTTTATTATGTCAAACAATTTAGCATCTTGAAGATTCTTTTTTTCCTCCAGCACAAAAAGCCTTGCACCCATCTGGCAAAACCAGAATTTTCCAGTAGAAGGCATTATGGGGGGAAAAGAACCTAAGCAGATAAAGACAAAATTCTCTTTGGTGGAAGGGAAGTCTGGGAATACTCATACATTAATTATATACCTATCACATAAATAGTGTAGCTGTTTTTTTAAAACTGAGACATGGGTACCACTTTTTTTTTTTTTTAAGACGGAGTTTTGCCCTGTCGCCCAGCCTGGGGTACAGTGGCACATCTTGGCTCACTGCAACCTCCGCCTCTGGGGTTCAAGTGATTCTCATGCCTCAGTCTCCAGAGTAGCTGGGATTACAGGTGCAAACCACCATGCCCAGCTAATTTTTGTATTTTTAGTAGAGACGGGGTTTTGCCATGTTGTCCAGACTGGTCTCGAACTCCTGACCTCAAGTGATCCTCTCACCTTGACCTCCCAAAGTGCTTGGATTACAGGTGTAAGTCACTGCACCTGGCTGGGTACCATCTTCAATAATGAGAATTCCGGCTAGGCGCGGTGGCTCACACCTGTAATCCCAGCACTTTGGGAGGCCAAGGCAGGCGGATCACGAGGTCAGGATATCGAGGCCATCCTGGCTAACACAGTGAAACTCCATCTCTACTAAAAATACAAAAAAAATGAGCCAAGCATGGTGGGAGGCACCTGTAGTCCCAGCTATTCAGGAGGCTGAGGCAGAAGAATGGTGTGAGCCTGGGAGGCGGAGCTTGCAGTGAGCTGAGATTGTGCCACTGCACTCCAGCCTGGGCAACAGAGTGAGAATCTGTCTTAATAATAATAATAATGATGATGAGAATTCCTTAAAATATCTTTATAAACACCAAAGCTGGGGAGAGGAAACCATAGGTACAGAAACACTGAGCCAGAATAAGAAGGTAATGAAGCTAAAGAAGGGGTGGGCTGGCATGCAGAGTATGTATGCAGTGCTGTTGAAGTTTTCTGCCTAAGTCCTCCTAATGGCAGAGGAGAAAGGACTTGTCCATTCAGTGTCTGGGACCTTAGCCTGATGTGGCATAAGAAGTTTCTTTGAAGTCGTTTTGTCCTAAAAATACATGAGATCTGTTCTTTCGTAGCTATACCTATTTCTTAATATAAATGTTTTATATTACTCACCAAGGTATGATTGATGCTTAGAAAGACACACTAGCTTTATCCTGTGTCTTTGTGAAGCCCCTGGTATTTCTTTTTTTGTTGAGACGGAGTTTCGCTCTTGTTGCCCAGGCTGGAGTGCAATGGCGCGATCTCAGCTCACTGCAACCTCTGCCTCCCAGGTTCAAGTGATTCTCCTGCCTCAGCCTCCCTAGTAGCTGGGATTACAGGCATGTGCCACCATGCCTGGCTAATTTTGTATTTTTAGTAGAGATGGGGTTTCTCCATGTTGGTCAGGCTGGTCTCGAACTCCCAACCTCAGGCGATCCTCCCACCTCGGCCTCCCAAAGTGCTGGGATTACAGGCATGAGCCACCGCACCCAGCTGAAGCCCCAGGTATTATGATATGTGTCCCAATTTGAAAACCTTGGAATTACAGAGGAGTTGCAGAAAATAAGACTAGACAGTTTAATTGGGCAATTACTATTGAGGAAACAGGTACGCAGTCCCCCATTCTGAATTCCAAAATTCTGAAAGCTGTAAAAACCAACAGTTTCATAAGTTAAGTGTAACAGCAAGACCTGACCTGACCTGAAATAATTTGGTAGGAAAAACTTGCCTCAGCTAGGGTATATTGGGAAATATAATTGCTGGTTGTTACAAAAATTAGCTGAGCATGGTGGCGGACACTTGTAATCCCAGCTACTTGGGAGGCTGAGGCAAGAGAATCAGTTGAACCTGGGAGGCAAAGGTTGCAGTAAGCCAAGATTGCACCACTGCATTCCAGCCTGGGTGACAAAGTGAGACTTCATCTAAAAAATATATATATATGTATGTGTATATATATTTATGTATATGATATAGTTTGGCTGTATCCCCGCCCAAATCTCATCTTGAATTCCCACACATTGTGCAAGGGACCTGGTGGGAGGTAATTGAATCATGGGGCCAAGTCTTTCCCATGCTGTTCTTGTGATAGTGAATAAGTCTCAAGAGATCTGATGGCCACTTTTTTTTTTTTTTTTTGAGACAGAGTTTCGCTGTTGTTGCCCAGGCTGGAGTGCAATGGCACGATCTTGGCTCACCGCAACCCCCACCTCCTGGGTTCAAGTGATTCTCCTGCCTCAGCCTCCTGAGTAGCTGGGATTACAGGCACGCACCACTATGCCTGGCTAATTTTTTGATTTTTTTTTTTTTTTTTTTTTTTAAGTAGGGATAGAGTTTCACCATGTTGGCCAGGCTGGTCTTGAACTCCTGACCTCAGGTGATCCACTCTCCTTGGCCTCCCAAAGTGCTGAAGCTACAGGTGTGAGCCACTGCGCCTGACCTGATCCGATGGTTTTAAAAACAGGAGTTTCTGGCTGGGCACAGTGGCTCACGCTTGTAAACCCAGCACTTTGGGAGGCTGAGGCAGGCAGATCACAAGGTCAGGAGATCGAGACCATCCTGGCTAACACGGTGAAACCCCTCTATTAAAAATATACAAAAAATTAGCCGGGCATGGTGGCGGGCGCCTGTAATCCCAGCTACTCGGGAGGCTGAGGCAGGAGAATGGCATGAACCTGGGAGGTAGAGCTTGCAGTGAGCCAAGATCGCGCCTCTGCACTCCAGCCTGGGCAACAGAGCGAGATTCCGTCTCAAAAAAAAAAGGAGCTTCCCTGCACAAGGTCTCTCTTTGCCTGCTGCCATCCATGTAAGACATGACTTGCTCCTCTGTGCCTTCTGCCATGACTGTGAGGCCTCCCCAGCCATGTGGAACTGTAAGTCTATTAAACCCTTTTTCCTGTATAAATTACTCAGTCTCACGTATGTCTTTATCAGCAGCATGAAAACATACTAATAGAGTACATGTATTTGTTTATATATACTGTGTATATGTATATATATATATATATACTGTATATATGTGTGTACATATACGGGTGTGTGTGTGTCTATATATATACGTGTGTGTGTATATATACATATGGGTGTGTGTGTATATATATGTATGTGTATATATATATATATATATATACACACACATTGTGTGTGTGTATGTGTGTATATATATGGTTGCTGGCTATGCTGCCATTTCCCAGTGACAATTCTATGCTGTATAAAGAGGGAATATGAATTTTTAGGGGATGGCTTTAATAAAATTAGACAATTATATTAATAGTAACCCAAATGAGAGAGATTGCTGTGGGAGTGGTAGAGTAAAATGAATTTGAAAGCTATTGAGAAAAAACTCAATGGAGACTATCATGACTGACTAGATTTCACCATTGAAGATGCTTCCCATATTTTAGTAGAGTGTGGTAAAGTCTGCAAGCTTTAGAAGCACATTGCCTGGATTCATACTGGCTGTGTGGCCTTGAGCAAGTGACTGTTCTGAGGAGTAAATGAAATGATCCATAGAAAATGCTTCACACAGTACCAGGCATATAGTAAGGGCTCAGATAGCTATTATGATTAAGATGTTGAACCTGAACATTGTATCCCTTGAAAAATTGTTTTTAATATCAGCTGACATTGTAACATAGGTGGTTAGTAACATTTGGCTCTTCCTTTCATGATTTAAAAAGATTCTGTCTTTATTATATATATTTATGTTGTGATCATTTTCAAAACATTTTTAAAAGCAGGTAGAGTATAAATTGTAGTCTCCAAACATAAACATTGTAACATCCCATGCAGCCTAAAGGATACACAATAAGCCTGGTTTGGATTTTCATCAAAGTGGTACACCAAGTTCCATTAGCATTATTTACTTATTCAAGCCTTAAAATGAAATGTAGTGAGTTGAAATTCAAACTTGGCCTTTTTCCAGTTTCTGAATTTGATATATGGTCCAGGAAGAAGAAACAGAAGACCTCATACAAAATGTGACTGCCTTTAGTAGCCTATTTATTGCTAGAGCCTATTTGTACAAGTAAGGCACAATATTAGATTTAAAAGTCTACTTCTGGTTTCAACACATAAATTCCCAGGGATGAAAAAGATGCAGTGGAAACCTATAAATTAAAAGATTTAAAAACATAAACTGAGTGAAGAGACAACCTATGCAATGGGAGAATATATTTGCAAACTATATGTCTGATAAGGGGTTAATATCCAAAACATGTCAGACCTCAATAGTTAAAAAAAAAAAAAAATTTTTTTTTTAATGGGCAAAGGACATAGATAGACATTTTTCCATAGAAGATACAGAAATGGCCTACAGGTATATGAAAAAATGCTCAATATCACTAATCGGGTGAATGCAAATTAGAACCACAATGAGATATCACCTCACACCTGTTAGAAAGGCTGTTATCAAAAAACAAAAGAGAGCTGAGCACGATGGCACATGCCTGTAGTCCCAGCTACTCAGAAGGCCGAGGCAGGAGGATCACTTGGGTCCAGGAGTTCAAGACCAGCCTGAGCAACATAATGAGACCCCATCTCTAAAACGCTAACAAAAGATGAAAGATTTCAAGTGTTGGCAAGGATGTGGAGAAAAGGGAACCCTTGTACACTACCGGTGGGATTGTGAATTAGTACAACCATTATGGAAAACAATATGGTGGTTTCTCAAAAACTTAAATATAGAACTTATCTGGCATTCCCACCACTGGGTATATATCCACAGGAAATGAAATCAGTATGTTGAAGAAATACCTGCACTTGTATTCATCGCAGCACTATTCACAATAGCCACTATACACAATCAGCCTAAGTGTCCATGGATGAATGGATAAAGAAAATGTGATATATACACAATGAAATACTATTCAGTCTTAAAAGACGGACATCCTGTCATTTGCAACAACATGGATGAACCTAGAAAACATTAAGTGAAGTAAATCACGCACAGAAGAATACCTCATGATCTTAATTATATGTGGAATCTGAAAAAGTCAAACTCATAAAAAGAGTTAAATGATGCTCAAGAGCTGAAAGGCAGGGGGATTGGGGAGATGTTGGCCAAAGCATACAAAATTTCAGACAAAAGAGGAATAAGTTCAAGAGATCTACTGTATATCATGGTGACTACAGTTAATAATATATTTTATATTTGAAAATTGCTGACAGTAGATTATAAGTGTTCTCACCATGAAAAAGTATGTATACGGGGACTTCAAAAAGTTCATGGAAAAATGGAATTAAAAGATTAAAAATTATTTCTCAACATAAGCTCTATCAAATTCAAGATACTTTTGTAAACAACGATACCAGCCATTTAATCCATCCCTAAAGAACTCTGAGGGCTCTGGGAATTTAACCATGTCAATGCAGTCTTTTTTATATCATTAAAGAAAAATGGGTGCCCTTTAAAGATTTTTTTTAAGATCAGGAAACAAAAAAGTCAAAAGGAGCTAAATCAGGACTGTAAGGTGGATGCTAATGATTTCCCATTGAAACTCTTGTAAAATTGCCCTGTTCCATGAGAGGAATGAGCAGGAGCATTGTGGTGGTAGAGAAGGACTTTCTGGTGAAATTTTCCTGGGCTTTTTTTAACTAAAGCTTTGGCTAACTTTCTTAAAACATTCTCATAATAAGCAGATGCTATCATTCTTTGGGACTCCAAAAATTCAAAAAGCAAAATGCCTTGAGCATCCCAAAAAAGTGTTGCCATGACCTTTGCTCTTGACCGGTCAACTTGTGCTTTGACTGGACCATGTCACCTCTTGGTAGCCATTGCTTTGATTGGGTTTGTCTTTGGGATGATACTGTAGAACTACGTTTCATCTCCTGTTAACAGTTCTTTGAAGAATTGCTTCAGGATCTTGATCCCACGTTTAAAATTTTCCATTGAAAGCTGTGCTTTTTTGTCTGCAGCTGATCTGGTGCAATGGTTTTGGCACTGATTGAGTGGAAAGTTTGCTTAACCTTTTCAGTCAGAATTGCATAAAATGAACCAACTGAGATGGTTTGGGCTATTGTTTATGCTGTTAATTGTCAGTCCTCTTCAATTAGGGCACAAACAAGATTAACTTTGTTCCTCACAAATTGATGTGGATAGGGCTGTAGTGAAATTGGCCACAAATTTTAACAGTTGAAGTTGGCGATGGGTTCATTTTACTTTTCTGTCTACTTTTATAAACATGAAATTCTCAGTAATGATGTAACTTAAAAAAAATTTTTTTTTTTTTGAAACGGAGTCTCGTTCCGTCGCCCAGGCTGGAGTGCTGTGGCGCAATCTCAGCTCACTGCAAGGTCCACCTCCCAGGTTCACGCCATTCTCCTGCCTCAGCCTCCCGAGTAGCTGGGACTACAGGCACCCGTCACCACGCCCGGCTAAGTTTTTGTATTTTTAGTAGAGAACGGGGTTTCACCGTGTTAGCCGGGATGGTCTCGATCTCCCGACCTCATGATCCACCTGCCTCGGCGTCCCAAAGTGCTGGGATTACAGGCGTGAGCCACCGTGCCCAGCTGTTACTTAAATTTTTGAAAGAAAATATGAGTTGGCCAAGCATGGTGGCTCATGCCTATAAATCCCAGCATTTTGGGAGGCTGAGGTGGGAGGACTGCTTGAGCCCATGAGCTCGAGACTGGTCTGGGCAACATAGCAAGATCCTGTCTCTAACTTAAAAAAAAAAATGTAAGAGTAAAGCTTAAGATTGAAATGATAAAATGGTCAGGCAGCAGGAGTGGTATATACCATCCAAACTGCTCTATCACTACTCTTTTTGGCTTTTTCATCATGATTGTTCTGCATTATTTCTGAAAAGTAAGTTGATCGTGATTTTTTATTTTTAAAATTGCTTAAACTACAGAATATTTATCCAAATTGCTTTGTTAGAAATGAGTACATGTGCTTCCTGGAGGACCATATTTATCAGTCTTTGTTTTTATTATATTTATATATATGTGTGTGTGTATGTGTATATGTATGTGTGTGTGTGTGTATATATATATATATATATATATATATATTTTTTTTTTTTTTTTTTTTTTTTTTTTTTGAGAGAGTCTTGCTCTGTTGCCCAGGCTGGAGTGCAGTGGCGTGATCTTGGCTCACTGCAACCTCTGCCTCCCGGGTTCAAGCGATTCTCCTGCCTCAGCCTCCCGAGTAGCTGGGATTACAGGCATGCACCACCACGCCTGGCTAACTTTACTAGAGATGGGATTTCTCCATGTTGGTCAGGCTGGTCTCAAACTCCCAACCTCAGGTGATCTGCCCTCCTCGGCCTCCCAAAGTGCTGAGATTACAGGCATGAACCACCATGCCCAGCCTATTATTTATATCTTATCAATTATTTAGGTTGCCAACTTCTTCCCTGTATTATGCTGTTCCCTCTATGTTTTTGGTTTTCAACCCTGTCTGCAACTTATAGTCACTTGGGGAGTTTTTCTAAAAAATGCCCAGGTCCAGTCTCTATAGTTTTCTATTCTATCATCTGAGATAGGGCATTTGTATATGTAATTATTTAAGTGTTCAATGTCTTACCTTCTTGCTGGACTGTTTATGAAAACTAAGGCCTGTGTCCCCAGCGCCTAGTACAGTGCCTTTGCTATAGCTGTTTAATAATTGTTAAATGACTACTTCTATTTGCGACATATTTTAATTTCGTATCAGAAAGAGCTGGAACTATTCTTTTGCAGAAAAACCAAAAGAATATTTAATATCTCTATTGGAACGACTGAGAATTGCAAAAGTAACAGGCGTGGCGTTTCCTTTCTTTATGGATAACTCTAACATTGTGGCTATGTTTGAGATGATGGACTCCTCAGGCAGAGGCACCATATCATTTGTGCAGTATAAAGAAGGTCAGTACATTCTACAAATTGAGGTAATAGTTTGTGGTCATTCCACAGTTTTTTCTAGCAGAAAATACTTCTCACTTTGTAAAATTCTCACTTCATTTCTTCTCATTATTTTACAGCCCTAAAAACCCTGGGTCTATGCACTGAAGATGAAGATTTACAAGATGATGGACATAAAATAACTTTGGATAAATTCAAGGAGGAAGTGTAAGTTTATTTTTAAGTGACAAATATTTTAATAAGGTGGCATGATTTTGAAGCACAATTAATACCTTTAAAACAGGTTCCTATCTTTTGAAAGAAATATTTTGTTCCCTTGAAACTTTCAGCTGACTGGAAAGTGAGGACAGGTAAGGCTGACGGTAAAGTCCCTAAACTTGGGAATAGGAAGGGAAAATGCTGGGGTTAGAGAGGAAGTTCCAGAGGCAGCTCCATTCTTTTTTTTTTTTTTTTTTTCCCTGAGATGGAGTCTTGCTCTGTTGCCCAGGCTGGAGTGCAGTGGCAATATGTCGGCTCACTGCAACCTCCACCTCCCGGGTTCAAGCGATTCTCCTGCCTCAGCTTCCCAGTAGCTGGGCTTACAGATGCGCATCACCACATCCAGATAATTTTTTTGTATTTTTAGTAGAGTCAGGGTTTCATCATGTTGGCCAGGCTGGTCTCAAACTCCTGATCTCAAGTGATCCACTGCCTCGGCCTCTCAAAGTGCTGGGATTACAGGCATGTAATGGGCTGTGCCCAGCCAGCTCCATTCTAAATAGGAAGCCCCAGCAATTCTCAAAGGATGAGGTGAAGAAGCACCAATATGCTAGGACAACTAACAAACAGAAACATTTTGAGCTCAACACACTAGCTGGAAACTCTCTCTATAAAATACATACTAATAGAATCTATCTCAAAATATTTCCTCAAAATTATCACAAAGTAAATGTTTATCAGAAGCATAGGCTGCATGTTAGTCTGATAATTTTAGATTTTGAGATATTACAGGATTAAAAGTACTAACCCACTGCTAAGTCAGAGAAAAACCATTGGAATAAAATTTAATAGTTGTGGAAAGTTTCCAGGGAATCTAGCTCAATTTTTTAAAGAGTTTTACTCTGAGATTTTATTAGTCAAGTAACTATTATTGAATATACCCCAAGGACAAGGAAAAGTTACAAGAAAAAATAAACTTTTGAGACTTTTGTCTCATAAGTTACATAAATAATAAAAATGTTTAATTACATTCCCTACCACATGGGAATGTTTGAGTCAGAGTGCCATGGCCTGAAATGTTTCATCCAGAAAGAAAGGGTTGCCCACTGTCACACAGAATGAAACTAGGAAGCATTTAAAATAGAAGGGCATTTGTGAGAAATGAAGAACAATCCTATCTTATTCACCATCTCACAATGTGTTTTGTTTTGTTCTTTAGAGACAGGGTCTTGTTCGCTTGCCCAGGCTGCTGTGCCGTGTCACAATCAGAGCTCACTGTAGTCTTGACCTCCTGGGCTCAAGCTAGCCTCCCACCTCAGCCTCCCAAGTAGCTAGAACTACAGGCATGCATCAGGGTCTTGACATGTTGGCCAGGATGTTTTCGCACTCCTGCCTCAAGCAATCCTCCTACCTCAGCCTCCCAAAGTGCTGGGATTACAGGCATGAGACACTGTGCCCTGCCAGTTTCCTCATGGAAATACAGTTAATTCCCAAACTAGATACAGGTGCCTCAATTACAAATATGCATTCAAAGGGAGTTTTAAAAAAATTTATTGGCTATGTTTGATTATCCACAACAGAATTTCCCTTAATTAGCACAGGAAATTGAAAGTTGGTTATAATTTAATATCTCTGCTCGTCTTCAACAGACATACTCAGCATTTATACTTGTAAATAGAATTGAGTTTTCATTGTTTCGTTTTCTGTTTTTGTTTCCTTAGGAACAAGAGGATGAAGGAAATATGGTCAGCATTTTAATAACACCATAAATCCAAGATAATAAGTAATTCTATAAAGTTTTCCAGTTTCATTAATTCAGAATTTCATCATATAACTTGAAATCCAATTGGCTTCCTCTTTCTTAGAAACAAAAACCAAAGAAACCTTTTTCTGAAAGACATTATTTTCCAGTATTAGGCCAATTTGTCCTCAAATTAAGTAGAATCTCAACATCTTGTTGAGCCAGTTTGTAAATTCCAACTTCATTTAATGCTGCTGTGGCAGGAAGCTGCCCTGAAGCTGACTGCAGTACATCTTTCAGCAGTAGTGCAGAACCGACGTTCAAATTCAAAACAATACAGGCTTCTTTTATACTGTTTAGGGAAAACAAAGGAGGGAAATGAGATCTCCATTATCTGCATCAATTATATTACAATTTTGAGAATCCTAAACAGCTTCTCTGCACTGCTGGTCCACATGTTCTCTATAAAAATATTTATGGATTTATTATTTGGTTCTTTTAACATGGTAAGACTACACAGGTGCAGAGTTGCTATTTCTTTAGATTACTATAAGGTAATACGATCCCTATTTCAATATGTATCCGTTATTTCCCTAAATACAATACTTAATATTAACACTATATTAAATATAGCTATAACTTTAGGTAGATTAGAACATGGGAAAAGACAAAAATAAGAGATAAATGAAAGCAGCAGAAAGAACATTAAAATAAATTTTAAAAACAGTCCTATGAAACGTGTAAACATAAGCTTTCATTTTATAAGTCTAAAAGGAATGCTTTATAACCTCACAAAACCCAAACATAATTTAAATTTTACTTTTTTTTTTTGAGACATGGTCTTGCTCTGTCACCTAGGCTGGAGTGAAACTGCACGATCATAGCTCACTACAGCCTCAGCCTCTCAAGTAGCTAGGACTACAGGTCCACACCCCCACACCTGGCTTTTTTTTGTTTGTTCATTTTAATACTTTCTGTAGAGATGGAGTCTTGCTATGTTGCCCAGGCTGGTCTCAAACAGCTGGCCTCAAGCAATTCTCCCACCTCTGCCTCCCAAAGTACTGGGATTACAGATGTGGGCTACTATGCCTGGCCTATAAATTTTAGATCAACAAATTCTGAAACTATAATTATATTTAGAACCAAAATTAATGTCAAATGTTTAAGGAAACAAATTTCTTTCAGGCCTGGCCTATTAGGTATTAAACATATTTGTAATTTTTTTTTTTTTTTGAGACAGTCTTGGCTCACTGCAAGCTCCGCCTCCCGGGTTCACATCATTCTCCTGCCTCAGCCTCCCAAGCAGGTGGGACTACAGGTGCCCGCCACCAGGCCTGGCTAATTTTTTTTTTTTTGGTATTTTTAGTAGAGATGGGGGTATCACTATGTTAGCCAGGATGGTCTCGATCTCCTGACTTTGTGATCTGCCCAACTCAGCCTCCCGAAGTGTTGGGATTACAGGCGTGAGCCACCACGCCCGGCCCTGTAATTTCTTATATTTAGTGAATAGGGCACAACTGTACTTGTTTTCATTTTCTATTTATTCCTCCAGTAACTAAGCAACTAGAAGCATTAAACCAAATACTAGAAAACAAAACCCAACAGGTAATTTATATCTAGTTCTGAAACTTTTTGAGGTCATGGGTCACATCTATCATCTTGGTTTCCCCATTGTGCTGTAAGCATACAGTAGATAGACAATGTTTTAAAATTTCAACTGATCTTATCCCACCCAAACATCTCCAGAACCCTAAAGTTAAAAGGAGTTAGCCTCCTGTAACAATTTGATACATTAATATTAATTGTTAAATGTTGAGCTTACTGTTTAAAATAATTTTCTGGTCTCTTGCAATAGTGAGAAAACAAAGGGAAAAGATTCCGAGTCATATCAAACTGCAGCTGGGCTGCTCCTCCTTCATTGAAGTGATTAGCAAGAATTATCTGAAACAAAGAATAATTCATATAACAGTTGTCTTTATTATCACAGCCCAAAAACAGTCTATTCTTACTTACTTCTTGGTAGATGTATACATCCAGCTTCTCTACAAGCATTTGCCAGAAAATTTTAAATAAGGAGAAACAAAGCTGCTGCTCCAACTGAAGTAAATGGTCTCGTAACGTCAGCAGCAACGGGCAAGCCGAACTGGACAGGGACATCACTGCCTGCTCTGACTGAGATGGCAAGGACAACCATCTGGAAAAAACACATTTTTACCAAAAAATTTTCATCAGTTTCTATTTTTCAAGTTTTTAAATCATTTTAAATTTGAGGAAGTGTTCTGTCCTAGGGCATTTTGGATAAGAAAAAATATACAGCCTAACATTAAAAGCTCTATCAGAAAATAAATGTACCTGTATTTATATTTTCACTCTCAAATACTCTTTAATATGGGGATATATCCAAAATATCCCCAAATTTTAATATGTGAATTACTGATATAAGGCAATTACAATTTAAAATGTCACTTAATTTTTGCATTTTATTTATGTAGTTTTTCTTTTTTTTTGAGACAGAGTCTCGCTCTGTTGGCCAGGCTAGAGCCACAGGGTTCAAGCAATTCTCGTGTCAGCCTCCCAAGTAGCTGGGATTACAGGTGCCCACCACCACGCCCAGCTAATCTTTGAATTTTTTAGTAGAGACAGGGTTTCGCCATGTTGGCCAGGCTAGTTTCGAATTGCTGCCCTCAAGTAATCTGCCCGCCTTGGCCTCCCAAAGTGCTGGGATTACAGGTGTGAGCCACTGCACCCAGCCTGATTTTAGCATTTTAATTAAGACATCAGCTAATATTATCCTCTAATTTTTAGTAAAAACAGGACTAATAAACGAATTTTAAGCACTCTGTGTGGCAGGGACTATGCTAGGACAAAAAGATACTGCTTGCTATCAAGGATGAAAGTAACACAGGTGTTCACAGTGAATGGTAGTGGGATAAACCACAACAAAAGTATGCAGAGTACCACAGGTGCACTTTACTTTGCAAAATGGGAGACAGGTTAGGCTATTCAACCCCAGATCACACACTATCCTATTGATATATTTACAAACAACTAAATTATAATCAGTTTATTCTGATTAAGAATGTCAGCCAGGTGTGGTGGCTCACACCTGTAATCCTAGCACTTTGGGAGGCCGAGGCAGGTGGCTTGCCTGAGGTCAGGAGTTGGAGATCAGCCTGCCCAAAATGTGAAACCACATCTCTACTAAAAATACAAAAATTAGCCTTGTGTGGTGGTGCATGCCTGTAGTCCTGGCTACTTGGGAGGCTGAGGTGGGAAGGTCACTTGAACCTCTAAGGCAGAGGTTGCAATGAGCCAAGATCGTGCAACTGCACTCCAGCCTGGGTGACAGAGTAGGACTGTCTCAAAAAAAATGTCCAAGAGAACATACTTTAGAAATATTTCCATCAACAATAAAGTACATAAGGCCAAACCGGGTTCTATCTAGACACCTTGAAAATCTGACCACATATTCTTTAACTTTTACCAAACTGGTGTTAAGAGCTGACTTACATAGAGGACATACCTTTCTTTTTTATACAATTTTGCAGCATCTTTAACTTCTCTAAAAACGTGGTCTACTTGACGGGTCAACATATCATGCTTTAAACGTTCTAAGAGGTTAATCATGTCATCAAAGACAGAGCTCTCCATAGAGGCTAGCTGTCCTAGCTGCAATTTACTCAGAGTATTATTCTCTGCAAACACCTCCAGTGCAGCCTGTTGAAGTTGTAGAAAGAACTGAAAGCAAAAACATGTTAACACATTAGCATACTTTTTTTTTAACAGTTTGAAATAGAATTCATATGTCATACAATTCACCCATTTAAAGTGTATAATTCGACCGGGCACGGTGGCTCATGCCTGTAATCCCAGCACTTTGGGAGGCTGAGGTGGGTGGATCACCTGAGGTCAGGAGTTCGAAACCATCCTGGCCAACATGGTGAAACTCCAACTCTACTAAAAATACAAAAATAAGCCGGGTGTGGTGGCATGTGCCTGTAATCCTAGCTTGAACCTGGAAGGTGGAAGTTGCAGTGAGCCGAGATCATGCCTCTGCACTCCAGCCTGGGCGACAAAGTGAGACTCCATCTCAAAACTAATAATAGTGTATAATTCAATGATTTTTTTATATATTCAGTTGTATATCCATCACAATTTTAGAACATTTTCATCACCAAGAAAAAAGCCGTTATCCTCTAATACCGTCTCCCCACTCCCTCAACTCATAGGCAACCACTAATTGACTTTCTGTCTCAATGGATTTGCCTGTTCTGGACATTTCATATAAATGAAATCATACAACGTATGGTTGGTTGTGACTGTCTTCTTTCAGTACATTTTCAAGGTCTATCCATATTGTAACACGTATCATATTGTAACACGTATCAGCACTTCATTTTTTTTACATTGCCAGGTAATATTCCATTATATAGATAGACCACATTTTATTTATCCATTCATCAGCTGGTGGACATTTGGGTAGCTTCTACTTTGTCTATTATGAACAAATGCTGCTGTGAACATTTTTGTACAAGTTTTTTTTGTTTTGTTTTTTTGTTTTTTGTTTTGAGACGGAATCTCGCTCTGTCACCCAGGCTGGAGTGCAGTGGGGTGATCTTGGCTGACTGCAGTCTCCGCCTCCCGGGTTCAAGCGATTCTCCTGCCTCAGTCTCCTAAGTACCTGGGATTACGGGCGTGTGCCAGCACACCTGGCTAATTTTTTTTTTTGTAACTTTCGTAGAGATGGTGTTTCACCATGTTGGTCAGACTGGTCTCAAACTCCTGACCTCATGATCCGCCCACCTCAGCCTCCCAAAGTTCTGGGATTACAGGCGTGAGTCACCAAGCCTGGCAGTACAAGTTTTTATGTGGACATATGTTTCATTTCTCTTGGTATGTACTGAAGAGTGGAATTGCTGGATCTTATGGTAAGTCTATGTTTTAACAGTTTGAAAGGCTAGGCATGGTAGCTCATGCCTATAGTGCCAGCACTTTAAGAGGCTGAGGCCAGAGAATCATTTTATAGTGAGACCTTATCTCTAGAAAAAAATTAAAAATTAGCTGAGTGTGGTGGCCACAGACCTCCCAGCTACTCAGGAGGCTGAGATGGGAAGACTGCTGGAGCCCAGGAGGCAGAGGTTGCAGTGAGCCAAGATTGTGCCACTGCACTGCAGCCTGGGTGAAAGAACGAGATCTCATCTCAGAAAACAAAAAAACAGTTTGCGGAACTGCCATACTGTTTTCCACAGCAACTGTACCATGTTACATTCCCACTAGTCAATGTTAAACTATTCTGAAATGGAACAATCTCAAGATATATTGTTAACCGGAAAAAGCAGAAGAGTTTGCATAGTATGTTACCACACGTTGACATACACACACCAGTATTTATATAAATAGCTTTAGTAGTATATACAAGAAATTGATCAAAGTGATTGGCTTTAGGGAAGATTAGAATTAAGACTTATTTTCACTATATATATATTTTCAATATATACAGTTTTGTGGCTTTTGAATTTTGTATCACATGGATTACATATAGTGAAAAATATTTTTCTCTTTCAACTTCTGTGTACGGTAATCATGAACTTAAAAAAAATGACACTATCGGCCAGGCGTGGTGGCTCATGCCTGTAATCTCAGCACTTTGGGAGGCTGACGCAGGTGGATCACCTGAGGTCAGGAGTTTGAGACCAGCCTGGCCAACATAGTGAAATGCCATCTCTACTAAAAATACAAAAATTACCTGGGCATGGTGGCAGGTGCCTGTAATCCCAGCTACTCGGGAGGCTGAGGCAGAAGAATTGCTTGAACCCAGGAGGCAGAGTTTGCAGTAAGCCGAGATCGTGCCACTGCACCCTAGCCTGGGCGACAAGAGTGAAACCCCGTCTCAAAAAATGACAACAAAAAAATGACACTATCTACTTGTTTTTTTTATTTTTTGAGACAAGAGTCTCACTCTGTCCCTCAGGCTGGAATGAAATGGAGCAATCTCGGCTTACTGCAATCTCCCCTCCCTGGTTCAGGCGATTCTCCTGTGTCAGCCTCCCGAGTAGCTGGGACTACAGGCGAGCACCACCATACCTGGCTAATTTTTGTATTTTTAGTAGAGATGGGGTATCACCATGTTGGCCAGGCTGATCTTGAACTCCTGACCTCAGGTGATCCACTCGCTTTGGCTTCCCAAAGTGCTGAGATTACAGGTGTGAGCCACCATGCCTGGCGTTGTTCTAAATAAAATTAAAAATATTTTTTAAACGACACTATCAACAAGCATTTAAGCATAAGATTATAAAGGTCTGAAATTTTATTTTTCCAAAATTAACAGAGGACTAAATAAATCACCTTGCCAAGGTTTTTTTTTTTTTTTCTCTAAAACTCTGAATAGCATTAGGCCGTGAACACATCATAAGCCATTATTAAGGTCATCAAACATTTGGCTTCCCTTGATGGCCTGGCACGGTGGCTTACGCCTGTAAACCCAGCACTTTGGGAGCCCGGGGCGGCGGATCACTTGAGGTCTGAGGTTCGAGATCAGCCTGACCAACATGGTGAAACCCCATCTCTACTAAAAATAGAAAAGTTAGTCGGGCATGGTGGCGCACACCTGTAATCCCAGCTACTCAGGAAGCTGAGGCAGGAGAATAACTTGAACCTGGGAGGCAGAAGTTGCCGTGAGCCAAGATCACACCACTGCAATCCAGCCTGGGTGACAAAGTGAGACTCTTGTCTCAAAAAAAAAACCAAAATAAAAAACATTTGGCTACCCTTGAAATGGTTTCTTAAGAATTTTCAGTTGCTTTTCTTTTAAAGTTCTTGAAATAAAACTAATTAAAATTTTAAAAACCAAAAGCCATTGAGAATTCTCCCAAAGATTTCATGGATAACGAACAAACCATAAAATCTGGTGGTTAATTTTTTTATACATTTACTATTAAAATTCTGACTACCCAACATGAACCTAAATCATCTCTCTTTGTCTCTCCCCATCTCCCTCTCTCCTCCCGTGCCCCCGCCCCATATCTTTTTGCATGGCAATGTGTCATGGGCATCAACTACTTTTACATGGCAACTTTTCCCCTTTTAACAGTACCCCAATTTTCCTTTGGGGAAACACTTCCCCAATCTGAGACAACTTAGGTGGTGTCAGCCCTATCCTTTGGTGCCAGGGATGCACACATAACTTGGTAATACCATGCCCTGGCTGCACTAGTAATTGTTCAGAGATGGACATATGAGAGGCACCTTGGTATTTCTGCTGAAACTATCAGAGAAGCAGCACTCTTCTTTTGAGATTGCAGAAGGACCATGTGAGCCTGGAACCACCTGTGGCCACACGTCCAGAGCCTGCCTCAGAACAAAACCAGAAATTGACAACTTTAGAACAGCCATGCCTAATCCTTTTAGAAAGTTAAAATCCTCACCTCCCATATCTCACCCCACATCCCAACTTAGGCCAGTTTGAATTTCATATCTGTCACCTACAACTGAAAAATTCCTAATTCTGAATGGCTGCTTATTTCAGGCTTGGCACAATCTGGCAACTGGCAGACAGTTATCAGTAGAGAACCTGAAACAAATGGAAAGTGAATTCTGTCCATTCTTTTTCCTTTTTCTAATTATGCAATACAAGAGCTTTAATAATTTTTACTTATACAGTATTCACTGGCTGAAGGACTGTGAATATGATTAAAGAATGTTTGAGGTTAAGACAGAACTTGCACTATATAGTTATTGTTTTTTATTTTTTGAGACAGAGTTTTGCTCTTGTCATCCAGGCTGGAGCGCAACGGCGCAATTTTGGCTCACTGCAACCTCTGCCTCCCGGTTCAAGCTATTCTCCTGCCTCAGCCTCCTGAGTAGCTGGGATTATAGGCGTCCGCCACCACACCTGGCTTTTTCTTTTTTTTTTTTTTTTTTTTTTTTTTTTGAGACAGAGTCTTGCTCTCTCACCCAAGCTGGAGTGCAGTGGCACAATCTCAGCTCACTGCAACCTCCACCTCCCAGGTTCATGCAATTCTCCTGTCTCAGCCTCCTGAGTAGCTGGGACTACAGGCGCCCACCACCATGCCTGGCTAGTTTTTGTATTTTTAGTAGAGATGGGGTTTCACCATCTTGGCCAGGCTGGTCTCGAACTCCTGACCTCAGGTGATCCGCCTGCCTCGGCCTCCAAAAGTGCTGGGATTATAGGCGACAACTACCGTGCCCAGCCACGCCTGGCTAATTTTTTGTATTTTTAGTAAAGACGGGATTCCACCATGTTGGCCAGGCTGGTCTCAAACTCCTGACGTCAGGTGATCCACCCACCTTGGCCTCCCAAAGTGCTGGGATTACAGGCGTGAGCCACCACACCCGGCCAGATTTGCACCATCATAACCATGCTAGGACACAATTCATTCACAATTTGAACAATCAACTCTGAAATTTATTTCTCTGCTGACAGAGAACCTAGTTAATTCAGCATGAGATTATACGTTTTCTAAGGGTAGGGATGATGGCTAATTCATCTTTCTTTTTTTGGCGGGGGGAGTTGCCCAGGCTGGAGTGCAGTAGTGTGATGAAGGCTCACTGCAGTCTCAACCTCCCGGGCTCAAGCAATCTTCCCACCTCAGCCTCCAAGTAGCTGGGACCACAGAGCATGCCTGCCATGCCCAGTTAATTTATTTTATTTTATGTAGAGACAGGGTCTCCCTATGCTGCCCAGGCTGGTCTCCAACTCCTGAGCTCAAGTGATCCACCCACCTTAGCCTCCCAAGCAGCTAGGACTACAGGGGTACGCCACCATGCTCAGCTAATTTTTTGTATTTTTTGTAGAGATGAGGTCTCACCATGTTGCCCAGACTGGTCTCGAACTCCTGGGCTTAAGTGATCAGCCCACCTTGGCTTCCCAGAGTTGGGATTACAGGTGTGAGACATCGTGCCCAGCCATCTTTCTTAAACAGACTATAGCACCAAGTAAAGCAGTTGATGATGTTCTACAAATAATTTCATTGAAGAAAAAATTCTGGCACAAGAATCAAGAATAACAATTTGTTTCATATTACTAAAAACGCTTAGCAGAATATGGAGCTGTGGGGGTGCTGAGAGAATACTTACTTAAATTAGAAACACAACACATAAAAGTACAAAATGAATGCATGTATGCTAATTAGCTGACTTTATTTTTTTTTTTTTTTTGAGACTGTTTTGCTCTTGCTGCCCAGGCTGGAGTGCAATGGCGTATTCTCAGCTCACTGCAACCTCTGCCTCCTGGGTTCAAGCGATTCTTCTGCCTCAGCCTCCTGAGTAGCTGGGATTACAGGCATTTTTTTTATTTTTAGTAAAGACAGGGTTTCACCATGTTGGCCAGGCTGGTCTCGAACTCCTGACCTCAGGTGATCCACACACCTTGGCCTCCCAAAGTGTTGGGATTACAGGCATGAGCCACCACACCCAGACTGATTAGCTGACTTTATAAACAAACTGATCATTACCCTCTATCTTATAATCATATTATGAAATAATTGTTTTATTTTCCTTGCTCAGCAGAATGACATTATGCACATGGATTTCAGTTATTTTTATAGGAAAAAAACTTTAACTAATTACTAAGTCCCAGACAGAGTACAGATAAGCATAAACTATGATGATTGTGTTTATCAGATTTTTATCTTGTTTATATCTATGATGAGTATATTTATTATATTTATTTTTGCCCCCTATTTATTTGGCTTATTTAAAATTTAAATAAAAATGGTTTTTGTTTGGCTTTTTCTTTCACATTAAAATAGGTATTATGAGGAATACATTTTCTGCTATACAATGCTTTAGAAGTAACCATAAATTTTTGTTCTACATATAACAAAATGTACTATATAGTGTATTAATTTGTATACTACAATTTTTATTCCTAAACTCATAATTTAAAATTTAATGCTTTCTAGACTTCCTTCCTAATCCAGGCATTTAATGTTTTTACATGTCCATGTTTGAATATATTTCATTTCCGCTTTTATTTCCTGTTTTATTGCATTAAGATAATGTACAGATATTTTAAATTAATTTATCTTGTCCATCTTTGTGACTCATCTGGACACACTTGAAAATTGTGTTTTTCCCTGTTATACTATGGAATGTATCACTAATCTTCAGTTAATCAATCTAATTGTTTAAGTTTACAATTTTTTAATTCTCACTTTACCTATCACATTCTAATAGTATATTTAAGTCTTTAGTTAAAATTGCATTTGTCTTGTTTACCTTTCTGTTTTCATTTTATGACACAATTATATATTTTATATTAATAATTCATATTAAAATTTTCATAGTCATTATCAGATTTATTCCGTATAGTTAGTTTCTTTAATATTTAATGTCTATTCTATTTTACCATTTCATAGTCATCCTAGTTCTCTGTTTATGCGTTCTGTCATGAAATGTACTTTATGGGACACCCAAGTTGGTATAAACCTAAGTTGATTTTGTATTCTCACAGATGATCTCAGAACAGTGATTCTTAACCTAAGGGCACCCTGTTCAAGAAGGGAGTTCTGAAGGTCCTCTGAGATTATGTTAATATCTAAAACATCTAAAAGAATTCATCTGTCTATGTCAAGGTTATAAAGGCTAATTAGACTTTTGTTTGGAAGCATCTATTGGAAAATCTGGTTGCCAAAGAGTCCTGATAGCCAGGATATTCCTTGAATTAATAAAAACAGTAAAAATAAATTACTACTTAATAATTATACTTAGGCATATCAAGTCTGTCAGTAGGTTAACTTAATTAGGCAGATCAAATCTTGTCAGAATCTGCATGGAGAAGGCAAGGGTCAGTAGAATCTGGAGGGAAAAGGCCTTATGGTATTTGTTAACTGGACCCAAGGTTTTTATTTATAGATTTATTTAAAATATACCTTCCAATAAATCAGTTAATTTTTTCAGATACAATCATAGTGCTGTTTTTTTTTAAAAGAGTTCTTACCTTTTAGAGATAAATACTAATATATATCTCTCTATATAAATATTACCATGAAATATGATATCTGAGATCTGCTTCAAAATAATCAAGTATTGGGGGGCAGAAAAGAGGTTTAAATAAAACAAAATTGGTGTAAGAAGTTGAGTGAGCTGGGCATGGTGGCTCACACCTATAATCCCAGCACTTTGGGAGGCAGAAGCAGGTGGATCACCTGAGGTCAGGAGTTTGAGACCAGCCTGGCCAATAAGGTGAAAACTCGTCTCTACTACTAAAAAAAAAATTAGCCAGGCATGGTGGCGGGTGCCTGTAATCCCAGCTACTCAGGAGGCTGAGGCAGGATAATCCCTTGAACCCAGGAGACAGAGGTTGCAGTGAGCCGAGATCGCACCATTGCACTCCAGCCCGGGCAACAAGAGCGAAACTCTGTCACAAAAAAAAAAAAAAGAAGTTGAGTGATAGCCACGCCACAGAAGTTCATTTTCCTATTCTATTTACTCTTGCATATATTTGAAAATTTGATACATGAAATGTTAGTTTCTTATTTTTATTTTTTGTAGAGACAGGGTCTCACTATGTTGCACAGCTGGTCATGAATTTCTGGGCTCCAGTGATCCTCCCACCTCAGCCTCCCAAGTAGCTCGGACTACAGGCATATGCCACCACACCTGGCTAATTTTATTTTATTTTTTATTCTTTGGAGAAATGGGGTCTCCCTATGTTGCCCAGGTTGGTCTCCAACTCCTGGGCTCAAGCAATTCTCCCATCTCAGCCTCCTAAAGTGCTGGGATTAAGAGCATGAGCCACTGCACCCAGCCAAATAGATTTTTAATGTATGAAACAATTAAAACTTTAAATGTTTCTTCCTATTTTCATGACTCTTTATAATCTGTCATGTTTTGAAGACATTCAAGAGGTATTAAACATTATTCTTTTATTTTCCTTAAAGTCCTGGATTGCTTTTGACATCATTATTTAATCTTAGCTCTTCCTGTGATTGCAATTACCATACATGAATATTTCCAAGTATGGTTCACTCTATAAACAACTATTTCATGAAAGGCTTGCTTGCCTTTCCAATGATTAAATACATTAAAATATCAGGACTATTTAACTACTTGAGATTTGATTGAGAAAAATGTGTATTTTAATTACACCTTTTAATTATGGCACTATGGTTCTGTCTAGCATGTTTATTTTTGCTTGCAATAGATTCAACATTTTGAAAAGTATTAATAAAATAGTTCGAACTAGTATATATTACTTAATATAAAAGCATATTAACTCACAACATTGTCAGCCCAATCTGCTAGTACTGTTGAGATGTAGTTCACAGCATTAAGAATTGCACAGTATCGAAAGCCAAGGGAAGCTCTAGTCTCTTCTTTCATCACTTGTGTTAATCGTATCCTAAAATCATCTACTAAGTCCTTCTGTAACTCCAGGAACTGAAGCTTTCGGGAAGCTGTGGGAAGATTTTTATACCTGTCTGTGGAAAAAGTTATTAAGACATATGAAGGTTTTGGTACCATCTATGATATAGTTATAAGTTTTCCCTACTGTCCTGCTTCAGTGCTTTTGTCAAAAATCAATTGACCAGTAGTCAAGAATGGATTTATTTCTGAGCTCTCTTAAGGATGTGAGTTTCAAAAGTATATACATTTGCCAAAACTCATTGAACAATACAAATAAGATCTGCACATTACACTGTATGTAAACTATACCTCAAGTTTTCAAAAAGGCAAATGAAAAAATTATACATAAAAATGACAGTTTTGGCCAGTCGTGGTGGCTCACGCCTGTAATCCCAGCACTTTGTGAGGCCAAGGCAGGTGGATCAACTGAGGTCAGGAGTTCAAGACTAGCCTGGCCAACATGGTGACACCTCATCTCTACCAAAACTACAAAAATTAGCCGGGCAGTAGTGGCGTGTGCCTGTAATCCCAGCTACTTGGGAGTCTGAGGCAGGAGAATTGCTTGAACCCGGGAGGTGGAGGTTGCAGTGAGCCAACATGGCACCACTGCTTTCCAGCCTAGGCAACAGAGTGAGACTCCATCTAACAAAAAAAAAAAAAGAAAGAAAAAAAAATGACAGTTTCTTCAACACAAATAAACAGCATTTTTTTAAAAAAGAAAGAACTTCAATAAATTAAAAGATACACATTTAAGAATTTACAGGCAGTTGGCCGGGCACGGTGGCTCACACCTGTAATCTCAGCACTTTGGGAGGCCGAGGTGGGTGGATCACGAGGTCAGGAGATCAAGACCATCCTGGCTAACACAGTGAAACCCTGTCTCTACTAGAAATACAAAAAAATTCGCCGGGCACAGTGGCTCACGCCTGTAATCCCAGCACTTTGGGAGGCTGAGGCGGGTGGATCACGAGGTCAGAAGATCAATACCATCCTGGCTAACACGGTGAAACCCCATCTCTACTAAAAATACAAAAAATTAGCCGAGTGTGGTGGCGGGTGCCTGTAGTCCCAGCTACTCGGGAGGCTGAGGCAGGAGAATGGCGTGAACCCGGGAGGCAGAGCTTGCGGTGAGCTGAGATGGCGCCACTGCACTCCAGCCTGGGCGACAGAGTGAGACTCCATCTCAAAAAAAAAAAAAAAAAAAAAAAAAAAAATTAGCTGGGTATGGTGACGGGTGCCTGTAGTTCCAGCTACTCAGGAGGCTGAGGTAGGAGAATGGTGTGAACCCAGGAGGTGGAGCTTGCAGTGAGCCGAGATTGCGCCACAGCACTCCAGCCTGGGCGACAGAGCGAGACTCTGTCTCAAAGAAAAAAAAAAAAGACAATTTACAGGCAGGCATGGTGGCTCACGCCTGTAATCCCAGCACTTTGGGAGGCCGAGGCAGGTGGATCACCTGAGGTCAGGAGTTCGAGACCAGTCTGGGCAATATGAAACCCCATCTCTAGTAGAGCCGCCACCATGCCTGGCTAATTTTTTTGTATTTTTAGTAGAGACGGGGTTTCACTGTGTTAGCCAGGATGGTCTCGATCTCCTGACCTCGTGACCTGCCCACCTCAGCCTCCCAAAGTGCTGGGATTACAGGTGTGAGCCACCGTGCCTGGCCAACTGCCTGTAAATTTTTGTATTTTTAGTAAAAATACAAAAAAAAATTAACCAGGCATGGTGGCAGGCATCTGTAATCCCAGCTACTCAGGAGGCTGAGGTAGGAGAATTGCTTGGACCCAGGAGGCGGAGGTTGCAGTAAGCCGAGATTGCGCCATTGCACTCCAGCCTGGGTGACAAGAGCGAAATTCTGTCTCAAAAAAAAGAATTTACAATTGACATGATGAGATGTCTGAAATTTTCTTTGAAATACTCCAGAAAAAAAAAATTGAGGAGTAAAATATAACAGAAAAGTGATAATTGCTTTAAACTTTGGCAATAGGTACCTGAGAGTTCATCATATTATCCTACTTTTGTGTATGTTTGAAAATTTTCTGAATAAAAAGTTTTTAAGAGACATGAATTTTCCTTAATTTTTTTGTCTTAGTATTTTTCATATTTTTCTTATAGTTAAAAATATGGAATGATGACTGGGCACGGTGGCTCATGCCTGTAATCCCAGCACTTTGGGAGGCCGAGGCAGGTGGATCACAAGGTCAGGAGTTCAAGACCAGCCTGGCTAAGATGGTGAAACCCCGTCTCTACTAAAAATTCAAAAATTAGCTGGGCGTGGCAGCAGGTGCCTATAATCCCAGCTACTTGGGAGGCGGAGGCAAAAGAATTGCTTGATCCTGGGCAGCAGAGGTTGCAGTGAGCCGAGATCATGCCACTGCACTCCAGCCTGGGTGACAGAGTGAGACTCCATCTCAAAAAAAAAAAAAAAAAAAAAAAAAGGAATTATTTACTGACTGGGCTGGAATGATACTTCTTCAGGTTACCAGACAAGCCTAAGAAACGGACAGGCTAGTGGTTGACGAAGGTGAAGAGGGCCAGGGATGGTGGCAATGAGGGTCCAGTGGCACCTGGACAACAAGCAGGCCCACAAGGGGGCAACGTGATTGGCTAAAGACCAACCAGGGCCAGAGGATGCTAGGCTACCCTCCAGCCAGAGAATCCCTGCACTGTAACAAAAGTTCCTATTACTACTCCAATCCTTAAAATTACTTCATTATTTTACTCTCTTCTGCAATCTTTGATAAATCAAGATCAAGACAATATTTAAAATATAGGCCAATCACCATTTACTGAAGACACCTAAAAAGCCCAATAGCAAGACAGTTTGGATAATAAAATTAAATTCCTATTTAATTGTTTTTGTGTAATTATTCAGGAAGTTTTCCTTCATGTATACCAATGTTTAAATCCTTAAATTATTAAAAACCCAAAAGTTAGAATATTGTGTTAGATTTCTACCAATATAGAAACTGAATTTGAAGATAACAACCATCATATAATATTAATTTGCTGAGCCACTTATTTATTGATTACTTTATTGACAGGGTCTCACTCTGTCACCAAGGCTGGACTGCAGTGGCGTGATCATGGCTCACTGCAACCTCTACCTCCCATGCTCAAAAAATCCTCCCACCTCAGCCTCCCAAGTAGCTGGGACTACAGGCACACACCACCACAACTGGCTAATTTCTGTATTTTTTCGGAAGAGAGGGCATTTCACCATGTACCCCAGGCTGTTCTCGAACTCCTGGGCTCAAGCAACCTGCCCGTCTCAGCCTCTCAAAGTGCTAGGATTACAGGCATGAGCCACTGCACCCAGCCTACTGAGCTACTTTAAAAACTACCACGTGAAAACAGTACTTTTAAAACAAAGTCATATCTTAAAAGACATACTTACCAGTTATAACCAAGAGTAGAGTCATAAAAGTTTCTGCACAATCTGGAACTTTCATTTCATCCACGTCAGTGATATCCTTATATTGCGATACCCAGGCAGCTTCTGAGGAAAGCATTGAGTCCATTTTTTGAAGAGCAACTGATAAGCAGACAAAACAATTATGTCAATTAAGTAGTTACAGTCGTTCCTAATTATTCAACTTGTAATTTTTTAGGAATGATGGCTTTTCTATAAAAAAGAAACAAACCTACAATATCCCACTGGTTGTACTAAATTTAACTTAATTAATGCTTTAAACAGGATACTTTACTCCCATCCCCAAATTCTGAAAATAGTTATGTTGACTAGATAAGCTACAGTAAAAAATATTCTATTGGCCAGGCACGGTGGCTCACACCAGTAATCCCAGCACTCCAGGAGGCCAAGGTGGGTGGATTGCTTGAGTCTAGGAGTTCACAACCAGCTTGGGCAAAACCCCAGGGAAACCCCATCTCTACAAAAAATACAAAAAGTAGCCAGGCATGGCTTGCATATACCTATACTCCCAGCTACTGGGGTGGCTGAGGCAGGAGGATCACCTGAGCCCCAGAGGTCGAGGCTGCAGTAAGCCATGATCGGCCCACTCCACTCTAGCCTCGGTGACAAAGTGAGACCCTATCTCAAAAATAAAAAAATAAAATATTCTGACACTTTGGGAGGCCAAGGCAGGTGGATTACTTGAAGTCAGGAGTTCCAGACCAGCCTGGCCAACATGTTGTAACCCTGTCACTCCTAAAAACAGAAAAATTAGCCAGGCGTGGTAGTGCGTGCCTGTAATCCTAACTACTCGGGAGGCTGAGACAGGAGAATCGCTTGAACGCAGGGGGTGGAGGTTGCAATGAGCTGAGATCAAACTACTGCACTTTAGCCTGGACAACAGAGCAAGAGTCTGTCCCAAAATAAATAAATAAAAATAAAATAAATTATATGATAAAATCTATAAAACAAACACCCCACTGGCTTGACTATTCCACTCTAGAAATATGTAGAGTGTAATTTCAGGAAAAATGGAAGTTTCATGTGAAGTAAAGAAAAGATTATCTCTGAAGGAAACAGAAAACCCTGAAAAGGAAATTTCAAATGGCTCTAGTTCCTATTTAGAACTGGAGAAGAAAAATATCAAAAATGTATACCCACAGAAACAGACATATCTCCCTACCATCTGGCCACATCAGCACTTACATTTTCTCTCCACCGTCAACCATCTCTGAAAACAGGTTTCCTCTGATAGAATATGCATACAACTAGCAAAAGTGCCAGGATAGCCATGAACACTGTGTAGCTCCCTTTCAAACAAGAGTACTTCATCCACCAAATGACAGAAGAGATTGTCATCATATAGCAGACAAGGAATATCAGTGGCTAACTTCTCAAGAACCAGCATCATAAGGCCCCGAGAAAATTCAAGCTAAAAAAATACACAAACATGAGGTATGTAAATAAAAAGTTATCCATGCACACATACAGTTCTAAAACAGAAACACTTATGACTGAGTCTCTTACCCTTGCGTTTACCAAAGAGCCTACTTTGTCTAATATTGGCTGAATCTTCTCATCCAGAAATTCAGTATGGTTTCCAATCCACATAAGTACTTGAGCCAAGTACCATTCTGGCTAAGGAAGGAGGAAAATAGTTTGAATTCTTAAGTCATTCCAATTAGAAAGTTACAATTACATGGTTCTATTTAATTGTATATGCACAACACTTATAAAAATTAGTTGAAAATTCCTGTATGTAAGAGCACAATTTCTACTCCAAATTTTAAACTCCTGCAAGGCTTAATAATCAAATGTTTGCTAATGTACTCCCAACAAATTTCAATAATATGACTTAAGTCAATAAACTCATAAATTTACAATGCCATATATATTTAAAACCTAGCACTTCAATAATATGTAAAATGATGAGTATTACAAAGAACTGATGGCCTATATTTTTTGAAATAGCATTTGAAAATAATTTTAATATTATTTTCTTATGGTTTTTATTTTCAAAAAGTAAATCAAGAAAAAAATTGCTGGCCAGGCGTGGCAGCTCATGCCTGTAATCCCAGCACTTTGGGAGGCCGAGGTGGGTGGATCAGCTGAGGTCAGAAGTTCAAGACCAGACTGGTCAACATGGTGAAACCCCGTCTCACCTAAATATACAAAAATTAGCTGGGCGTGGTGGTGGGCACCTGTAATCCCAGCTACTCAAGAGGCTGAGGCAGGAGAATCGCTTGAACGCGGGAGGCAGAGGTTGCAGTGAGCCGAGATCACACCATTGCGCTCCAGCCTGGGCAACAAGAGTGAAACTTCGTTCCAAAAAAAAAAAATTGCTAGTCTGCATTACAAAAACTACGCATGTCTTATACAGGTTTAAGAGCAGAAATACCAAGTACATGCCAGGCGCAGTGGCTCACTCCTGTAATCCCAGCACTTTGGGAGGCTAAGTCAGGTGGATCACCTGAGGTCAGGAGTTCCAGACCAGCCTGACCAATATGGTGAAACCCATCTCTACTAAAATTACAAAAATTAGTCCAGTGTGGTGACATGTGCCTGTAGTCCCAGCTACTTGGGAGGCTGAGGCAGGAGAATCGCTTGAACCTGGGAGGTGGAGGTTGCAGTGAGCAGAGATTGTGCCACTGCACTCCAGCCTGGGTGACAGAGCGAGACTCCAACTCACAAAAAAAAAAAAAGAAAAGAAATACCAAGTGCTTACTATTTGCTTTGCTTTGTTTTGCAATGATAACTCAGCAATATCTGATGCCCAAGAGCGGAAATACCATTTTTCCTACAGTATATGAACACAAGTCCTCAATTATATGTATGAACAGCAGTAACAAAACAGGAATGTAGCCCTTTAGAAAAAAAACAGAAATGTGAAGAGAGTCAGATTTTAACTTAAACCAGCAAAGGTATAGAAACTCTAACATTTGTTACCAATAAAAACCAAGGACAAGAGCTGGCAAAACACACCTTGCTTAACACATTAGTCTGCCGGTTCCCTCTGAAGTGATACCTGAACCTCTTCTGAAGAGGAGTCAGCATAACCTGGATGGGCAGGATGACAGAAGGGGAGGCAGGAAGAGAGTATTTTTCTGGGAGTTGCTTTGGCTCAGTAAGTAATTCATCTCTGACATAATCAAGTCAAGGAAAAAGAATCAAAAGCATACCTAATATACACACACATATGTATGTATACACACACAATAAATTTTTCCAACAAATGTATCAGATACTCAGTAGAGTTAATTATGATGCAAATAATATGTAACCTAATTTTATATTGAATAAACATACAGTTAATTCTTTATATTGAATATACATTCAGTTAAAATGCACAAAAAGCCAGGCATGATGATAGTGAATCATGCCTGTAATCCCAGCACTTTGGGAGGCTGAAGCAGGCTAATCACTTGGGCCACTTCACAGGAATTTGAGACGTGCCTAGGCAATACGGCAAAACCCTATCTCTACAAAAAACAACAAAAATTAGCGGGGCATGGTGGCACGTGCCTGTAGTCCCAGCTACACAGGAAGAAGAGGTGGGAGAATCAACTGAGCCTGGGTGGTCAAGGCTGCAGTGAGCCATGACTGCACCACTGCACTTCAGCCTGGGTGACAAAGTGAGACCATGTCTTTAAAAAAAGCACAAAAATGAGCCAGGTGCAGTGGCTCTCACCTGTAATCCCAGCACTTTGGGAAGCTGAGGCGGGTGGATCACCTGAGGTCAGGAGTTCGAGGCCAGCCTGACCAACATGGAAAAACCCCGTCTCTACTAAAAATACAAAATTAGCTGGGCATAGTGGTGCACGCCTGTAATCCCAGCTACTCGGGAGGCTGAGGCAGGAGAATCGCTTGAACCCGGGAGGTGGAGGCTGTGGTGAGCCGAGATCATGAGATCACGCCACTTCATTCCAGCCTGGGCAACAAGAGCGAAACTCCATCTCAAAAAAAAAAAAAAAAAAGCACAAAAATGGTATTAGAATTAATCTATAAATCTTTCCTAAAATAGTAACAAAAAAAATTCAAGTATCATTTGATTAAATTCACGCTATGACACTAAAGGTTTCCTCCCAATTGCCCATTTGTTCTGTTGCCCCAAGAGACCTTTTTGTGCTATGAACTTGGATCAGTCATGTATCCCGGAACTCTTCCTTACAGCCCTCACACCTACAAGCAATTCACTTTGCAAGAGTACAGTCCACCACTCAGTGGACATTTACAGACCAAGTCCAAACACAGGATTCTTATTTGGCTTTCTTGGCCACTTTGAAAAAGTTTTACTCTCTAGCCACAAACCCATTCTAGAAAAAAGAAATTTTAGTAAGTTTTCAGCTGCAACAAAGATACGAGGTTTGTAGTTTCAAAAGCTGACAAAACAGTGTCTCCAGGTAACTGTATATCTCCGGGGCACTGGCAGGTCGACTTAAGCCAACAGTTTGTGATTGAGGGGGTGCGATGAATGGCCAATGAAGCTGTGCTAAAATTTCCTCAAAATCACTGCAATGGAAAAGTAACACATACATTTCAGTACATCACCAAATGATCACCAAATACCCATCGGAAAGCAATTACCACAAAATATGGGTAAATTCCCTACCTTGTAAGCTTGTCCTTGAGAATTTTATGCCAGAATTTAACTGTGGCTCTCATGAAACCAAGAAGATGAGTACAAGATGATTCCTGAAGTTTAATGTCAAGTTCTGCCATAGACACTAGAGTGGAGGCTGCCTCCGGTACATTATTGGTCATCAGATATTGCTGAATGTTATCACTGTAAACAAAGTAAAGCAAATTTTTTTTTCTTTTGAGACAGAGTCTCACTCTGTTGCCCAGGTTGGAGTGCAGTGGCATGATTTGGCTCAATGCAAATTCTGTGTCCCAGGTTCAAGTGATTCTCCCGCCTCAGCCTCCACAGTAGCTGGGATTACAGGCATGCGCCCCCATGCCTGGCTAAATTTTTTGTATTTTTAGTAGAGACAGGGTTTCACCATGTTGGCCAAGCTGGTCTTGAACTCCTGACCTCAAGTGATCCGACCGCCTCGGCCTCCCAAAGTGCTGGGATTAGAGGCGTGAGTCACCGTGCCCAGCCGAAAGCAAATTTAAAGAACGGATTGCTCAGAATAATTTCAAATTCGGAAAAAGTGCTTCTTCTTCATGTTTTATATAAAGTTACATCCAAGGAAGAATGAAGCACCACCCTGAGGTAGCCTTTGTTTTTTAACAAAGCACCACCCTGAGGCCTTTTACCAAGGCCTCTCTGGGAGCCTAGAGTCCTCTACTTCTGCATTCTTCTAAGAGCAGCAGCCTGCAGCCTATGTTCAAGACCTCTCCCGGGACCTTTCCCTTCCTACTCCTCCTGACAGACCTGTTTTGTGTCATATTCCTTTGGGCACCACTCATTTCTGATAAATCTGCCTTTTACAAAGTCTTCAGTATCTTAATCCAAGGGAATAATGTGGTAGTATCTGGTAAAGTCAAGTATGATGGTCTTCAATTGTTACATACTTTGCCCAGCTGAACTTGATTTCCCACTTCAAAGAAATATAATTCCAGGCGGGGCTTGGTGGCTCAACCCTGTAATCCCAGCACTTTGGGAGGCCAACATGGGTGGATCTCCGGAGGTCAGGAGTTTGAGACCAGCCTGGCCAACTTGGTGAAACGCCCCCCGCCCCCCCTTCCCCATCCCCCATCTCTACTAAAAATATAAAAACTAGCCAGGCATGGTGGTGGGCACCTGTAATCCCAGCTACTCGGGAGGCTGAGGCAGGAGAACTGCTTGAACCCGGGAGGCGGAGGTTGCAGTGAGCCAAGATCATGCCACTGCACTCTAGCCTGGCAACAGAGTGAGACTCCGTCTCAAAGAAAAAGAGGCCAGGCGTGGTGGCCTCTTTGGGAGGCCAACATGGGTGGATCACCGGAGGTCAGGAGTTCGAGACCAGCCTGGCCAACTTGGTGAAACCCTTCCCGTCTCTACTAAAAATATAAAAACTAGCCAGGCGTGGTCATGGGCACCTGTAATCCCAGCTACTCAGGAGGCTGAGGCAGGAGAATTGCTTGAACCCAGAAGACAGAGGTTGCAGTGAGCTGACAGGGTGCCGCTGCACTCCAGCCTCAGCAACAGAGTAAGACTCCATCTCAAAAAAAAAAAAATATATATATATATATACAAATATTACAGAAGAATTTCAAATGTACAAACAGAATATGAGTACTGCCTTTTTTTTTTTTTTAAAAGAGTCTCACTCTGTCACCTAGGCTGCAGTGCAGTGGTACAATCACGGCTCATTGCAATCTTAACCTCTCGGGGCTCAAGCGATCCTCCTACCTCAGCCTCCCGAGTAGCTGGGACTATGGGTGCTCACCACCAAGCCTGGCTGATTTTTTTTTTTTTAAACAGAGATGGGGTTTTGCCATGTTGCCCAGACTGGTCACAGAATTCAGAGCTCAAGCGATCTGCCCACCTCAGCCTCTCAAAGTGCTAGGACTACGGCATGAGCCACCATGCCCGGCAGGAGTACTGCTTTTAAGGAAGGAATGAAATAGATTTCCTCACAACACTAAAGTATGAATGACATTTACAACATAGGAAAAGCTAGAGAAACAAGGTTCACTCAGAGTGATAGTGCTATACTATAGTATCCAAGAAACAGAGCTAATGTAAGGATGCTAATTCTAGCAAGAAGAAACTACTTGAAAAAAAGACAATGTACATCAGAATAAAAATAGGCCATTATAAAAAAATTTAGAGATGAAGAAAATCCCAGAAGCTCTAAAGGAAAGCTGGAAATGGAGAGATTATCATAAAAGACCTCAGGGAAATAACACATTATTAAAGACAGAAAAATAACTGTGCTCTACCTGCTTATGAATTTGATCCCTATTTCTAATATAAATCCCTCGGCATATTTCCCTTATAAACAATTCAGATATCTGAAGAGTTTATCAAGGCCAGGTGCAGTGGCTCACACCTGTAATCCCAGCACTTTGGGAGGCCAAGGCAGGCAGATGACTTGAGGTCAGGAGTTCAAGACCAGCCTAGCCAACATAGTGAAACCCTATCTCTACTAAAAATACAAAAATTAGCTGGGCGTGGTGGCATACACCTGTAGTCCTAGCTACTCGGGAGGCCAAGGCAGGAGAATCGCTTGAACCCGGGAGGTGGAGGTTGCAGTGAGCTGAGATTGTGCCACTGCACTCCAGCCTGGGCAACAGAGGAAGATTCCAACTCAAAAAAAAATAAAAAGAAAATTAAAATAAATAAAATAAATGTTAAAAAAAAGAAGAAAAAAGAAAAGTTTATCAATAACCATGGACCTAATTTAGTTAATCTATTACTTTGGCTACTACAAGAGTGAGGTTTTCAAATAACGTATTTTACTTAATAAAGTTATTAACATTGCCCCTTACTGATATTTCCTTTCTGAGGGACAAGGAGAAATGCAGTAAAATAAAGCAAGGTTTAAAATTCCTTCACTGCAAATAATTTATCTAAACAAGAATGAGATGTTCTAAACCACTTTATATGTAAAACTCCTCATACATGCAAAACAAAGTTTTTTTGTTTTTTTTGTTTTTTTTTTGAGACGGAGTTTCGCTCTTGCTGCCTAGGCTGCAGTGCAATGGCACAACCTCAGCTCACTGCAACCTCTGCCTCCCGAGTCCAAGCAATTCCCCTGCCTCAGCCTCCCAAGTAGCTGGGATTACAGGCACGCGCCACCATGCCTGGCTAATTTCTTTTTTTTTTTTGTATTTTTAGTAGAGACGGGGTTTCACCATGTTGGTCAGGCTGGTCTCAAACTCCTGACCTCGTGATCTGCCCGCCTCGGCCTCCCAAAGTGCTGGGATTACAGGTGTGAGCCACTGCACCTGGCCTAAAAACAAAGATTTCTATATTATATTGATATGTAAAATTCTTTAAAATTTTGGGAAATATATGCAAGAAAAAGAAATACATAAAACATATCCATAACAAAAGTAATATCAGGTTTATTAACTATGATACATTTGAAACAGGACATTAAGACTCCCAGAAGACTTTTCTCCCTCAGGTTTTCCAGGCAAAATTAATGGTTGCTGACAGCTCTGCAGCAAGTACTAGTTAAAACAATGCAAGGATAGTGGGGACCTTATCATCTACTAATCTAGGTGGAAATGTTACTTTGGGTTGTCTGAAAGGCAAAGCTAGATACAATTAACTACCAGTGATAGGTATTCAACTCAAAAAGAACTAAGGTCAAGCCTTACTTCCTTTTTTGTTTTTCCTACCCAGAGGTAGCAGAACTCTTGTTATTCATCCAAGAATACTGTGTAGCTCTTATGATTCCCACTGAAAAATATTCAAATTATACAAAAGCAATCCATTTCATTAACTGACCAGTTCTAAAAATTAAATAAGAATAACTATTACCAAACTTTGTGTTTTATTAATTTGGCATTACAAAGAATAGTTTTTATCATGTGTTCATAATCCAACTGTAAGACTTAAAAGTTTGGCCGGACGCGGTAGCTCATGCCTGTAATCCCAGCACTTCCAGCGGCCGAGGCTGGCGGACAGTGAGGTCAAGAGATCGAGACCATCCTGGCTAACATGGTGAAACCCCGTCTCTACTAAAAATACCAAAAAAAAAAATTAGCCAGGCATGGTGGCGGGCGCCTGTAGTCCCAGCTACTCGGGAGGCTGAGGCAGGAGAATGGCATGAACCCGGGAGGTGTAGCTTGCAGTGAGCCGAGATGGCACCACTGCACTCCAGCTGGGCGACAGAGCGAGACTCCATCTCAAAAAAAAAAAACTTAAAAGTTTAACGTACTTACATTACCTTCTTTCAAATGCTAATTAAGCTCCCTGAAAAGCTTATGTTCACTCACAATAAAGGAAAAGAATCATTATCATAATGCTATTTTCACAACAACTGGTAAAATTATATTATTATAATCTTTAATTAACTCAATTATTTAATGGCACACATGTACTCTCTAAGACAGAAGCCTCAAAGGAAAATAGTAATTGTGAGAACAAAGAGGCCCATTTTACCTTAGTTCTTCAATTTGTGAAATCCATTTAAGGTAAGCAAGATGACGTTCGATCTCTTCAATCTGGCTAATCATGGTTCCAAGATCGTCCATCCAAGGTTGCGCAGTCAGCAAATGGCTGTTAATGGCGCTGAAGAGATGAGTTTCCTGCTCCAGAAACTGATTAAGAAATTGCTTTGATTCTTCTGCATTTTTTAAGGCACTTCGAATTCTTTTAGGAATTTCTGATGAAATTGTAAGTACCTGACCATAATTTTAAAAAAGAAAGAAAGAAAGAACAGCAGCAATCAGATAAAATTTTCATAATTTTTTTTTTGAGAGGGGATCTCACGCTGTTGCCCAGGCTGGAGTGCAGTGGTACCATCATAGCTCACTGCAGCCTGGACTTCCTGGGCTCAACCAATCCTCCCACCTCAACCTCCCCAGTAGTTGGGACTACACATATGCACCACTACACCTGGCTTTTCTTTTTTTTTTTTCTTTAAATAGAAATAAGGTCTCACTATGTTGCCCAGGCTGTATGTAACCTTTTTTATTAGTTCGTTCCCTTCAAAATACACATTTTTTGTAACAGAACTGAAAATCATCCATCAAAACCTTCAAAAAAAGGTTTGATTTCTTCATCCTGTACTAATCAATCCAAACATAACATGCTGTTTTATATACACACAAATAGCAGGAAGAAGTATGCCTTTGTGTTGAAAACAATAAGTGAAACAAAAAAATAAAAATAAAATAAAAAATATATGCATACATACATATACACATACATGTAGAGAAAGGGACTTAACTCACTGGCTCCAGTAAGCATCTAGAGGTCTGCCTCCATAGGCTCAGCAGAGGATCCAGCTAGAGAAAACTTATTTTATTTTTTTGAGACAGAGTTTCGTTCTGTCACCCAGGCTGGAGTGCAGTGGCGTGATCTCAGCTCACTGCAACCTCCACCTCCCGGGGTCAAGTGATTCTCCTGCCTCAGCCTCCTAAATAGCAGGAATTATAGACACGTGCCATCACGCTCGGCTAATTTTTGTATTTTTAGTAGAGACGGGGTTTCACCACGTTGGTCAGGCTGATCTCGAACTCCTGACCTCATGATCCGCCCACCCCAGCCTCCCAGAGTGCTGGGATTACAGGCATAAGCCACCGTGCCAGGCCGAGAAAACTTATTAATACATGCTCTACCTGCTAAATATTTTCCTTCAAAGCAAAGGAAGGGCCGGGCACGGTGGCTCACACCTGTAATCCCAGCAGTTTGGGAGGCCAAGACAGGCGGATCATTTGAGGTCAGGAGTTCAAGACCAGCCTGGCCAACATGATGAAACCCCATCTCTACTAAAAATACAAAAACTAGCCAGGTTTGGTGGCACACACCTTGTAATCCCAGCTCTAGAGAGGCCAAGGCAAGAATCACTTGAACCGGGAGGAGGTTGCAGTGAGCTGAGACTGCACCACCGCACTCCATCCAGCCTGGGTGACAGAGCAAGACTCCTCAAAGAAGAAAAAAAAAAATGCAAGCTGGGTGCGGTGACTCACACCTGTAATCCCAGCACTTTGGGAGGCCAAGGTGGGTGGATCACAAGGTCAGGAGTTCAAGACCAGCCTGGCCAAGATGGCAAAATCTTGTCTCTACTAAAAAATACAAAAAAATTAGCTGAGCATGGTGGCACATACCTGTAATCCCAGCACTTTGGGAGGCTGAGGCAGAGAATTTCTTAAACCCGGGAGGCAGAGGTTGCAGTGGGCCGAGACTGCGCCACTGCCATCTAGCCTGGGTGACAGAGCGAGACTCCATATCAAAAAAAAAAAAAAAAAGGAAACAAAGATCTCATTCTAACAGGCTGAGCATCTATATTTTGCCAACATACCCCAGGTGATTCTGAATTAAGGCCAGGCTAAGAAGCACTGACTTGATGAGATGATATCCAGGCAATGCCTTTAGAAAGGGCATTTAGTGGCCAGGTGCAGTGGCTCACACCTGTAATCCCAGCACTTTGGGAGGCCAAGGAGGGCAGGTCACTGGAGGTCAGGAGTTCGAGACCAGCCTAGCCAACATGGTGAAACCCTGTCTCTACTAAAAATACAAAAATTCAGCCGGGCACAGTGTCTCATGCCTGTAATCCTAGCACTTTGGGAGGCAGAAGCTGGTGGATCACTTGAGGTAAGGAGTTTGAGACCACACTTGCCAACATGGTGAAACCCCGTCTCTAATAAAAATACAAAAACTAGCCGGGTGTGGTAGTATGAGCCTGTAATCCCAGCTACTCAAGAGGCTGAGGCAGGAGAATTGGTGAAACCAGGAGGCGGAGGTTACAGTGAGCTGAGATCGCTCCACTGCACTCCAGCCTGGGCGACAGAGTGAGACTCTGTCTCAAAAAATAAAATAAAATAAATACAAATACAAAAATGAGCTGAGGATGGTGGCGCATGCCTGTAATCCCAGCTATTCAGGAGGCTGAGGCAGGAGAATCACTTGAAACCCGGAAGGCAGAGGTAGCAGTGAGCTGAGATCACACCACCACACTCCAGCCTGGGCGACAGAGGAAGACTCCATCTCAAAAAAAAAAAAAAAAAGAAAATGGCATTTATTAAGTGAATTTTTCTTATAGTATGTGGGAAAACATATACAAATATTAGTCATCAGCAAAATACAAAGAACATTATAGAATAATTTCAATCAACAGTGATTAGATACTTATTCTGTACCAGGCACTGCGCTAG
The DNA here is from genome assembly GCF_000001405.40 of Homo sapiens. Taxonomy (NCBI): domain Eukaryota; kingdom Metazoa; phylum Chordata; class Mammalia; order Primates; family Hominidae; genus Homo; species Homo sapiens. Next base: position 105,539,932 of record NC_000007.14, on the reverse strand, counting down.
AAATATGCAGATAAACAAGACACAGCATCCGTCCTTCAGGTCACTTTGGTATATAAGAGTGTTGTAAGCAAATAATTTCAACAGTGGGATTAATGCAATAAAATAGACAGGCTATATTTAATGAATGGGCACATTAATCACCTAAAGATCTTGTTGTAATACAGATTCTGATACAGTAAGTCTGAAGTAAGACTGAGATTCTGCATTTCTACAAAGCTCCCAATCTGCCTAAACTAACATGGTATCAGCAAGAGTGGGAAAGATGGGCCGGGAGCAGTGACTCACGCCTGTAATCCCAGCACTTTGGAAGGCCAAGATCCACTTTCGGGCAGATCACCTGAGGTTGGGAGTTTGAGACCAACCTGACCAACATGGAGAAACCCCATCTCTACCAAAAATACAAAATTAGCCGAGCGTGGTGGCACATGCCTATAATCCCAGCTACTTGGGAGCCTGAGGCGGGAGAATCACTCGAACCCAGGAGGTGGAGGTTGCAGTGAGCCAAGATTGTGCCATTGCACTCCAGCCTGGGCAACAAGAGTGAAACTCCAACTCAAAAAAAAAAAAAAAAAAAAAAGAGTGGGAAAGATGGGATGGATACCAGAGATGTTGAGGCTGAACTCAGATGACTTGGTGATGGGATAGAGGATGAGAGGATGATAAGAAGGAATCTAGGACTCCTAGGCTTCAGGTCTGGGTGACAGGCAAATAGTGGTGCCATTATCTAACCAAGACAGACAAGCCTCTAAAAAATGGATCAGTATAGTTTTGGACATGCTGAATTTAAGGTTCAATAAGGAACTTCAGTAAAAGTTTCTGTGGTCATTAGGGAAACAAACCTGATTACAGTGGGTAAAAGATGAATGACAAAAAGTAGAGATAGATAACAAAGGTTACTTTCTGAAGCCTGACAATCAAAGGAAAGAACTAATACCTGCTAAAAGATCATGGGTTTTTTTGTTTCTTTGTTAAGGTTTTATGGAAAAGACCTGTCTATGTGCACATGCTGAAGGGATAGGACTGGTTGACGAACACAGGGTAAAATTATAAGAGTGACACAAGTTTACTGAGGTGGCAGAGAGAACCTGGGGTATAAGGTCTGCCTTCGACTGATCCTTTGCTGAATGAAGAGGTTAAAAATGACTGCACATAAATTTGTCGATTGTGGGATAGACTATTCAACAGACTGAATTCAATGCTACTAAATTCATGCTAGGCTTCTATTTTTTTCTGCTAGGGAAAAGGAAAGGGCAGAATGGACAGGTTGGGTAGATGTCTCAAACAGAATCTGAAAGAACAGTTGAGGGGAGTAGCAGAGGAGCTGACGTTCCCATGGAAGGACTGCTGGTGGGGCTGAAGACTCAGCCAGGGTGGCAGACCACACACATAGATTGGCATCAATCTACTCAGCTGCATGACTTCCTCCAACTGGGCCCACAACAACCTGCCTGCAGGAGTGAAAAGGCAGACAAAGCCAGGCTAAACTTGAAGACTAGCAGTAGTTGTGGTGGGAAGACAGGAAGGTGTGGAGGCCTAAGGTAATGGGGACAGGAGAATATACGATGACCAAAAACCTGGAAATAACCCACACAGAATTTACTTAACCTAATTTAGTAGCTATATGATAAAAATGTTTTATCTTGGCCGGGTGTGGTGGCTCATGCCTGTAACCCTAGCATTTTGGGAGGCCAAGGCAGGCGGATCACGAGGTCAAGGAATCGAAACCATCTTGGCCCAAGTGGTGAAACCCTGTCTCTACTAAAAATACCAAAATTAGCTGGGCGTGGTGTCGCGTGCCTGTAGTCCCAGCTACTCGGGAGGCTGAGGCAGGAGAATCACTTGAACCCAGGAGGCAGAGGTTGCAGTGAGCCGAGATCACGCCATTGCACTCCAGTCTGGGCGACAGAGTCAGACTCCGTCTCAAAAAAAAAGAAAAAAATGTTTTATCTTTGACAAACACACCATTGCCAAGTAGAGGGGCCTACTTATTTTTTTGTTTAAGCTTATACTCATTGGGTTTTTAAAAAATTATTTTAAGTGATATGTTCATTGTAAAAGAAAAAAAAACCTATAAATACATAGAAATATATATTTTTGAGACGGAGTGTCACTTTTGTTGCCCCGGCTGGAGTGCGATGGCATGATCTCAGCTCACAGCAAACTCCGCCTCCTGGGTTCAAGCGATTCTCCTGCCTCAGCCTCCCGAGTAGCTGGGATTACAGGTGCCCGCCACCACACCTGGCTAATTTTTTTTGTTGTATTTTTAGTAGAGTCGGGATTTCACCATGTGGGTCAGGCTGGTCTCAAACTCCTGACCTCAGGTGATCCACCTGCCTTGGCCTCCCAAAGTGCTGGGATTACAGGTGTGAGCCACCGTGCCAGGCCTAAAAATATTTTTTAAATACATCACTTGTCAACCAACCACACAGAAATAACCGTTACGTTATACTTCTTTTCACTTTATACTTCTCCCTATGGGTACATTTATTAAAATCTGAAATGTGGCCGGGTATAGCAGCTCACATCTGTAATCCCGGAACTATGGGAGGCCAAGGCAGGTGGATCACCTGCGGTCAGGAGTTCAAGACCAGCCTTGCCAACATGATGAAACCCCATCTCTACCTAAAATACAAAATTAGCTGGGCAGGGTGACACATGCCTGTAATCCCAGCTACATGGGAGGCTAAGGCAGGAGAATTGCTTGAACCTGGGAGGCAGAGGTTGCAGTGAGCCAAGATGGCGCCATTGTACTCCAACCTGGGCAACAAGAGCAAAACTCCGTCTCAAAAAAAAAAAAAAAAAAAAAATTGAAATGATGGTGTTTACACCATGGTATATATTTTTGTATGCCATGAAATTATTTGCTTGTAAAAGCAATTTAAAAGTCACTGTATGTTCACTAGAAACAGATTGAAAGGAAAAAAAAGTCACTCTATGAAAATCTATGTAAAATGTTAGGTCTCACTATGTTTTGAAGACAAACCATATCAGTAGGAACTTTGTCTTTTACCTAATTTGTAAAATAGGTAATACAATGTACGTTCTTAAATCCTCTTAAACAGTATATAATAGACTATTTGTCACGTTCTATATCTTTAAAATTCTATATATAATAGATTATGTTTATATTATATTGTTAAAAGTATTCCACTGATAATTATTTCAGTGAGTTTCAATACTTACCTGTTCTTCTAACTGCATTTTACTTACTGTCCTCTGTTCTATGAGTTTATCAAGTTTCTTTAAAGATTTAAGGTCATTTCCAACTTCCTTTTCTATGAATGCAGACACATAAGAAGGGAGATCACCATTATCTGTACCTTCACTGACTTGTTTACTTCCAATAAGAACTGTAACATTTATGTCACCTACAACAAAAGAATAACAATTACTCAACGCCACTAAGTACTATGGAGTTAAAGAAAATATAAAACATATAAAAGCAGTTTATCTGCCTTCAAAAGTTAATAATTTTGCCAGGCACGGTGGCTCACACCTGTGATCCCAGCACTTTGGGAGGCTGAGGCAGGTGCATCACCTGAGGCCAGGAGTTTAAGACTAGCCTGGCAAACACGGCGAAATCCCGTCTCTACTAAAAATACAAAAATTAGCCAGGCGTGGGGGCACAGGCCTGTAGTCCCAGCTATTCGGGAGGCTGAGGCACGAGAATCCCTTGAACCCAAGAGGCAGAGGTTGCAGTGAGCCAAGATCACACCACTGCACTCCAGCCTGGGCGACACAGACAGACTCTGTATCAAAAAACAAAACCAAAACAAAGCGCCACTGCACTCCAGCCTGGGCGACAGAGACTCTGTATCAAAAAACAAAACCAAAACAAAACAAAGTTAATAATTTAAAGAACAACACACACAGACAAATGCCCAGAAGAATAGCTCTAAAGCACTCTATCAAACAACTACTGCAAAATGCTTAAGAGCTGAGGGAAGTATTAAAGGAAAAATTCCTAAAGTGTGATCCAGTAACCACAGGTTTCAATAGACAAGGAATAATACCTTTTCAAAATGTGTAAGGAACCAGTAGTATGGTCTAGGGCAACACCAAAAGAAGACTCTTGTTTTAAAGTGTTTTTAAAAAGACCGGGCGCAGGGGCTCACACCTGTAATCCCAGCACTGTGGGAGGCCAAGGCAGGAGGATCACTTGAGCCCAGAAGTTCTAGACCAGCCTAGGCAACAAAGCAAGACTTCATCTAACAAAATTAGCCAGGAATGGTGGAACACACCTGTAGTCTCAGGTGGGCTGAGGTGGGAGGATTGCTTGAGCAGCCTGGGAGATGGAGGCTGCAGTGAGCCATGATCTCACTACTACATTCCAGCCTGGACAGCAGAGCAAGACCTCATCTCTTAAAAACAAACAAACAAACAAACAAAAAAGTAAAAAAGGTTTGGCTGGGCGAGGTGGCTCAGGCCTGTAATCTCAGCACTTTGGGAGGTTGAGGCAGGCAGATCACAAGGTCAGGAGTTCGAGACCAGCCTGGCCAATATGGTGAAAACCTGTCTCTACTAAAAATACAAAAATTAGCTGGGCATGGCGGTGCACGCTTATAGTCCCAGCTACTCGGGAGGCTGAGGCAGAAGAATCGCTTGAACCCGGGAGGCGGAGGTTGCAGTGAGCCGAGATCACGCCACTGCACTCCAGCCTGGGCAACAGAGTGAGACTCTGCCTCAAAAAAAAAAAAAAAAAAGGTTTTTAAGCTTCAAATGTCATCGATGTCATTGTACAAAGATATCTTTGTCAGAAACAGAAAAAAGAAAATATGAGAGAACAAATTACTAGGAAAAAATCAAAATGACAAATGCAACCACTAAATAGTATAAAGTGAGATTCTTTCCATGGCAAATAAACTACCTGTTTTGTGACATTTAATAAGTCCAATACACATTAGGCTTATTAATATTAATATCTAAATAATGATATGCCTAAGTGCAAAATGTAAATGTCAGATATTGGTCAACTATTTATGTAAAGATTAACAGAATATATACCAATGTTTTATACAGAGTATGTTCCTGTCTCCACCCCTACACCCCAACAAACAAAATTTCCTTTGTTCTACTTAACTTATATGAATTAAATTAAAAGATTTTTCACATGCTGTGAGAATCAGGAGGTGGTACTGACCTTTTCCCCCTTTCCTGTTCAGTGCAAGATCCAGAACCCAAGCTATACATTGTGCCTTCCCAGAGCAATTTTAAATTGACAATTTAGAGGGTAGGAGAGGCAATATTAACATAACACTATGCCTCAATTTTCCAACTAGAAAACAAATTGTAACATTTGCCCCAGCCTATATCTCAAGGTTATAAATGGGACTATATAATACAAATTATATATTAATTATACTATATAATTATATATAATATTAACGTATAATAATCTACTATTATGTACAGAACTCACAATGCCTTTTTTAAATCTTAAATAAAACAAGTGATTTGTGTGGTGTATCTGCAGATAAATGGAGGCAGGAAATGTTTTGTGAATGCTAAAGTTGCTGTATCTTAGGGAGGAAATTCTACCTTCATTTTTTAAAAAAAATTACACCCACTGAGCACAGTGGCTCATGCCTATAATCCCAGCACTTTGGAAGGCCGAGGACGGTGGATTGCCTGAGGTCAGGAGTTCAAGACCAGCCTAACCAAAATGGTGAAACCCTGCCTCTACTAAAAATACAAAAATTAGCCGGGTGTTTGGCGGGCACCAGTAATCCCAGCTACTGAGGAGGCCGAGGCAGGGGAATTACTTGAACTCAGAGGCGGAGCTTGCAGTAAGGCGAGATCGCGCCACTGCACTCCAGCCTGAGAGACAGAGTGAGACTAAGTCTCAAAAAAAAAAAAAATTACACCCTTGATGTGTAACCATTCAAATGTGGCATAGTACATTCTTAGTGAAATGACATTCTTCAAAATGACACACCGGTGGTTTGGGAGGTTTTTATGTGTCTCCTTTTCTATTTTTTGTAAAGAGCACTCCTAACTGCAAAGCAGTTTGAGCTGTGGAAAGAGGAACAAGGTCAAAGTCCTTGATATGATAGTCTACATCTATTATTTTATTAAAATGACAGCTCAGTAGGCATCAGACTACTTTCCAGGCATCTGAATGAGGCAAAGGTGGAAAATGGAAAGGGAAGGGTTTAACTGAGAGATACAAGGCACTCTGAAATCCTTCAAGAAAAAGGAGCTGAGATGTGGCAGTTATGACAGTCATGTGCTATGGACTGCTCAGAGCCTTCTTTCTGAGGCAGATTCTATCAGCCGCTAATGTTAAGGGCAAATCTTACTCCTAAGGGCCATGTGCTAATGTGGGCACCGTTTTTCTTACTGCTACACATTCCCAACTGTTTGCCACAGTCAAAAGAACCAAAAATCCCAATAGCAGAGCTATCACATGCTTTTCCCCTTCCTCTCCCAAAAAATGTCACTTCAAAGGTCCCTAAAGAGCCCTTGATTTGCAATAACCTGCCATCAAAGTAAAATGGCAAAAGTCCACAACCCTGACATATACTCCCGTACTAGGGAGGAAATGGTGGTACTGACCTTTTCCCCCTTTCCTGTCCAGTCCAAGATCCAGAACCCAAGTTATCCGTTGTGCTCTTGCCAGAGCAATTTTAAATTGCCAATTTACTGAAGGTGAACTAAACAACTGTCATTTGCCTCCTTTGAACCCAATTAGGGTGGTGGTCGTCTGTCCTAGATCATGGGCCCCTCCAAATTCCTGATGCTTAGTAAGTTGATGTTTCATTAAAATGACAGGCAGGCCCCAATTATTCTGAGTACTGTATGATAGGCAGACTTCCAGCGAAAACACTCTAGTCCCTGTACTAGGTATGGATCGGGAAGTGCTCTTCTCCAAAGCATCCCATATTTTACAATTTTAGAAAGACAAAAATATGTGTATCATGGTCATCAGTATTACCATATAAGCATATTGTGCAGAAAACGGTACTGCATCTAAAAGATAGGCAAAGAACCTTTCTATATTGCAGACCCTGGAAGGCTGAGTTTGGGCGGGAAGAAAAAGCTAAGGTGTTTGGAGCTGGCTTACTTTTCTCCTCGAGGTTCTTCCTTTCGTCACCACTTTCAGAGCAGCACTAGAAGAAGAACAGATGTGACAAGCACATTAAGATTAAAGTCGTGGATGGAAAGCATACGGGGCTCCCAAAGGGCACCCACTGGAGGCAAGAGAGGTTCCAGACGCTCTCCCACTTTCTGAGCGACCAGGGCCGTCCGAATCAGGTACCTCAAAGTGCCACTGTCCTGGTGCCACCGCCACCTTCCCAGGAGGTGTGTGTCACCTCCGCAGGACCTGGAGTTACCTTGCCTGCTCACTAGAGCCACCTCCCTAGAGAAATCTGTCATCTCACCAGGGCCGCCAAAGCCACTTCACGGGGACTACCGCCTCCTCTAGGAGGTCTTACAAGGGCCTCTAATCTAAGCCGCAGGAAGCACCTTCACAAGCTTACAGGGCCACCGCACCGGGACTATCTCCCCCGGGAGGTCTGTGCCACCTCAATGGGCCACCAATGTCCCCTCCCAGGGACGCCAGGGCCGTCTCACCGGGGCTGCAGGAGAGGCGCCGATCTCGCCGGCTGGTAGCATCTCGCCTCCGCGCGAGTCCTCGGCTCCATTCGCAGCCAGCGTGGCCTGTGGAGTCTGGCTAAGGCCAGCGACACACTCACTACCCAGCCTCGGAGGCCGTAGGACTGAGTGCCACAGCGACTTCCTCTCGATGTCTCACTGGTTTCTTCCTCTCAGCCCAGAGAGGCCCTGCCCGTGCAGCCGCCGGCCGTGCTCTGTTCCTCCCCCTCCTGACCGGAGGTCGGAACGGCCACTCAGGAAGCGGGCACCCTCCCCTATGGAGCTCCAGAGAAGGGATTCGCTCACTCCACCGCGGTAAAAGTCCCCTCCACTTTATTGAAGCTCTTAATGATGGAACTTTAAGATATCCCTCTCCCAACGCCTTAAATTCAATATGAATAATTTAAATTTATATTTTAGGCAATATCCAGATGTTCTGAGAGTGTGGGGGGCTTGTTGACTAGGAGCTTCGGTGCAGGGTTATTTGGTTCGAATATTTAGTTGGGGGTTTCCAATGAATGTCAGTATCTTTAGATATTTCTTTTAACGTTGGTCAGAGTCCCTAGAGATGAGCTTCTGATTTCCTGCCTAGAGGGTGTAGAGGTGGTTATAAGCGTTCTGGGAGCTGAATGAAGAGAACAGAGCATCTAACATGTGTTTCGCCCAAAACCCTGTCTTTTACCAGGGAGGAGGAAAGGGAGCTACCTAGCAGCAAGGGTTGTGTAGAGGACCTGTGGACTTGACAGCCTCTTAAACAAACTAACACGGAAGGAGTACCATAGAGACCATAACAAACAAGGGGGGGGGAAAGCAACCCTCAGAGGAAAAAGAAACCACACGGTGAGAAGAAAAATCAAATACATGTGCACAGAGATATATAATCGAGCTACAAATTACTATTGCAAGCATAAAACAAGGATGGCTGGGCGCTGTGGCTCACGCCTGTAATCCCAGCACTTTGGGAGGCCGAGGCAGGCAGATTACGAGGTCAGGAGATCGAGACCATCCTGGCTAACATGGTGAAACCCCGTCTCTACTAAAAATACAAAAAATTAGCCAGGCGTGGTGGTGGGCGCCTGTAGTCCCAGCTACTCAGGAGGCTGAGGCAGGAGAATGGCGTGAACCCGGGAGGTGGAGCGTGCAGTGAGCAGAGACCGCACCACTGCACTCTAGCCTGGACGACAGAGCAAGACTCCGTCTCATTTAAAAAAAAAAAAAAAAACAAGGATACTATTTTTTAAATTACCTATTATGGGAACATAATCGTATATATTTATAGTGTACATGTGTGTTTGTTTTTTTTTTGCTCAGGCTGGGGTGCAATGGCGTTATCTCTGCTCGCAGCAACCTCCGCCTCCCAGGTTCAAGCGATTCGCCTGCCTCAGCCTCCCAAGTAGCTGGGATTACAGGCATGCACCACCACGCCCGTCTAATTTTGTATTTTTAGTAGAGACGATGTTTCTCCATGTTAGTCAGGCTGGTCTCGAACTCCCGGCCTCGGGTGAACTGCCCGCCTTGGCGTACCAAAGTGCTGGGATTACAGGTGTGAGCCACTGCGCCCGGCCTTTTTTTCTGGGGCGGGGCGGGGGACGGGTAAAGAAATTTTAATGAGGATTCAAGGTTTGTAGGGAAGACACAGAGGACCGGCGCTCAGCCCCAGCCTCCTCACGTGTACATGGCTCCATGGAGGTTCTCCAGTCGGTTCTGCTGCTGCTGCTGTTTTCGAGCCTTATCTCGTCTGTGTTCCTCATAAGTGTAGTCATCAGTGGGCAGCTCATGGCGGCACAAGGGACAGGAATTTGTCTTGCTTAGCCAGGGCAGAATGCAACTGGAATGAAAAAGGTGTTGGGAAGCATCTCAATGGCAGTCTCCTCCTCAGATTCCAAAAGATACACGGGGCACTTGAGCTCAGCCTTGAGAGCCTCTGATGACTGTCCTGGAGAGGTTCTCAACCACAATCTTGGCAGCCGGTGGAGGCAGGTGGTGGTCCCAATCTACTACCAACCCCAAGTCTTCAAAGTCCATCCTATTCAAAAGTGACCTTACGAGCTCCAGCACCATGTTGGTTCGAGTCTCCTGCTTGAGGGTCCAACGGCTCACAGTCGTGTTCATCGATATAGGACGCCATGGCTGCCCAGCCGTCTGACATGTGATGTTTTGATACAGGTATACAATGTGTAACTATCAAATCCGAGTAACTGGGGTATTGATCATCTTGAGAATTTATCATTTCTTTGTGTTAGGAACAGTCCAATTCCACTCTTTTAGTTATTTTAAAATATGCAATAAATTATTAACTGTAGTCACTCTGTTTTATTGTTGTTGTTGTCGTCATTTGTTTTGGTTTTGGTTTTTTTGTTTGTTTTTTGAGACAAGTTCTCCCTCTGTTGCCCAGGCAGGAGTGCAGTGGTGCAGCCATAACCCACTGTAACCTCAAACTCCTGGGCTCAAGGGATCCACCCACCTCAGCCTCCTGAGTAGCTAGGACTATAGACTGGCACCACCATTCCTGGCTAACTTTTTTTTGTTGAGACAGTGACTCGCTATGTTGCCCAGGCTGGGCTCTACTCCTGAGCTCAAGCGATTCTCCTGTCTTGACCTCCCAAAGTGCTAGGATTACAGCCATGAGCCACTGCACCTGGCCCCTAACTGTATTTTTGGACCCATTAACCATCCCCAATTTATGCCTTCCTCCCTGCTACCCTTTCAGCCTTTGGTAACAATCATTCTACTCTCTATCTCCTTGAATTCAATTTGTTTAATGTTAAGCTCCCACATATGAGAGAAAAGGATACTATTTAAAAGGAGCATTGGCTGGGCACGGTGGCTCCTGCCTGTAATCTCAGCACTTTGGGAGGCTGAGGCAGAACAAATTGCCTGAGGTCAGGAGTTCAAGACCAGCCTGGCCAACATGGTGAAAGCCTGTCTCTACTAAAAGTACAAAAATTAGCCAGGCCTGGTGGTGGGAGCCTGTAATCCCAGCTACCCAGGAGGCTGAGGCAGGAGAATCTCTTGAACCCAGCAGGCAGAGGTTGCAGCGAGCCGAGATTACACCACTGCACTCCAGCTGGGCAACAAAGCAAAACTCTGTCTCAAACATAAATAATTAAATAGATAAATAAATGAATAATAAAAGGAGCACTCACTTGTAAATGGGGAGGGTAAAAATAAATAAAATAAGAAAAGCATTCAGAGATGAAAAAATATGACAGCAGAAATTAAAATTTCAAGAGTGGAAAGATAGGCCAAGTGCAGTGGCTCACGCCTGTAATCCCAACACTTTGGGAGGCCAAGGCACGTGGATCGCTTGAGGCCAGGAGTTCGAGACCAGCCTGGCCAACATGGTGAAACCTGGTCTCTACTAAAAATACAAAATATTAGCTGGCCATTGTGGCACGTGCACCTATAGTCCCTGCTGCTTAGTAGGCTGAGGAACAAGAATTGCTTGAACCCAGGAGGCTTTTAATTTCTGCTGTCATATTTTTTGTTCTCTGAATGCTCTTTTTATTTTATTTATTTATTTTTATCCTCCCCATTTTCACAAGTGAGTGCCCCTTTTATTATTTATTATTTGTTTGTTTGTTTCTTTGAGACAGAGTTTCGTTCTGTTGCCCAGGCTGGAGTGCAGTGGCACGATCTTGGCTCACTGCAACCTCCGCCTCTGGGGTTCAAGTGATTCTTCTGCCTCAGCCTCCCTAGTAGCCAGGATTACAGGTGCCCGCCATCATGCCCGCCTAATTTTTGTATTTTTAGTAGAGATGGGGTTTCATCACATTGGCCAGGCTGGTCTTGAACTCCTGACCTCAGGTGATCTGCCCACCTCAGCCTCCCAAAGTGCTGGGATTATAGGCATGAGCCACTGTGCCTGGCCTTTTCTTTGTTTTGTTTTGTTTTTTGCTTTTTTTTCCTAGAACATTTATCAACATTTATCTTCCCACACTTTGTTTGTTTGTTTTTATTTTGAGACGGGGTCTCACTCTGTCACCCAGGCCGGAGTTTATTGGCAAGATCTTAGCTCACTGCAACCTCTGCCTCCCAGGTTCAAGTGATTCTCCTGTCTCAGCCTCCCAAGTAGCTGGGACTACAGGTGTGCACCACCACACCTGGCTAATTTTTGTATTTTTAGTAGAGATGGGGTTTCACCATGTTGGCCAGTCTAGTCTCAAACTCCTGACCTCAAGTGATCTGCCCGCCTCAGCCTCCCAAATTGCTGGATTACAGTTGTGAGCCACCACGCCTGGCCAAAAACTGGAATTCTGTACTTAATTAGTGAACTATGAATCAAATGTGAGGTTAGAATAAAAATGTGGGGTTTTTTTTAACACTCTTGTAGTCAAGAATAAAAATAGACATTAAAGATCTCAAAAAATTTAGCTTTTGTTTTATTTATTTATTTATTTATTTATTTATTTATTTATTTATTTGAGACAGAGTCTCACTCTGTCACCCAGACTGGAGTGCAATGGCACGATCTTGGCTCACTGCAACCTCTGCCTCCCAGGTTCAAGCAATTCTCCCGCCTCAGCCTCCCGAGTAGTTGGGATTACAGGCGCCCACCACCATGCCAAGCTAGTTTTTGTATTTTTAGTAGAGACAGGGTTTTGCCATGCTCAGGCTGGTCTCGAACTCCTGACCTCAGGTGATTCGCCTGCCTTGGCCTCCCAAAGTGGAATCACGGGTGTGAGCCACCGCGCCCAGCAAGCTTTCATTTATTTCTCCTTTCTCGGGAAGCTACTGAAGGTTGTACTCCACTAAAATAAGAGAGTAAACCAAGAATAAAGATGACATAGGATATAGGAAACAGAAAGATTCAATACAGGAACAGAGATGCCCTGAGAACAACTGTGCAATAGGCGTAGATTGGCGTAGGCCAGGAGGTTCCAGAAGAGACTGCTTCAGAAAGATGAAAATAGAACACCTCATCTAAACCTCTGGAAAGGGGAGATTTACACAATCATTGAGGGGTTTGGGCTTGGTCTAGTGATGAATAGTAAACTAAAATAAGATAATTATTAACTAGAGGAAAAACAAAAGCAGTACAGAAGAGAAGTAATCATAGTTTCTTATTTGCCTAAAATGTGAATGATATTTACCTAGTCATAATGAAGTAAACATAAATCCAAAAAAAGGACAGTATAAGGAATGGAAAGTTTGGTGGAGAAAGGGGAAGGAAAGAGAGCTAAATCTTTATTTTCCATTAAGTGAAGTCAGTAAATAATGTCTAAAAGTGAAAAATCAAGAAATAACAATACAAACACATTACATGGAGAGATTAAGGTAAATATCAAAAAAATTAGTTAAAAGAGGTGAAATGGGCCGGGAGCGGTGGCTCACACCTGTAATCCCAGCACTTTGGGAGGCCAAGGCGGGTGGATCACCTGAGGTCCGGAGTTCAAGACCAGCCTGGCCAACATAGCGAAAACCCATCTCTACTAAAAATACAAAAATTAGCCAGGCATGGTAGCATGTACCCGTAGTCCCAGCTAATCAGGAGGCTGAGGCAGGAGAATAGCTTGAACGTGGGAGGCGGAGGTTGCAGTGAGCCAAGATCATGCCATTGCACTCCAGCCTGGGCAGCAGAGCAAGTCTCTGTCTCAAGAAAAAAAAAAAAAGAGGTGAAATGACTGCTTTTGAGAAGATGGAAACAGGTGAGGGCTGAAGTGGGAATACAGTCCCTGCTGCTTCATTGCAAACCTTACAAAGTTTCTACAGAATTATTTGACTCTAAATTACAACATGTATAACTCTGATAACAATTAAAAATAAAATTAAAGGAGAAAAAATAATGCCCTAAACCCAAATTTTGGCTTCTGAAAAATCCACTTTCTGATAAAGGAAATAGGTAAATAAATAATTTAAGATTAAGTGTATAGTTTTGACAACAGAAATGTTGGCAATGACTGAGGGAACACAGAAAACAGTGAACTACTATCTGGGGCATGGAGAAAGGCATCCGAAGTGGACAGCATAGTAGTCAATAATAAGGATGAAAGAAGAGAGAAAGTGTGTGTGATAGGCACCTAGCAATCTGTAGTGTGAGGTGGAGTTAAAAGCAGGATACTGTACGTTATACATAATAGACGTGTTAGAATGGAATTTTGAAGTTGAAGACAACATTCAACTGTTACATGTTTATTAGAAGAAGTTGATACTAGGAAGAGGTTTTGAACACTTTTGTGTTATTTTAATTAAAAAACCAATAAAGAGTTGCCCATTTTGGAAAACAGAAAACTAAAAATCCATGTTTCACTTGTACCTTGACCTAGGCAGTTTTGGCTAAAATGCAAAACGAGTAAGGTTTGTCTAAGAAACCTTAGAAATGGCCAAAGAAATGTGAAAAATCTTTCCTCTAAATCTGTTTATGAGGAGTTGGGCTGCACTCTCAGAGTTTTTTTTTTTTTTTTTGGGACGGAGTCTCGCTGTTTCACCAGGCTGGAGTGCAGTGGTGAGATGTCAGCTCACTGCAACCTCCGTCTCCCAGGTTCAAGCGATTCTCCTGCCTCAGCCTCCCAAGTAGCTGGGACTATAGGTGAGTGCCACCACACCCAGCTAATTTTTGTATTTTTAGTAGAGATGGGGTTTCACCATGTTGGCCAGGATGGTCTCGATCTCTTGGCCTTGTGATCCGCCCGCCTCAGCCTCCCAAAGTACTGGGATGACAGGTGTGAGCCACTGCACCCAGCCTCTCAGAGATTTTTTTTTTAAGCCTTTACTTTTTTAGAGCAGTTTTAGTTTACAGCAAAATTGAGAGGAAGGTATAGAGATTTCTCATATACCTCCTGACCCCACACGTGCATAGCCTCTCCCTCACCAAAGTGGTACATTTGTTATAATTGATGAACCTACATTGACACATTATCATCCAGAGTCCATAGTTTACATCACTGTTAGTTCTGTAGATCAGCAGTTCCCAATGTTTTTGGCACCAGGACTAGTTTCATGGAAGACATTTTTTCCTCAGACTAGGGGGTAGGAATGGGTTTCAGGATGAACTGTTACACCTCAGATCATCAGGCATTAGATTCTCATAAGGTGCATGCAACCTAGATCCCTCACATGTGCAGTTCACAGTAGGGTTCTCGCTCCTATCAGAATCTAATCCCACCACTGATCTGACAGGAGGCAGAGCTCAGGCGGGAATGCTGCAGTGCAGCCTGGTTCCCAAAAGGCCACACTGACTGGTACCAGTCCGTGACTTGGGGGGGCTGGGGACCCCTGTTGTAGATTTTATGGGCTTGGACAAATGTATCATGACATACAGCCAGCATTACAGTATCATACAGAATAGTTTCACTTCCCTAAAAATTCTCTGTGCTCCACCTATTCATCCTTCCCTTTCTCCTAACTCCTGGCGACCACTAATTTTATTACTGTCTTATATAGTTTTGCCTTTTTTAGAATGTCATTTTGTCATTTAGTTGGATTCATATAGCTCGTGTCCTTTTCAGATTTTTTTTGTTTTTTTTTTTTGTTGTTGTTGTTGTTGTTGTTTTCTAGACAGTCTTACTCTGTCGCTCAGGCTGGAGTGCAATAGCATGATCCCGACGCACCCCAACCTCCACCTCCCAGGTTCAAGCAATTCTCCCGCCTCAGCCTCCCGCGTAGCTGGGATTACAGGTGTGTGCCACCATGCCTGGCTAATTTTTTGTATTTTTGGTAGAGATGGGGTTTCACGGTGTTGGCCAGGCTGGTCTCGAACTCCTGACCTCAAGTGATCCACCTGCCTCAGCCTCACAAAATGCTGTGATTACAGGCCTGAGTCACCATGCCTGGCCCAGATTGGTTTCTTTCACTTAGTAATATGCGTTTAAGGCTGGGCATGGTGGCTTACGCCTGTAATCCCAGCACTTCGGGAGGCCGAGGTGGGCAGATCACCTTATCTATTTAGATCTCAGAATAAATAAATACATAAAATAAAAAATATTTATTTATGTTTCCTCCATGTCTTTTCATGGCTTGCTAAGATCATTTCTTTTTGGCACCAAATAATATTCCATTGTTTGGATACAGCACAGTTTATTCAGCTACTGAAGGACATCTTGGTCTTTTTTTTTTTGAGACGGAGTCTCACTCTGTCCCCCAGGTTGGGGTGCAGTGGCATGATCTTGGCTCACCACAACCTCTGCCTCCTGGGTTCAAGCAATTTTCTGCCTCCGCCTCCTGAGTAGCTGGGATTACAGGCGCCCACCATCACGCCTGGCTAATTTTTGTATTTTTAGTAGAGATGGGGGTTTCACCATCTTGGCCAGGCTGGTCTTGAACTCCTGACATCGTGATCTGCCCACCTCGGGCTCCCAAAGTGCTGGAATTACAGGCGTGAGCTACCATACCCGGCCCGTCCTTAAGTTTTGGCAATTATGAATAATGCAGCTATAAACATACTTGTGCAGGTTTTTGTGTGAACATAGTTTTCAACTCCTTTAGGTAAATATCAAGGAGTGTAATTGCTGAATTGTATGGTAATAATATATTTCTTTTTTTTTTTTTGAGACAGAGTTTCCATCTTGTTGCCCAAGCTAGAGTGCAATGGTGCGATCTCAGCTCACTGCAACCTCCGCCTCCTGAGTTCAAGCGATTCTCCTGCCTCAGCCTCCCAAGTAGCTGGGATTACAGGCGCGTGCCACCACGTCTGGGTAATTTTTTGTATTTTTAGTAGAGACGGGGTTTCACCATGTTGGCCAGGCTGGTCTCAAACTCCTGACCTCATGATCCGCCCACCTCGGCCTCCCAAAGTGCTGGGATTACAGGCGTGAGCCACTGCGCCCGGCCGGTAATAGTATATTTCATTGTGTAAAAAACAAAACAAAAAAACAAATTGGGCAGGGCATGGTGGCTCATGCCTATAATCCCAGTACTTTGGGAGGCCTAGGCAGGCAAATCACTTGAGGTCAGGAGTTCAAGGCCAACAGGCAAAAACCCCGTCAAAAAAATTAGTCTGGCATGATGTCAAGCACTCGTAGGCCCAGCTACTCGGGAGGCTGATGCAGGAGAATCGCTTGAACCCTGCAACAGAGTGAGACTCTCTCTCAAACAAAATAAAACAAAACGGAAAAACTATTAGAGGCTGGGAGCGGTGGCTCACGCCTGTAATCTCAACACAGAGGCGGAGGCGGGCGGATCACGAAGTCAAGAGTTCGAGACCAGCCTGGCCAACATAGTGAAACCCCGTACTCTACTAAAAATACAAAAAATAAGCCGGGCATGGTGGCGTGCGCCAGTAATCCCAGCTACTCGGGAGGCTGAGGCAGGAGAATCGCTTGAACCCGGGTGGCGGAGGTTGCGGTGAGCAGCGATCGCGCCATTGCACTCCAGCCTGGGCGACAGAGCAAGACTCCGTCTCAAAAAACAAACAAACAAACAAAAAGCAAAAAAACTATTAGAGCCTGGGCAACATAGTGAAATCTTGTCTCTACCCCCCACCCCCAAAAAAATTAGCCTGGGTGCGGTGGGATGCACCTGTAGTCCCAGCTACTTGGGATACTGAAGTGGGAGGATTGCTTGAGCCTGGGAGGTCGAGGCTGCAGTGAACTGTGTTCACGCCACCGCACTCCAGCCTGTGCGACAGAGCGAGACTCTGTCAAAACCAAACCAAACCAAAACAAAAAAAACCTATGATCCGGTTTCTTGAAGCAGATCCTATGGCAAGCCATCAAGCCAGAGCGGTAAGAAGTAGGAAGATGGTGCTTTTAGATCCACTACATTCCCAGGATCAAATGTAGAACAATATTTAGTCCCTAAAGTGATTCTCTTTCCATTATTGTCAACTGCGTGGTCGGTGCAACGTGAAAGGGCCACAACTATGTGAAGGAAACACTTAGAATATAACACCAAAGGAGGCAATCGCTGCCTTAGACTTCCTAAAGATCTAAAGAACTCTTAGATGCTTGGTGAAATCGCTCTCTGCCGCTGGTGCGACTCAGGCGCGGTCGCGAGGAAGGTCCAGGGTGAACGCGCGTAGGCTGGGAGTCCGCGTTGGGGCGCTCCCTGGCTTGCAGGCCGCTCCGAGTGGGTGGGCCGGGGGCGGGGCCGGCGGCAGGGAGCGGACTCCGCCCCCGGGGCGGGTCCAGTCGGGCCGCGGCGCGTCGCTGCGCCGCACGTGTGCGAGCCCGGCCGCCGGTGAGTCGGCTGGAGCGCATCTGGTCCTCCGCGCGGAAAGCGCTGCTTTTGCCTGGCCGCCCTAGCCGCTGGCTCATCCAAGTGGCCTTCGCCGCTCTCTTGCGTCCCAACCAGAGCGCTGGCCACCTCGCCGCCCAGCTCACGCCGCGCCCGCGCTCCCAGGCTCCGGGTAAGTGCGCGGCCTCCCCGCGGCCGCCGGGGCTCCTCGGCCTGGCCCTGGCCCCAGCCCCAGCCCCAGGGCCCCGCCCCAAGAGGCAGTGCGGACTGGGAAGGCGGACTGGGAAGGCGGCCCCGCAGTGGTCAGAGCCCGCGGCGCCTCCATTATGGATCGTGCCAGCGGGAGCACGGTTGGAACCCAGTGGGTCCTGCGCTTCGGCGGTGCAGGCGCCGCTCTCCGCTCCCCGCTCCCCGCTCCGCTCTGCCCGGCCAGTCGTCCGGAGGCGCCGCGCCCGAGCGCTCCCCTCCTCCCCGCGCGGCGCTGTCCCCCGGGGGCCCCCTTCCCACTCCTCCCTTTCTTTGCCCCGGACGCTCCCTAAACTCTTGTCCCTCCGTCAGAGGAACACTGGCCCTGAAGCCCTTCACGGTGCCACTGCTTCGCCGCGCCTGCCTTCTGTGGGTCCAGCCCACGTGTTCCACCCCTGTGTCCTGCGTCGCCGCTCACTGGGAGCCTACTAGGCGCCACGCGGGCTCTGGGGACTGCTTGCTTTGTATGCATTTCCCAGAGTAGGAGTGGACGGGCTGCAGACTCAGAGTGCTTTCTCCAGCCCTCAAGCTGGGTGAATGCTTAACGAGTGGATGGAGGTGCTGCTGTGCAAGCTGAAATTCGAGTCCTCCTCGTCAGCCCTGCGCAGAGGTGTTTAGAAGCACACCTTCGTTGCCTGCCGAGTAGGGTTGGCAAAGAGTTTAGTTTTTAAAATATTTGGTCCCGTCAGACTACTTTTTTTTTCCATTCCAAAAATAAAGGGTTACTAAGGTTCCCTCCCCCCCATCCCCAAGCCTCTAATCATCTATGAAATGACTATGCCCCATTGGCCTGGGGGAGCCTCGACTATTGAGGGATCTGTCGAAAATCAGACTGTACAACACTATTGAAAAGGGGTTGGTTAGGCAATTGTTAGGTTCAAACATTAGGAAAGTAGCCAACAGTACGTACTTAACAACTCCTTGTGAACATGTTTTTGGTTTTTTTATTTTTATTTTTTTAATTTTTTTGAGACAGAATTTTGCTCTTGTTGCCCAGGCTGGAGTGCAGTTGCGTGATCATCGCTCACTGCAGCCTTGAACTCCTGGGCTCAAGCAATCCTCTCACCTCAGCCTCCCAAGTAGCTGGGACTATAGGCATGTGCCACCACACAGGGTCTCGCTGTGTTGCCCAGCCTGGCCTCAAACTCCTGACCTTAAGCAATCCTCCTGCTTTGACCTCCCAAAGTGCTGGAATTACAGGCTTGAGCAACCACACTCGGCCTTGAACATATCTTTGTTTTTTGATTTATTTTTTTTAGACGGAGTCTCACTCCATCACCCAGGCTGGAGTGCAATGGCACGATCTTGGCTCACTGCAACCTCAGCCTCCTGGGTTCAAGCGATTCTCCTGCCTCAGCCTCCGGAGTAGCTGGGATTACATGTGCACGCCACCATGCCCAGCTAATTTTTGTATTTTTATTTATTTATTTATTTATTTATTTATTTATTTATTTATTTTGAGACAGTCTCGCTCTGTCGCCCACATGTATTGCAGAGGCAGCACCTCCATCCACTCGTTAAGCATTCACCCAGCTTGAGGGCTGGAGATGTATTGCAGTGGCGCGATCTCGGCTCACTGCAGGCTCCGCCTCCCGGGTTCACGCCATTCTCCTGCCTCAGCCTCCCGAGTAGCTGGGACTACAGGCGCCCGCCACCACGCCCGGCTAATTTTTTATATTTTTAGTAGAGGCGGGGTTTCACTGTGTTAGCCAGGATGGTCTCGATTTCCTGACCTCATGATCTGCCCGCCTCTGCCTCCCAAAGTGCTGGGATTACAGGCGTGAGCCACCGCGCCCCGCCTAATTTTTGTATTTTTAGTAGAGACGGGGTTTCACCATGTTGGCCAGGCTGGTCTTGAACTTCAGACTTCAGGTGATCCACCCGCCTCAGCCTTCCGAAGTGCTGGGATTACAGGCGTGTGCCATCACACCCGGCCTTGAACGTGTCTTTTGATAGAGGCAGGGGCATGCATGTACTGTATTAATGAAGCAGCGTTTTTCCTTACCTAGGAGAGAGAGAGAACAATCCAGCTGGTCATACTGTCGACTAAGTTTGCTCCGGTTTCAGGTCCTTTACACGTGCTGTTCGGGCTGCCTGGAGCTCTCCTCACACACATCTTTTCCTGTCTGGTTCTTCCTTGTCTTTGCTCAGAAGTCTCCTCCTTAGACGAGGCATCACTGAAGAACACCCCTCTTACTCTCAGCCCCTTACCCTGTTTTAATTCTTTGGAGCTCGCATGTCCTGAGATTTATTTTGTTCTCAGATATATTCTCAAATACATTGTAAGCTACATGAGGACAGGAAATGGTATTACCCTTTTCTTCCAGTACCTACAACAATGCCAGACACATAGGACACTTGCTCAGTAAATATTTGCAGAATGAATGACCCTCATAGACTTAATGATTTTGCATATTAGAATGCAGTGTGTCTGCCGGGCCTGGTGACATCATGCCTGTAATCCCAGCACTCTGGGAGGCCGAGGCAGGCAGCTCGTTTGAGGTCAGGTCAGTAGTTTGAGACCATCCTGGCCAACATGGCGAAACCCCCTCTCTACTAAAAATACAAAAATTAGCTGGATGTGGTAATTTTAGCCCATGCCTGTAATCCCAGCTACTCGGGAGGCTGAGGTAGGAGAATCGCCGGAACGCTGGAAGTGGAGATTGCGGTGAGCCGAGACTGCACCACTGCACTCCAGCCTGGGCAACAGAGGAAAACTCCATCTCCAAAAAAAAAAAAATTAGTGTGTTCTCTGTGCTCTGGCCCTAAAGAAAATGCTCACTATTGTGAGAGCTATAGAGATTACTGATAATTTGCAGGGGATGGAGGAAAGATGTATTTACAAAGTGAAAGTTGTGGATAGTTTTGAAATATAATATGATAGAATTAAGACTAATGGCTGTTTTTGTAGGCTGGGCGCGGTGGCTCAGGCCTGTAATCCCAGCCCTTTGGGAGACCGAGGCGGGCGAATCATGAGGTCAGGAGTTCGAGACAATCTTGGATAACACGGTGAAAGCCCATCTCTATTAAAAATACAAAAAATTAGCCTGGTGTTGTGGCGGGCGCCTGTAATCCCAGCTACTCAGGAGGCTGAGGCAGGAGAATCTCGTGTACCCGGGAGGCAGAGGTTGCAGTGAGCCGAGATTGCGCCACTGCACTCCAGCCTGGGCAATAGAGTGAGACTCCGTCTCAAAAAATATACAAAATAAAATAAAAAATAATTCAAAAAAAGACTAATGGCTGTTTTTCTGATGTTTATTTTGGAGGAATTAATTAATAAGGGACTGTTTGGCCTGGGCGGTGGTGCACACCTGTAATCCCAGTTGAGGCAGGGCAGATCACTTGAGCTCAGGAGTTTGAGACTAGTGGGCAACATGGCAAAACCCTGTCTCTACAAAAAATACAAAAATTAACTGGGCATGGTGGCACATGCCTGTAGTCCCAGTTACTCGGGTGGCTGAAGTGGGAGGATCGCTTGAGCTGGGAGGTCGAGGCTGCATTGAACTGAGATCACGCCACTGCACTCCAGCCTGGGTGACAGAGTGAGACACTGTCTCAAAAAATAAATAAATAAACAAACAAGAGACTGTTGTTAGTGTTATATTAAAATTTTGAAAATGCTAAACTTAATTTTTGTTATAGGTGTAAAGGATTTTATTTTTTTTTTGAGACAGGGTCTTTCTGTCACCCAGGCTGAAGTGTAGTGGCACCATCACGGCTTACTGCAGCCTCAACGTCCTGGGCGCAGTGGATCTTCCCACCTCAGCCTCACAAGTAGCTGGGACTACAGGTGCATGCCACCTTGCCCGGCTTATTTTTATTTATTTTTTGAGACAGAGTCTCCCTCTGTCACCCAGGCTGGAGTGCAGTGGCGCAATCTCGGCTCACTGCGACTTCTGTCTCCCCAGTTCAAGCGATTCTCCTGTCTCAGCCTCCTGAGTAGCTGGGATTACAGGGCCACACCACCATGCATGGCTAATTTTTGGATTTTTAGTAGAAATGGGGTTTCGCCATGCTGGCCAGGCTGATTTCGAACTTTTGACCTTGTGATCTGCCCACCTCGGACTCCGAAAGTGCTGGGATTACAGGCATGAGACACCACACCCAGCTGCCTGGCTAATTTTTTAATTTTTTGCAGAGACATGGTCCCACTATGTTGTCCATGCTGGTCTCAAACTCCTGGTCTCAAGCCATCTACCTGCCTGCATTTTTTCAGAGATGAAGTCTCCCTCTGTTGCCCAGACTGGAGTGCAGTGGTGTGATCATAACTTACTGCAGCCTTAAACTGGTCTCACACAATCCTCCTGCCTCAGCCGCCCTGTTAGCTGGGACTACATGCACACATGCCCAGCTAAGAGTACTTCTTAAAGCTTAGTTGGTGAATCTAGTATTTTAATGAAAAGGGTTTTAAAATACTGTTAAAATTATAATATTTCTATTCTCAGTTGTCTCATTTGGAGTGCAGAGGAAACAAAAAACATTATTTTAGCATTCCCTCCAAAGAAATGTGAAGGATTGGCCAGGCGTGGTGGCTCATGCCTGTGATCCCAGCACTTTGGGAGGCCGAGGCAGGCAGATCACCTGAGGTCAGGAGTTCAAGACCAGCCTGGCCAACATGGTGAAAACCCGTCTCTACTAAAAATACAAAAATTAGCCAGGCGTGTTGGCGCATGCCTGTATGTACTCTCAGCTACTTGGGAGGCTGAGGCGGGAGGATCACTTGAACCCAGGAGGTGGAGGTTGCAGTGAGCAGAGATCACACCACTGTACTCCAGCCTGGGTAACAGGGTAAGACTCCATCGCCAAAAAAAGAAATGTGAAGGATTTTAAGTTTTGGGGAAAGTATCAGAGGAGTTCATTCTCTTCCTGGTTTAACATCAGGCTTCTGGTCTATGGGGTTTTACTTGACAATTAAGATACCATCATTACTATCATGGATAGTGTATTTGTGCAGCATGTTTTCTTAAAATTTTTTCTTTTAAATATGTCAAAAAATGCATAAAACTGCCCTCTCCCCCCTTTTCACATCTAGTAACTTTATATCTTCATTCAAGATAGAATGCTTGGGCTTTCCTGACTGCAAAACTGATTTCCTTGGGCCTCTCACCTTGGGGTAGTCAGGCTTGTTTTCTCTTTGCAATTTAATTCTCTCAGGCCTCTTCTATGTTCATAAGATCACCTCTCTCTCCTCTCCCCAACCCTCAATTTAAAAATTATATTCCAGTCCGGGCGCACTGGCTCACGCCTGTAATCCCAGGAACTTTGGGAGGTCGAGGTGGATGGATCACCTGAGATCAGGAGTTCGAGACCAGCCTGACCAACATGGTGAAACTCCGTCTCTACTAAAAACACAAAAATTAGCTGGGCGTGGTAGCGGGCGTCTGTAATTCCAGCTACTCAGGAAGCTGAGGCAGGAGAATCACTTGAACCCGGGAGGTGGAGGTTGCTGTGAGCCGAGATCAGCCAAGATCACGCCATTGCACTCCAGCCTGGGCAACAAGAGCAAAACTCCGTCTCAAAAAAAAAAAAATTCCATTTCAGCTTCCCTTTCACGTAGTTCCTGCTTGCGAAAATGACACTAGTTTGAGTTTTGCCTTTCCTAGTCCAGAGCTCTGAACAGTTCTTCTAGTAAATATGCTCTCCGCTTTTAGGCCTATAGGACAGAACTTAGAAAAATATATATTAAGTGATTTAAAAATCATTGGTACTATATATACTTTAATAATTAATTTGGGCCGGGTGCGGTGGCTCATGCCTGTAATCCCAGCACTTTGGGAGGCCAATGTGGGTGGATCACTTGAGGCCAGGAGTTTCAGACCAGCCTGGCCAACCTGGTAAAACCTGGTATCTACTAAAAATACTAAAATTAGGCCAGGCGTGGTGGCTCACGCCTGTAATCCCAGCACTTTACAAGTTTGAGGTGGGCGGATCACCAGGTCAGGAGTTTGAGACCAGCCTGACCAACATGGTGAAACCCCGTCTCTAGTAAAAATACAAAAAATTAGCTGGGCTTGGTGGCACGCGCCTGTAATCCCAGCTACTCAGGAGGCTGAGGCAGGAGAATCGTTTGAACCCAGGAAGCAGAGGTTGCAGTGAGCCAAGAACATGCCACTGCACTCCAGCCTGGGCAACAGAGTGAGACTCTGTCTCAAAATAAATAAATAAATAAATAAATAAATAAATAAAATAAAATAAAATACAAAACTTAGTCGGGCCCAGCTACTCAGGAGGCTGAGGCGTGAGAATTGCTTGAACTCAGGAGTTGGAGGTTGCAGTGAGCCGAGATTGTGCCACTGCACTCCAGCCTGGGTGACAGCAAGACTCTGTGTCAAAAAAAAATTAATTTGTCTATGATAGGGCCATTGACTTAAACAATGAAAAATGTAATTTCATTTGAAATTTAAAAGTGAGTTTAGTTTATTCTTGTCTTTTCAGTTAGATATATCAAGAAAAAGAGATCAGACAAATGTCCACAAATATCAAGAAAAAGACTGGCAACCTAAAGGCCTGTTGTCAACCTAAAATAATCAAAAACGTCAGAATCTAGTACAAAGAGAAATTATTCAAGTGCAAAGTTTGAGGATGTCCCACCTGGAAACACCAGTTCTAAAAAAATGGAGTCAAAGTTCTGAAGTAGGGAAGTTTAGGTTTTATATAGGCAGAGACAGGAGTTTTTAGCAGGATTACAACATTTTTCGTACAGGGTTTTCACATAGTTACAGCAATTTGATTGGTTATAGGCAGTGTTTCTTTTTGGGGAGAGTACATTGGGGAAGGTGTAATAGTTATGGGTTTTCTGTCATACGGTTTAAGCATAAGCAGGACACCAAAGGGAAAGTTCCTCTCTAACAAGGGTCATTAATTAAGAATTTTTAGTCATTGTAGGCCAGGCGCGGTGGCTCACGCCTGTAATCCCAGCACTTTGGGAGGCCAAGGCGGGCAGATCACGAGGTCAGGAGATCGAGACCATCCTGGCTGACACAGTGTAACCCAGTCTCAACTAAAAATACAAAAAATTAGCTAGGCGTGGTGGCGGGCGCCTGTAGTCCCAGCTACTCGGGAGGAGGCTGAGGCAGGAGAATGGCGTGAGCCCAGGAGGCGGAGCTTGCAGTGAGCCGAGATTGCGCCACTGCTCTCCAGCCTGGGGCACAAAGCGAGACTCCGTCTCAAAAAAAAAAAAATGAGAGAGAATTTTTAGTTATTATATGGAACAGGAAAAATGAAAGTAAGCTAATCTGTAATCTGAAAAACAAATTGTAACCATATGTGACTCAGATCATAGTCACATCTCTCTCAAGGCTTAAAAAGTGTTTTGGGGATTCCAACAGCTTTTAGATTCTGTTTTCTTTTCTTTTCTTTTCTTTTCTTTTTTTTGAGATGGAGTCTCGCTCTGTCACCCAGGCTGGAGTACAGTGGCGCGATCTCGGCTCACTGCAAGCTCGGCCTCCCGGGTTCACGCCATTCTCCTGCCTCAGCCTCCTGAGTAGCTGGGACTACAGGCGCCCGTCACCACGCCCAGCTAATTGTTTGTATTTTTAGTAGAGATGGGGTTTCACTGTGTTGGACAGGATGGTCTCGGTCTCTTGACCTTGTGATCCACCTGCCTTGGCCTCCCAAAGTGCTGGGATTACAGGCATGAGCCACTGTGC
This sequence comes from Homo sapiens, assembly GCF_000001405.40. Taxonomy (NCBI): domain Eukaryota; kingdom Metazoa; phylum Chordata; class Mammalia; order Primates; family Hominidae; genus Homo; species Homo sapiens. Next base: position 105,514,328 of record NC_000007.14, on the reverse strand, counting down.
CCAGCCAGCTTTTTTTCTTTTTTTAAACTCCTCCAGACATAACAACAATACAGTTCAGCTATGTAAATCATCCATAATAACTATTTTTTTTTTTTTTTGAGACGGAGTCTTGCTCTGTCACCCAGGCTGGAGTGCAGTGGCACAATCTCGGCTCACCGCAAGCTCCGCCTCCTGGGTTCACGCCATTCTCCTGCCTCAGCCTCCCGAGTAGCTGGGACTACAGGCACCTGCCACCACACCCGGCTAATTTTTTGTATTTTTTAGTAGAGACGGGGTTTCACCATGTTAGCCAGGTTGGTTTCGATCTCCTGACTTCGTGATCCGGCCTGCCTTGGCGATCCACCTGCCTTGGCCTCCCAAAGTGCTGGGATTACAGGCGTGAGCCACCGCGCCCAGCCAGCTTTTTTTCTTTTTTTAAACTCCTCCAGACATAACAACAATACAGTTCAGCTATGTAAATCATCCATAATAACTATTTTTTTTTTTTTTTTGAGACGGAGTCTTGCTCTGTCACCCAGGCTGGAGTGCAGTGGCACAATCTCGGCTCACCGCAAGCTCCGCCTCCTGGGTTCACGCCATTCTCCTGCCTCAGCCTCCCGAGTAGCTGGGACTACAGGCACCTGCCACCACACCCGGCTAATTTTTTGTATTTTTTAGTAGAGACGGGGTTTCACCATGTTAGCCAGGTTGGTCTCGATCTCCTGACTTCGTGATCCGGCCTGCCTTGGCGATCCACCTGCCTTGGCCTCCCAAAGTGCTGGGATTACAGGCGTGAGCCACCGCGCCCAGCCCATCAATAATAACTATTAAGGACTAACAGTTGAATAAGAGGAGCTATTACAGACCTTTGGCCAAGTCATCATATTTTACTTTTACAGAGAAAGAAACAGATTCGAGAGGTTAAGTCACCCACTTAGTAAATGGCAAAACCTAGATCTGTCTCCAAGATTGTTGAGAGGGGGAGGCCTGATGTTTTTTCTGCATAAGGAGAGGAGGTGAATATTTTGCTGACTGTGAAGTCCCTGTGCCAAGCTGTGTGAATGGCCGTTATTGGCCACTCTTTCTTCCTTACTGAGAGTTCTGGCCTCTGGAAGGGCATCAGGATCTCCTGGTAGAGCTGTGATGCCAGCTGGGAAGCTTGTATGGTCATTGGGGAGGCATTGCAGGTTTTTGGTAAGGGCATGTGTGACACAATGTGATGAGTGCCCGCAGATCGTCTCCACTGGGATGTCTCCCCAGGAACCTGCAACACCACAGGACTATGGGTGGGCTCATCTTCTTCCAACACCTGCTCTTCTTTCTGGGACCCTCATATCAGGAGGACCACCACTGTCCTCTCAGTTCCCCAGGGATGGAAACTTGAGTCATCCTGAAGTATTTCCCCTTTCCTCCCACATTTGTCACCTTCTCCTGTCCCTGCTACTACTTCCTAAATGTTCTTGAAAGTCGCCTTTTTCTGTCTCCCTTGCTTCAGCCTTAGATCAGATTATATTAATTTCTTGCCTAGATTACAGCTGTACCCTCTTACCTGGTCTTCCAGCCTAACCCCAGTTTCTCTTCAAAGGGGTGCCACAGAATCTTTCTGAATTACAAATTCAGTGCTGGTCTGGTTTTCAGGTTGTGACTCCCTCCTTGTAGCCTCATGTGGCCTCCGCCCCTCCCAAGCTGTAACCCCAGACTCTCCTTGTATGTCTAACCCCCACAGTGGGCGATGAGTTCTTTTGCTCTTCCAGCACTCTGTGAGCTCCCACGCCCCCATGCCTTTGCACATGCTGTACCTGTGACCCCAAATGACCTTCTCCTGCTTTTCCTTCCTCTTCCTTATGCCACAAAATTTGGCCCAGGCATTGTAGTCTTTGGTTAGGTTTTGTCTTCAGTGTGTTCTCCCGGTCCTTGTGTAAGCCCTGGTCCATTTTTGTCTCCTTCATTTGTACAAAACCTCTGAGGGTAGTTTTGTTGCTGTAAGGTGAGAGTGAAATCGTGTCAGCATTTCATAAACCAGCGTTCTTTTTTTGACTACACCTGTTCAGGACAAAGAGTAAATGCTTTTTTCTTTGAATTAGGGATACTTTTATGTAACTACAGTTGTGGTCTACTTCTATTCCAGTTTCAGTTTCTTCCATTTTCTGTATTTAATTTCTTGTCTTTCAAAGGATTTTTTTTTTTTTTTTTTTTTTTTTTTTTGAGACAGAATCTCTCTCTGTCACCCAGGCTGGAGTGCAGTGGTGCAGTCCCGACTCACTGCAACGTCCGCCTCCCAGGTTCAAGCGATTCTCCTACCTCAGCCTTCTGAGTAGCTGGGATTACAGGCGCCCGCCACCATGCCTGGATAATTTTTTGTATTTTTAGTAGAGATGGGGTTTTACCATGTTGGTCAGGCTGGTCTCGAACTCCTGACCTTGTGATCCACCCGCCTCAGCCTCCCAAAGTGTTGGGATTACAGGCGTGAGCCACTGCACCAGGCCGCCAGAAATTGTTTTAACTGACATTTTTTTCAATCCCTTCTCTCCTATTTTTTGTAGCTGTCATAATACTTTTTTGTTTTGTTTTGTTCGTTTTGTTTTGTTTGAGATGGAGACTCGCTCTGTTGCCTAGGCTGGAGCGCAGTGGCGTCATCTTGACTCAGTGCAACCTCTACCTCCTGGGTTCAAACGATTCTCCTGCCTCAGCCTCTCAAGCAGCTGAGATTACAGGTGTGTGCCCTCACACCCAGCTAATCTTTGTATTTTTACTAGAGAGGGGTTTCACCATGTTGGCCAGGCTGGTCTCGAACTTCTGACCTCAGGTGATCCACCCACCTCAGCCTCCCAAAGTGCTGAGATTTCAGGCATGAGCCATGCGCCTGGCCTGAGCCACAGTACCCAACCACTTTTTTTTTTTTTTTTTAAATGAAAATTTATTCTTAAATGTACAACAGGCTCCAAGACCATACTTCAAGTAGCTATAGGTGGCAAAAGATGTTATGGCAGGGAATACAGATGTTTAAACGGGAATGGGGCCAGGTGCGGTGGCTCACGCCTGTAATCTCAGCACTTTGGGAGGCCGAGGCGGGCAAATCATGAGGTCAGGAGTTTGAGACTAGCCTGGCCAACATGGTGAAGCCCCGTCTCTACTAAAAATACAAAAAATAAGCTGGGCATAGTGGCGGGCGTGCCTGTAATCCCAGCTACTTGGGAGGCTGAGGCAGGAGAATGGTGTGAACCTGGGAGGCGGAGCTTGCAGTAAGCCAAGATCGTGCCACTGCACTCCAGCCTGGGCGACAGAGCGAGACTCCGTCTCAAAAATAAATAAATAAATAACATTTAGTTAATCATCATTATTATTTTGCTGTAGATGCTTATATAGGTGGCTTTCTTGTTAACCATGCCTTGGAGAACTAGCATATTCATTTTCTTTTCATTTGCTTTATTTATGGATATGTTTACTACATTCATCAGTATGTTACCTTCAGCATCTTGTATGTAATTAACATAGAAAAAGTTTTTATCCTTATTTTACCAAGAGCATCAAATTAGACCAGACACGGTGGCTCATGCCTGAAATCCCAGCACTTTGGGAGCCCAGTGTGGGAAGATCACTTGAGGTCAGGAGTTCGAGAGCAGCCTGGCCAACATGGTGAACCCCTGTCTCTACCAAAAATTACAAAAATTAGCCAGGCGTGGTGGTACACGCCTGTGATCCCAGCCACCCGGGAGGCTGAGGTAGGAGGATGGCTTGAGCCCAGGAGGTGGAGGTTGCAGTGAGCCTAGATCGTGCCACTGCTCTCAAGCCTGGGCAACAGAGTGAGACCCTGTCTCAAAAAAAAAATTAAAATTTGCCATTTTAACCACGTGTACAGTTCAGTAGAGTTAAGTGTATTCACATTGTTAGGCAATCACTATCCAGAACTTTTCATCTTGCAGAACTATATACCACCTGTATGACACCTCCCCATTCCTTTTTTTTAATGTGGTATGACATAGGTATGGCTTTCATGTCAGTAAGCGTGGTTATACAATATTTTATTTTATTTATTTATTTTTTTTTTGGAGATAGAGTTTTGCTCTTGTTGCCCAGGCTGGAGTGCAAAGGCACAATTTCAGCTCACCACAACCTCCACCTCCTGGTTTCAAGTGATTCTCCTTCCTCAGTCTCCCGAGTAGCTGGGATTACAGGCATGTGCCACCATGCCCTGCTAATTTTGTATTTTCAGTAGAGACGGAATTTCTCCTTGTTGATCGGGCTGGTCTCAAACTCCCGACCTCAGGTGATCTGCCTGCCTCAGCCTCCCAAAGTATTGGGATTACAGGTGTGAGCCACCGATCCCGGCCACAATATTAATCAGTTTTTTGAAAGGATAATACATATACATCAAACAAGCTTCAAATGATTACAACCATGTTATTGAGTGAGAACAGCAAATTTCCCACCTCTGTCCCCAGCCACCACTTCTAGACCCTCTCCTAGAGGTAACCACCCTTCCCAGTTTCTTGTCAATGTTGCTACATATTGTTCAGTTTATGTACCCAAGTTTCATTGCTGTTAATGTTTTGCTAATATAAAAGCACTGTGGCCAGGCAGGGTGGCTCACACCTATATTCCCAACACTTTGGGAAGCCAAAGTGAGAGCATTACTTGAGCCCAGGAGTTCAAGACCAGACTGAGCAATAATAGCGAGACCTAGTCTTTACAGAAAAATAAAAATAAAAAAACTAGCCAGGCTTGGTGGCATGCTGCTGTAGTCCCAGCTGCTGGGGAGGCTGAGGCAGGAGGATTGCTTGAGCCCAGGAGTTGGAGTTTGCAGTGAGCTGTGATCATGCCACTGCACACCAGACTGGGTGAAAGAGCCAGACCTTGTCACTGAAAAAAAGAAAAAAGTATGGAGATGAATATCCTTAGAGCTAAAACTTTATTATTTCTTAATTATTTTCTTAAGATAAATCCCTAAAAGTAGTATTACTGGGTCAAAGAGCATACATATTTTTAAGGCTTGTGATGATGTGCGGAAGTATTATGCCGGTTTTCTGTCCCACAAAAAGTGTATGCCAACATCTGGAAGAATTATTTCTATAAATGATTTTTAGGATCGTATGAACAACATTAACTATGCCTTTATCTGCTGAAACCAACTTCTTTCCTTTTTTTTTTTTTTTTTTTTTTTTTTTGAGATGGAGTCTTGCTCTGGTCCCCCAGGCTGGAGTGCAGTGGCTCGATCTCTGCTCACTGCAAACTCCGCCTCCCAGGTTCAAGCGATTCTCCTGCCTCAGCCTCCTGACTAGCTGGGATTACAGGCGCCTACCACCACGCCCAGCTAGTTTTTTTTTTGTATTTTTAGTAGAGATGGGGTTTCACCATGTTGGCCAGGCTGATCTCGAACCCCTGACCTTGTGATCCGCCCACCTCGGCCTCCCAAAGTGCTGGGATTACAGGTGTGAGCCACCGTGCCTGACCTTTTTTTTTTTTTTTTTTTTTTTTTTTAAGACAATGTCTCACTCTGTCGCCCAGGCTGGAGTGCAGTGGCACTATCTTAACTCACTGCAACCTCTGCCTCCCGGGTTCAAGCAATGCCCCTGCCTCAGCCTCCCAAGAGCTGGGACTATAGGCGCCTGCCACCCACGCCTAACTAATATTTAGTAGAGATGAGGTTTCACCATGTTGGCCAGGCTGGTCTTGAACTCCTGACCTCAAGTGATCTGCCTGCCTTAACCTCCCTCAAAACGCTGGGATTACAGGTGTGAGCCACCGCGCCCGGCCTGAAACCAGCTTTTATATAGGTGATTGTTACTTTCTACTCTTTCCTAACAGGTTTTCTTAAATGTTTTCTTGGAGCCTTAAAGATGGAGATGACAGAAATGACTGGTGTGTCGCTGAAACGTGGGGCACTGGTTGTCGAAGATAATGACAGTGGAGTCCCAGTTGAAGAGACAAAAAAACAGAAGCTGTCGGAATGCAGTCTAACCAAAGGTCAAGATGGGCTACAGAATGACTTTCTGTCCATCAGTGAAGACGTGCCTCGGCCTCCTGACACTGTCAGTACTGGGAAAGGTGGAAAGAATTCTGAGGCTCAGTTGGAAGATGAGGAAGAAGAGGAGGAAGATGGACTTTCAGAGGAGTGCGAGGAGGAGGAATCAGAGAGTTTTGCAGACATGATGAAGCATGGACTCACTGAGGCTGACGTAGGCATCACCAAGTTTGTGAGTTCTCATCAAGGGTTCTCGGGAATCTTAAAAGAAAGGTACATTTAGTTTATGAATAAAGTTATTTTGATTGTATTAGGTTTCTTCTTTAGAAAGAAATTAGCTTTATATTCTTCCACTTAGCTTTCCATCTCCAAGGCTTGTTTATACTACTGATCAAAAGGAATAGGATGAAGGAAACCTGCCTGAATAAATAGCCTTGGATTTTTAAATTTTAATTAATTAATTTTTTCCCTTTTTTTGAGAGAGGGTCTCACTCTGTCACCCAGGCTGGCATGCAGTGGCATGATCATGCCTCAAATAAATTCATTCACCAGGCACAGTGGCTTACGCCTGTTATCCCAGCACTTTGGGAGGCCGAGGCTGGCGGATCACTTGAGGTCAGGAGTTTGAGACCAGCCTGGCCAACATGGTGAAAGCACATCTATACTAAAAATACAAAAATTAGCTGGGCGTGGTGATGGGCACCTGTAATCCCAGCTACTCGGGAGGCTGAGGCAGGAGAATAGCTTGAACCTGGGAGGTGGAGGTTGCAGTGAGCCGAGATTGCACCACTGCATTCCAGCCTGGGTGACAGAGCAAGACTCTGTCTCAAAAAAATAAGTAAATGAATAAATTCATTTAAATGGTTTCAGATTTTCTCCTGAGTTTGTTTTATAATCTTAAACTCTTTTTTCATTTGAATGTGCCACAACTATGTTAGAAGAAGGTAGTCTTTGGAGCCAGGTGGATCCCAGTGTGAAGTTCGCTACTTAGTAGTTACTTAGCCTCTCTGAACCTCAGCATCCTTATTTAAAAAATGGATCAGGCCAGACACGGTGGCTAACGCCTGTGATCCCAGCACTTTGGGAGGCCAAGGCGGGCAGATCACTTGAGGTCAGGAGTTTGAGACCAGCCTGGGCAACATGGCGAAACCCTGTCTCTACTAATAATACAAAAATTAGCCTGGCGTAGTGGCACGCGCCTGTAATCCCAGCTACTCGGTAGGCTGAGGCAGGAGAATCACTTGAACCCAGGAGGCGGAGGTTGCAGTGAGCCAAGATCAAGCCACTGCACTCCAGCCTGGGCAACAGAGCAAGACTCTGTCTCAAAAAAAATAATAGTAATAAAATAAAATTTTTAAATGGATCATATTACCACATTGGGGTTGTTGAGGATTTTGAATAATGCATGTAAAATATTTAACATAAAGGTAAGCTTCAGGCTAGTTCATGGTAGACTTACTGGGTTCTGATTCAATTAACCATATAGCATATTTTGTGATTTAATTTAGTGTGGGCTGCCTGAATCGTCATAGGGTAATGTTAATAAGCTTTTGTTTTTGCATTTCTCTGGAAGAATATTCTAGAAGCTAAGAGGGTCTTTTCTTTAAGTTCTCATATAAAACTTGAGCCAAGGTATGGCTCAGCATTCATTAAGAAACCAGAAAAGACCGGATGTGGTGATTCACGCCTGTAATCCCAGCACTTTGGGAGGCCAAGATGGGCAGATCACTTGAGGTCAGGAGTTCAAGATCAGCCTGGCCAAAATGGTGCAACCCCGTCTCTACTAAAAATACAAAAATTAGCTGGGCGTGGTGGCACGTGCCTGTAATCCCAGCTACTCGGGAGGCTGAGGCGGGAGAATCACTTGGACCCAGGAGGCGGAGGTTGCAGTGAGTGGAGATCGAGCCACTGCACTCCAGCCTAGGCAACAGAGCAAGGCTCCATCTCAAAAAAAAAAAAGAAAAAAAAAATTAACTCCATGTGATTTTGCACTGAAGATTTTTTAAAATTCCTTGTTTTGCATAATAGTAAGGCTTGCTGTTGATCAACTTTATCTTAAAATTAATAGAAAACAGGATGTTAATTATCTGAAAGTTCATGTTTTCTTTCATCAGATACTCCGACTTCGTTGTTCATGAAATAGGAAAAGATGGACGGATCAGCCATTTGAATGACTTGTCCATTCCAGTGGATGAGGAGGTAGAAGTAGCTCTTTAGCAAATGTCACCTTCTGTATAAAAATAGCATTTCCTAGAGATTTAGAAATATAGAGCTTTATTAAACTTGAATTCTATGTATGATTCATTGTGAGTTCTCATGGTTATTTTAAAGGACCCTTCAGAAGACATATTTACAGTTTTGACAGCTGAAGAAAAGCAGCGATTGGAAGAGCTCCAGCTGTTCAAAAATAAGGAAACCAGTGTTGCCATTGAGGTAACTAATGCAAAAATATATGAAAAATTATTTAGGGTTTTAGTTGCTTTTTGGGTGGATGTTAAGTGTTTATGGAAAAAATTACAATGGTTAACAAAGGGTGACTTTTTGCTCTATTGGATCTAAAGGATATTACACTAAAAAATTTTTTTACTGGGGCAGATAACTAGTATCCCAGATAAACTATAGCCCCCCCCAAAGTTACATTTTTGTTTAAAAACATTTTTATTTGGGTACAGTGTTACATGCTATTCCAAAGTCCTAGCTACTCCGAAGGCTGAAGCCAGAGGTTTACTTGAGCCCAGGAATTGGAGACTAGCCTGGACAACATAGTGAGACATCATCTCTGAAAAAAAAATTTAGGGACCACAAATGAACAGCGACATATGTTGTTTAGAATCCCAGAGTACCAATTATACCACAATGTCCGTTGTAACAGGACCACCATTTGCTGTCTGTCAGGTATGTGACCCAGGTCAGATTCTGGCTTCAGCAGCTTCTTGGCCTCAGTTGGGACTCTGGGAAGGGGAGGAAATGGGGAAAGGAAGTAGGGGAGCATTTATTTGCTCATCGTGGGTCAATTCTGCTATTGAAGAAAAGGAGAGCTCAGCTACTAAGTAGAATAGTAAATTTTGTTGTTAAAGCTTTTGTTCGCCGGGCACGGTGGCTCACACCTGTAATCCCAGCACTTTGGGAGGCCAAGGTGGGCGGATCACTTGAGGTCAGGAGTTCAAGACCAGCCTGGCCAACATGGCGAAATCCCGTCTCTACTAAAAATACAAAAAAATTAGCCAAGCGTGGTAGCGCAGGCCTGTAGTCCCAGCTACTTGGGAGGCTGAGGCAAGAGAATCTCTTGAACCTAGGAGACAGAGGTTGCAGCGAGCAGAGATCATACCACTGCACTCCAGCCTGGGCGGCAGAGCGAGACTCCATATCAAAAAAAAAAAAAAATTATGTTAAATTAATTTTGTACTACATTTTAATGAGCTATGGGGTTTTCGGTTGTCTGAAATTCCCCCTCCCAGCACTCCTAGTTAATAAGCGTACTACAACTTTTCAGAATTCATTATCTGCTCCTTGTCTCCCTCCTTACCTGAGCTTCCCAAAAGCGTGTGGTATTGCAATGTTAGAAATCTTCCATTACTGAAAAAATCTTTAGACAAAACCTTTAGCAATGCCAAGAGGAAAATTCCTGGCAGATTTCTAGAGCAATCCAGAAGGATGGTCCAAGTTTCCTTTGCTTGTACAATGCAGAGGTTTATCTTAGGCTTATAATATGTATTTTCGTATACATGTGGTAAAATTTACTATTGTCTTAAAAACTGAGGTTTTCCTATCTACTGAAAGTCTGTACATTTAAAAGGCATAAACTATGGGCAAGCTTCCTCATTTGTAAAATGAAGATGGACTTTCTGAGTTTTTGAGGTCTAAACATGTATTCATATACACAAACTGTCGTTCTCCTTGCTATCAGTAATTTCAGATCTAGACTCACTTTTTGCTATGAAGAAGTCATTTACCTGTAATCGTAATGTAGTTTGGTGGATTTTTTTCATTTTTTATTTTGTTGAAGTATCATTAAGTTGCTGGGCGCAGTGGCTCACACCTGTAATCCCAGCACTTTGGGAGGCCGAGGTGGGTGGATCACCTAAGGTCAGGAGTTCGAGACCAGCCTGACCAACATGGAGAAACCCCATCTCTACTAAAAATACGAAAAATTAGCTGGGCGTGGTGGCGGGCACCTGTAATCCCAGCTACTCAGGAGGCTGAGGCGGGAGAATCACTTGAACCTGGGAGGTGGAGGTTGCAGTGAGCCGAGATCGTGCCATTGCACTCCAGCCTGGGCAACAAGAGTGAAACTGTGTCTCAAAAAAAAAAAAAAAAGTGTCATCAAGTTTAGCCAGTAGCAGTTGCAGTGTATCTCGATGTTTTCAGCTTGCAGGTTACAACCCATTAATGGGTCATGAAATCAGTTTAGTAGTGGATCTCAACCAGCATTTTTAAAAAATGGAATAAAATAAGGGCTGGGCACAGTGGCTCAGGCATGGAATTCCAGTACTTTGGGAAGCTGAGGTGGGCAGATCGCTTGAATTCAGGAGATCGAGACCAGCCTGGGCAACATGGCGAAACGCCATCTCTACAAAACATAAAAAAATTAGCTGGGCATGGAGGCACATGCCTGTAGTCCCAGCTTCTTGAGAGGCTGAGATAGGAGGATGGCTTGAGCCTGGGAGGCAGAGGTTGCAGTGAGCCAAGGTCGCATCACTGCACTCCAGCCTGGGTGACAGAGCCAGACCCTATCTCAAAAAATATATATAATAATAGCAATAACATAGAAAATACTTGTGCATTGCAAATAGTATGAATCTTGTTTTGTGAATTTTTTTTCGATTCTTAAAATGAGGTATATACACACACATTTGTGGTTGTATTGAGTAAAGAGGGAGGGAAAATTCTCAGTATGAGATGCACTCACACGCTGAAAATATCATGTAACTAGTGAGTTTATATCATGTTGATTTTTCTTTACTGTAAACCCATGTGCTAGAACCTCATTATAAAATAATTCAGAATATAATTCAATAAGAAGCAGCTGTAGGTTGGATTGTTCAAAGGACTGAGCTTCTCACATACCAAAAGGCCTAGCTTTGCCTGCATTTTCATGTAGGATCCCTAAGGTGTCTGTCCAGCAGAGACCCTGAGAAGGTGCATCTGGGTTGGTGGCCCATGGGTTTGACAGCCTGGATTTTAAATCCAGCTCTACCACCTTCCAGCTATATAACCGCAGACACAATTCCTCACTTCTAAATAGATATAATGGTGTTATGATGGAGAGATTACAAAGATTAAATAAAATGATGACCACAGTGCTTTGTACAGTGTCTGGCAGATGGATGTGCTCCATCAACAGGCTCCCGGGATTTGCAATATTGGGAAGCTCTGAAATATTTTTGAGACTGGGCACGGTGGCTCACGCCTGTAATCTCAGCACTTTGGAAGGCCAAGGCAGATGGATCACTTGAGGCCAGGAGTTTGAGACCAGCCTGGCCAACATGGTGAAACCCCATCTCTACTAAAAATACAAAAACTAGCCAGGCTTGGTGTTGTGAGCCTGTAATCCCAGCTACTCAGGAGGCTGAGGCAGAAGAATCCCTTGAACCCGGGAGGCAGAGGTTGCAGTGAGCTGAGATCACTCCACTGCACTCCAGCTTGAGCGACAGAGCGAGACTGTCAAAAAAATAAAAATAAAAGATTTTTGAAATCGTATGCAGGCACTTTTGTTATTTTGCGTAGTTAATAAGGTGAGCAGTGTTTTTACTAATTCACTGTATTACTTCCCTATTTAATGTTTGTTAACTTGGTGGTATTGCTATCTGTTTTTTTTAATAGGTTATCGAGGACACCAAAGAGAAAAGAACCATCATCCATCAGGCTATCAAATCTCTGTTTCCAGGATTAGAGACAAAAACAGAGGATAGGGAGGGGAAGAAATACATTGTAGCCTACCACGCAGCTGGGAAAAAGGCTTTGGCAAGTAGGTGTCTGTGAGCAGCTTCCTCCTGCCAGGCAGCCGTGAGCGGCAGGCCCCGCTCCTCGTTAGCCTTGCCCGTTCGTGTTCAAGGGCTACTATAGTGCTGCTCAGAGAACAATATTGATCATGTCCCTCCTTCAGAGAGGGTGAGTATTGTCACTTCAGATGCCAGCGCAGTCCTGCAGCCTGCCTGGCAAGGGGCATTAGGTCTTTTATGTGAGTAAAGATTTGCTGAAATTATAGTAGTGCCTGAGAGAGAGTCTTAGGGATTTGATATGTTCCCTGAAGAGCAGAGCATACTGAGTGGCAATTCAAGAAGAAAATAGAAGGATTATTGCTCATTCTGTGTTCTTCATGGAGGAAAGAAAGCTTTCAGATGAACAAAAAACGCTTGTCACCTATCCCAGTGGCACATTTTTTGCAAGGCCCCTATATATATATATATATATATATTTTTTTTTTTTTTTTGAGACGGAGTCTCGCCCTGTCGCCCAGGCTGGAGTGCAGTGGCACGATCTCGGCTCACTGCAAGCTCCGCCTCCTGGGTTCATGCCATTCTTCTGCCTCAGCCTCCTGAGTACCTGAGACTCCAGGCACCTGCCACCACGCCTGGCTAATTGTTTGTATTTTTAGTAGAGACGGGGTTTCACCTTGTTAGCCAGGATGGTCTTGATCTCCTGACCTCGTGATCCACCCGTCTCGGCCTCCCAAAGTGCTAGGATTACAGGTGTGAGCCAGTGCGCCCGGCCAAGACCCCTGTATTGAAAGAGGCATATTTTTTTGCCAGGCCCCTATATTGAAAGAGCTTTTGCTTTCCAACTGTATCTTCTTCAGTCACACATAAAAAATATGGAATATATAGAAAGACACCCTTTTATCTCAGCCCATCTTTTGTTGTGTATCATTCATTTGAAATGGGCATAGTCCCAGTGAGTCACTGATATTTATGTTCTAATGTGTTATCTACAGCCACAAAAGTTTCTATTTGCATATAACCTTTCAGGAAAATTAGGTAATTTTTTTTTTCACCTACCAAATTGACAGATAAAATTTAAATGAAAATTACAACAAGAAAAAGTTATTTCCTCACCCTCCTCTCCTACTAGCGGTGGCCTGTATTAATGAACATTTATTCCTAGATATATTTGGGGCAAAATTCTAAGACCATATAACAAAAAACTGTTTATTTATTAGGGCTCTGTCAGTATTCTTTTAGGTTAATTCAAAAGATAATACTGTGATGGATGAAGCCTTAATTGCTTATAACCATGTTTCTAGTGAAATGAGAGGGTATAACAAAAAAGAGAACAGGAGGAAAGCTTCGCTGTGCCTGAGGAAATAATCTAGTCAAGGCAGCAAGTCTGGATAGTGCTATAGAGATGAGATACCTGAGCAGTTCCAGAGGAAGAGGTGGAGATCAGAGGCCAGTTTTCAGTGAACACTGTAAAGAAAAGCCAGATGATGTGTCCTGGAACTGCTTGGGGCATGAGTCCTGAATTACTTTTTACTCCACAAACGAATGGTGTGGTTGCTGTGTGTTTCTTTAATGTCTGGGTCATGGTATAAAATGTCACCTGAGCAGCCTTTTTTCAGCCAAGGTTGCTCAAAGAGGAGTAAGCCCAGTGGAAAGTGATTGGAGCCACTGTTGGTTCAGTTCTCCCAAGGATAGTGTGTAGCTAGTAACTACTGTAGATGGAGAGGAGAGGTGACTTCTACAAACAGCCATGCCTTGGGGCACTTGGTCCTAATTCTCTCAGGGAACCCAGTTGGGAAGGCTGCTAGGGAGTTATTTTTTGTCAAGAAACAGCCCATGTTGGTCAGCAGTGCTGCCCATTATGAAGGCGGGAAGACAAGGCAAGGTCTTACTCTGCTTGGTGTGGTCATGAGGAAGCAGGTTGGAAAAAGCAAAAACTGTTTTTTTGACTGGTGGCTTCTTGGAAGTGATAATCATTTCTTAGGATGCCGGGTTTTGTGAGAGGGTGGAGGGCATTTGCAGGCCAAAGCAGCCATTACAGCCTTTCTACCCATCCCCTTCATTAAACACAGCGCCAGGTCTCTCATGTTGTGTTTTTATCCACATTTTCTCTGCTTATGCGACACCCGCCTTTCTTTTTTTTGTTGTTGTTGTTACGAAGTTTCCTTAAGATTTTACAAGTGAAGTACTGAGCTGTGCGATGTGAACCACCCTTCCCCATTTTCGTTTGGACACCTTCAGTAAGAAAGGAATTTCTCACTTTAAAAAGAAGCAAGAAGGAAGTCAGATTGGATCAACTCCCTCTTGTATAGAGAACCACACTTCTTGGGCTTGTGGTGTTGTGACATTTCTTCAAAGATGGACTAAATCTCTGCCATCTCTCCCACCTCCTCATGGAAGGCCACCCCTGGCACAGATGGGCACTTAGGAGCCTGCATTCATTTTTATAGACCCCACTCTCCCCAAGCTGAGAGTGGCCTAAAGTGAACACCCCTAGGAAAGGAGGAAGAGCTGGTATCCAAAGATTATTGTTCATGGCCCTCTACCAGCGACAGCTTGTCCTCCTGAGCCATCTTGCCTAGCATTTGAATGATTTAGCTTTTAAAGTATCATTACAAAGCTTTGTAATTTACAGTTTTTTTTTAGCTGTATTACTACCAGATCCTGATAGAAATTGTTATTATGCATTATCTAGCAGATTCACAATATTCTTAACCTGAACTTTTCTCAGATAGAACTGTGCATCCTAAAACATAGATGTGGTGGATTCTAAATCATTGTTCCCAAACACCACAAATTACCAACTATTTAAACTCAGACATTATTTTATGTGTTAAGCCAGTCTGATAGGGCACATTGCTTTACCTACCAAAATGTATATGTGATTTTTTTTTAAAATACCATCTAAACTATCATAACATTACTGATAAATTAATTTATATTTTGAGACAGTATACATTCCAAATGCTTCTAAGAACATAGTTTTTAAAGACTTATGTAAAAAAAAGAAAATTCTGCCATGTGATAGGTACAGGTTCTCTATACTTTCTGAAATGAATGGTCCCCAGGAGGGATCCCTGTATGTAGGAATCCATAGAGACTCAGGAGGAAGAGCTAGACAGGTACAAAGAAGCTCTCTGGGAAAGACTGGTGTTATAGAATCCACAGGAATAGGGAATCCCAATAATCAGAGTGATCAATGGACTACCATTGCTTCCATTCCTGTGGCAATGGAAAATGCTACAGATAGGTCCAGCAAGATAATTACTCTGAAACCTGTCTATCAGTTTAGCAACATGGAAGTTGTTGGTGTCTTTTCACCGGAGCATTCTAGTGGAATGATGAGGTTGGAAACCAGTTTACATAGTAGGTTGAGATGGAAGGTAGTATATACAGACTGCTTTTTCAAATAACCTGCAAAGAGGAGAAGAAGCGAACATAATTAAGGAGAGGGGAACATAGGTTAGGCTTTTAAGATGGAAGAGCTGTGAGTTATTTATATATGCAAGGGAGACAATGGAGGGCCAGGCGCAGTGGCTCACGCCTGTAATCCCAGCACTTTGAGAGGCCGAGGCGGGCAGATCACTTGAGGCCTGGAGTTCCAGACCTGCCTGGCCAACATGGCAAAACCTCATCTCTATAAAAAGAAAAATATATATTTTCAAAAAGGAAAGAGACAATGGAGAGAGAAGGTGAAAATTCAGGGAGGCAAATAACAAAATAAAGATAATGGATGGAGTAGGATCCCTGAAAAAGCTGAAGGTTGGTGTGCAGGGGTGTGATGGTGGGAATGACCTTGAATAAGAAGGAAGGAATGTTCCGCATGCTACCCCATCTTTTCATCTTTCTCAGCTAGAAACATTTTTCCTTCTTTATTCATGGAGATGTCTGTGCTCAATAAATCAAACTTCCTGAACTTGGTTTCCCTTTTATCTGGTTTCCATTTCTGCTAGACTGGGACTGCCTTGTTAGGCCCTCAGAAGCTGGATGCAGCCTTCTTCAAATAGGAACCATATTACCCAGCCTGGGAATTCTGTGCATTTGCAGTATAAATCAGTGTCTCAAAAATGTCTGCAAGTTATTTTAAATTCATTCAAATTGTAAAGCTAAGTATATGCTGCTTAGCATTCTTAGGGGGTGGAGTTTTATAAAGTCACACAAATTGCCCAAAATAAATGGAGACTCATTGATTTTCTGTTATTTAAAATATTCCCAGTTAATCAATGCATATGCTTACTATTTTGTATATTGAGTGTACTTAGAAAAAGAATGCATACTTGTATCTGTTGTTTGCAAAGGAGATAATTGTATGCATGCTCAGTGCTTGGATTTGCTAAATAGAAGATGCATGCTTGTGAGCCAAAACTCATACTCTGTTGTCATGGTTTCTCTTAAGGTATAGCAGCATTTAGTTTTTGAGTCTTGTGGCTTCATTTATTTCTTGTCATTATACTTAATTATGAATACTCCAAAGGGGTAGTTGAGAAAAATGTAGCTACACTTCATCAACTTTTATCACAAGTGTTTTTAAAGTTTTTATTATGGACATTTTCAAACTTGCAGTCAAATAGAGGAAATAGTATATGGAACCTATGTACCCATAAACCATCTTTAAGATTATCAACATTCTGTTGTTTTATTGATTTATCCTTCCTCCTTTTTTTTCTTGCTGGAGCATTTTAAAGGAAATTCTACATAGCATGGCTTTTCACTCATAAATATTTCAGTATCTATTTGCCAGATGAGGACTGAAACCCCAAACTATTATCACATCCAAAAACATCAACAATAATTTCTTCCTATCACATACCTATTGCATATTTGGTTTTGCTGTATCTCAAAAATGTCTTTTTTATATGCAGATGGCTTGTTCAAAGAATGATAAAAACAAGGTCAGAACATTGCACTCATTGATAAGCCTCTTAAGTCGTCTCTTAAATCTTTTTTAATCTATAAAGAACTTAGCTGTTTTCTATAATATTTAACATTTTTCAAATTTAAAAGTCTTTATAATTCAATGCAAGAAATTCATGAAACGCAGAAAAAGCAAAGCAATAGTTACTTGTCTCACTATCAAAAAAAAGATAATCACAAATAGCATTTTGGTACATGTCCTCCCATATTTAAGTAAACAGATCTCTTTTTGGGGAAGCATTTACTATCCTTAAACCTTTTGCTTCATCTCATGGGTACAGACAGTGCAGCTTTGAGCGTGAACTAACATGCCCATTGTGAAGGGATTGAGACAAGGAGGCTGCACCTGTAGAAGAGTTTTCTACTTGTTCACTGTTTGCCTCTAAAACATTCCATTGTTAATGTCTAAATGGCTGTTAACCCACCGCATAACTACCGGGTGCTGTAGAAGTCCTCAGTGTAAACTTAACCATGCGATCATTTGCATGTTCACCTCTAAAGCACTTTAATATTATAAATTAAACATTGCTCTTTTGTGCTCTTTATGCTGTGCATTTGGACAGAGGTCAGAACTGCAGCAGGTAAGAGCATTTGGCATTTCATGTAGATAAAGTGAAATGCCAAAGATTTTGTCACAAGTGCTAAGTATAGACAACTTTGCTTAACTGATAGTGAGCTGGAAGGAAAACCGAAAATGATATTCCTGCTCAACAGTTTTCTGAAGAACTTGTGAGGAATTCACACCAAGGACTAAAGAAATACTTGTAATACTTTTCTGTCCAAGACAGAAAAAACTCACATATTTATCAAGAAGGAAGGGTGATTCACTAAGCATACATGCTATGGCAGTTTTCTGAAATGGTTTATGGAGTCTTTTGTTCTTTTCATTGTAACTTATCACTAACTTACCAAACAGTGCTTTTGCCTTGACAAAGCCAGGTATCCAAGTACCAGCTTCGGTACCAGCAGTATCTTAAGCCTCTGAAGATAAGGGATTCATGAGTTCATGAAAAAGGATTATTTTTAAAAGAAGAGGACTCTTTCTAGGAATTGTTGTATGAAACATTTTTTCAGTTTTTCTTTCATGGAGTTACAGTAATCAAATGAACTAGATGTGTTGTTTAAGTAACAACTGCAGCTCTGTGCCACACAGGACTCATGAATGTTATTGTACAGCGTCTATAAAGTGCAGTTTAGGCTTACATATTTTTCCCAAAGTACTTAAAAAAAAACATTTTGAGCAGCTTAAATCTAAAGCATATATATGTATGTGTCTCTCCCTCTCTCTCTCTCTCTCTCTCTCTCTCTATATATATATATATATATATATATATATATGTGTGTGTGTGTAGATATGCATACTTTTTTTTTTTTTTGAGACGGAGTCTCGCTCTTGTTGCCCAGGCTGGAATGCAATGGCACGATCTTGGCTCGGTAACCTCCACCTCCTGGGTTCAAGCAATTCTCTTGCCTCAGCCTCCCAAGTAGCTGGAATTACAGGCACTCGCCACAATGCCCAGCTAATTTTTGTATTTTTAGTAGAGACGGGGTTTCACCATGTTGGCCAGGCTTGTCTCAAACTCCTGACCTCAGGTGATCCGCCCATCTCAGCCTCCCAAAGTGCTGGGATTACAGTGCATGGGATTACACTCGGCCTAAATCTTACATTGTTTAACACAGGATTGAACAACTGAAGTAACACTAGCTGCTCAGAAGTTAACATTTAACCTGGCTTAATTTTTTTATGTTCTTTTTTTTAATTAAAAATGTTTTTCTTTTATTTATTTTTTGAGACAGGGTCTTGCTCTGTCACCCATGCTGGAGTGCAGTAGCATGATCTCGGTTCACTACAACCTCCACCCTACATGTTCATGTGATCCTCCCACCTCAGCCATCTGAGTAGTTGGGACCACAGGCGTGTACCACCATGCCTGGCTATTTTTAGTGGAGACGGGTCTTGCCATGTTGCCCAGGCCAGTCTTGAACTCCTGAGCTCAAGCCATCTTGCCCGCCTTGGCCTCCCAAAGTCCTGAGATTACAGGTGTGAGCCACCGTGCCCAGCCACATTTTAGCTTTTTATTTTTAATATGGATAGATAATGTTAAGTGTCCAATTACAGGAAATGTAATACCTCTAGTCCACACAGCTATAACCACTTAACCTGTATTTCTTTATCAGACTAGAACTGATTTTCCACTCAAAGGTTCTATAGCGAAAAATGAGCTCTTACATCTATAACTTTTATTATGGTATATATAATGTTAATTCTTTTGCTTTCAAGATCCAAGAAAACATTCTTGGCCAAAATCTAGGGGAAGTTACTGC
Source organism: Homo sapiens (assembly GCF_000001405.40). Classification (NCBI taxonomy): domain Eukaryota; kingdom Metazoa; phylum Chordata; class Mammalia; order Primates; family Hominidae; genus Homo; species Homo sapiens. The sequence goes on along the minus strand of NC_000007.14, from coordinate 105,495,209 downwards.
CACTTCGTACTATATAAGGAAAACAAAGACACCATGGATGCTATTAATGTACTCTCCAAATACTTAAGGTGAGTTACTGTTGTTATGCCTATACAAAATCAAAGCAACAGAAACGTATATTCCTTTTTCCATGCTAATGGAAAAAGGAGCAGGAGGAGCACAGATTACAGATAGTAAATGCTCCTCCCAATGATAGTTTTCTTTCTTTCTTTCTTTCTTTTTTTTTTTTTTTTTTTAGACAGTCTCACTCTGTCACTCAGGCTGGAGTGAATGATGGTATGATCAGGCTCACTGCAGCCTTGACTTCCTGGGCTCAGGCATTCCTCCTACCTTAGCCTCCTGAGTAGCTGGGATTACAGGCGTATGCCACAATGCCAGGCTAATTTTATTAGGTTTTAGAGACAGAGTCTCACTATATTGCCCAGGCTGGTCTCGAACTCCTGTGCTCAAGCAGTCCTCACACTTCAGCCTCCCAAAGTACTGGGATTAAGAATTGCCGATCGGCCTGGCGCAGTGGCTCACACCTGTAATTCCAGCACTTTGGGAGGCCGAGGAAGGCAGATCACGAGGTCAAGAGATCGAGACCATCTTGGCCAACATGGTGAAACCCAATCTCTACTAAAAATACAAAAATTAGCTGGGCATGGTGGCATGTGCCTGTAGTGTTAGCTGCTCAGGAGGCTGAGGCAGGAGAATTGCTTGAACCTGGGAAGCAGAGGTTGCGGTAAGCCGAGATTGTGCCACTGCACTCCAGCCTGGCAACAGAGCAAGACTCCATCTCAAAAAAAAAAAAAAAAAAAAAAAAAATCACTGATCATGGATAGGAAGTGCATTGTTTCTTCCAGGCGTGAGCCACTGTGCCAGGCCGTGAGGATAGTTTTCTTAGGCAATGGATGAATTAATTTTTTTGACCCCCACATACGTAGTGCCAATAATTCAAGATGAAAATTCCATAAGTAAATGATTCGCATGCAGCTGAGAGTTAACAATCTGGTTGAAAATAAAAATTAACTTTCTCTTTTGAAAGCCTATACTTATCCTTTGACGTGGTTGCAGAGGTTGGTTTTGCCAGACTGGGAGCTCTCAATTCCTGGAGACTGACTAAACCTGAGACCGGTCTGATTTTCTAACAGGAATGTAAATATAGCAGAGACTGGATCTCTGGGGATCGGCAAGGTGCCAAAGCTTTTCTTAAAAATGGAAGTGGCTACACACCACAGCAAGTCTGTATGCTGTGGAAATTTGGTTTCCAATATATATTTAACTCATTTTAAATATGGAAACAGTGTATTAATTTGCTAGGACTTCCATAACAAAATACCACAGATCAGGTGGCTTAACAGAAATTACTTTTCATATGCTTCTAGAGGCTAACAGTCCCAAGCTCAAGGTGTCGGCAAGTTTGTTTTTTTTCCGGAAGCCTCTCTCCTTGGCTCGCAGATGGCTGCCTTCTCACTGTGTCTTCATGTGGCATTTTCCCTGTGCACGCACACCCCTGGTATCTGTGTGTGTCCCCATTTCCTCTTCTTAGGAGGATACCAGTCAGATTGGATTAGTGCCCACCCTAAATGGCCTCATTTTAACTGAATCACCTCTTTGAAGGCCCTATCTCCAAATACAGTCACATTCTGAGGTCCTGGGGGGTCAGAGCTTCAACATACTAATTTTGGGGGAGACACAGTTCAGCCCATAATACACAGTACCCAATTAAGTAACATTTATTTTGCTCTATTTATTAACTCCCTGGGAGAGAGTCTGTGCTACTATGCCTGTACCTGAGCCAGAGAGAACAGACGATTCTTGACAGGAATAGGTGGGTGGGGAGGGAGTTCCTCCAAGATCGGGAGTTGAGGATTGCTCAGGATTTAAGAAATCCTTCCTGGCTTTTTCCTTCTCATATGGAACGGTTAAGTTTATAAAATACTTCTTAGTTAACTAGGTTACTTATTATCTTCATATCAAAACTATTCAGATCCCAGTTTTAGCATTTCATTTGGCTTTTTTCATTTTTTAATACAAAGCAATAGCAGCATGGAAAATTCACACAATAACTTTTTAAAAACTGAAGATAAATTTTCATAGTGGTACATTATATCTCTAGAATGCATTTTTCTTTGCTTTCACTGTCTTATGTAATGTAATGAATTGTAGATGATGGATAGGAAGTGCATTGTTGCCTTTTTTGTTGCTGGCTAGCCAAGTCTTTGAACAACATCAGTTATTTACTAATAGCCACAAATGTTTACACTGCTAAGAAAGGAATTATTGACTGGGCGCAGTGGCTCACCCCTGTAATCCTAGCACTTTGGGAGGCCGAGGCGGGTGGATCACCTGAGGTCGAGCATTCAAGACCAGCCTGGCCAACATGGCGAAACCCCATCTCTATTAAAAATACAAAAAATCGGCCGGGCGCGGTGGCTCACGCCTGTAATCCCAGCACTTTGGGAGGCCGAGGCGGGCGGATCACGAGGTCAGGAGATCGAGACCATCCCGGCTAAAAAACGGTGAAACCCCGTCTCTACTAAAAATACAAAAAATTAGCCGGGCGTAGTGGCGGGCGCCTGTAGTCCCAGCTACTTGGGAGGCTGAGGCAGGAGAATGGCGTGAACCCGGGAGGCGGAGCTTGCAGTGAGCCGAGATCCCGCCACTGCACTCCAGCCTGGGCGACAGAGCGAGACTCTGTCTCAAAAAAAAAAAAAAAAAAAAAAATACAAAAAATCAGCCAGATGTGGTGGTGCATGCCTGTAATCCCAGCTACTTGGGAGGCTGAAGCAGGAGAATTGCTTGAACCCAGGAGGCAGAGGTTGCAGTGAGCCAAGATTGTGCCGCTGCACTCCAGCCTGGGTGACAGAGAGAGACTCCGTCTCAAAAAAAAAAGCGAAGAATTATTTGGCCATCATTTACCTTTTTTGTTTTTTTTTAAAGAGAGCAGGTCTTACTACGTCACCCAGGCAGGAGTGTAGTGTGCAGTGGCTGTTCACAGGCACCATCATAGCGCACTGTAGCCTCCAACTCCTGAGCGCAGACAGTCCTCCTGCCTCAGGCCTCCCCAGTAACTGGGACTGTAGGTGCATGCCACCACACCTGGCTATCATTTACTTTTCTAGCTTGCATATGAATTTATGTTGTTTTAGTAGATTTTTTTTTTTTTTTTTTTGAGACGGAGTCTCTGTGGCCCAGGCTGGAGTGCAGCAGAGTGGTCTCAGCTCACTGCAACCTCAGCCTCCTGAGTTCAAGCAATTCCCCTGTCTCAGCCTTCCAAGTAGCTGGGACTACAGTCACACACTACCACGCCCAGCTAATTTTTGTATTTTTAGTACAGATGGGGTTTCACCATATTGGTTAGGCTGGTCTTGAACTCCTGACCTCAGGTGATCCACCTGTCTTGGCCTCCCAAGTGCTGGGATTACAGACCATGAGCCACTGCGCCCAGCCTCCCTGGATTCATGTTAAAATAAAGTTTCTCCTCATTCTTCTCTTACTGTGTTATGATTGTAAGTATGTTTATATTAAAACTTAAATTATGAGAATTAGGATTTCCTTATAATATTACAGTATGTGACTTCAGATGATCTTGTTTCTCTCTTACCAGAGTCAAGCCAAATATATTCTCCTACATGGGAACCAAAGATAAAAGGGCTATAACAGTTCAAGAAATTGCTGTTCTCAAGTAAGTAGAGAGCACGTAACAGGATTTATACTGTAAATATCCTGGCACTGCTTTTCAGAATTCTCAAATTTACTTTGGGGGTTTCTCTCTCAGCTTTAGATGGTGCTTCTGCCTATTTAAAAATTACTTTTCATTCTGTTTTTTTCTTCTTCTTATCTATGAAACGTGTATTATTTGTGTAATTTTTAAAGATTTTTTTGGTAAAGCCAAGAGAATAATGCTTCTTTCTCTCTTTTGTTCATTCATTGTTAAATATGTTATTTAAAATTACAACATAGTGAACATGCTGTTTTGTTGTACACCCGAGAGCTACAGATAAAAGCAATAGTCTGTGTTTTTGAAGCAATTATAATTAGTGGAATAGACGGACATGTAAATCAGAACTTCTCCTGCAGTGAGATAAATACTGAAATAGAGATATACTTTGGATGTTAATGTATGCCTGTCAACAAGCATGGGAGTTGATGTGGAGGGAACACAGGAAAGCTTTCATAGAAAATGGGATGCTGAGTTTTAATTTAGTTCAAGGCTTCTCAACCTCTCCACTGTTGCCCTTCGGGGCTGGATAATTCTTTGTTGTAGGGACTGTCCTGTGCGTTGCAGGATGTTTTGCAGCATCCCTAGTCTCTACCCACTATGTAGCAGTAGCAACTCCTTGCCCAGTTATGATAGCAAAGAATGTCTCTAGGCATTGTCAGATATTCCCTGAGGCCAGAATTGCCCCCGATTGGGAACCACTGGTCTAGATTCTAGAAGGATGAGTAGAGATTTCCTGGGGCTGGGTAGGATTTAGGATTGTTTTTTCCAAACCAAAAAAGCAGGTTAAGAAAAGACGTTGGAAAGCATATTTGGTACCTGGCATGTACTTTAGTTTTTGAGGAGCATAGCGAGAAATAAGGATCTAGGAGTTAGGCAGGATGTAGATCCTGAAGGGCCTGTTAGGTCAGGTTGAGGGTCTTTGCCTCAACCTTAATCTAAATGGGGATTGGTGTATAGAGGCTGGATTATGGATCGCCGGTGGAGCAAGACATGCAAAACTAGAGACCAGGGCTATTGACGTATTCTGGGGAGGGAGAATAAGGGTCTGAACCCAGTTAGTCACAGTGAAGGTAAAAGAGAAAGGATGAATTTAATAGCTGTACTGTGTCAGACACATTTAGGCTGTCTTATTAGTATACCTCCAGAGGCAAGGAATGGTGGGAGAGAGAAATAACATAGGGGCAAGGAAACTTCTGGGGGTGATGGATGCATTGTCTTTAATATGGTAATGGTTTCATGGGCTTATACACATGTCAAAACTTGTACATTTTAAATGTGTACAGTGTATGTCAGTCATACTGCAATTAAAAATAAAGTACGCTATGTTTGCTACCTCTACTTAAATACATGTATTTATTTTGGTTTCTCGGATTTTTTTTTTTTTTTTTTAGTCTTGCTGTGTCACCCAGGCTAGAGTGCAATGGTGGGATCTTGGCTTACTGCAACTTCCACCTCCCTGGTTCAAGTGATTCTCCTGCCTCAGCCTCCCAAGTAGCTGGGATTACAGGCATACACCAGTGCACCTGGCTAATTTTTATATTTTAAGTAGAGATGGAGTTTCGCCATGTTGGCCAGGCTGGTCTTGAACTCCTGACCTCAGGTGATCCACCCACCTCAGCATCCCACAGTGTTGGGATTACAGGCATCAGCCACCACGCCCAGCCCATATATTTATTTTGAATTTCCTCATCTTTTTATAAAGAATTTATGGTGGTATCTCCTCTTTACCCCATAATCCCCTACAATTGGGCTTCTTTCCCACTACTTTTCTGATTCCCCTGAAATAATGTAGTTGTTGAACCGGTTGTATCGTAATGTTTATTCCAGTTCTTTTTCTTCCTTGACCTTGAGACAGTGGCATGATGTCATAAAAGCAGTCATCTCACCATTGCTTTTACTGGTGGTGTGTACAAATATTGAAGCATTTGAAAGAGAGCAGGAGTAAATACATGAAGATGATGGTGTTCCTATCTGGTGGCCTGGTTTCATTTTCTCGCTGTGGCATATAGAATGTGGAGTCATTTGCTCAGAGTGAAGGGGCAGGAGTGGGTAAGGGAGCTTGAAAGAGAGTGGAGATTTGAAATAACCTTTGTGGGTAATGGACCAGGGACTCCCCAGAAACTCAGAAGAATGGGGGTAGGGGGACAGGGGTTTGAAGGCTCAGGCTTTCTCATCCTCTGTGGATAGAGGTCACAACAGAAGGTTTTTGCCTTGTTTTTGGTATCTAAAATACCTAGTCACCTCCTGTGATTTCTAGCTGGCTCTGTGAATTTTGTTTCTGATTAAAAAAAAAAAGTCAGTTTATTTTGTTTCTTTTTCTTTTCTTTCTTTCTTTTTTTTTTTTTTTTTTTTTGAGATGGAGTTTCGCTCTGTTGCCCACGCTGGAGTGCAGTAGTGGGATCTCACCTCACTGCAAGCTCCGCCTCCTGGGTTCACGCCATTCTCCTGCCTCAGCGTCCTGAGTAGCTGGGACTACAGGCGCCCGCCACCATGCCCAGCTAATTTCTTGTATTTTTAGTAGAGATGGGGTTTCACCATGTTAGCCAGGATGGTCTCGATCTCCTGACCTCGTGATCCACCCGTCTTGGCCTCCCAAAGTGCTGGGATTACAGGCGTGAGCCACTGGGCTCTGCCTATTTTGTTTTCAACACAGAAAGAACTAGGTAGAAAATGAAAGGCCTGCCATAACTGTACTTCTTCCGAGATCACCTTATTCACAACATGGTATATATTTTTTGAGGGACTTTTTTTCCTTTTTAAACAGCAATACTTATGTATTCTTATTTTGAACAATAGATGGTGTACCTTATTTCCTGTAGGTATATAGCAAAATATGTTTGAATGTATGGATATATCCTAATTTAAACTATTACTCTATTTTTGAATGTTACATTGTTTCTCGTTTCTTGCTGTTATAACCCAGTCCATGACAGACGTATTTGTAGCTAAATCTTGGCACACATCTGTGATAACTTCATTAAGATAAACTTAGCAGTGAAATTACTGACTTAAAGGGAATATGACATTTTAATGTGGTTTGTCTTTTTTCTTTCCATCTGCTGGTCAAAACACAGAGAAATTCTCTCTCTCTTTTTTTTTAATAGCAAAGCCTAATTATCCTGCAAAAAAGTGGTACCAATTTACCACCTTTATTCTGGTTCCCTAGAATCTTCCTCAGCATGGTGTTATGATGGGGACAGGGAGTCATTTGCTAATTTGAGGGTCAAAAAATGGCATCTTGTTATTTTATTTTGCGTTTTCTGATGTGAAGTCTTAGAATAGTTGAAGACCAAGAATATTTCTTTTTTTTCTTGGTCAGCCAGCAGATGTCACACTTCATCAGGACACTGCTCTGTCCTCAGATTTTTGCTGCCTTTATCATCTTCCTGTTGACTTAGTAAGAAACTGTGTTAGACACCTAAATGTTGGCCCTCTGAAAGCACACAGCACTTATCTCACGGATACAGGCTACACCCTTAGTTTGTTTAATGGATACATGGGGCCAGGCAGATTGGCCTTTCCCGTGGGAACTTGTGAACAGGAGAAACCCACTCTGCCACACAGGCATTTGAATGACTGCTGGATTGATCGGTCCTGGGGATAAGCAGCACGTCTTTTCAGCTTCATGAAACTCTAAAGCCACCTAGTAATTTTAACAGGGTCTCAGGCAGGAACAGTCTCATTCAGAATGATTTGTTTCTTTTCCTGCCTGTTCCTGCCAGTCTCCTTTCTGAACTTGGGCCAGTATTTCCCTGGCTTTGTTAATTAAGGTTTTCTGTGCATCATGTTGCTTAATTGGTTCCTGATGTTTAAAAGCAAGATTTTTATATTCCCTAGTTACTCACTGAATTTGCTGTAAATTTACAACCAAAGACCTTGATCTGGGATCATCATAATTAAAACTGTGAATAGTATCATGAAGACATTGTCAGCTTCATTCCATTTCTCAGGGAGCACCCATACCAACCAGAACTGAGTATAGTTCTTGCTTTTTGCTGTGCCAGTGGAATTTAGAGATGGATGTCTATCGTATATTCAAGAATTGATACTACTATTCGGCCACAAAAAAGAATGAAACAAAATACTGATATATACTTAAAACATGGATAAACCTTAAAAACATTCCACTAAGAAGTCAGGCGCACAAGGCCAGATATTGTATGATTCTGTTTATATGATGTGTCTGAAATAGGAAAATCTATAGAGGCAGAAAGTAGATTAATGGTTGCCGAGGTCTGCAGGGAGAGGAAACGGGAGTGACTGCTGAATAGGTACAGGGTTTCTTTTTCAGGTGATGGAAACGTTCTTGAAGTATATAGTGGTGATGGTTTCACATTGTTGTGAATATACTAAAAATCACTGGCATGTACACTTTATAACAGTTAAAATGGTGAATTATACATGTGTATATATATATTTATTTATTTTATTTTATTTTTTGATACAGGGTCTCGTTCTGTTATCCAGGCTGGAGTACAAGTGGCACAATCTCGGCTCACTGCAACCTCAGCCTCTGAGGTTCAAGTAATCCTCCTGCCTTAGCCTCCCGAGTAGCTGGGATTACAGGTGTGCACCACCATGCCCTGCCAATTTTTGTATTTTTAGTAGACACGGGGTTTCACCAGGATGGCCAGGCTGGTCTCGAACTCCTCATCTCAAGCAATTCAGCCACTTTGGCCTCCCAAAGTGCTGGGATTACAGGCGTGAGCCACCATGCCCAGCCTTGTGAATTTTATATTATGTTAACTTTATCTCAACTTAAAAAAAAAAAGGACAGAACTATCAGGCACTTCTGTGGCACCATCAGGAAGCAGTCTCCGGAACACTCTCTCTAGGACAGCTCCTGACCCTGAATTGTTCTGTCAGTTTCTACAGCAGTAGTTCCTGGCTGAAGAGGAGTTTTGTCCCCCGTTCCTCACTCTGTTCATACTGATCCTCCGCTTCTAGATTCCTTGGGATACAATCCCTGGGTTAATTCGTGCTCTTGGGTTCTACCATTGCTCCCATACATAGTCCAGGAATTCAAGGTTACAGTGAGCTATGATTGCACCACTGCACTCCAACCTGGGTGGCAGAGCAATTCCTTGTCTCTAAAAAAGGAAGAAAAAGTTATATAAGATAAGAAAATATACAAAAATCAATATGTACAGCTGGGTGCGGTGGCTCACGCCTGTAATCCCAGCACTTTGGGAGGCTAAGGCGGGCAGATTACTTGAGGTCAGGAGTTCCAGACCAGCCTTGCCAACATGGTGAAACCCCGTCTCTGCTAAAATTACAAAAATTAGCTGGGCTTGGTGGCAGGCGTCTGTAATCCCAGCTACTTGAGAGGCTGGGGGCAGAAGAATTGCTTGAACCCAAGAGGCAGAGGTTGCAGTAAGCCTAGATCACACTAGTGCACTCCACTCCAGCCTGAGTGACAGAGCAACACTCTGTCTCAAAAACAAAACAAAACAAAAAAAAAAAAGAAAGAAAAATAAATATAGCACCTGGATAGGTGCAGTGGCTCACGCCGGTAATCCCAGCACTTTCGGAGGCCAGGGTGGGCAGGCATGGTGGTGCATGCCGGTAGTCCCAGCTTCTCAGGAGGCTAAGGCTGGAGACTTTGTAAGCCCACGAAGCAGAGGTTGCAGTAAGCTTAGATCGCACCACTGCACTCCAACCTGGGCGACAGAGACTCTGTCTCAAAAACAAAAAAGAGATATAGCACTTAAAGCAATTTCATACTGGAACATGACTAGGTAGAATAGAGTAATCCTAGACCCAGATACATCCAAGGATTTAGTACGTATTCAAAGTATCATTTAAGATAAGTGGAGAAAATAATGGTTGATTCAAAAAATAATGGTTGATTCAAAAAATGTTGGATAACTGAGTAACCATCTAAAAAACCATTTAAGTGTGGCTCCCCTACCTCATTTCCCTTTGCTAAATAAATTCCAGGTGGATCATAAATTTGAACATTAAAATGCAACTTTAAAAGGACTCTACTTAGGCCGAGCAAGGTGGCTCATGCCTGTAATCCCAGCACTTTGGGAGGCTAGGGCGGGCAGATCACCTGAGGTCAGGAGTTCAAGACCAGCCATGACCAACATGGAGAAACCCTGTCTCTACTAAAAATACAAAATTAGCCGGGCATGGTGCCGCATGCCTGTAATCCCAGCTACTCGGGAGGCCGAGGCAGGAGAATCGGTTGAACCCGGGAAGCGGAGGTTGCAGTGAGCCAAGATCGCGCCATTGCGCTCCAGCCTGGGCAAAGAGCAAAACTCCATCTCAAAAAACAACGACGACAACAACAACAAAAAACAGTACTCTACTTACATTTGAGATTAAAAAAAAAAGAATCTCTGACCAGGTGTGGTGGCTGACCCCTGTAATCCCAGCACTTTGTGGGGCTGAGGCGGGAAGATCACTTGAGTTTGAGACCAGCCTGGCCAACCTGGTGAAACCCCATCTCTGCTAAAAATATAAAAATTGGCCAGGCATGGTGGTGTGTGCCTGTAGCCCCAGCTACTCAGGAAGCCAGGGCAGGATAATTCCTTGATTTCAGGAGCCAGAGGTGGCAGTGAGCTGAGATCATGCCACTGCACTCCAGCCTGGGCGACACAGAGCAAGACTCCGTCTTAAAAAAAAAAAAAAAAAAAAAAATCTCTGACTGGTGACATCCTAAGTATGAGTTAAATCTCAGAGCTTTTTTTTTTTTTGACAGCCAAGCTGGAGTGCAGTGGCACGATCTCAGCTCACTGCAACCTCTGCCTCCCGGGCTCAAGCAATTCTCCTGCCTCAGCCCCCAAGTAGCTGGGATTACAGGCGTGTGCCACCACACCCGGCTAATTTTTGTATTTTTAGTAGAGACGGGGTTTCACCATATTGGCCAGGCTGGTCTCGAATTCCTGACCTCAGGTAATCCGCCCGCCTCGGCCTCCCAAAGTGCTGGGATTACAGGCATGAAGCACCGCGCCCGGTCCCAGAGCTATTTTTTTTTTTTTTTTTAAGAAAAAAAGATTCATGAATTTAACTAAAGTTTCTCCATATAGTTGTTTGTTTTAATTTTAGAGATGGGATCTTGCTGTGTTGGCCAGGCTGGTCTTGAACTCCTGGGCTCAAGCTATCTGCCCATCTAGGCCTCCTAAAGTACTGGGATTACAGGCGTAAACCACTGTGCCTGGCCCCTACATAGTTTTTATTTACAGAAGAATGCCAACAAATATAGAAACACAGTTTCAGTCAACACAGTAATAATCAATTCAGCCAACAATCATGCTTGGGTACCTAAATAATTGGGTAAAGACTTTGGGGGAACAGGATTTTTACACAATTTCAAAAGTATTTCCCCACTGATGACTAATTAAAAGCAAAGACAAAGAGACTCTTAGAGTGTAAAAATCTAGTAAATACTATCCTAATTAAATGATTAAAGTTATTATCATTGTTGGACAAAATCACTGCCTTTTGATGTGATGCATTGAAAAGGGCCATATCACCTCAGTAATATTTCTACCAAAGTGTTTACCTGAGTCTCAGCATGAGGAAACAATCAGATAAATCCACATTGAAAGACGTGTAAAAGCGCTGGCCTGGATTCTTCTAAGGGCCAGATATCATGAAAAACAAGGCTAGACAGATCACTTAGTGGAAACCAAACAGACATCACAGCTGCAATGTGTGATCCTCAATTGGATCCTGGCAGCCTAAAAAACAAAAAGATGGCCAGGTGCACTGGCTCATGGCTGTAATCCCAACACTTTGGGAAGCTGAGGTGGGTGGATCACTTGAGGCCAGGAGATCGAGACCAGCCTGGCCAACATAGTGAAACTCTGTCTCTACTGAAAATACAAAAAAACATAGCCAGGTGTGGTGGCATGTACCTGTATTCTCAGCTACTCGGGAGGCTCAGGCAGAAGAATCTCTTGAACTTATCTCACGCCTGTAATCGCAGCACTGTGCGAGGCCAATGTGGGTGGATCACCTGAGGTCAGGAGTTCAAGACCAGCCTGGCCAACATGGTGAAACCCGTCTCTACTAAAAATATAAAAATTAGCTGGGCACGGTGGCTCATACCTGTAATCTCAGCACTTTGGGAGGCCGAGGCGGGCGGATCACCTGAGGTCAGGAGTTCAAGACCAGCCTGGCCAACATGGTGAAACCCCATCTGTACTAAAACTAAAAAAAAATTAGCCGGGCATGGTGGTGTGCGCCTGTAAGCCCAGCTACTTGGGAGGCTGAGGCAGGAGATTCACTTGAGCCAGGGAGGCAGAGTGAGCTGAGATCATGCCACTGCACTCCAGTCTGGGCAACAGAGAGAGACTGTCTCAAAAAAAAAAAAGGAAAGAAAGAAACAACATTGGGTGTTAGTGGTGACACTAGAGATAAAAAGGGGAGAAAGGCTTTTCAGTACTCTGTTTCTCTATATACATTTCCTATTGAAGAAGGCAAGGAATTTCTAATGAAAATTTCTATATATTGATAGCAGCATGATACAGATTTGGGTAGAATTCCAGCTATATATAACATGTCTTTTAAAAAAAGAAAGGGAGGAAATAAAAAGTTAGATGTCAGTGGAAATTTTTTTCAGGCAATGAAAATATGAATTTCTTTTCCTTTTCTCTTTTTTATATTTTCCAAGTTTTCTGTAATGAGTTTACAAAATTTTTCTGATTGACAAAAATAATGACCTTTTTTTAAATGCTTGATACCATTCTTTCTATGGGATTTGTCTCTGTCCCCATCCCTTTTCTCACCCCTCTCCCCACAAAAAGTAGAAAATTCCACAGATATTATTGTTCTGTTACTCATCAGCATGTAAATAACAAGAGGCTTTAAGTATATAAAATATGGCCAGGAGTATGCAATTTGAACAGGAGCACGTACCATTACACTGAAGGAAGAATGCAGAGAGAAGAGAAGGACACGCCCACCTCACCTGCTGCAGTGCCTTTTCCTTTCAGGGGGTCATAGGTGTGCTGTATCTTGTTTTCTGTACTGTTCCAAGCAGACAATCAGTATCTCATGATCCTCTTTCTACTCTTTTTTGTTTTGTTGCTTTTTTTTTTTTTTTTAAAGAATAACTGCACAAAGACTTGCCCACCTGAATAAGTGCTTGATGAACTTTAAGCTAGGGAATTTCAGCTATCAAAAAAACCCACTGAAATTGGGAGAGCTTCAAGGAAACCACTTCACTGTTGTTCTCAGGTAAAGAACTGCAGGTGGGAATGTAGACCAGAGGGTCTGGCCAGGGCATCTTGAGTATGTTACTCACGGTTGGTCATAAGGTCCTGGTGAGCTGGTACTAACAGAACAGGAGTGGCAGCAAGGGAGGGCAGAGCAGGGCCTGGCAGGGCTGGGAGAGCAGATACCTCTGTGAGAGCAAATACCTCTGTAGGATTTGTGTGGACACCTTGCCCCTTGAAAACCTAGTGCAGCCTTTGGAAAGACACCATCTCCTTCAAATATTGTAGTAAAAGACACCGAGCCGGCTGGGCGCAGTGGCTCACGCCTGTAATCCCAGCACTTTGGGAGGCCTTGGCAGGTGGATCACAAGGTCAGGAGATCGAGACCATCCTGGCTAATACGGTGAAACCCTGTCTCTACTAAAAATACAAAAAATTAGCCGGGCGTGGTGGCAGACACCTGTAGTCCCAGCTACTCAGGAGGCTGAGGCAGGAGAATGGCGTGAACCGAGGAGGCAGAACTTGCAGTGAGCCGAGATCGCTCCACTGCACTCCAGCCTAGGGGACAGAGTGAGACTCCAACTCAAAAAAAAAAAAAAGACACTGAGCCTGTGATTCCACTTAAAGCGCCTAGAATAGGCAAATCCATGGACATAGAAAGTAAAATAGTGGTTACTGGGGAAAGGGTAGGGTAGGGGTAATGGAAAGTTACTGTTTAGGGGTACAGAGTTTCATTTTGGAAACGGGAAAAAATTTGGGAAGTAGATAGTGGTGAGGATTGTCCAACATTGTGCATATAATTAACCCATTTATGCTAGTGTTCCATTATTGGAACACTAAGCATGTAGGAATTATTTATATCCTACTGCTCAAGGTCATCGCCAAGGTCTGATTGCAAAAATTCAAAAAATTGCAACCTCTGCCATAAATGGGTTAATACCGCCAAATTGCACACTTAAAAATGGCTAAAATAGTAAATTTGACATTATAAATATCTTACCACAACTTAAAGAAAGAAAGAGCCCTTGGGAGGTAGAGAGAAAGCTGCAGGAGAGTGAACGAAAGACTTGGAAGCCAGGCCGTAGTCATTTATGAGCTGCATCCCTGAGTATTTGACTGTAACTTTTTTTCCTCTGGATAATTTGTGTCCCTGTAGAAATATAACAGGAACTGATGACCAAGTACAGCAAGCTATGAACTCTCTCAAGGAGATTGGATTTATTAACTACTATGGAATGCAAAGATTTGGAACCACAGCTGTCCCTACGTATCAGGTTGGAAGGTTGGTATTTAATTTCTTTTATCAAAAATAGCTTTCTCATAAACAAAGCAGGGTTTGTTGGTGGTGGTGTTTTTAATTATTTCTACGTTCTCCCATGTCTGGGGCAAATGAACCACAGTTTCATGATTTTTGTTTTAAGTTAATGAGTGCACAGGGTAAAAAATCGGAGTTCAAAAGGATATGACCTGAAAAGTGAGCTTTCCTACCACTCTTGGTTACCCATCCAGGGGTTCTATTTTTATTTTTTTATTTTATTTTATATATTTATTTTTTCTGAGACAGAGTTTCGCCCTTGTTGCCCAGGCTGGAGTGCAATAGCGCAATCTCGGCTCACCGCATCCTCTGCCTCCCAGGTTCAAGTGATTCTCCTGCCTCAGCCTCCTGAGTAGCTGGGTTTACAGGCATGCGCCACCATGACTGGCTAATTTTGCATTTTTAGTAGAGATGGGGTTTCTCCATGTTGGTCAGGCTGGTCTCGAACTCCCAACCTCAGGTGATCCCCCGACCTCAGCCTCCCAAACTGCTGGGATTACAGGCATGAGCCTCCACACCCAGCTATTTTTTTTATTTTTTATTTTTTTGAGATGGAATCTTTGTTGTTCAGGCTGAAGTACAGTGGTGCAATGTTGGCTCACTGCAATCTCCACCTCCCAGGTTCAAGCAATTCTCCTGCCTCGGCATCCCAAGTAGCTGAGATTGCAGGCTTTTGCCACCACATCCAGCTAACTTTGTTGTATTTTTAGTAGTGGCGGGAATTTCACCATGTTGGCCAGGCTGGTCTTGAACTCCTGACCTCAAATGATCCGCCTACCTCAGCCTCCCAAAGTGTTGGGATTACAAGTGTGAGCCACTACGCCCAGCCCTATTTTTATTTTTATTTTGTAACAGGTAAGTCTTGGCTCAGTAAGTGATTCAACAGTAATCTGTTGGGTAACTCAGACCCAGAGTAGCCAGACAGAGATGTCACATTTTCTGATCTGTGTTAACACGTTTATTAAACTTTGATCTGCCCTTCCCTCGCTCTTAATTTTATTTTATTTTTTATTTTTATTTTTTGAGATGAAGTCTTGCTGTTGCCCAGGCTGGAGTGCAGTGGTGCCATCTCCGCTCACTGCAACCTCCACCTCCCAGGTTCAAGTGATTCTCCTGCCTCAGCCTCCCACGTAACTGGGATTGCAGGCATGCACCACCTCACCCAGCTAATTTTTGTATTTTTAGTAGAGCCGAGGTTTTGTCATGTTGGCCAGGCTGGTCTCGAACTCATGACCTCCAGTGATCTGCCCGTCTTGGCCTCCCTAAGTGCTGGGATTACAGGCATGAGCCACTGTGCCTGGGCCCCTTCCCTCACTCTTTAAAGAATGTAATAAATGATAAAATTAGTGACATGGAATTTAAGAATTGTCATTTACTTTTAAACAATTAAGAACCCCTCTAGGGTAACCTACAGTGGGAATCCCATCAATAAATAGTTGGGTTCCTAAATCTACTTCTGGAATCCTGTTGCCCAGCAGAGACTCTGTTACATAAACTAATTATTCGCGTGGGAGTTAGAATTGTGGTAGTTACAAGCTGGAAGTTATCTAAGCGTCCATGTTCTTCCTTGTCTTTCAGACCCTTCATGTTAGCAAACTTAGGCTTTGAGAGGTCTGCCTGAACTCATCAATTGCTTGGCTTTAGTTTGGGAGTAGAGTTTTCCGGGCTTCCAGTCCATTGTTTCAGCATCTAAACTATGAAGTTGCATTCATTTTTGTGATTTTAAAAGCGCAAAATGATAAAAATCTATATTTCCTCTGCCTCTTTGAGGAGGTTAAAAAGCTCAGGTGAAAACAGACTTGAGTTCTGAGGCTTAAATTACTCATCTGTAGAATGGAGATAATAATACCAATTCACAGAATGGTGAAAATGAAGTGAGATGATGTTTATGCTACATCTATTTTTATGCCTAGAATATAGTGATTGCTAATATGTTTTCAACCTTGCTAATGGTCAGAGGACATTGATAAAATAGTAAAAATGCTAATTGTATTATGGGACAGAATAAGGGAGCACTGTATCAACCTGTAAATTTGTAATTAATTTGGCAGAAGGACAGCCATGGAATCCTATACGTTGTGTATGCCAAAGATAGTGTAAATAAATATAAGTAATTAAAATGAGGTCAAATTTATCCCACAACAAAAATTACATAGCGTGACCAAAGGTCAGTACGGTCAGCTCAAAATTCCAAATCATTCATTTTCACAACATAAGAATATTTCCTGCTTTCAAGGAAACGCACTGTTAACACCATAGAATTTCCTGAGGGAAAAAACAGACTTTCAGTTTATATTGTATAGGTGGAGAAATGACTTGTATCCAAAATATTAAAAGCTCTTACAACTCAAGAACAGAAAGACAACGCATTCTAAAACTTAGCAAAGGGTCTGAACAGACCTTTCTTTAAATAATGTAATCAAATGGCCAATAAGCACACAAAAAGATGCTTATCACTAATCTTTAGGAAATGCAAATCAAAACCACAGTGAGATGCCACTTCTTACCCACTAGGATGGCTAAAATAAAAAAGGCAGAGAATAACAAGTGTTAGGATTAGAGAAATTGGAACCCTTATACATTCCTGGTGGAAATGTAAAATGGTATAACGATTTTGGAAAATAGTCTGACAGTTCCTCAAAAGGTTATAAAGTTAGCCTATGACCCAGGCATTTCTAGGTATATACTGAGGACAACTGAAAATCATATGTTCACACAAAAGTTTATACAGATGTTCATAGCAGCCAAAAGACTGGAAACAACCCAAATGTCCACCTACTGATGAATGGATAAACAAAATATACAATGTAATATACAATAATATACAGTGGAATATTACTTAGCAATAAAAAGGAATGAAGTACTGATACATTCTGCAACGTGAATGAACCTTGAAAACATTGCTAAGTAGGCAGGGCACAGGGGCTCATGCCTGTAATCCCAACAATTTAAGAGGCCAAGGCGGCAGGATCACTTGAGGCCAGGAGTTCAAGACCAGCCTGGGCACCATAGCAAGGCCCCATCTCTACAAAATAAAATTTTTAAAAAATTAGCTGAGTGTGCTGCTGCCTGGCTTTGGTCCTAGCTACTCAGGAGGCTGAGGCAGGAGGATCACTGAAGCCCAGGAGTTTGAGGATGCAGTGAACAGTGTACCACCACTGCACTGTGGCCTAGATGACAGAGCAAGACCCTGCCTGTGAATGAATGAATGAATCAATTTCTATGAAATTTCCAATGTGAGCAAATCTATAGAAAAAGAGCTGGAACAGGACCAATGGGGAGTGACTACTAATGGGACAGGATTTTTTTTTGGTGGGGGTGGGTAATAAAAATGTTGTAAAATTGTGTAATGCTCCACAGTTCTTTAAAAATACTAAAAGCCATTGAATTGTACACTTACATGGGTGAATTATATGTTATGTGAATTATTGAATAACTCAGCAAAAACTTTGAAAAAAAGAAAGTGAGCCAGGCACAGTGGCTCACGCCCGTAATCCCAGCCCTTTGGGAGGCCGAGGTGGGTGGCGGATTGCTTGAGGTCGGGAGTTCAAGACCAGCCTGGCCAACATAGTGAAATCCCGCCTCTACTAAAAATACAAAAATTATCTGAGTGTGGTGGCATGAACACCTGTAATCCCAGCTACTCGGGAGGCTGAGGCAGGAGAATTGCTTTAGCCCGGGAGGCAGAGGTTGAAGTGACCCAAGATTGTACCACTGCACTCCAGCCTGGGCGACAGAGTGAAACTGTCTCAAAAAAAAAATAATAAAATAAAATAAACTCAAAATGGACCAAAGATCTAAACATAAGAGCTGCACTTATGCAAACTCTTAGAAGAAAACATGGGGAAAAATTCATGATATTGGATATGTCAGTGGTTTCTTGGATATGAGACCAAAAGCACAGGCAACAAACAAAAGAAAAAATAGATAAGTTGGACTTTATCAAAATTAAAAACGTGCATCAAAGGATGCTATCAACAGAATGAAAAGATAACCCACAGAATAGGAGAAAATATTTCAAATCATACATCTGATAAGAGACTTAAATCTAGAATATATAAAGAACAACTCAACAACAACCAAAGAAAAACCAATTCAAAAATGGAGAAAGGATTTCAATAAATGTGTTTCCAAAGATAGACAGACTGGTGTTCAACATCACTAGTCATTAGGGAGATACAAATCGAAACCACCACGAGGTACCACTTCATATCCGTTGGGAAGGCTATTATCACAAAACAACAAATAACAAGTGTTGATAAGGGTACAGAGAAATTAGAAACCTGGGCTTTGCTGGTGGGGATGTAAAACAGTATAGCCATTGTGGAGAACAGTATGGTGATTTCTTAAGAAATTAATTATAGGCCAGGCGCAGTGACTCACGCCTGTAATCCCAGCACTTTGGGAGGCTGAGGTGGGTAGATCACGAGGTCAAGAGATCGAGACCAGCCTGACCAACATGGTGAAAACCCGTCTCTACTAAAAATACAAAAATTAGCCGGGCGTGGTGGCACATGCCTGTAGTCCCAGCTACTCAGGAGGCTGAGGCAGGAGAATTGCTTGAACCCGGGAAGCAGAGGTTGCAGTAAGCTGAGATGGTAGCACTACACTCCAGCCTGGCAACAGAGCGAGACTCTGTCTCAAAAAATATATATATATAAATTATGTTATGAACCAGCAATTCCACTTCTCAGTATATACCCAAAAGAAATGACAGTGGGAACTCACCAGATATTTGTACACTCATGTTCATAATAGCAGCATTCACAATAGCCGAAAGGTAGGAGATACCCAGGCAACCCAAGTGTTTATCCAAACAAAATGTGGCCCATACATACAATGGAATATGTAAGCCTTTCAAAGGAGGAATTTTTTTTTTTTTTTTTTTTTTTTTTGAGACGGAGTCTTGCTCTGTCGCCCAGGCTGGAGTGCAGTGGCGCCATCTCAGCCCATTGCAACCTCCACCTTCTGGGCTCAAGTGATTTAAAAGGAGGGAAATTTTGACACGTGCTATCACGTGGGTAAGCATTGGAAACTTTATGTTACCTGACATAAGCCAGTAACAAAAGAACAAATATGGTACGATTTCTCTTATATGAGGTTCCTAGAGTAGTCAAAGCCATAGACAGAAAGTAGAATGGTGTCTTACAGAGGTTAGGGGGCTGGGTGGATAGGGATTTATTATTTAATGGGTATAGAGTTTCAGCTGGGGAAGATTAAAAAGTTGTGGAGGTAGACAGTGATGATGGTTGCCTGACAGTGTAAATGCACTTAATGCCACAGAACTGTATACTTAAAAATAGCCAAAAAGGTAAATGTTATTACATGTATTTTACCACAATAAAATAAAAGAAGGTAGAAGAAGGAAAGATAAAGTAAGAAAAGTACAAAGCATCTGGTCAGGCGTGGTGGCTCACACCTGTAATGCCAGCACTTTGGGAAGCCAAGGCAGGCAGATCAGGAGGTCAGGAGATCGAGACCATCCTAGCTAACACAGTGAAACCCCATCTCTACTAAAAAAATACAAAAAAAATGGCCTGGCACGGTGGCTGACGCCTGTAATCCCAGCACTCCAGGAGGCCAAGGGGGGCAGATCACAAGGTCAGGAGATCGAGACCATCCTGGCTAACACAGTGAAACCCCATCTCTACTAACAATATAAAAAATTAGCCAGGCGTGGTGGCGCGCGCCTGTAGTCCCAGCTACTTGGGAGGCTGAGGCAGAAGAATGGCGTGAACCCGGGAGGCGGAGCTTGCAGTGAGCCGAGATCGTGCCACTGCACTCTAGCCTGGGTGACAGAGCGAGACTCCATCTCAAAAAAAAAAGTACAAAACATCTTAATGTGCAGCGTGCTAGATAGTACAGCCTATTGTAAACCAAATCTCTGTATATTTAATATGGCATTGTATACTAAACCTTTACAGTATATGGTAGCATCTTAAAGGTGTTGAAAAGTCCTGCAGTTAAGAAACTGTTCAATATGTTATATCAGGTGTTGGCAAAGGTTTTCTGTAAAGGAACAGTTAGTTAATATTTTAGGCTTTGTGGGCCATTCAATATTTGTTGCAGGTACTGAGCTCTGGAGTTACACTGCAAAAGCAGCCATGGACAATATGCAAAGCAATGAGCATGGCTGTTTTCCAATAAAACTACAGAATTAGGTGGACAATCAGATTGTGCCTGCAGGCTGTAATTGATATTTAACAAAGGTTTTTTTGTTTTATTGTGTTTTATTTTTGAGACACAGTCTTGCTCTGTCGCCCAGGCTGGAGTGCAGTGGCACCATCTCGGCTCACTGCAACCTCCGCCTCCTGGGTTCAAGCAGTTCTCCTGCCTCAGCCTCCCAAGTAGCTGGGACTACAGGCACGTGCCACCACGCCCGATTATTTTTTTTTTTTTTTTTTTTGTATTTTTAGTAGAGATGGGGTTTCACCATGTTAGCCAGGATGGTCTTGATCTCCTGACTTTGTGATTCGCGTGCCTCAGCCTCCCAAAGTGCTGAGATTACAGGTGTGAGCCACCATGCCCGGCCTAACAAAGGTTTTTTAGTGTAAAAATCTATGTGTATTATATCTGTCAGATCAGTCCCTAGTACCAACTAGTACTATACTCTTTTTGTCAGTATTGGCTAAAAGATTATCCAAGTAAATAATTTATCACCCCAGGACTATATTTAAGGACTGATTTAACATGGCTTGTTCCAGGACTGTGGTGGTGGCCAGCAATAGGAAATCTGTTGATGTAATTACATTATTGGATTGAAAATCCAGGTGATGTCATCGATAGATACCAAATAGCATTTTAGATCATTTAATATCCAGAAATGCCCAGTATTGTGTAACTTAAATGTGAAAATAAAGAACCATAATTAACTGGAAAAACAGAAAAATTAATAGAAGGGGATTCCTATATTCTTTTGATAGGGAAGGGTCTTTCTAAACATGACTCCAAGATGAGAAATCTTAAAGGAAAACTTTCAGATGTAATACACAAAATATAATTTCTGTACAGCAATACTATAGTAAAAGTTAAAGGAAGAATTACATACACTTATAGATTTGCCAACAAAAATATGCTCTAAAGTGTTAACAGTGCTTAATTTCTTAGAGATTGAATAATACATAACCTTTCTTATGTACCGTTCAGTTTTTTGAAAGCATATATAGGCCAGGCATGGTGGCTCATGCCTATAATCCCTGCACTTTGGGAGGCCAAGGCGGGCTGATCACTTGAGGCTAGGAGTTCAAGACCATCCTGGCCAACACGGTGAAACCTCGTCTCTACTAAAAATACAAAAATTGGCCGGGCACAGTGGTACATGCCTGTAATCCCAGCACTTTGGGAGGCCGAGGCAGGCGGATCACGTGAGGCCAAGAATTCAAGACCAGTCTGGCCAACATGGCACAACCCCATCTCTACTAAAAATACAAAAATTGGCCAGGCATGGTGGCGCAAGCCTGTAATCTCAGCTATTTGGGAGACTGAGGCACAAGAATCGCTTGGACCCGGCAGGCAGAAGTTGCAGTGAGCTGAGATTGTGCCATTGCACTCCAGCCTGGGCAGCAGAATGAGAGTCCATCTCAAAAAAAAAAAAAAAAAAAAATTAGGCAGGCATGCTGACTCAGCCTGTAGTCCCAGCTGTGCAGGAGGATGATGCAGGAGAATTGCTTAAGCCCAAGAGGCAGAGGTTGCAGCGAGCCAAGATCATGCCACTGCATTCCAGCCTAGACAACAGAGGGAGACTGTCTCAACAAATAAAATTTTTTTAAAAAGCATATAACCTTTATAATCATCAAATATGTAGATATTTTCATTTTGACAAGAATGATAAGAGTAAATCGTATTTATTCTATTTGCCTAGGCAAGAAGGTATTAACATAGATAAATCTTTTGAGAAGTTTCAAACAAGTTTTCACACGTAAAGACTTAACTGCGATTTATATAAATAATACCATGTGGGCCGGGCACGGGGGCTTATGCCTGTAATCCCAGCACTTTGGGAGACCAAGGCGGGTGGGTCACAAGGTCAGGAGTTCGAGACCAGCCTGACCAATATGGTGAAACCCCATCTCTACTAAAAAAAAAAAAAAAAAAAAAAGTAGCTGGGCAAGGTGGCAGGTGCCTGTAGTCCCAGCTACTCAGGAGGCTGAGACAGGAGAATGGCGTGAAACCGGGAGGCAGAGGTTGCAGTGAGCCGAGATCGCATCATTGCACTCCAGCCTGGGCAACAGAGCGAAACTCCACTTCAAAAAAATAATAATAAATAAATAATACCATGTGTTACTACTTAAAGCATGACTATGTAGTATTTATACTATTATCACATTTTTAAACTGAAATGATAGTAAATGTTACGGGTAAGCATTATGTTTTCCATTTTATTCTTTTTTTGAAAGTTCTTTTGGCACTTGAAGTTCTTTTACATTTCAAATCTGTATCATATTAGATTTTCTGCCTACTTTTAAGTTTAATGAGATGATGTAGGACCAGGTGTAATGGCTAATACCTGTAATCCCAACACTTTGGGAGGCCAAGGTGGGAAGATCATTTGAGCCCAAAAGTTTAAGACCAATAGTGAGACCCCATCTCTACAATAAATTAAAAACTTAGCCAGGTATGGTGGTGTGCGTCTGTAGTCCCAGCTACTGTCAGGATGGTGGGAAAGCTGAGGTGGGAGAATCACTAGACTAGAGCCTGGGAGTAGAGCCTGGGAGGTCAAGGCTTCGGTGTATAGTTAATATGATTTGTTGACTCTTCAAAGATTTGTGCATATAAAGTTTTATCTTTATGCAAAATTTAGTAAAATAAATGTTGTTTAATTTTAGAGCTATACTACAAAATTCCTGGACAGAAGTCATGGATTTAATATTGAAACCCCGCTCTGGAGGTGAGAATAAAATTCATGTTAAGAAAATAAATAGAATGTATGGCTAGGTATTCATGAAATTGCTTTGAATAAAAGCTTTTGTGCAAATTGACGTTGTTGTTTCAGTATTTTATTTGTTTTTACAATAAAAGTATAAGTTTATTTATATTTTTCAACAGTTGTATATGTATATTTAAGATTTATAATTTATATCCTATTTTAGCTTTTTTTTTTTTTTTTGATAAGGAGTTTTAGTCTTGTTTCCCAGGCTGGAGTGCAATGGCATGATCTCAGTTCACTGCAACCTCTGCCTCCTGGGTTCAAGTGATTCTCCTGCCTCAGCCTCCTGAGTAGCTGGGATTACAGGCTTGCAGCACCATGCCTGGGTCATTTTGTATTTTTAGTAGAGACAGGGTTTTACCACATTGGCCAGGCTGGTCTCGAACTCCTGGCCTCAAATGATTGGCCTGCCTTGGCCTCCCAAAGTGCTGGGATTACAGGCATGAGCCACCATGCTCAGCCAGAATGTTGCTGGCTGGTCTCGAGCTCCTGACCTCAGGTGATCCGCCCACCTCAGCCTCCCAGAATGTTAGGATTACAGGCGTGAGCACCACGCCCAGCCTCTATTTTAGCTCTTTAGCTTGTTCAGTGTATTAATTCATAACTCAATATAAATATATTTTAAAAATGAATATATATTTTTCTTCACTCACTACTAAATCTGAGTGTATAAGAATCTAAAACATTTTACTTGTGGTTATTTTGTTAAAACATAGTGTAATGGAATATAAAAACTTGGCAAAAACACCTTGAGGATTTGCAGTGTGAAGAAGTCACCAAAAACTTTCCAAAGAGTATCTCTAAAATCATCTTGAATGAAAAGGATTAAACTACTGATTGTCAAAATAATTGTGCTCACTTTGGGTAATTCATTTGCAGACTATAAAAAGATAAAATTATCTAATTTTAAGGAAAGTAACCCGTTAAACTTGACATTACAATGGAAAAAGAGAGAAGGAAGAAAGTACTAGCGTGTTTTTGTCATGTTGAATCAGCTGTTATAATGAACAGTTAAATAGCTTTTACTTTTGACCTGAGGGTGATTGTATGTTGACAAAGCCAAATAGTTCTGTAAACTTTCTACATTTCCCATCTTTGCGCTTCCTCAGATGAGTGGTAGCTATAAACAGCACCTATATTTCAAGTAGCATTTTCTAATTTTGTGTTCTCTGTGAAGTGTACTTTAAGTTATGGAAGTCTGTCTATTGGGTAAGTCATTTAACCCTAGCTTTTTCCCCCCGCAGCTGAAAAGGGCTACTTGGTTAAATGCAGAGAAGAATGGGCAAAGACCAAAGACCCAACTGCTGCCCTCAGAAAACTACCTGTCAAAAGGTGTGTGGAAGGGCAGCTGCTTCGAGGACTTTCAAAATATGGAATGAAGAATATAGTCTCTGCATTTGGCATAGTGAGTGCAATTTGTGAAGTCAGGCAATGGCTCAAGGCGTTTTAATGCTTTTTAAATTTCATCTTGAAAGATTTTACTAAACTTTGAAAGAGCAGAAGGTAAATAAGGATCCTTTGGTGATCTCTGAGGTGTTTCACCTGAGTAGTCTTTGTTCAGACCCTGAGTGGTGATGTTGGGGGTGGATGCGGGCATTACTTATTGAGGGCACAAGAAAAGCGTCAATGTGGAAAACATAATCTTCAGTGGAAATTCTGTGTAAATTAAGTCTCTTGGTATTTGAGAAATTTCGAATCTATTGTATAGTCATTTCTTGATCATTCCGTTACCAGAACTGTAAACTGCCTTAGTAAAAGGGTTGAACAGTAAGCAGTCTATAGTTGCATTTTAGTCTGGTTTCATCATGGTGATTCAAGAGTAGCCTATGTCAGTATTTGGATATGTATAATCCAGGACTCCATGCACTCCAGCCTGAGCAACAAAGTTAAAGTTAACAAATGTTAAAGTTTAACCCTTAAGCCTAAGTCTTACTTTTCCTAGATGCACAAAGAAAGCAGAATTCTTGCTGCATGGAATTAGTTGTCAGTTCAATCATTTAGGTTCTCTCTTTAACCGTGGAATTATGGGAGAAAAAAGCACTGTTAGCTTGAAAATTGATGTGTAAATTCCTTAAGTTTGAAGACTGTGCCATTGATGTAAGGCAGGCTTGTCCAACCTGCAGCCTGCGGGCCACATGCAGCCCAGGACAGCTTTGAATGTGGCCCCACACAAATTTGTAAACTTTTCCTAAAACATTATGGCCAAGCATGGTGGCTCATGCCTGTAATCCCAGCACTTTGGGAGGCCAAGGTGGGCAGATCACTTGAGGCTAGGAGTTCGAGACCAACCTGGCCAATGTGGTGAAACCTTGTCTCTACTAAAAATACAAAACAGGCCCGCGCAGTGGCTCACGCCTGTAATTCCAACACTTTGGGAGGCCAACGCAGGTGGATCTCCTGAGGTCTGGAGTTCAAGACCAGCCTGGCCAGCATGGTGAAACCCTGTCTCTACTAAAAATACAAAAAATAGCCAGGCGTGGTGGCAGACGCCTGTAATCCCAGCTACTTGAGAGACTGAGGCAGGAGAATCGCTTGAACCCAAGAGGCAGAGGTTGCATTCAGCCGGGATGGCACCATTGCACTCCAGCCTGGGCAACAAAGTGAGACTCCGTCTCAAAATGAATAAATAAAACGATTATCTGGACATGGTGGTGCGCACCTATAGCCTCAGCTACTCAGAAGGCTGAGGTGGGAGAATCACTTGAACCTGGGAGGCGGAAGTTGCAGTGAGCTGAGATCGTGTCATTGCACTCCAGCCTAGGTGACAGAGTGAGACCTTGTCTCAAAAAAATAAAAAAGAAAAAAATGAGAGATTAAAGTAGAAGGAAAAAAGAAAAATGAGAGATTAAAAAGAAAAAGAAAAAATGAGAGATTAAAGTAGAAGTTTTGGCTGGGTGCAGTGGCTCAGGCCTGTAATCCCAGCACTTTGGGAGGCTGAGGCTGGTGGATTGCTTGAACCTGGGAGTTTGTGACCAGCCTGGGCAACATGGCAAAACCCTGTCTCTAGAAAGAAAATTCAAAGAACTAGCCTGGCATGGTGGTGCACGCCTGTAGTCACAGCTACTCAAGAGGCTGGGGTGGGAGAATCACCTGAGCCTGAGCATTTGAGGCTACAGTGAGCCATGATCATGCCACTGCACTCCAGCCTGGGTGACAGAATGAAAACCTGTCTCAAAAATAAATACATAAAAGTAAATAAATAAGTACAGTAGAAGTTTCTTATTACTACGATTACCACTAACAAGCAAAATGTCTTAGAAAGTACAGCACTTTTTGGCTGGGCGTGGTGGCTCACGCCTGTAATTCCAGCACTTTGGGAGGCCAAGGTGGGCGGATCACCTGAGGTCAGGAGTTTGAGACCAGCCTGGCCAACATGGTGAAACCCTGTCTCTACTAAAAATACAAAAATTAGACAGGTGTGGTGGTGTACCCCTGTAATCCCAGCTAGTCTGTAGGCTGAGGTGGGAGAATTGCTTGAACCCGGGAGGTGGAGGCTACAATGAGCCTAGATCGTGCCACTGCACTCCAGCCTGGGCAAGAGAGCAAGACCCCATCTCAAAAAAAAAAAAAGTACAGCACTTTTTATATTTAGAATATGTTTTCTTGCCTATTTTTTTCCTTCCCTCCAGATACCCAGAAATAATCGCTTAATGTATATTCATAGCTACCAAAGCTATGTGTGGAATAACATGGTAAGCAAGAGGATAGAAGACTATGGACTAAAACCTGTTCCAGGGGACCTCGTTCTCAAAGGAGGTAAAAAGGCAGATGTCTTTGTTACTCAGCTAAGCTAGGGTTCAGTTAGTTGCCACTAGTGGCTTTAAAATCCATCCTGGCTATTAATTAAGAAAGAGAGATGTGGTGAGGCACGGTGGTACACGCCCATAATCCTGACACTTTGGGTGGCCAAGGTGGGTGGATCACCTGAGGTCAGGAGGTCAAGACCAGCCTGGCCAATATGAAGAAACCCTGTTTCTACTGAAAATACAAAAATTAGCTGGGTGTGGTGGTGCATGCCTATAATCCCAGCTACTCAGGAGGCTGAGGCAGAAGAATCGCTTGAACCCAGGAGGCAGATGTTGCAGTGAGCCAAGATGGTGCCACTGCACTCCAGCCTAGGTGACACAGTGAGATGCCATCTCAAAAAAAAAAAGAGATGTCTAGTAAGTTTGAGATGAAGGGACCATGCAAACTTACATTGGCTAGTTTGTATCTGTATTTTTAAAGAAAAAATGTATATCTGGTTTGAGTAAGCACCTCGATCTCGAACTCCCCACCTCGGGTGATCCGCCTGCCTTGGCCTCCCAAAGTGCTGGGATTACAAGTGTGAGCCACTGTGCCCGGCCTGAGTAAGCACCTCTCTCTGGGCCTCCCTTTTCTCAACTCAAATAGGATTTGGGCTAAATGGATGGCTGAAATCACTTTCGAAACTTCGATCTAGGTCTAGCAAATAAATACACCTCTGGATGTGTCTTGTTAGCCAACCTTAAAGAGTTTCTTCAAGTCACTGGGCGCAGTGGCTCACACCTGTAATCCCAGCACTTTGGGAGCCAAGGCGGGCAGATCACGAGGTCAGGAGATCGAGACCATCCTGGCTAACACGGTGAAACGCCGTCTCTACTAAAAATACAAAAAATTAGCCGGGCGTGGTGGCAGGCGCCTGTAGTCCCAGCTACTCAGGAAGCTGAGGCAGGAGAATGGCGTGAACCCGGGAGGCGGAGCTTGCAGTGAGCCGAGATCACACCACTGCATTCCAGCCTGGGCGACAGTGGGAGACTGTCTCAAAAAAAAAAAAAAAGAAGAGTTTCTTCAAACTCAAATAGAATGGGCATTTAGTATATGCTATGCCCAAAATGTTCCCAAGACACTCCTAATATCCCATCTTCCATGGAGCCCATTGTGTGTGCCAGGCCTTGGCACTAAGCCCTGTACCTGTGTCTTTTAGTTTAAAGCCTCAGTGTTACTGTGAAGTATTTTCTCTGTTTTTTCAGGTGAGGTTTAGTCACTTGCCCAAAGTTCCACAGCTAGTTAAAAAAAAAAAAAAAAAAAAAAAAAAAACAGAAAAAACTGGGATTCAGAGTTCTATCTGATTCCAAACTCCATGTGTGTCTCTGGCATACTAGGCTACCATCTATTAGCTGAATACATGATCTGCTCATCTGCAGGCAGACCCCATAAACCCACTAAGGTTCTAACTCTGTTCAGAAATTTTAAATTATTTTTCCTGATTTAGCTTCTTTTCCTCATGCCATGTTGGTCACATCCAGTGTATTTTAATGTCCTGGGTGCCGCTGTGTTTCATCCTCTTAAGTACATTCCAGTTTTTTTTTTTAACTTTTTTTTTTTTCCCAGCAAAATGCATCCATTTATGATGCCACTGCAAATACGATTTTGTAGTATGGTGGCTTTTCAAAGTGTTTTCTTGTGTTACTTTATTTAAGAAAGATAGAGGAACTGATTTTAAATAGTAGGCATTCAAAAAAATGTGGATGCAGCTGAGAGATAAATGTTTTTAAATTTTCATTGAAAATTTTACTTCAGATTTGGTGCAGTAGCTCACACCCGTAATCCCAGTACTTTGGGAGGCCAGGGCAGCAGAATCACTTGAGCCCAGGAGTTCAAGACCAGCCAGGGCAACAAAGACCCATCTCTACAAAAAATTAAAAAACTAACCAGGCGTAGTAGCACACACTTACAGTCCCAGCTTCTCGAGAGGGTGAGGCAGGAGGATCACTTGAGCCCAGGAGGTTGAGGCTGCAGTGAACCTTAATCACACCACTGCACTCTGGCCTTAGTGGCAGAGCAAGACCCTGTCTCAAAAAACAAAAAAAGAATTTCTTTTACTTTTTCTAAGTCCTTGATTTTTATTTCTTGGGTAGAGTAGAAAAGACAGAAGGATATATATCCAAACTTAATTTTTTTTTTTTTTTCCTTTGAGACAGGGTCTCACTCCAAGACCCAGGATGGAGCACAGTAGTGCAGTCACATCTCACTGCAGCCTCAACCTGCCAGGCTCAGGTGATCCTCCTGCCTTAGCCTCCCAAGTAGGTGGGACTACAGGTGTTTGCCACCACACCCAGCTAATTTTTATATTTTTTGTAGAGATGGGGTTTCGCCATGTTGTCTAGGCTGCTCTGGAACTCCTGGGCTCAAGCAGTCTACCCACCTCAGCATCCCAGAGTGCTGGGATTACAGGCGTGAGCCACTGCTCCTGGCCCCAGCTTAATTTCTTTTTCCTTTTTTTCTTTCTTTTTTATTTTGAGAGGAGTTTCACTCTTGTCACCCAGGCTGGAGTGCAATGGCTTGATCTCAGCTCACCGCAACCTCCGCCTCCCGGGTTCAAGCAATTCTCCTGCCTCAGCCTCCCGAGTAGCTGGGATTACAGGCATGCGCCACCATGCCTGGCTAATTTTAGTATTTTTAGTAGAGACGGGGTTTCTCCATGTTGGTCAGGCTGGTCTCGAACTCCCAACCTTGGGTGATCCACCCACCTTGGCCTCCCAAAGTGCTGGGATTATAGGTGTGAGCCACCGCACCTGGCATAATTTAAGCTTTTAAGTCACTGAACCTGTACCAACTTGTACTTCTGACTTGCTTAGATGTATATAATTTTAGAAGATTGAGTTCATAACAATATTGCCTATTTTCTTAATTTATTGTTCACTTGTGAATTTACAGCCACAGCCACCTATATTGAGGAAGATGATGTTAATAATTACTCTATCCATGATGTGGTAATGCCCTTGCCTGGTTTCGATGTTATCTACCCAAAGCATAAAAGTAAGTTCCCTGTATGGGGAAAATAGTTAAAACAAGTTTAACATAATGAAGCTACTATTTCAAGCATATATAAACTTTGGTTATTTATGACAGTCTCCCAGAAAGGGATGCATTCACATGGAAAATTTAAATTAAGAAACTCTACCTCTGAATCTA
Source organism: Homo sapiens (assembly GCF_000001405.40). Lineage (NCBI taxonomy): Eukaryota > Metazoa > Chordata > Mammalia > Primates > Hominidae > Homo > Homo sapiens. The sequence continues at coordinate 105,465,156 of NC_000007.14, read as the reverse complement.
AAATAAAAGTTGAAATTATAAAATAAAATAAATAGGTCAGGCACGGTGGCTCACGCCTATAATCAATCCCAACATTTTGGGAGGCTGAGATGGGTGGATCGCTTGAGCTCTGGAATTCGAGACCAGCCTGGGCAACCTGGCAAAACCCCGTCTCTACTAAAAATACAAAAATTAGCTGGGCCTGGTAGTGCACACCTGTGGTTCCAGCTACTTGGGAGGCTGAGGTGGAAGGATATCTTGAGCCCAGGAGGCAGAGGTTGCAGTGTGCCAAGATCATGCCACTGCACTCCAGCCTCAGCGACAGAGCAAGACTCTGTCTCAGAAAAAAAAAAAAAAAAAAAAAGGGAAGAGGGGGATTTGTTAGGGAAATTGGCCTGCTTGATTGTGGAGTTGAGAAGTCCCACGACAGGCCATCTGCAAATGGGAGAACTGGGAAAGCCAGCAGAATGGTTTAGTCCAAGTGTGAAGGCCTGAGAACCAGGGAAGCCAATGATGTAACTCTCAGTTGGAGGTCAAAGACTTGAGACCTGGGGAACCACCAGTATAAGTCCCAGAGTCCATAGGCCAGAGAACCTGGAGTTGACATCCAGAGACAGGCGAAGAAGGGCATCTGGCTCTGGGAAGGAGAGGGAGAGAATTCAGCCTTCCTCTGCCTTTATGTTCCATCCAGGCCCCCAGCCGACTGGAGGTGTGTGCCCACCTTGAGGGCAGATCTTCCCCACTCTGCCCACCAACTCACATGCCAGTCTTCTCTAGAAACACCCTCACCGACACAGCTGGCACAGTCCGGTCACTCTAATCAAATGCCAAACCACCTGGATTTCCCTCTGAGAAGAAGGCTGAGCTCAGTGCCTACTGAAGCAGTGAAAATAAATCATGTTTTACTAGCTGTTGGGGTCTCCCTTACCCCAGTCAAGTTGACACCCAAAATCAACTATCATAAGAAAGAAAACATTATTTTCCTCTTCTCTCTTAAACCTTTTGGGATCAGGAACTTTGCCAGTACCAATTAGAACATAAACTCAGCAAAGCCTTTGACAAAGCCATTCATGAAAACCTTGTAGCCAGGATGGCCATTTGTAGACTGGATGGGTGATATTTCAGGTTTCTGGGTATGTAACACATGCATACCTGGTACCCGACAGTGCTTGATTGAGGGATCCCTGTTGTCCTTAGTGTGTGGTGAGGGACCTGTTCTAGCCAATATTTTTTATGAGTAACTTGAACAAAGAAATTTGCTTGTTATATTTGCAAATTGTGCAAAATAGTTAGTATTAATTATATGAAAAATACATATTTAAGAATTGCATAATATTCTATTGCAGTATTAATTTTAAAAACACAATTTCAATGTATTTGCATTTGTCCATCCATTAATTTATCAAATATGTATGACACCTCATATTCAATGTCTTATATTAGTTACTGAATGAGTAGAAGGCTAGCAAAAGTTGTAATAGAGGGGCAAGTTTGCAATAAATAATTTAGTAAGATGTTAAAAAAAAAAAAAAGAACTGCAGAAGGTATTTAATAGGAATAAATGTAAATTCCCACATTTATGCCCAGTGATCAAATGCCGATAGAAAAGGCCCAGTTTGATAGTAGTTTGTATAAAAAGCTTAAAATATCTGGAGTTATTGTTGTATGTGAGCCTGTTACCCTGGGGCAGATAAAAGGTTTGGTGGGAAATACAGAAATGTTAAAGGAGGGACAGCTAAGGGAAGCATTGTTTGGTCTAGAGAAGATATGGCTGAAAGATCCAGTACTTATGACTATATGTGGAAGAAGACAGTTAATCCACTGTGTTCCAAAGCGTCAACAGAAGTTAGAAGAAAATGGATTTCAGCTTGGAATAGGAAGAACTTTCTAATAATTGCATGCCTCACAAAGAAGTATTTCCCCATTAATGACTGTGCAAGCAAAGGCTGGAAAACTGTCTCTCTTGAGTGCTATAAAAAAGACTCTACATCAGGTGCGCGGGTGAGCCAGATGGTTTTCCAAGGTCTCTTATTTTTATACATTTATTTATAACTGCCTCTTCCAGAGAGAGTTTGAAGCCTCTGTATATGCTGTCTTCCAACTCTCAGCCCATATAAAATGCAGTTTAGCAACTTTGGATGAAATGGCCTTTTGTAGTTGGCTTGGGAACCTTACACCACAGGTACTATGACTGGTTGCAAAAATAACTGAAAAATTGGCCAAACCAAAGCTCAGTACACCCTGTAGTCCTAGTTACTAAGTCACTAAATTTTGATTCCAGGGAACAGATTTTGGATTATAAATTAAGGTGACTAATTTTATTAGGGCAGTCTAACTGAACTTACATTGTTACTCTCTTTATAATCTAGTTCAGGATAACTTGACTGACAAGCTGCATTTCAACTAACTTTTTGTATTTTATATTAGTTCAAGAAGCCTACAGGGAAATGCTCACAGCTGACAATCTTGATATTGACAACATGAGACACAAAATTCGAGATTATTCCTTGTCAGGGGCCTACCGAAAGATCATTATTCGTCCTCAGAATGTTAGCTGGTGAGTAATCATCTAGAATGAGATAGAACTGAATTACCATATAAGTTGTAAGCTTTTGCTTCACTTTATATAGAGTCATGTACTGCACAAGAATTTTCAGTCAGTGACAGATTGCTTATATGATGGTGGTATCATAAGATTATAACACCATATTTTTACTTACCTTTTGTTTTTTTTTTGGTTTTTTTTTGAGACGGAGTTTCACTAGTCACCCAGGCTGGAGCACAATAGCATGATCTCGGCTCACTGCAACTTCTGCCTCCCAGGTTCAAGCGATTCTCCTGTCTCAGCTTCCAGAGTAGCTAGGATTACAGGCACCTGCCACCACACCTGGATAATTTTTGTATTTTTAGTAGAGGCAGGGTTTCACCATATTGGCCAGGCTGGTGTCAAACTCCTGACTTCAGGTGATCCTCCTGCCCCGGCCTCCCAAAGCGCTGGGATTACAGGCACGAGCCACCACACCTGGCCTTACCTTTTTTCTTTTCTTTTTTCTCTTTTATCTTCTTTTCTTTTCCTTTTCTTTTTCTTTTCCTTTTCTATCTTTTTCTTTTCTTTCTTTTCTTTTTTTTTCTTAATAGAGGCAGGTTCTTTCTGTCACCCAGGCTGGAATGCAGTGGCATAATCATGGCTTCCTGCAGCCTCAAGCTCCTCTGCTCAAGCAATCCTCCCACCTCGGCCTCCCAAAGTATTGGGATTACGGGCATGAGCCACCACATCCAGCCTGTGCCTTTTCTATGTTTAGATGCACAAGTACTTAAACCATTGTGTTACAGCAGCCTCCAGTATTCAGTACAGTAACATGCTGTATAGGTTTGTAGCCTAGGAGCAATAGGCTATAGTCTGTAACCAAGGCGTGTAGTAGGCTATACCATCTGTGTTTGTGTAAGTACATTCTGTGATGTTTACACGGTGATGAAATGCCTGACAAGGGTTAGAACATGTCCCTCTTGTTAAGCAGTGCATGACTGTACTTTTTCAGTGCTTACAACCTAGCATCTAAGTGTTTCATAAGTGTTAGTTATTATTGTTATTACTACTATTGTTACCACTACTGCTACTACTTTGTATTTTTCAAATCATCAAGAAGTAAATGAAGCTAAGCCGGGCACAGTGTCTCATAAGTAAGCCCGGAGACTCCAGAGGCTGAAGCGGGAGGATTGCTTGAGGTCAGGAGTTTGAGACAAGCCTGGGCAATATAGTGAGACCCTGTCTCTAAAAAAAGAAAAGAAATAAAGAAGCTGTTTTGAATATAAACAGTTATGGGAAGTGAGTTCATTTACATTTTATTGGCATCACTGAATTATTGAAGAAATGTGTAGAGTGAACTTTTTTCCTATTTCTAAAAACTTAGATTTGCTTACAGAGCTATCTCTGAGCAAATTACCTTACTTAGAATTAGCTGTGAGTTCCAAACACCGCTCTGGTTGTTTTAATATCATGTTTCTAGAGAGGAAAATATACTTATGTTAGTTCGTTTAAAAATACTTTATTGGAAGCCCAAGGTGGGAGGATCACTTGAGCCTAGGAGCTTGAGACCTGCCTCCGCAACATAGCAAGACCATCTCTACAAAAAATTACAAAAATTAGCCTGGTGTGATGGTGCACATCTGTAGTCCCAGCTGTTTGGGAGGCCAATGTGGGAGGATTGCTTGAGCCTGGAAGGTCGAGGCTGCAGTAAGCTGTGATCACGCCACTGCCCTCCAGCCTGGGTGACAAAACGAAACCCTGTCTCAAAAACAAATTTTTTTTTTTTTTTTTTTTTTTGAGACGGAGTCTCGCTCTGTCGCCCAGGCTGGAGTGCAGTGGCGCGATCTCGGCTCACTGCAAGCTCCGCCTCCCGGGTTCGCGCCATTCTCCTGCCTCAGCCTCCCGAGTAGCTGGGACTACAGGCGCCCGCTACCACGTCCGGCTAATTTTTTGTATTTTTAGTAGAGACGGGGTTTCACCTTGTTAGCCAGGATGGTCTCGATCTCCTGACCTCGTGATCCGCCCGCCTCGGCCTCCCAAAGTGCTGGGATTACAGGCGTGAGCCACCGCGCCCGGCCTCAAAAACAAATTTTAATACTCAGTATTATCTAAAGCTTTATTTGATAATTTTAAAATGAAATCCTGAACTAGTTGCCTATTTCCAGGAAATTATTTTATTCCCTATTTCCTTCTCTTCTCCATCTCTCTTACCTCCTCCTCTCTGGAGTATAGGCAAGAGGTCCACATGGTTGGACTTTGTCTTCCCCACTCCAGAGAACTGTTCCTTCTCAGTAACAAGCTGTTGTTGGTTGTGGCACCCAGTCTGGAGAAAATGTAAATGCCGTAAGTAATTTGATCACAGCTGTGCAAAGTGAAGTTTACTGACTCTCAACTTCATTTAAAAAGAATTGTCGGCTGGGCACGGTGGCTCACGCCTGTAATCCCAGCACTTTGGGAGGCCGAGGCGGGCAGATCACGAGCTCAGGAGATCGAGACCATCCTGGCTAACACGGTGAAACGCCATCTCTACTAAAAATACAAAAAATTAGCCGGGCATGGTGGCGGGCGCCTGTAGTCCCAGCTACTCGGGAGGCTGAGGCAGGAGAATGGTGTGAACCCGGGAGGCGGAGCTTGCAGTGAGCCAAGATCACGCCACTACACTCCAGCCTGGGCGACAGAGCGAGACTCCGTCTAAGAAAAAAAGATTTGTCAGTTGTACATTTTTAAAATTTTAATTATTAATGTGAAGAAATGGGGTTTCACCATGTTACCCACGCTGGTCTTGAACTCCTGGGCTTAGTCATCCCACCTCGGCCGCCCAAAGTGTTGGGATTAGAGGCATGAGCCACCATGCCTGGCCCCAGTTGTGCATTTTTAAATAACTAATAGAATATAATTGGATTGAGCCTATTATATTCAGGCACAGTGGCTCACGTTATAATCCCAGCAGTTGGGGAGACTGTGGCGGGTGGATCACCTGAGGTCAGGAGTTTGAGACCTCCCTGGCCAACATAGTGAAACCCCATCTCTACTAAAAATACAAAAATTAGCCAGGCATGGTGGCAGACACCTATAGTCCCAGCTACTTGTGAGACTGAGGCAGGAGAATTGATTGAACCCAGGAGGCAGAGGTTGCAGTGAGCCAAGATCACACCACTGCACTCCAGCCTAGGTGACAGAGTTGAGACTCCATCTCAAAAAAAAAAAAAAATTATATATATAAGCAAAACTTAGGTATAAAATCTGGCCCTGCTATATTATTCAAGATTCCTAACTATAATTATTTACAGTAAACTTACTTGTTTTTCTTGCTAAATAAATGATGATGAGTGGCTTAGTACCTTTTATGAAAGTTCACATTCACACTTATCTTTATTCATATGTTTTGAAGGGAAGTCGTTGCATATGATGATCCCAAAATTCCACTTTTCAACACAGATGTGGACAACCTAGAAGGGAAGACACCACCAGTTTTTGCTTCTGGTAAGTTTACTCAGTCATCAGCTCTGTGTTGACTTTGAAATGTTTTGTTAAACAAAAACATAATTTTTTTTTGAAAACTGCTCTTACAAGCACTACCACCACCCATGATTTCATTGTTGTGTTTTATGACCTTACTTTCACAATTATGGCTGAAAGTTAGTGATTAAAACCAGTAAATCCTCCTGAAAATAAGTGCATGTTATAGATGGTTGTGATATTAGGTGATGGAGTATTTCTCCCCATCCCCCACAGAGACTTACCAAAGGTGAGTGAAAATTCAGGAAGAGTCTAAAAAATTAAATTGGTTGGGCAGGTGCGGTGGCTCACGCTTGTAATCCCAGCACTTTGGGAGGCCGAGGCGGGCGGATCACGAGGTCAGGAGATCGAGACCACGGTGAAACCCCGTCTCTACTAAAAATACAAAAAATTAGCCGGGTGTGGTGGCGGGTTCCTGTAGTCCCAGCTACTTGGAGAGGCTGAGGCAGGAGAATGGTGTGAACACAGAAGGCGGAGCTTGTAGTGAGCCAAGATCACGCCACTGCACTCCAGCCTGGGTGACAAAACGAGACTCCATCTCAAAAAAAAAAAAAAAAAAATTGGTGGCTGGGCGTGGTGGCTCACACCTGTAATCCCAGCAGTTTGGGAGACCGAGACAAGTGGATCACTTGAGGTCAGGAGTTCCAGACCAGCCTGGCCAACATGACAAAACCCCGTCTCTACTGAAAATACAAAAAAAAAAATTAGGCGGGCGTGGTGGTGGGCACCTGTAATCCCAGCTACTCAGGAGGCTGAGGCAGGAGAATCGCTTCAACCCGGGAGGTGGAGGCTGCAGTGAGCTGAGATTACACCACTGCACTCCAGTCTGGGCAACATAACAAGACTCTGTCTCAAAAAAAAATTAATTAATTAATTAAATTGGCATTCTCATCATCAAATTCTTGTTCTGTTTTTTCCCAGGCCGTAATTTATTATTATTTCTTTAACTTTACATGCGTTTCTCTTTTGTGTTCTTCTGTCATCTGCCTTTTTGTGAAAGTTCCTGGGCAGAATTTCTGTAACCATTCAGCAGGTTCACACTCACAGATCTCTTACTTCCATGGTCTCATTCTCCAAGGCCCCCTAGGAAGTGGAGTCTAAGGAAAGCAGCACAGTTCTTTGTATTTGCTTAGAGATTATGTGACTCTCGCTGGTCTGTCTGCAGCTGCCTTCATTTTCTGACTGTTTTCTTTCTTGCCTTGCAGAAGGCAAATACAGGGCTCTGAAAATGGATTTTTCTCTACCCCCTTCTACTTACGCCACCATGGCCATTCGAGAAGTGCTAAAAATGGATACCAGTATCAAGAACCAGACGCAGCTGAATACAACCTGGCTTCGCTGAGCAGTACCTTGTCCACAGATTAGAAAACGTACACAAGTGTTTGCTTCCTGGCTCCCTGTGCATTTTTGTCTTAGTTCAGACTCATATATGGATTTCAAATCTTTGTAATAAAAATTATTTGTATTTTTAAGTTTTTATTAGCTTAAAGAAATAATTTGCAATATTTGTACATGTACACAAATCCTGAGGTTCTTAATTTTAGCTCAGAATATAAATTAGTCAAAATACACTTCAGGTGCTTAAATCAGAGTAAAATGTCAGCTTTACAATAATAAAAAAAGGACTTTGGTTTAAAGTAGCAGGTTTAGGTTTTGCTACATTCTCAAAAGACAGCAGGAGTATTTGACACATCTGTGATGGAGTATACAACAATGCATTTTAAGAGCAAATGCAACAAAACAAATCTGGACTATGGATAAATAATTTGAGAGCTGCCACCCACAAATATAAATACAGTACTCATGCTGACTGAAATAATAAGACATCTACAAATTTATAAACAAAAAGTGATTGTCATTATCCTGCTTATGTACTAGATTCAGGCAAGCATTATAGACTTTTTGGTTGCGGTGGCTTTTGCATTTATATTATCAATGCCTTGCAGGAACGTTGCATTGATAGGCCCATTTTATTTTTTTATTTTTTTTTTCGAGACAGGATCTCACTCTGTAGCACAGGCTGGATTGCAGTGCAATCCTGCAATTCTCAATCTTGCACTGCAGCCTCGACCTCCCAGGCTCCAGTGACTCTCCCACCTCAGCCTCCTAAGTAGCTGGGAGTACAGGCGCGCACCACCACGCCTAGCTGATTTTTGTATTTTTTTGTAGAGACGGGGGTTTGGCCATGTTGCCGAGGCTAACTCCTGGGATTACAGGCATGAGCTGTGCTGGCCGGGTTTTTTTTTCTTGATGTAAACGTGTACAGCTGTTTTATTAGTTAAGGTCTAATTTTTACTCTAGGTGCCTTTTATGTTCAGAACTCTTTCCACTGGACTGGTATTTGCTCAAAAATAAATAATGGTAGAGAAGAAAACTATAAAAATGGACAAGGCTTTCTTCTATCAGTAGCGTTTACCCTTTGTCACCAGTGGCTTTGGTATTTCCATGTCTGGCATTGCATAAACTTCTCTGGTGTGAAAGGATAAATATGCCTTTCTAAAGTTGTATATCAAAATTGTATCAATTTTTATTTTCTATGATTTCTAGAAACAAATGTAATAAATATTTTTAAAATCTCCTTTCTACTGGTTATGTAAATAAATCAAATAAATATATCAAAATGAGTGCAGATAAGAATCTTGACCTTGACTAAAGGTAAGGAACTAAATGAATGTGGGATCCTCATCAGAAATGGTGGTGACACCAAAATGTGTTGTGATCAGCTGTGAAGTATGAGGATAATCTGAGTCAAATGCTACGAATAATTGACTGTGTTGGACTGGACTCCAGGTTATTGGAATCACTCACTCACCTTCCAATGTGCTTTATGGAGTAGAAAAGAAAGGAATGGAAAAGAGCTACCGTACCAGGAGCATTGCACCATGGGAATGTGAATGACATTTGTCTCGTATCTGGTAGTAGAAATGAGATTCGGAACTGTTTTTCAACCCTTTTGTTTTAATGACATCCATCACCACCACACTGCTGAGGCTTAAAAAAGATTGGAAATAGCATGGTAAATTTTATATATATATATATATATATATATATATATTTTTTTTTTTTTTTTTTTTTTTTTTTTTTTTGAGACATTGTTGTTCTGTCACCCAGGCTGGAGTGCAGTGGCGTGATCCTGGCTCTCTGCAACCTCCCACTACCAGGTTCAAGTGACTCTTGTGCCTCAGCCTCGTAAGTAGCTGGGATTACAGGCACCGCTGCCAGGCCTGGCTAATTTTGTATTTTTAGTAGATGCGGAGTTTCGCCATGTTAGCTAGGCTGGTCTCAAACTCCTGGCCTAAAGTGATCTGCCCACTGCTACCTCCCAAAGTGCTGGTATTACAGACGTGAGCCACCATGCCCAGCCCAGTAAATTATCCTTTTTGCTAGCTAGTTTTGAAAGAATATTTTGTCCTAGGTCAGGCACGGTGGCTCACACCTGTACACTTTGGGAGACCAAGGTGGGAGGATTGCCTGAGCCCAGGAGCTTGAGATCAGCCTGGGTAACATAGTGAGACCCTGTCTCAAATATATATATATATATATATATATATATATTTTGTCTTACAAAAGCTAAACATGTATTAAATGTATAGTAGTCCTGTCTGTACCTTCCAGTAATAGCTGGAGTTCTCCTTCATCTGACAGAAAATTATTTATGAAGGGATCTAAGTCTTTCTGTTGCAATTGCATTCAGCAGTTCTGCATTTACAGGTTGAGTATCCCTTACACAAAATGCCTGGGACTAGAAGTGTCTTGGATTTTCATTTTTTTTTTTAGATTTGTACTTCAACTTACTGGTTGGAATCCAAAAATCCAAAATGCTCCAATGAGCAAGTTTTGGATTTTGGATTTTCAGATTTGGGATGCTCAACCAGTATAAATTTGCATTCCAAAACAAAAGTGAAGCTAAACTTGTGTTTTCTTCATCTGGGAAATACTTACGGCTCTATTGTTAACTTTCTTGGCTGTGTTAGCTAGTACCAGTTTGTACATGTCTCTTCATAAACACCAGTGGATAAATAATGATTCAAGGCGGATTCTTCAAGCTGTTTTGAGACTCAGGGGGCACACCACCTAACTCTAGGGACTTACTCAACCTGAAATAAATCATTGCCTTAGCATAGAATTCAGAACATTTTTTGTTGTTTGGAAAGGGAGGAAGTTTCTCTTAGACAAATTTATAAAGCCTGAAAGCAACCTCATCCTCAACATAAAAGTATCATTGCTTCCTAAATTTTTGCCTAAAAGAAATAATAAAGGATCATTCTTTTTATTATAATGTAAAACCAACACTATTCCATAACAGGAAAGGAAGCTAAATAATCAAAATTGTTCTTTCCAATGTTTTTATTCATGGTTTCATGTTGTAGATAATAACTAGACTGCTATTATACTAATAAAAAAAATCCTGATTGCTTCCTGAATCTTCATGGTTTCATGTTGTAGGTAATAACTAGACAGCCATTATACCAGTTTAAAAAATTTCTGGTTGATTCCTGAATCAACCAAAAAATTGGTAACAGCTGCAATACTACATCAGTACTTAAAACTTCACCAGTTGCTCCAGGCTGTATGAATTAACATCGACTGGTATTTGCACTGGAATGCATTTTGTGGTCAATTTGCACTTAAAAAAATAAGGATGCGTGTGTGTAATACAAAATAGAATACATATAAATGTTTTATAGCTACCAATGTGCACTGATGTGCATGTGCCTTTTTGAAACCAAAGCAGACCTGGAGTGTACCATGTAGTTTTTTATTTCAGATATATGAAGAAATGAAACCACACTGGAAGAATGACAAAGCTGAATATGGCCAGCTTCTCATCTTTGTAAATTCAAAAGCATTTGCTTGCTCAGCAAAGGATAACTTTAAGGCTTTCTTTGTTCAGTGAAATCTGCTTTTCCACTTTGTGTAGGGTAGAACTTAGTTTTGGATCATGAACACCTTGGAAAATCTGAGGGAGAAGTATAGACATTGCTTCCAGGAGAAGGAAAGCGGGAAAGTGTATCCATATGTGTGTGTGTTACAAATTCATGCAAACTTTTTATACAATTTTAGGGGCTTCAATGTATTCAATAAGACCCCCTACTCTAGGTAAGTGCTTTCCAACCTTTAATGTACTTAACAGTCACCTGGTGATCTTCTTAAACTGCAGGATGTATTTCAGGAAGTCCAGGTAGAATATGAAATACTGCATTTCTAACCAGTTCCCTACATGTGCTGCTGTTACACACGAAGCAGCCAGGCTCCAGACCTGTACTGGCCAACACAGCGGCCACTAGCCATGTGACTACTTAAACTTGACTTAAGCTTCTCAGTCACAGTTTCAACTGCTCCATAGCCAAATATATGGCTAGTGGCTCTGTGGTGTACAGCACTGACGCAGTTAATAAATCAATCACCTGAGATACAAAGGAGAGTCTACACTGATCAGATGTGATACTGTTGCAGGCTGGGCGCTGCAGCTCATGCCTGTAATCCCAGCACTTTGGGAGGCCGAGGCGGGCGGATCACTTGAGGTCAGGAGTTCAAGACCAGCCTGGCCAGCATGGTGAAACCCCGTCTCTACTAAAAATACAAAAATCAGCCAGGCATAGTGGCAAATGCCTGTAATCCCAGCTACTCGGGAGGCTGAGGCAGAACTGCTTGAACCCAGGAGGCAGAGGTTGCAGTGAGCCAAGATCACACCATTGAACTCCAGCCTAGGCAACAGAGGGAAACTCCATCTGAAAAAAAAAAAAAAAAAAAAAAGTAATACAGTTGCAAATGTTGCAGAATTTCTGCTCCTTAGTTCAGCTAAATCCAAGTTCTTATGTCATGACCAGGAAAAAGTTAGGCACAGACACATTGAAGGGTGAGCAGAACAGAATATATTGGGCAAAATGGGCAAAAGAAAAAAAACTCTCAGCAAAGCAAGAGGGGTTTCTGCTAACAGGCCCCACCTCACAGATTGATTCCAGGCCATACACAGGAACTGAAGAACCCAGGCTCCTTCCCCCTGCAAGCAGCATGAACTTCTTTGACTCCATCCTGTTCTCCCAGTGCTCAGGCCGGTCCAAGATTCTCCTGGGACCCTCCCCTGTATTTTCCTCTTGCATCTATCAACACCTGGTGATGCTGATGATTACAGGCAAACAATGAATATATGTGCAAAAGGGATTACATTGTAATTAGATCCAAGGCTCATATTGATGATCTAAGATTTCACACTTGAGATCGCTAAGAGCCTTCCTTAAACTCACTTCCATGCTTCTTATTTTTTGGCTTCCTCCAGGATCACTAATAATTCTTTTTTCCTTGTTTGTTTGTTTGAGACGGAGTCTCACTCTGTCACCCAGGCTGGAGTGCAGTGGCGGGATCTCAGCTCACTGCAACCCCTGCCTCCTGGGTTCAAACAATCCTCCCACCTCAGCCTCCCGAGTAGCTGGGACCACAAGCACGTGTCACCATACCTGACTAGTGTTTTTGTGTTTTTGGTAGAGAAGAAGTTTCGCCATGTTGGCCAGGTGGGTCTCGAACTCCAGGGCTCAAGTGATCCACGCGTCTCAGCCTCCCAAAGTGCTGGGATTACAGGCGTGGGTCACTGCTCCCCGCCTTTTCTTTCTTTGCTACCCTTGTCCAAAGGTTTCGTCAAACCATTCTTAAGGCACTGTGGCCTTGTTACTCCATACAGAAAATTTACCCTCCACCCTCTAAAAAAGTCATAATTGTTGTAATTAAAAACTCCTTGGCTGTAGCTTCTTATGAAAGCAGCAGCTGCAAAAAGCAGGAATGGCCAGAAAGCCCATATTATTGTGTTGTCCTTCGGGTATACTGTGTTGATTTTCTGTTACGGCTTATCCAGCTGTGCTAGACTCCTGGAAAGTACCCAGTATGTAAAAAGAGATGACAACAGGAAACCATGGTGGGAGAAGTTATTCAAAGCCCCTGTCTCCTAATGCATATTTACAGTCCCCTCAAAAGCCCTACATGGATCTTTAGAGCAGCTTTGTCCAATACAAATATAATGTGAGCCATGTATGTGATTGAAATTTTCTGGTAGCCTTATTAAGAAAATGAAAAGAAACAAGTAAAATTAATGACGTAGTTTCTATAAAGCAACATATCCAAAATATCGTTTCAACTTATAAGTAATATAAAAAATATTTTACATTCTCTTTTTTGTACTGTCTTAAAAAACCAGTGTGTATTTTACACTTAAAATATATATCAATTTGGACTAGCTGTATATTTCATGCTCAATAGCCACTTGTGGCCAATGGCTACCACATTGGACGTTGAGTCTTCAGAAAGATCACTTGTTCTTTGTTGCATGTCACCAGTATAATGGTAAATTTGAGTATTAAGGTTTGATTTTTTAAATTGGGAATATGTAGGTTGGAAGCACAGCTAGTTAAATATGATTTTGAAATGTTTACTGGATTGTTAAGTTTTATACTGATTGGGAGTAAATACTTTTGCTATGGGAGCACATAACAAACATGGTTGTTATTAGGTTCTAAAATATTATCAGAGTGTTTGAAATTTTCCAAGCAATTCAGATAACACCCTACAATTTTCTTTCACCTATAAATAATGAAAAGCTAATCCTCAGTGCAGCCTCTATTTAGATTTTATTTTATTTTTTATTTATTTATTTTTGAGACAGGTTCTCGCTCTGTTGCCCAGGCTGGAGTGCAGTGGTGTGATCTCGGCTCACTGCAACCTCCGCCTCCCGGGTTCAAGCAATTCTTGTGCCTCAGCCTCCCAAGTAGCTAGGATTACAGGCATGAGCCACTGTGCCCAGCCTTCTATTTAGATTTTAAATTCCATGTTCATGGAATATAAATTGAGGTTTGGGAGATGAGAATAAGGATAGAGTCAGAAGTAAAAAAAAATTTGTGAAAACAGCACATGAAGCTAAGAACTCAGGTTGTACAGGATGGCAAGGTGATTAGGCAGGGCTGAGGTTTTGTTTTGGCTTTTATTAATGATAGCTTTATTGAGGTATAATTTACATACCATACAATTCACTCATTTAAGTGTACAAAGGATTTTGGTATATTTGGAGTTGCGCAACCATTATCACAATCATTTTTACTTTTTTTTTTGAGACAGAGTCTCGCTCTGTTGCCCGGGCTGGAGTGGCGTGATCTCAGCTCACCACAACCTCTGCCTCCCAGGTTCAAGTGGCTCTCCTGCCTTAGCCTCCCAAGTAGCTGGGACTACAGGTGCGTGCCACCATGGCCAGCTAATTTTTGTATTTTTAGTAGAGACAGGGGTTTCACCATATTGGCCAGGCTGGTCTTGAACTCCTGACCTCGTGATCTGCCTGCCTCAATGTCCCAAAGCCCTGGGATTACAGGCGTGAGCCACTGTGCCCGGCCCATTTTTTTATAATCTCAAAAAGAAACTTCAAATGCATTAGCGTTGACTTCCTATTATCACCTCAGCCCCAGCCCCTGGCAACTGCTACTTTCAATCTCTGTTGATTGGTCTCTTCTAGTCATTTGATATAAATGAAATTATACAATATGCGGGACTGACTTTCACTTAGCATAATGTTTTCAAGGTTTATCCAGTTTGTGACGTAAAAGTACTTTATTCCTTATTTAGGCAAACAATACTCCATCTATGAATATACCACATTTTATTCATGTTCATCAATTGATAGACGTTTGGGTTGTTTCCACCTTCTGGCTTTTATGAATAATGCTGTTATAAACATTTTGGTATGAGTTTTTGTACAGTCATATGTCTCCATTTCTCTTGAGTATAAAGCTAGGAGTGGAATTTCTGTGTCATATAACTGTGTTTAATCTTTGAAGAACTCTCAGACTGTTTTCCTAAGTAGCTGCACCATGTTACATTCCCACTAGGAGTGTATGACAGTTCTATTTTCTCCACATCCTCGTCAACACTTGTTGTTATCTGTCTTTGTGATTGTAGCCATCCTTTTGGGTATAAAGAGGTTTCTCTGCTGGACGTGGTGGCTCACGCCTGTAATCCCAGCACTTTAGGAGGTCAAGTTGGGCAGATCACTTGAGGTCAGGAGTTTAAGACCAGCCTGGCCAACATGGTGAAACCCCATGTCTACTAAAAATACAAAAATTAGCCAGACATGGTGGCAGGCACCTGTAATCCCATCTACTTGGGAGGCTGAGACAGGAGAACTGCTGAACCTAGGAGGCAGAGGTTGCAGTGAGCCAAGATTGCGTCACTGCACTCCAGCCTGGGCGAGGGAGCAAGACTCCATCTCAAAAGCAAAAATAAAAATAAATTTAAACAAATGAAAATAAAGTGGTTTCTCACTACGGTTTTGATTTGCATTTCCCTGATGACTATGTGGAATATTTTTGTATGCTTATTGGCCATTTGTCTATTCTTTGGAGAAATGTCTATTGAGATCTTTTGCCCATTTGGGGGGTGTTATTTTTCTTTATGTTGTTGAGATCTAGAGTTCTTTGTATGTTCTAGGCACAAATCCTTTACCAGGTATACGATTGGCAAATATTTTCTCCCATTCCATGGGTTGTCTACTTTCTTTTTTTTTTTTTTTTCTTTTGAGACAAGATCTCATTGTTGCTCAGGCTGTCTGTAGTAACACGATCACGGATCACTGAGGCCTCAACCTCCCAGGCTTAAAAGTAGCTGGGACTACAGGCACACACCACTACAGGCTAATTTTTGTATTTTTGGTAGAGATGGGGTTTCACCATGTTGTCCAGGCTGGTCTTGAACTCCTGAGCTCAAGCCATCTGCCTGCCTCGGCCTCCTAGAGTGCTGGGATTACAGGCTTGAGCCACTGAGCCTGGCCTATCTTTACTTTCTTGAGGGTTGGGTTTTTGTTTTGTTTTGTTTTTTGAGACAAAGTCTTGCTCTGTCACCAGGCTGGAGTACAGTGGCGTGATTTTGGCTCACTGCAACCTCCCCCTCCCGGGTTCAAGCGATTCTCCTGCCTCAGCCTCCCGAGTAGCTGAGACCACAGGCACATGCCACCACGCCCACCTAATTTTTGTATTTTTAGTAGAGACGGGATTTCACCATGTTGGCCAGGATGGTCTCGATCTCTTGACCTCGTGATCTGCCTGCCTCGGCCTCCCAAAGTGCTGGGATTACAAGCGTGAGCCACTGCGCCCAGCTGAGGGTTGGGTTTTAAAGGCTGTAGGAGTTATTCTTTATTGAAATTTTGTTTCTAAACTAAGTTCCTATGGTGTCCATAATAACTAGATTGCTGCAGTGTCCACAGTAACCATCTGAAAATGGATTTTCATGACTGGGAGGGCTCAGGGTTAAGCGCAAGAATTCACAACCATAACTTTACAGGATGAAAATAGTCAGGCACTGCCAGGAGCGGTGGCTCACACTTGTAATCCCAGCACTTTGGGAGGCCTAGGCAGACGGATCACTTGAGATCAGGAGTTGAAGACCAGTCTGGCCAACATGGTGAAACCCTGTCTCTACTAAAAATACAAAAATTAGCCGGGCGTGGTGGTGGGCGCCTGTAATCCCAGCTACTTGCTGGGCTGAGGCACGAGAATTTCTTGAATCCGGGAGGCAGAGGTTGCAGTAAGCCAAGATCTCGCCACTGCACTCCAGCCTAGGCGACAGAGTGAGACTCCGTCTCAAAACAAACAAACAACAACAACAACAACAAAAAAAACCACTTAGGCGCACTTGGGAACGCTTTTGTTTCAGCTCAGTTCAACTCCACCTGCACCCTCTGAGAGCTGCAAATGGGGAACATAACTCTCCTTAGCCCAGCACCCACGTCTGTTCTCTACTAGCCACATTCATCCTGTTTTCTACATTTCTCTCTTCCTGTTTACAAAATTAATTTTCAACATAGAAGATCTTACTACCTGTTTTGGCCTAGACAAATGTTTCACTACCAAAAAACTTGCTCGTCAAGCTGACACAGAGTCATTCCACTTAACGAGTTAGCCACCTTCCATTAGCTGGAAAGATGATAGAGTCTTAGTTGATCCTTTTTTCTAATAATAATATCTGTCTAATAAAGTGGAGCTAAAGTCTGTTTCTTTCCTGTGCCATCCTGGTTTCTTAGGACCCCTGCACATTAATTAGGAGGAAGTCATGATGTGGATAACTCCAAAAGGTGAAAATCCAAAAGTAAATAAAGCACTGGAGGCTGCTGTGATAAAGAGGAAAGGACGTCAAACCAGGAGTCAAAATGCACAGGCTGAAGTCCTGGCCCTGCCACTGACTGTTGCTCAGAGACCTTCAGAGATCCACATCCCTCCTCCGGACCTCAGCTTTCTCCAGAGAATCCCTCAATGCTAACTGTTGCAGAGTACTCCATGGAGTGCACCCATCACACGTGGACTACACGGAGCTCCAGGGATGGACATCAGATTTGCCTCTAACTCCTCATCACCCTAAACAACATTGTCATCAACTCCATTGCACATGTCTCCTTGTGGACCCATCACAGCACCATCAGTTCCCACTGTTGCAGGCTAAGGAAGAAGCCTGTACACAGTCCCATCTGGGTGGGATTGGCTGTCCACAGAGGTAGGAAGACGAAGTGATGCCAAGTAGGATCATCTTCCCTCCAGAACTTGGGCCCAGTCTTCCAGGAGTTGTCATCTGTGCTTGGAGCAATAACTCATTTTCTCTCCTCTCTTACCATGTGAATTTTTCACTACTTTAAAAAATTGCTGGCTGGGCATGGTGGCTCACGCCTGTAATCCCAGCACTTTGGGAGGCCGAGGCGGGTGGATCACGAGGTCAGGAGATCAAGACCATCCTGGCTAACATGGTGAAACCTCGTCTCTACTAAAAATACAAAAAATTAGCCAGGCGTGGTGGCAGGTGCCTGTGGTCCCAGCTACTTGGGAGGCTGAGGCAGGAGAATGGCGGGAACCTGGGAGGCAGAGCTTGCAGTGAGCTGACATAGCGCCACTGCACTCCAGACTGGGCAACAGAGCGAGACTCAGTCTCAAAAAAAAAAAAAAAAAAAATTGCTGGCCAGGCACGGTGGCTCACGCCTGTAATCCCACCACTTTGGGAGGCCAAAGCAGGTGGATCACCTGAGGTCAGGAATTTGAGACCAGCCTGGCCAACATGGTGAAACCCCGTCTCTACCAAAAATACAAAAATTAGCCAGGCATGGTGGCGGGTGCCTGTAGTCCCAGCTACTTAAGAGGCTGAGGCAGGAGAATTGCTTGAACCTGGGAGGCGGAGGTTGCAATGAGCCGAGATTGTGCCACTACACTCCAGCCTGGGCAACAGAGCGAGACTCCATCTCAGAAAAAAAAAAAAAAAATTGCAATATACATTCATAACCAAGTCCACTTTCAAATAACACCATACTGCTTCATGAGTAGTACAGGTCCTTCATGGATAGTACAGATACTTTATAACAGTATTTGCTGGCCAGGCACGGTGGCCCATGCTTATAATCCCAGCACTTTGGGACGTCAAGGTGAGCAGATCATGTGAGGTCAGGAGTTCAAGACCAGCCTGGCTGACATAGTGAAACCTCGTCTCTACTAAAATACAAAAATTAGCCAGGCACGGTGCCAGGCACCTGTAATCCCTGCTACTCGGGAGGCATCCCAAGTTGGGATTGCACCGTTGTACTCCAGCCTGGATGACAGAGTGAGACTCTGTCTAAAAAACAAAAAACAAAAACAAACAAACAAAAAAACAGTATTTGCAACTCCTTTCTACTGCTTTCTAAAGCAAAGAAACGGCTTTCATTGATTTCACATTTCCATGCTATAATCATGCAATTCCTTCTTGCTATTATTATTTTGAATGGTCATATATTAGATCAGTTAATAAGAAAAGTAAAAGGTTATTTTTATTCCTTCTCTGATTCTCTTCCTTTCTTGATATGCATGAGAGTTTCTGACCTATATCATTTTCCTTTTCACTGAGGAACTTCTTTTAACAGTTTTTGCAAGGCAGGTCTGCTGGCAATAAATTCCCTCAGTTTTTGTTTTTTGAAAAAGTCTCTTTCTCCTTCACTTTTGCAAGATAATTTCACTGGATGTAGATAATTCTAAGTTGGTGGGTTTTTTCTGTCAACACTTTAAATATTTCATTCCACTCTCTATATATTTTCATGGTTTCTGATGAGAAGACCAATGTAATTCTTATGCTTGTTGCTCTATGGGTAAGGTGTTTTTTCCTGGCTTCTTTCAAGATTTTATCTTTGGGCCGGGCGCGGTGGCTCACGCCTGTAATCCCAGCACTTTGGGAGGCTGAGGCGGGCGGATCACAAGGTCACGAGATCGAGACCATCCTGGCTAACACGGTGAAACCCCGTCTCTACTAAAAATGCAAAAAAAGTAGCCGGGCGTGGTAGCGGGCGCCTGTAGTCCCAGCTACTCGGGAGGCTGAGGGAGGAGAATGGCGTGAACCCAGGAGGCGGAGCTTGCAGTGAGCCGAGATCGTGCCACTGCACTCCAGCCTGGGCGACAGAGGGAGACTCCGTCTCAAAAAAAAAAAAGATTTTTATCTTTAATTTTCTGCAATTTGAATATGATATGCTAAAATATAGTTTTATAATATTTATCCTGCTTAGTACTCTCTGAGGATTCTGGATACAATGGTTTGAATGGGTCCCCCAAAATTCATGTATTGGAAACTTGATCCCCAATGTGGCAGTGTTGGGAGGTGGGACTTTAACTTTTAAGAGGTGGTTAGGTCACGAGGGCAGGGCCATTATCTGGGGAATGGGTTTGTTATCACCAGAGTGAATTCCTTATAAAAAGAGGAGTCTGGGTTTCTCTTGCATTCTCTCTGTCTCTCATCCTCTCTTGTCCTCCCACCTTCTGCCATGGGATAACATAACAAGAAGGCCCTTGCCAGTTGCCAGCTCTTTGATCTTGAACGTCCCAGCCTCTAAAACTGTGAGAAATAAATGTATATCCAGTATAAATTAAACAATCTCAGATATTCTTTTATAGCTGCACAAAAATGACTAAGACACTGGATGTGATTTGATGTCTGTCATTAATTTTGGGAAAATTTGTAGTCATTATTCAAATATTTCTTCTGTTCTCTATTCTTCTGGTTTTCCAAAACATGTATGTTATACTTTTTCATATTGTCCCACAGTTCTTGGACATTCCATTCAGGTTTTCTTGTTTTATTTTTTCATTATTTTTTCTCTTTGTATTTCAATGTGGAAGTTTCAGTTAACATATCTGCAGGCTCACTGATTTTGTCCAGTCCACTGACATTCCTCATTTCTGTTACGGTGTTATTTTTTAAATTTCTAGCACTTCCCTTTATTGCTTCTTAGAGTTTCCATCTCTCTGCATACATTATGCATCTGTTCTTGCATGTAATCTACTTTTTCCATGAGAGCCCTTAACATATTAATCATAGTTATTCTCAGTTCCAAAATCTGTGACACCTAGCTGAGTCTGGTCTGATGCTTGCTTTGTTTTTTCTCTTGCCTTAAAACATAGTATGCCATGTGATTTTTGTGTAGAAATAGGTGCATTATTTATCAGGTAAGAGGAACTGAGATAAGTAAGCAGAGGTTTTGTGTTAATCTGGCTAGGAGTTGGACTGCGTTTAAATTTGTTGCTATAGGTGTTGGAGGCTATAGGTGTTGCTATAGGTGTTGCTATAGGTGTTGCTATAGGTGTTGCTATAGGTGTTGCTATAGGTGTTGCTATAGCTGTTAATTTATTCTAGTGTCCTAGTTTTTGTCTCCCATGTTGTCTTTGTGTTTCTCTAAAAACTCCTTAAATGGAATCGTTACCTTGCAACTCCTTCAGCTGTAATCCATTGTTATTATACGGCAATCACAGCTCCTTCAGCTGTCATTCATCGTTATTATACTGGAGCCATGTTGATGTGGTGGTAAGGTACACAAGGGAAATACAAATCATTCTATAATTCTATTATTAAAGCTCAGGCATGGCCGGGTGCGGTGGCTCACGCCTGTAATTCCAGCACTTTGGGAGGCTGAAGCGGGCAGATCACGAGGTCAAGAGATCGAGACCATCCTGGCCAACATGGTGAAACCCCGTCTCTACTAAAAATACAAAAATTAGCCGGACATGGTGGCAGGCGCCTATAGTCCCAGCTACTAGCGGGGCTGAGGCAGGAGAATCGCTTGAACCCGGGAGGCAGAGGTTGCAGTGAGCCAAGATCACGCCACTGCACTCCAGCCTGGCAACAGAGTGAGACTCTGTCTCAAAAATAATAATGATAATAATAATCATAATAATTAAAAAAATAAATAAAGCTCAGGCTTGTATCTCTGGACTGTGACTTTTTTCATCCTTAGGTGAGACAGAAAGGCTAGTGGGGCTGAATTTGGGTAACTTCCCCAGGTCAGATAAGGCTCTGATAACGTTTTTGCCCTGCTGACTAGGCCTTTGTTATAGAGAATACTGTGACATATTTTCGAATGGTTAATTTTCCTCTTACACTACCAGAAACAAGTGTTCCTTCCTGATTCTTTATAGTAAGAATCTGGTTGGGTTCCTAGAAGTAAAACCCACTAAGACTCCAACCCCCAGGAGTTTCTCACTCTTTTTTTTTTTTTTTTTTTTTGAGATGGAGTCTCACTCTGTTGCCCAGGCTGGAGTACAGTGGCATGATCTCGACTCAGTGCAACCTCTGCCTCCTAGTTTCAAGCGATTCTCCTGCCTCAGCCTCCAGAGTAGCTGGGATTACAGGCGCCCACCACCACGCCTGGCTAATTTTTAAAAATTTTTTTAGTAGAGATGGGGTTTCACCATGTTGGCCAGGCTGGTCTCGAACTCCTGACCTCAAGTGATCTGCCACCTCAGCCTCCGAAAGTGCTGGGATTACAGGCGTGAGCCACCGCAGGAGTTTCTCACTCTTATGCTGGTCCACACCCAGCCTTTAGCCATTCATCAGTTACCATGTAAGTATTCCTGCCAGTGTATGACTGCTCCAGGTAAACTGACCTCATCTGTGATTCTCCTTATTCTCCTGTCTCTCTGGATTTTGAGGTGATGCTTTGCCCTGCAACCTCAACTCTCTCATGGGTCCAAGAAAAATTATTAAAGTCATTGATTTTCAGTTTTTCAGCTTTCTTACTGAAAGGACGTGAGTGACAAATTCTAAGCTCTTTGCATGTCAGAAATGAAACTGGAATGTATTTTTTTCAAATATATATGTAATTATATATAATTAGTCTCTTCTAATTGGAATAAATGTCATAATGCTAATGCTTTTCGGTCACCATTATAGTAATCCTAAACCTAAAATACCTTGTCAAGAGTTTGATGTGATTTCTAATTTTTTCTCTATGTTTATGTGTTTCTGTATCTATATATATTAATATATATACATACACATATATAGATATGTGTATATATATCTATAGAGCTATGTGTGCACATATATACATATCTGTATGTGTGTGTGTATAAATCCACGTATACATTTTTTACATGGGTGTGATGTGTGTATAATGCTATGCTGTAACTTCTTTTTCCATTTAATATTCTCTATACTGTCTTTTCCTTTAAAAGCTAAATTTAGGGTGGGTGCAGTGGCTCATGCCCATAATCCCAGCACTTTGGGAGGCCAAGGCAGGTGGATCACTGGGGCCAGAAGTTTGAGACCAACCTGGCCAACATTGTGAAACCCCGTCTGTACTAGAAATTCAAAAAAAAATTAGCCAGGTGCAGTGGTGCGTGCCTGTAATCCCAGCTACTCATGAGGCTGAGGCAGGAGACTCACTTGAACCCAGGAAATGGAGGTTGCGGTGAGCCGAGATTGCGCCACTGCACTCCAGCCTGCGCTACAGAGCAAGACTTCCTCCAAAAAAAGATTTAAAAAAAAAAAAAAAGTAAGAAAATTAGCACGGTATGGTGCGCACCTGTTATCCCAGCTACTCAGGAGGCTGAGGCAGAAGAATTGGTGGAAGTTGCAGTGAGCCGAGATCACACCACTGCACTCCAGCCTGGGTGACAAAGCGAGACTCCGTCTCGAAAAAAATAAAAATAAAAATAAAAATAAAATAAAATAAAATAAAGGCTGGGCATGGTGGCTCACACCTATAACTCCAGCACTTTGGCTTTGGGAGGCTGAGACGGCCAGATTGCCTGAGTTCAGGAGATCGTGACCAGCCTGGGCAACACGGTGAAAGCCCTGTCTCTACCAAAATACAAAAAAATTAGCTGAGTGTGGTGGTGGGCGCCTGTAGTCCCAGCTAGTCGGGAGGCTGAGGCAGGAGAATTGCTTGAACCCTGAGAGGTGAAGGTTGCAGTGAGCCGAGATTGCACCACTGCACTCCAGCCTGGGTGACAGAGAGAGACTCCGTCTCCAAAAAAAATTAATTAATTAAATAAAATCTAGATTTATTTCAAATGAAGTTTACATTCAAGTGACAAAACTATTTTTCCTCAGTAATCTTGAAATTTCATCTATTCGTAATTACTAATTTTCTTCAATAAATATTGATGTCTCTTTGAATCTATAAATAAAATTTTGTATGGCCGGGCGTGGTGGCTCATGCCTGTAATCCCAGCACTTTGGAAGGCCGAGGCAGGAGGATCACTTGAAGTCAGGAGTTTGAGACCAGCCTGGCCAACATGGTGAAACTCCGTCTTCACTAAAAATACAAAAATTAGCTGGGCACGGTGGCACACGCCTGTAATCCCAGCTACTTGGGAGGCTGAGGCAGGAGAATCACTGGAACCTGGGAGGCGGAGGCTGCAGTGAGCCATGGTTGCCACCACTGCACTCCAGCCTGGGTGACAGAGCGAGACTCTGTCTCAAAAGAAAAAAAAAAATCTGTGATTCTAGGACAGGCATGGTGGTGTACACCTGTGATCTTAGCACTTTGAGAGGCCGAGGTGGGAGGATCACGTAAGGCCAGGAGTTCAAGACCTGCCTGGGCAACATGGCAAGACCCTGTCTCTAATAAATAAACAAATAAATACAAAAAAACATAAATAAGCCAGTCAGCCAGGCATGGTGGCACATGCCTGTAGTCTCACCTACTCAGGAGGCTGAGTCTGGAGGATCACTTGAGCCCAGGAGTGTAAGGCTGCAGTAAGCTATGATTGTGCCACTGCATTCCAGCCTTGGCAACAGAGTGAGACCCTGTCCTTGAAAAAAAGAGAAAATTTGTGATTCTATTTAAAACACAGGCAAATAAATCTTTAACTCATTTCCCATTAATTGCCTGAGCAAGTATTCAATTAACTTATGTCATTATTTTTCTAATTCCTCTATAAAATATTAACATATAATAAAAAAAATCTTTTGAAGGTTCAAGAGATGTTTTTGTTTTTGTTTTTGTTTTTGAGACAGAGTCTCTCTCAGTCTCCCAGGTTGGAGTGCAGTGGCATGATCTTGGCTCACTGCAACCTCCGCCTCCCGTATTTAAGTGATTCTCATGCCTCAGCCTCTCGAGTAGCTGGGAGTACAGGCCCCCACCACCATGCTAAAAATTAGCCATGCCCAGCTAATTTTTGTATTTTTAGCAGTGACAGGGTTTCAACATGTTGGCCAGACTGGTCTCGAACTCCTGATCTCTGGTGATCTGCCGCCTCAGGCTCCTAAAGTGCTGGGATTACAGGTGTGAGCCACTGCACCTAGCCAACAGATGTTTTAAAATACATTTTCTGGGGGCCGGGCGCGGTGGCTCATGCCTGTAATCCCAGCACTTTGGGAGACCAAGGCTGGCGGATCACCTGAGGTCAGGAGTTCGAGACCAGCCTGACCAACATGGAGAAACCCTGTCTCTGCTAAAAATGCAAAATTAGCCAGGCGTGGTGGTGCATGCCTGTAAACCCAGCTACTTGGGAGGCTGAGGCAGGAGAATCACTGGAACCCGGGAGGCGGAGGTTGCAGTGAACCGAGATCGCACCATTGCACTCTAGCCTGGGCAACAAGAGCGAAACTCCGTCTCAAAAAAAAAAAATTCATTTTTTTGGTAGCTACACTTTCAGACATATTTCTGATTCAAGATGGCAGACTAGGCCACGCGCGGTGGCTCACACCTGCAATCTCAGCACTTTGGGAGGCCAAGGCAGGTAGATCACCAGAGGTCAGGACTTCAAGACCAGCCTGGCCAGCATGGCGAAACCCTGTCTCTACTAAAAATGCAAAAATTAGCTGGGCGCAGTGGTGTGTTCCTGTAACCCCAGCTATATTGGAGGCTGAGGCAGGAGAATTGCTTGAACCCAGGAGGCAGAGGTTGCAGTGAGCTGAGATCACGCCACTGCACTCCAGCCTGGAGACAGAGCGAGACTCCATCTCAAAAAGAAAAAGTTGGCAGACTAAACACACGCCTCCATCTTCTTTCCTTCCCAAGGTCTCAATGAATTATGGAATTATAGGAAAGAGCCAGCAGGTGGAATCCTATCCATGGAGAAAAAGAAGAGGAAGTTGCACTTAGCCCAACACATGGTATGTAATAAAGGAAATCCTGGCAACTGGCAAACCCACGGTCAACAAAAAGAGCAGGGCTGTGCCAGGAAGCCATCTTTAGGGTAATTCATTAAGGAAGCATGCTTGGAATTACAGGGACTATCAGCTCCCTCCTATTCTCCTCTTCCACCATGATTCATTCAATGAATATTTGTTGAGCACATTGCAAAGCACTAGGCACTGTTTTGAGTGTTTTGCCCTCAGGATAAAGCGCATGAACAGTTTTCTAAAGCAAGTGGACAGGCAGCCCAAGGAGGGCACCCAGTGAAGTGCTTCATCCCCAGGTGAAGGAGAGCAGAGCTTGCGCTGCCTTTAGAACTCCATAGAAGACGTGGGTGGGGAGCAGGACAGGCAGCTCTGCCTAGGAAAGAAACACACGAAACCTGTTCCATTGGAAATACAACCCTCCTGAATTTAGCAATCGTGGGGTTCCCCAGACTGCTCACCCACACATCTTTTATTTAGTGAAGTATGCCCTGCCACTTACATGGAAGCTACCAGCTCTCCCCTCAGGGAGAGGCCTGCCGGAAAACAGATCACTGATACAGAAACACACACGCCCACCTCAGCCCAGACTAACCAATGGAGGGCTTTGTTCCTACCTATGAGTGAATGTCAGAGCTCGCTAAACAGGAGGAAAGGCCACAGAAGCATGGAGGAAAAGGACCGGGTAGGCCTGGTGGCTCACTTTGGGAGGCTGAGGCAGGTGGAGCTCTTGAGCCCAGGAGTTCAAGACCAGCCTGGCCAACAGGGTGAAACCTTGTCTCTACTAAAAATACAAAAAAAAAAAAAAAAAAAATTAGGCAAGTATGGTGGCGCATGTCTGTGGTCCCAGCTACTCGGGTGGCTGAGGTGGGAGAATCATCTGAGCCTCGGAAGTCCAGGCTGCTGTGAGCTGTGTTCACACCACTGCACTTCAGCCTGAGCAACAGAAGTGAGACCTGTCTCAAAAAAAAAAACAACCACAAAACAAAACAAAAACAATAATAAAGGACCAAGATGAACTAACTGAATAACAGACCCCCATCAGAAATAGCAATACCTCTGAAAGCAAGAGAATTTCAAATTGTCCTAATCAGTGTATACGGTATACTATGGCAGAATGCAAATGCGCTATGCCATGTATTAGTGTTAAGATACATGGCATAGTGCAAAAAGTCTTCAGTGAAAGGACATTAATCAGATAACTGAATGAGTGATTGCCAAAATACTGTAAAGGATTGGGAAAATGATCAAGGGGATTAGCTGTGAACCAAGTAATTGGGAGGACACAGTAGAGGAAGTCTCTCAGAACATAAATCATAAAGACAGCAGATGGAAGATATCTTAAGGTAAAGAAGGAGAGAACAGAGACAAGAGAGTGGGAAAATAAATAACAAAAGAAAATTTCCCCTAACTCAGGCAAAAATAACCCACCAAGTATCAAACAGGGCTAATTAAAAACATCTACATATTCTAGTGAGATTTCAGAAATCCAAAAGTCTTCAGTAGTGGGAGTTGAAAAACCATGTCACTTGCAAAGTATCCAAATTCAGACTGCTTTCAGATTTCTCATCACCAAGTGCTGGAAGGAATTGGAAAAACATCTTCAAAGATGGAGGAGAAAAGCGTTAGACCTAAAATGCTATACTTAACTAAGGCATCCATCAAATGTGAAGATAAAATAAAGATATTTTCAGACATAAAGATATTCAAAAAAGCCTAATCCTTCATGAGAAATTTTTTGAGGGGATTTTCCGAAAAAAAAAAAAAAATCTAAACAAATCCCAGAAAGGAAGATGACATGGGAGTAGCAACTAGAAATTGAAGTATAGGGCCGGGCACAGTGGTTCACATCTGTAATCCCAACATTTTGGGAGGCTGAGGCGGGAGTATCGCTTGAGCCCAGGAGTTTGAGACCAACCTGGACAACATAGGCACAGTGGCACATGTCTGTAGTCCCAGTTACTTTGGAGGCTGAGGTGGGAGGATCCTTGAGCCCAGGAGGTCAAGGCTGCAGTGGGCCGAGATCATGCCACTGCAATCCTCCAGCCTGAGTAACAGAGCCAGACCCTTGTGTTAGTCTGTTCTTACGCTGCTATAAAGAACTGCCCAAGACTGGGTAATTGATAGAGGAAAGAAGTTTAATTGACTCACAGTTCCACATGGCTGGGGAGGCCCAGGAAACTTACAGTCATGGCAGAAGGGGAAGCAAACACGTCTTTCTTCACATGATGGCAGGAAGGAGAAGTGCCAAGCAAAAGAGGGAAAAGCCCCTTATAAAACCATCAGATCAGCCGGGCATGGTGGCTCACACCTATGGTCCCGCCACTTTGGGAGGCCGAGGTGAGTGGATCATGTGAGGTCAGGAGTTTGAGACCAGACTGACCAACATGGTGAAACCTCATCTCTACTAAAAATACAAAAAAAATTAGCCGGACATGGTGGCGTATGCCTGTAATCCCAGCTACTTGGGAGGCTGAGGCAGGAGAATTGCTTGAACCCAGGAGGCAGAGGTTGCAGTGAGCTGAGATCACGCCACTGCACTCCAGCCTGGGCAACAGAGCTAGATCTGTCTCAAAAAAAAAAAAAAAAATCAGCTCTTGTGAAAACTCACTCGCTGTCATGAGAACTGCAGCATGGGGGTAACCACAACCATTATTCAATTACCTCCTACCGGTTCCCTCCCACGACACGTGAGGATTATAGGAACTACAATTTAAAATTAGATTTGGGTGGGGACACAGCCAAACCCTATCAACCTTGTCTCAGGGAAAAAAAAAAAGAAAAGGCTGGGTTCGGTCGCTCACACCTGTAATCCCAGCACTTTGGGAGGCTGAGATGGGCAGATCACCTGAGGTCAGGAGTTTGAGACCAGCCTGGCCAATGCCATCTCTACTAAAAATACAAAAACTAGCCAGGCGTGGTGGCACGCACCTGTAATCCCAGCTACTCGGGAGGATGAGGCAGGAGAATCACTTCAACCCAGGAGGCAGAGGTTGCAGTGGGCCGAGATCACGCACTGCGCTCCAGCCTGGGTGACAGAGTGAAATTCTGTCTCAAAAAAAAAAAAGAAAAGAGTAATTAAAGTACAGTAAAATATGATTAATGATGGAAATAAAAAATATGTTAGATATTGGTATTAGGAAGGTTCTCCTTTGATTGGCCAACTATTCATGAACTAAGGTTTTGTGAATCAGGATGTCAAAAAAATATAAACTAGGGTTATATATGTATATTTTAATTGGTTCCAGTACACTAGTTCTATAATAATAATGTTTGCATATTCAC
Source organism: Homo sapiens (assembly GCF_000001405.40). Classification (NCBI taxonomy): domain Eukaryota; kingdom Metazoa; phylum Chordata; class Mammalia; order Primates; family Hominidae; genus Homo; species Homo sapiens. Next base: position 105,436,472 of record NC_000007.14, on the reverse strand, counting down.
AGTTTTTATGATATTTCTTTGGTTTTCCTCTTTTAGGATTTATTCATTCATTCAACAAATGTTTGTTCAGCACCTATTGCATGCTAGGAACTGTTCTTGGGAATGGGAATACTCAATGAACACAGCAAAACCTCCCTCATGGACTTACTTTCTAGTGAGGAAACTATGATAACATTTAAATATTCTGGGGAAACACTGTTTCCCTAAATGTACACAACACTCCTGACATCAAATGTGTGGGTTTTTTCCTGCACCGACCAATCTCTGACCAGCTGGCTGTCCTCCAATGTAATGCAATTCTGACTCTATCCACCTGTAGTTTTTGTTGTTGTTGTTGTTGTTGTTGTTGTTGTTGTTGTTGTTGTTTGAGACAGAGTCTCACTCTGTTGCCAGGCTGGAGTGCAGTAGCACAATCTTGGCTCGCTGCAACCTCCACCTCCTGGGTTTAAGTGATTCTCCTACCTCAGCCTCCTGAGTAGGTGGGACTACAGGTGCCCACGACCACACCCAGCTAATTTTTGTATTTTTGGTAGAGACAGGGTTTCACTATGTTGGCCAGGATGGTCTCAATCTCTTGACCTCGTGATCCACCCGCCTCGGCCTCCCAAAGTGCTGGGATTACAGGCGTGAGCCACTGCACCTGGCCTATTCACCTGTAGTTAATGTCAGAACCCACAAATTAAAGAGTTCAGTCTCACAAAACTGCCCCGATTTCAGATGCTAATGGCAAGTCCAGACCTCCCACACTTCTGACCAACTTGCTACACATCACAGCTTCCTATGACATCCATGGGTTTGACAATTTGCTAGAATGGCTTGCAGAACTCAGGGAAACACTTTACTTACATTTACCAGTTTATTATAAAAGGTGCAGCTCAGAAACAGCTGACTATAGAAATGCATAGGGCAAGACTCGAGGGGAAGGTGTTCCATGGCCCCTCCGGGCAGAACACCTTCCCAGCACCTCAATATGTTCACCAGCTCAGAAGCTTTCAGAATTCAATACTTTTGGGGTTTCATGGAGCATGATTGATTAAATCATTGGCTCCTCTCCTTTGGGCATGGGGTGGGGCGTGCTGAAAGTTTCAGCCTTTAAGTCACATAACTGGTTCCCCTGGCAGCCAGCCCACATCCTGGGATTATTTAGGGGCTGTCCAAAGTCACTTCATTCACTTAAATTCAGGTGTAGTTGAAAGGGGCTTCTTATGAATTACCAAAGACACTCTTTTTACCTCTTTTCACTAAGGAAATTCTTTTTTTTTTTTTTTTTTTGAGACTGAGTCTCGCTCTGTCGCCCAGGCTGGAGTGCAGTGGCACTATCTCGGCTCACTGCAAGCTCTGACTCCCGGGTTCATGCCATTCTCCTGCCTCAGCCTCCCAAGTAGCTGGGACTACAGGCGCCCACCACCACGCCCGGCTCATTTTTTTTTGTTTATATTTTTAATAGAGACGGGGTTTCAAAGTGTTAGCCAGGATGGTCTCGATCTCCTGACCTCATGATTCACACGCCTTGGCCTCCCAAAGTGCTGGGATTACAGACGTGAGCCACTGCACCTGGCCCACCAAGGAAATTTTATAGGTTTTAGGAGTGCTGTGCCAGGAATGTGTGATGAAGACCAATTTAAAAAAATTATTATTATTGGGCCAGGCGCGGTGGCTCATGCCTGTAATCCCAGCACTTTGGGAGGCCGAGGTGGGCAGATCACGAGGTCAGGAGATCAAGACCATCCTGGCTAACATGTTGAAACCCTGTCTCTACTAAAAATACAAAAAAATTAGCCGGGCATGGTGGTGGGCACCCGTAGTCCCAGCTACTTGGGAGGCTGAGGCAGGAGCGTGAAACGGGGAGACATAGCTCGCAGTGAGCTGAGATCATGCCACTGCACTCCAGCCTGGGCGACAGAGCACGACTCCATCTCAAAAATATATATATTTATTATTATTATTATTATTATTATTATTTTTGGTGTGGGTTTTTTTGTGTGTGTGGTGGAGTCTTTCTCAGTCGCCCAGGCACAGTCGCCCAGGCTGGAGTGCAGTGGCACGATCTTGGTTCACTGCAACCTCTGCCTCCCGGGTTCAAGCAATTCTCCTGCCTCAGCCTCCCAAGTAGCTGGGACTACAGGTGAGGGACACCATGCCCAGCTAATTTTTTTTTTTTTTTGAGACGGAGTCTCACTCTGTTGCCCAAGCTGGAGTGTGGTGGCTCGATCTCGGCTCACTGCAACCTCTACCTCCCAGGTTCAAGCGATTCTTCTGTCTTGGCCTCCCGAGTAGCTGGGACTACGGGCATGGGGCGCCACCACGCCAGGCTAGTTTTTGTATTTTCAGTAGAGACGAGTGTCACCATATTGGCCAGGCTGGTCTCAAACTCCTGACCTCGTGATCCGCCTGCCTCAGGCTCCCAAAGTGCTGGGATTACAGGCATAAGCCACCGCTCCCAGCCTTTTTTTTTTTTTTTTGAGATGGAGTCTCGCACCATAGCCCTGGCTGGAGTACAATGGTGCGATCTCTGCTCACTGCAACCTCCGCCTTCCAGGTTCATATGATTCTCCTGCTTCAGCCTCCTGGGTAACTGGGATTACAGGCACACACCACCACACCCAGCTAATTTTTCGTATTTTTAGTAGAGACAGGGTTTCACTATGTTGGCCAGACTGGTCTCGAACTCCTGACCTTGTGATCTGCCCGCCTTGGCCTCCCAAAGTGTTGGGATTACAGGCCTGAGCCACTGCACCCAGGTAATTTTTGTATTTTTTGTAGAGACGGGATTTGGCCATGTTGGCCAGGCTGGTCTCGAATTCCTGGCCTCAAGTGATCTGCCCGCCTTGGTCTGCCAAAGTGCTGGGATTGCAGGCATGAGCCACCATGCCTGGCCGAATTTTTTTAAATTATAATTAATTGTATCATGAATATATAATATTAAATCTTGATAAATGCTATAAAGAAAATTAAACAGTAAGGGAATGAATGGGGTGGAGAGGAAGAGTTGCCTTTTTAGATAACTTTCTCAGGAAGATGGCGTCTGAGCTGAGATCTAAATTAAGAGTAAGCCATGAAGAGCAAATGGAAAGGTCCTGAGGCAGAAACATTCATGGCCTGCAGTAGCAAAGAGAAAATGTAACCTTAGACAGAACTATAAATACAGCATATAAATATGATGTCTTGACAAGTAAGATAATATTTTAACTAGCAAAAATGTGGAGGAGGCAAAAATAATAAAGACAGGCCAGGTGCAGTGGCTCACGCCTGTAATCCCAACACTTCAGGAGGCAGAGGTAGGTAGATTGCTTGAGCCCAAGAATTCGAGACCAACCTGGAAACATAGTGAGACCCCATCTCTACAACAGATAAAAAATAAGCCAAGCATGGTGGCACATTCCTGTAGTCCCAGCTACTCCAGAGTTTGAGATGGGAGGATGGCTTGAGCCCAGGTGGTTGAGGCTGCAGTGAGCTGCAATCATGCCACTGCACTCCAGCCTGGGTAACAGTATAAGACCCTGTCTAGAAAGGACAAGACAAGACAAGACAAGAATAAATGCATTAACTTAGCCGGGCGCAGTGGCTCATGCCTGTAATTCCAGCACTTTGGGAGGCCGAGGTGGGTGGATCACCTGAGGTCAGGAATTTGAGACCAGCCTGCCCAAGATGGTGAGATCCCATCTCTACTAAAAATACAAAAAATTAGCCAGGCATGGTGGTGGGCGCCTGTAATCCCAGGTACTCGGGAGGTTGAGGCAGGAGAATCACTTGAACCCAGGAGGGAGATATTGCAGTGTGCTGAGATGGCGCCACTGCACTCCAGCCTGAGCGACAAGAGCGAAACTCCATCTCAAAAATAAAAAAAAAAAAAAGAAAAAAAAAAGAAAAGAAATAGATGATATCATATAATATTTAAAGGCAAAAAAAAGACAACCATTAGAAGTAAAATAGGAGCCAACTAGAATCACTGGGAGGTCTATGGAAAGAATTAAGGGGATATATTACAAGTGTAATAAATCGTTTATCTTATATGGCAGTGAGTGAAAAATACAGTCCAAAGTTGATAAATTAATTGAGGGCTGTGTAGGCCCCAACCTGTCCGTGGTTTGGGGTTGCTCTCTGCCTCATAAAGCAAAGGGGAGCATTTGTCTTTTGGGAAGACAAAGTTGTTTTCTCTGAAAAAGCCTCCTGCATGGTTGCCTTTGGCGTGTACCAAGTATAGGACGGCCTCAACTGAAAACCTAGGCTCATCAGGGATTGAGGCCTCATGAGTCTGGGTTTTCAGTTGAGGTCTAGAGAGAAGACAGGGATTATAACTATAAAATCCTGAGTGGGATGTACTTATGCCCAAACTCAGCCTGGGCTTCATCACTGTCATACAAGTGGATTCTTTAATAATAATAATTTGTAAAAAATACAGTGCCCAAACTTGATAAATTAGCATACAAAAGTAATGCCAAGAAAGGATAATATTTACTATTACGATGATTATGAATTAAAACCAGAAACTATGAATGGTGATTGATTCTGGATGTGGACTGGTAATGTGTGGGGGGAGGAGAGACTTTCATTTTTCATTTCTGCACCTCAGTGTGACTTGAGTTCTTTCTACCCCCGCCCTTTTTTTCTTAACCTTGCATGGATAACTGTAATTTAAAAATAGCTCTAAAATAATATAGAACTTGGCCTGGCACGGTGGCTCATGCCTGTAATCCTAGCACTTTGAGAGGCCGAGGCGGTTGGACCACTTGCGGTCAGGAGTTCAAGACCAGCCTAGCCAACTTGATGAAACCTTGTCTCTACTCAAAATACAAAAATTAGCTGGGCATGGTGGCGCACACCTGTAGTCCCAGCTACTCAGGAGGCTGAGGCAGGAGAATCACTTGAAGCCAGGAGGCGGAGGTTGCAGTAAGCTGAGATTGCACCACTGCACTCCAGCCTGGGTGACAGAGCGAGATTCTGTCTCAAAAAATAAAAATAAGGCCGGGTGCGGTGGCTCACGCCTGTAATCCCAGAACTTTGGGAGGCCAAGACAGGCGGATCACAAGGTCAGGAGATCAAAACCATCCTGGCTAACACGGTGAAACCCCGTCTCTACTAAAAATACAAAAAATTAGCCGGGTGTGGTGGCGGGCACCTGTAGTCCCAGCTACTTGGGAGGCTGAGGCGAGAGAATGGCGTGAACCTGGGAGGCGGAGCTTTCAGTGAGCCGAGATCATGCCACTGCACTCCAGCCTGGGCAACAGAGCAAGACTCCATCTCAAAAAATAAATAAATAAATAAAAATATATATATACACACATAACTTATTTTTTTCCCAAAACAATTAAAGTACCCTACAAAAATACAAACCATAATAATAGTAGTAATAATTAGACTAATTCAGGAAAGAGGGAAACTCATTTGTCTTCATCAGTTTGGGCTGCTATAACAATACCATAGACTGGGTGGCTTAAACAACAGAATTTTATACCTCACAGTCCAGAGAACGTTCAAAATCCGAGTGCCAGCACGGTCCCGTCCTGGTAAAGGCCCTCCTTCTGGTTTGGAGATGGCTATCTCTTTGTTTGTTTGTTTTTTTGTTTAGTTTAGTTTTGTTTGTTTTTGAGACAGAGTGTCACTCTGTCGCCCAGGCTGGAGTGCAGTGGCACGATCTTGGCTCACTGCAACCTCCACTCCCCGGGTTGGAGTGATTCTCCTGCCTCAGCCTCCAGAGTAGCTGGAATTACAGGCGCACGCCACCACGCCCGACTAATTTTTGTATTTTTAATACAGACAGGGTTTCTCCATGTTGGCCAGGCTGGTCTCGAACTCCTGGCCTCAGTTGATCCACCCGCCTCAGCCACCCAAAGTGCTGGGACTACAGACGTGAGCCACTGTGCCTGGCCCAGGTGGCCATCTTCTTACTGTGTGCTCAGATGGCAGAGAGAGAGAAAGCAAGCTCTCTCATGGCTCTTCTTATAAGGGCACTAGCCCCATCATGTGGGCTGCATCCTCATGACCTAATTACCTCCCAAAGGCCCCATCTCCAAACACCATTACATTGGGGATTGGGATTGCAACATATGAATTTGGGAGGACACAAGCATTCAGTCCATAGCACACTGTAGGAAGTCTGAAGCTGGGGGTAACAGTATTTTAAAACTATTTAATATGTAACTAATTTTTTTCACGGTTTAGCCATTAAAAGATTAATGATCTGCCGAATACTTCTTGAAAGTCTGTTAACTCCAACAGGAAATTCCCTCTTTGGAGATAATTATCCCCTGGAGATGGCTGAGGGAATGAGCCAAATAATTCCAGCCAAAAGCCCTTGATCAACACAGTATGTCAGTTTCATGTGCAGTCTGATCTGCTTTTCCAAATTTAATTTAGATAGTGAGTACCTGAATATAGAGACTTTGTTGTGATAGATATATATCTATTTGTGAAAATGAAGATGGTATCCAAGCTTTGAAACAAATGCTGTCTACATTTATCACTTGGCAACATGTTGTGTTGGTCAATAAATCCTAAAAGATGACAGCTCTTGCACTGAAAACATTAAAAATCTTCTGTTTGCATTTATGACATGTCACTCAGCCAGCAGAGGGAGACATGGCTGTATACCTTTTAGCAGTTATTGTTTCATCAACTAGCAATAAGAAAGATATAGGGCCAGGCGCGGTGGCTTACACCTGTAATCCCAGCACTGTGTGAGGCCAAGGCAGGAGGATTGCTTGAGCCCAGAAGTTCAACACCAGCCTGGGCAACATAGTGAGACATCATCTCTATTTCTCAAAAAACAAACAAACAAACAAATATATATATATATATGGTCTACCTCAGCATCAAATAGATCTTAGTGATTACACAGACCAAGTTCTACATTTTTCAGATGAGCGAAATGAAACCCAGAACAGTAAAGTGATTGGGCTAGAGTGAACAGCTGTCTCCTGTCTGACTCCTATGTCAGTGCTCTTTCCTCTCTACGTAAGTTCTAACTGCACTCTCAGCATTTTGAAAATGTGGTTGGGGGCTGGACGCGGTGGCTCACGCCTGTAATCCCAGCACTTTGTGAGGCCAAGGAAGGCAGATCATGAGGTGAGGAGTTCGAGACCAGCCTGACCAACATGGTGAAACCCCGTCTCTACTAAAAATACAAAAATTAGTTGGGCATAGTGGAACATGCCTGTAATTCCAGCTACTCAGGAGGCTGAGGCAGGGGAATCGCTTGAATCCAGGAAGCAGAGGTTGCAGTGAGCTGAGATCATGCCACTGCACTCCAGCCTGGGTGACAGAGTGAGACTCCGTCTAAAAAAAAAAAAAAAGAAGAAGAAAATGTGGTGGGAGAGAGTATTATTGATTGTCACAATGATTGGTCAGCACTACTGTCATTTTAATGGGTGGAAATCAAATGTATAAGACATCTGCAGGCAGGGCATGGTGGCTCACACTTGTAATACCAGCACTTTGGGAGGCTGAGGTGGGAGAATTGCTTGAGCCCAGAAGTTGAAGACCAGCCTGGACAACATAGGGAGACCTCATCTCTACAAATAAAAATAAATATAAAAACTTAGTTGGGCGTGGTGGCATGTACACCTGTAGTCCTAGCTACTCAGAAAGCTGAGTGAGGAGGATCACTTGAGTCTGGGAGGCCAAGGTTACAGGGAACTGTGATCACACTGTAGCACTACAGCCTGGGTGACAGAGCGAGACCATGATTCAAAAAAAAAAAAAAATCTGTAATACAGGGACCTTTGGCAGATTGTTAACATATTCTGATTTTTCCAAGAATACAATTATATATATGAAAGGAGGATTTGACTTTATGATGTCTTGAACTTTACCAAGGGTTTTCTACCATTGCAGACAATCATAACATCTATATCACTACCATGTGGGATAATTGACTCATTACTATACAACACACCTGTATTACTCTGTGCTTGTAGCTGGCACATTTACTATGATGCTATGTGAAGACGCAAGTATCTGATTATTTCATTAAGCCTTCTTGCATAGTCATATCTTGATATGTACATATTGAAATGCTTATTTCCTTTTTTAAAGATTAAAAAAATTTAATTGATACATAATTGTACAAACTTACGGGGGTACATGTGATATTTCAATATATGCATATGTTTAGAGGTCAAATTGAGGTAACTGGGATATCCATCACCTTCAACATTGATCATATTGCTGTGTTGGAAACATTCAAATTTCTCTCTTGTGGCTATTTAAAAATATACGGCCGGGCGTGGTGGCTCATGCCTATAATCCCAGCACTTTGGGAGGCTGAGACAGGTGGATCACAAAGTCAGGAGTTCAAGACCAGCCTGACCAACATGGTGAAACCCCGTCTCTACTCAAAATACAAAAATTAGCTGGGCGTGGTGGTGCACACCCATAATCCCAGCTACTCAAGAGGCTGAGGCAGGAGAATCGCTTGAGCCCGGGAGGCAGAGGTTGCACCTGGGCAACAGAGTGAGACTCTGTCTCAAAAATAAATAAATAAATAAATAATATATATACACAAAAACAATGTTGTTAACTATAGTCACCCAGCTGTGCTATAGGATGCTAGAGTTTATTCCTCCTTTTCTTTTTTTTGAGATGGAGTCTCACTCTGTTGCCCAGGCTGGGAGTGCAATGGGGTGATCTCAGCTCACTGCAACCTCCACCTCCTGAGTTCAAGCAATTCTCCTGCCTCAGCCTCCTGAGTAGCTGGAAATACAGGTGTGCACCACCACACTGAGCTAATTTTTGTATTTTTTAGTAGAGATGGGTTTTTGCCATGTTGGCCAGGCTGGTCTTGAACTCCTGATCTCAGGTGATCCACCCACCTTGGCCTCCCAAAGTACTAGGAATACAGGTGTGAGCCACCGCACCTGGCCTATTCCCCCCTTCTAACTGTAATTTTGCATCCATTAACCATTCTCTTCCTATTCCCCCTTCCCTTACTCTTCCAAGCCTCTGGTAACTACTATATTTCCTTTATTTCTGTTTTATGATATAGGCATACCTAATTTTATTGCACTTTGCTTTATTGTACTTTGCAGACATTATATGACTTATTTTGTTTTGCTTTTTAGGGATGGGGTCTCACTATGTTCCTCAGGCAGCAGACATATTGTATTTTTTGCAAATTGAAGGTTTGTGGCAACCGTACATTAAGGAAGTTGATCAGTGCCATTTTTCCAACAGCATGTGCTCACTTCATGTCTCTATGTCACATTTTGGTAATTCTCATAATATGTTAAGCTTTTCAGTATTATTATAACTGCATGGTAATCTGTTACCAGTGATCTTTCATGTTACTATTGTAATTGTTTTGAGGCACAATGAACTGCACCACATAAGCCATTGAACTTAATCAATAAACGTTGTATGTGGTCTGACTGTTCCACCAACTGGCCATTCCCCCATCTCTCTTTCTCTACTTGGACTTTCCTATTCCCTGAGACACAAAGATATTGAAATTAGGCCAGTCAATAACACCACAGTGGCCCCTAAGTGTTCAAGTGGAAAGAGTTACATGCCTCTCACTTTAAATCAAAAGCTAGAAATGATTAATCTTAGTGAGAAAGGCATGTTGAAAGCTGAGATAGGCCAAAAGCTAGGCCCCTTCCTTGCATTACGCAGCCAAATTGTGAATGCAAAGGAAAAGTTTTTGAAAGAAGTTAAAATTGCTACTCCAGTAAGCACATGAATCATAAAGCAAAACAGCCTTATTGCTGAAATGGAGAAAGCCTGAGTGGTCCAAACAGAAGACCAAACCAGCCACAATGTTCTCATAAGCCAAAACCTAATCCAGAGCAAGGCCAATACTTTTTTTTTTTTTCAATAATTTAAATTAGAGACAGGGTTTTACTATGTTGCTCAGGCTGGTCTCAAACTCCTGGGCTCAAGAGATCTGCCCACATCAGTGCCCCAAAGTGTTGGGATTACAGGCACGAGCCACCACACGCAGCCACTCTCTCCAACTCTATGAAGACTGTGAGAGGTAAGGAAGCTAGAAAAGTTTGAAGCTGGCAGAGGATGGTTCATGAGGTTTAAGGAAAGAAGGCATCTATCTACATAGTGAAAATACAAGGTGAAACAAGTACAAGCTGCAGCAAGTTATCCAGAAGACCTAATGAAGATCATTGATGAAGATGACTACATTTTTTTTTTCGAAATGGAATCTCACACTGTCACCTGGGCTGGAGTGCAGTGGCGTGATCTCAGCTCACTGCAACCTCTGCCTCCCGGGTTCAAGTGATTCTCCTGCCTCAGCCTCCTGAGTAGCTGGGATTACAGGTCCACCACCACACTCAGATAATTTTTTGTATTTTTAGTACAGACGGGGTTTCACCATGTTGGCCAGGCTGGTCTCGAACTCCTGACCTCATGATTCACCCACCTTGGCCTCCCAAAGTGCTGGGATTACAGGCGTGAGCCACTGCACCCGGCTGAAGATGACTACATTAAGCAGACTTTCAATGTAGACAAACAGCTTTCTTTTGGAAGAAGATGCCATCTAGGACTTTCCTAGCTAGAGAGGAGAAATCAGTGCCTGGCTTCAAGGCGTCAAAGGGCAGGCTGACTTTCTCAATAGGGCCTAACGCAGCTGGTGACCTTAAGTTGAAGCCAATGCTCATTCACCATTCTGAAAATCCTAGGGCTTTTAATCCTAAGCATTATGCTAAATCTGATCTGCGTGTGCTCTATAAGTAGAACAACAAAGCCTGGATGACAGCACATCTGTTTACAGCATGATTTACTGAATATTTTATGCCAACTGCTTGAGACCTACTATTCAGAAAAAAAAGATTCCTTTCAAAGTATTATCACTCATTGACAACGCACCTGGTCACCCAGGAACTCTAGTGGAAATTTACATGTAAACCCATTTTCATGCCTGCTAATATAACATACATTCTGTGGCCCATGGATCAAGGAGTAATTTTGACTTTCAAGTTTCATTATTCTTACTATTATTTTATTTATTTATTTTGAGATGGAGTCTCGCCCTGTCTCCCACACTAGAGTATAATGGCGTGATCTCGGCTCACTGCAATCTCTGCCTCCCAGGTTCAAGTAATTCTCCTGCCTCAGCCTCCCAAGTAGCTGGGATTATGGGTACCTGCCACCATGCCTGGCTAATTTTTCTATTTTTAGTAGAGACAGTGTTTCACCATGTTGGCCAGGCTGGTCTCGAACTCCTGACCTTAGGTGATCTGCCTGGCCTGGCCTCCCAAAGTGCTGGGATTATAGGCGTGAGCCACCATGCCGGCCTCAAGTCTCATTATTTAAGAAATATCTTTTGGGCCGGGTGCAGTGGTTCACACCTGTAATCCCAGCACTTTGGGAGGCCGAGGCAGGCAGATCACAAGGTCAGGAGATTGAGACCATTCGGGCAAACACAGTGAAACCCCGTCTCTACTAAAAATACAAAAAATTAGCCGGGCATGGTGGCGGGCGCCTGTAGTCCCAGCTACTCAGGAGGCTGAGGCAGGAGAATGGCGTGAACCTGGGAGGTGGAGCTTGCAGTAAGCCAAGATTGTGCCACTGCACTCCAGCCTGGGCAACAGAGCAAGACTCCATCTCAAAAAAAAAAAAAAAAAAAAAAAAAGAACTATCTTTTGTAAGGCTATAGCTGCCATAGTTAGTGATTCCTCTGATGAATCTGAGTAAAGTAAATTGAAAACCTTCTGGGAGGGATTCACTCATTCTAAATGCCATGAAGAACATCCATGATTCACGGGAGGATGTCAAAATATCACCATTAATGGAAGTTTGGAGGTTGACTCCAACTCTCGTGGTTGAGTATAGGTACAAGACTTCAGTGGGGGAAGTAAATGCAGATGTGGTACAGATTGTGAGAGAACAAGGATTAGAAGTAGAGCCTGGGCCGGGTGTAGTGGCTCACACCTATAATCCCAGCACTTTGGGAGGCCAAGGCGGGCAGATCACCTGAGGTCTGGAGTTCGAGACCAGCCTGGCCAACATGGTGAACCCCATCTCTACTAAAAAAAAATTAAAAAATGAGCCAGGCATAGTGGTGCTCGCCTGTTAATCCCAGCTACTTCAGATGCTGAGGCAGGAGAATTGCTTGAACGCAGGAGGCAGAGGTTGCAGTGAGCCAAGATCGCGCCATTGCACTCCAGCCTGGGCAACAGAGTGAGACTCTGTCAAAAAAAAAAAAAATAGAAAAAAAGAAAGTTGGGGGGTGGGGGGGAGAGAGAGAGAGAGAGAGAAAGAAAGACAGAAAGGAAGGAAGGAAGGAAGGAAGGAAGGAAGGAAGGAAGGGAAGGAAGAGAGGGAGGGAAGGAGGGAGGGGGGAAGGAAGGAAGAAAGAAAGTGAGCCATAAGATGTAGCTGAATTTCTGCAATCTCATGATCAAACTTGAATAGATGAGGAGTTCCTTCTTATGGATGAGCAAAGAAAGTGGTGTCTTGAGATAGGATCTACTGACTACTTTTTGTCACTATAGATTAGTTTACTTTTCTAAAATTTTCTAAACATAGAATAATAGAATATATACCCTTTTTTGTCTGGCTTTTTTTGCCCAGCATACAGGCATTCCTCGGAGATATTGCAGGTCCAATTCCAGGCCACCACAATAAAGCAAATTCTACCATAAAGCAATCAAAAAAGGGTAAAATGTAGATCAGTACGTGTTTAGAGATGGGATCATATGGTGAGATTAGGAGAGATTACCACAGGGTATGAGAAAACTTTGGAGGTGATGGATATGTTCATCATCTTGGTTGTGTTAACAATTTCTCAGGTGAATAGTATGTCCAAAGTTCTCAAATTGTACACCCTTAAGATGTACCACTTATTGTATGTCAATTATACCTTAAATCTGTTTTTTTTTAAGTAATGTTTTAAAAAGAAAAAAATCAGTTCGGGAGTGGTGGCTCATGCTTGTAATCCCAGCACTTTGGGAGGCCAAGGTGGGAGAATCACTTAAGGCCAGGAGTTCGAGACCAGCCTGGCCAACATGGTGAAACCCTGTCTCTACTAAAAGTATAAAAATTAGCTGGGCGTGGTGGCGGGTGCCTGTAGTCCCAGCTACTCCGGAAGCTGAGGCGGGAGAATTGCTTGAACTCGGGAGGCAGAGGTTGCAGTGAACCAAGATCACGCCACTGGCACTCCAGCCTGGGTGAGAGAGCAAGACTCCATTTAAAAGAAAAAATTCAACCAAATACACAGTCTTTGTTTAGATCCTGTTTTGAGTCATTTATAAAAAGATACTGGACACCTGGGGCATATGTAAATACTGACTGTATAATAGATTCTGTTAAGAAATTATTACTATTTTTTGGTGTGAGAATGGTATTGTAATGTTAAAATGTGTCTGTCTTAGTCCATTTGGGCTGCTATAACTCAATACCATAGACTGAGTATAAACAACAGAAATTTGTTTTTCACAGTTCCGGATACAAAAGCCAAAAGCAAAGGCATTGACAGATTCAGTGTCTCATGAGAGTCTGGGTCCATTTCCTTGTTCATAAAAGGTACCTTCTTGGCTGGGCGCAGTGGCTCACGCCTGTAATCCCAGCACTTTGAGAGGCCAAGATGGGCGGATCACGAGGTCAGAATATCGAGATCATCCTGTCTAACACAGTGAAAACCCGTCTCTACTAAAAATACAAAAAAGTAGCCTGGCGTGGTGGCAGGAGCCTGTAGTCCCAGCTACTTGGGAGGCTGAGGCAGGAGAATGTCGTGAACCCAGGAGGTGGAGCTTGCAGTGAGCTGAGATCGCGCCACTGCACTCCAGCCTGGGCAACAGAGCAAGACTCCGTATAAAAAAAAAAAAATGATACCTTCTCCCTGTATCCTCATGTTGTTGAAGAGGGAAAGAGGGAAAGTAGCTCTCTGGGTTTTTGGGTTTTGATTTGTTTTGTTTTGTTTTTGAGACAGTCTCACTCTGTCACCCAGGCTGGCATGCAGTGGCGTGATCACTACAGTCTTGACCTCCTGGGCTCAAGTGATCCTCCCACCTCAGCCTCCTGAGTAGTAGCTGGGACTATAGGCATGTACACCATGCCAGCTAATTTTTGTTGCCCAGGCTGGTCTCAAACTCCTGGGTCAAGTGATCCTCCTGCCTCAGCCTCCCAAAGTGCTGGGATTACAGGTGTAACCCATTTTACCCAGCCTTTGGGAGCTTTTTTTAATAAGGAAGCTAGCCCCACTCATGAGGGTGAAGTCGTCAGGTACTAATCACCTCCCATAGGCTCTATCTTCTAATAATATGTAATGGTTAATATTAAGTGTTAACTTGATTGGATTGTGGGATGCAAAGTATTGTTTCTGGGTGTGTCTTCGAGGGTGTTGCCAGAGGAGCTTAACATTTGAGTTAGTGGACAGAGAGAGGCAGACCCATCCTCAATCTGGGTGGGCACCATCCAATCAGCTGCCAGCACTGCTAGAAAAAGCAGGCAGAAGAAGGTGGAATGAGCTGACTTGCTGAGTCTTCCGGCCTTCATCTTTGTTCCATGCTGGATGCCTTCTTCCCTTGAACATTAGACTCCAAGTTCTTTGGCTTTTGGACTCTTGGACTTACACCAGTGGTTTGCCAAGGGCTCTCGGACCTTTGGCCACAGATGAAGACTGCACTGTGGCCTTCCGTACTTTTGAGATTTGGGGATTTGGACTGAACCACTGCTGGTTTCCTCGCTCATCTTGCAGACGACCTATTGTGGGACTTCACCTGGTGATCGTGTGAGTCAATACTCCTTTAAAAACTCCCTTTCATGACCGGGCACAGTGGTTCACGCCTGTAATCCCAGCACTTTGTTAGGCGGAGGCGGGTGGATCACGAGGTCAGGAGAGCGAGACCATCCTGGCTAACACGTTGAAACCCCGTCTCTACTAAAAATACAAAAAAAATTAGCCAGGCGTGGTGGTGGGCGCCTGTAGTCCCAGCTACTCGGGAGGCTGAGACGGGAGATTGGCGTGAACCCGGGAGGTGGAGCTTGCAGTGAGCCAAGATCGCGCCAGTGCACTCCAGCCTGGGCGACAGAGGGAGACCCGTCTCAAAAAAATAATAAATAAATAAAAATAAAGTAAAATAAACTCCCTTTCATATGTACATCTATCCTATTTCCCTCTAGAGAACCCTAATATATACCATCATATACCATCACATTCGTGATTAGATTTCTTTTTTCTTTTTCTTTTTTTTTTTTTTTAAGAGAGGGTCTTGCTCTGCACTTAAGCTAGAGTGCAGTGGCATGATTACTGCTCGCTGCAACCTCAAACTCCCGGAGTCAAGCGATCCCCCAGCCTCAGCCTCCCAAAGTGCTGGGATTACAGGTGCACACCATTGCGCTCAGCTGATTAGGCTTCAAGATATGAATTTTTGGGGGGACACAAACATTCAGACCATAGCAGTATCTCTTACACATACAGACTGAAGTATTTAATGATGAAATTCTAAGATATCTGGGATTTGCCAAGTTAGGGGAAATGATGAATATGGATGAAACGAGATTTGCCAAATATTGCTAATACAGGATTTAAATGGTGGTTACATGGGGTTTGTTATAGTATTGTCTTTATTTATGTGTATGTTGAGATTCACATAATAAAATTTTGTTTTGTGGTTTTTTTGTTTTGTTTGGTTTTTGAGACAGAGATCTGCTCTTTTTGCCCAGGCTGGAGTGCAGTGACGCGATCTCGGCTCACTGCAACCTCCACTTCCCAGGTGCAAGTGATTCTCTGGCCTCAGCCTCCTGAGTAGCTGGGATTACAGGCACCCACCACCATGCCTGGCTAATCTTTTTATTTTTAGTAGGGATGGGGTTTCACCATGTTGGCCAGGCTGGTCTCAAACTCCTGACCTCAAGTGATCCACCTGCCTCAGTTCCCAAACTGTTGGGATTACAGGTGTGAGCCACCGTGCCCCGCAGTTTTATAGTTTTTTTTTAAAGGAGGTTTATTCTAGTCATGCTCAGAAACAGTGTACTAGACTAAATGACTTCTAACCTTTCCATCTGAGAAAACATACCTTTTCCGTTAGGTGATGATTTCTATTATTAACCACCTGCTTCTCACTAGAAGCAAAAAATTGAAGTCTGAAGGACACATAGGTTTTTTTTCCAGTTACTCATAAACATTTATGCTGATATACTGTTGGAATCATTATTTATTTGTTTGTTTATTTTTTAAGCCAGTGTCTCACTCTGTTACTTAGGCAGTAGCACAGGGATGCAATCACAGCTCACTGCAGCCTTGACCTCCCAGGTTCAAGCAATCCTCCTACCTCATCCTCCTGAGTAGCTGGGATTACAGGTGCACACCATCACACCTGGCTAACTTTTTTTATTTTTTTGTAGAGATGGGGTCTTGCTTTGTTGCCCAGGCTGGTCTTGAACTCCTGGGCTCAAGGAATCCTCCTGCCTCGGCCTCCCAAAGTGCTGAGATTACAGGCATGAGCCATCTCACCCAGACAGAATAATTACTTTAAAAATGAAAAAGAGCCTTGCCTATGGAGGGATGACCCGGCTCAGGTTGGAAATGGAGCAGGTCAAAACTCCCATGCTGATCAGTGGTGGGATTGCACCTGTGAATAGATGCTGCACTCCAGCCTGGGCAACATAGCAACGCTCCATCTTTTTTTTTTTTTTTTTTTTTTTTGTGAGAAAGGGTCTTGCTCTGTCACCCAGGCTGGAGTGCAGTGGTGTGATTACAGCTCACTGTAACCTTGACATCCCCGGCTCAACCGATCCTCCCACTTCCTCCTCCCCAGTAGCTGGAACTACAGGCCCACAGCACACACCCAGCTAACTTTTTTTTGTTTGTTTGTTTTTGAGACAGAGTCTCGCTCTGTCACCCAGGCTAGAGTGCTGTGGCGTGATCTCGGCTCACTGCAAGCTCTGCCTCCTGGGTTCATGCCATTCTCCTGCCTCAGCCTCCCAGGTAGCTGGGACTACAGGCACCTGCCACCACGCCCGGCTAATTTTTTTGTGTTTTTAGTAGAGACGGGGTTTCACCGTGTTAGCCAGGATGGTCTCAATCTCCTGACCTCGTGATCCACCCGCCTCAGCCTCCCAAAGTGCTGGGATTACAGGCGTGAGCCACCGCGCCTGGCCAATTTTTTCATTTTTTGTAGAGACATGGTCTCACTATGTTATGTAGGCTGGTCTTGAACTCCTAGGCTCAAACCATCCTCCCACCTTGGCCTCCCAAATTGCTGGGATTGTAGGCATGAGCCACCACACCCAGCCCCCATCTCACATTTAAAAAAGGAAAAAGAAAAAAGAGCCAGTGGTATCTGCTATTTTAAAACTTCTTTCTTCTTATCTCACCGAAAATATTTCACAGAAATAACCTGCCACTGAAGACAGAACATGTTATCATCACTGTGAAACTCAAATAAAGTGAATTACATTTCTTTTGATTGGGGAAGAGAAAAGTTGGTCTGATCTTTCCTAATCAGATACAATTTTCTAAATAAAAAACTGAGCCAAACTGGAAACTAACTGTAGGAACAAATTATCTGTGGGCTAAATAATTATGACAATATTATTTTCAAAGAGTTAAAAATATGGCTCACAAATGAAAATGAACACATGTCAAAGATGTTTTCTCAACTTATTAATGAAGAAACAACAAGATAATAAAGCCAGTTCAAAGGGTATTTGACAAAATGAGTATTTTCCTGAAAAAGGGAAATTTTAGACTGGGCTTGGTGGCTCACAACTGTAATCCCAGCACTTAGAGAGACCAAGGTGGGCAGAGCACGAGGTCAAGAGATCGAGACTATTCTGACCAACATGGTGAAACCCTGTCTCTACTAAAAATACAAAAATTAGCTGAGTGTCGTGGCACGTGCCTGTAGTCCCAGCTACTTGGGAGGCTGACACAGGAGAATTGCTTGAACCTGGGGGGCGGGGGTTGCAGTGAGCCGAGATCCTGCCACTGCACTCCAGCCTGGCAACAGAGCGAGACTTCGTCTCAGGAAAAAAAAAAAAAAAAGGGAAATTTTAAGTAAGATTCTTTATCTTTCTTTTTTTTCTTATTTTTCTTCTTCTTCTTATGAGATAGGGTCTCATCCTTTTGCCCAGGCTGGAGTGCTGTGGTGCAACCTCGGCTCACTGCAGCCTTGACATCTCAGGCTCAAGTGATCCTCCCACCTCAGCCTCCTGAGTAGCTGGGACTACAGGCGTGCACCACCGCACCTGGCTATTTTTTGTATTTTATGTAGAGAAGGGGTTTCAATATGTTGGCCAGTCTGGTCTCAAATTCCTGGGCTCAAGTAATCCACCCGCCTCGGCCTCTGAACTTGTTGGGATTACAGGCTTGAGCCACTGCACCCAGCCTCATTATTATTTCTTGCAGCTGAATGTAAAACTATAAAAATCTCAAAATTAAAAGTTTAAGTATTATTATTTTTTGAGACAGAGTCTTGCTCTGTTGCCCAGGCTGAAGTGCAGTGACACAATCTTGGCTCACTGCAAACTCCACCTCCCGGGTTCAAGCAATTCTCCTGCCTCAGCCTCCCAAGTAGCTGGGATTACAGGCGCATGCCACCACACCCAGTTAATTTTTGTATTTTTAGTAGAGATGGGGTTTCACCATTTTGGCCAGGCTGGTCTCGAACTCCTGACCTTGTGATCCGCCCACCTCGGCCTCCTAAAGTGCTGGGATTACAGGCGTGAGCCACCGCATCCGGCCAATTAATTTTTTTTTTTTTTGAAATGGAGTCTTGCTCTGTCACCCAGGCTGGAGTGCAATGATGCAATCTCAGCTCACTGCAACCTGTGCCTCCCAGGTTCAAGCGATTCTCTTGCCTCAGCTTCCTGTGTAGCTGGGACTACAGGTGCCCGCCACCATGTCCAGCTAATTTTTGAATATTTAGTAGAGATAAGGTTTTGCCATGTTGGCCAGGCTGGTCTTGAACTCCTGACCTCAGGTGATCCTCCTGCCTCAGTCTCCCAAAGTGCTTGGATTACAGGCATCAGCCACCGCACCTGGCCTAAAGGTTTAATTTTAAAAAACAGATTGTTGGCCGGGCCTAGTGGCTCACGCCTGTAATCCCAGCACTTTGGGAGGCCGAGGCTGATGGATTACCCGAGGTCAGGAGATCAAGACCAGCCTGGCCAACATGGTGAAACTCTGTCTCTACTAAAAATACAAAACATTAGCCAGGTTTTGTGGCAGGCGCCTGTAATCCCAGCTACTCGGGAGGCTGAGGCAGGAGAATCGCTTGCACCTGGGAGGTAGAGGTTGCAGTGAGCTGAGATCGCACCATTGCAATCCAGCCTGGGCAACAAGAGTGAAACTCCATCTCAAAAACAAAAACAAAAACAAAAACAAAACAACAACAAAAAACAGATTGTTCAGTTACAGACACAACTGGTTAATATGTGACAATAAACTTTGGTATTATACTTCTTCGAGACAAAAATTATTTTTACCTCTATTGGACAAAAATCTACAATTTTACATGTACTTCAAAATTTAGGTCTTTAATCAATAATGAGTCAAAGAAAGTGACTTTCCCTCGGATGGGGTGAGCAAACTGTAGACCAAAGGCCAACTTCAGTCACTGGCCTGTTTTGGCATAGCTTAAGTTAAGAATGCTTTTGGCTGGGCACTGTGGCTCATGCCTGTAATCCCAGCACTTTGGGAGGCCAAGGCGGGTGGATCACGAGGTCAGGAGATTGAGACCATCCTGGCTAACATGGTGAAACTCCGTCTCTACTAAAAATACAAAAAAAATTAGCTGGGTGTGGTGATGGGTGCCTGTAGTCCCAGCTACTCCGGAGGCTGATGCAGGAGAATGGCGTGAACCCGGGAGGCAGAGCTTGCAGTGAGCCAAGATCGCGCCACTGCACTCCAGCCTGGGCGACAGAGCAAGATTCCATCTCAAAAAAAAAAAAAAAAAAAAAAAAGATGTTAACCTCAGGTAATTTTTTAATTTTTCTTTTTGAGACAGAGTCTTGCTCTGCCACCCAGGCTCACTGCAACCTCTGCCTCCCAGGCTCAAGCAATTCTCCTTCCTCAGCGTCCCAAGTAACTGGGATTACAGGTGCATGCCACCACATCTGACTAATATTTTGTATTTTTAGTAGAGATGGGGTTTCACCATGTTGACCAGGCTGATCTTGAACTCCTGACCTCAAGTGATCTGCCCACCTTGGCCTCCCAAAGTGCTGGGATTACAGGTGTGAGCCACCAATCCTGGCCAGTTTTTAAGACAATTTTTTAAGTTTCATATGAGAAATTTCAAACATATGCAAAAGAATTATTTTATTTTTGAGACGAAGTTTCACTCTTGTTGCCCATGCTGGAGAGTGATGTCGTGATCTTGGCTCACCCCAACCTCCGCCTCCCAGGTTCAAGCGATTCTCCTACCTCAGCCTCTCAAGTAGCTGAGATACAGGCACCCACCACCAAGCCCAGCTAATTTTGTATTTTTAATAGAGACGGGTTTCTCCATGTTGGTCAGGCTGGTCTCGAACTCCCAACCTCAGGTGATCCGCCTGCCTCGGCCTTCCAAAGTGCTGGGATTACAGGTGTGAGCCACCATGCCCAGCCAAAAGAATAATTTTTTTAAAATCCTGAAATCTGTGTGCAGTGGTTCATGCCTGTAATCCCAGCACCTTGGGAGGCCAAGGCAGGAAGATTGCTTGAGCCAAGAAGTTCCAGACCAGCCTGATCAACATAGCCAGACCCCGTCTCTACAGAAAAATATATACACAAATTTTGTGTTTTTTGTTTTTTTTTTGAAACAGAGTATCACTCTGTCACCCAAGCTGGAGTGCAGTGGCAGACTCTTGGCTCACTGCAACCTCTGCCTCCCAGGCTCATGATCCTCCTGAGTAGCTGGGACTACAGGCGTGCACCATCATGGCCAGCTAATTTTTGTACTTTTTGTAGAGACAGAGTTTTGCCATGTTATCCAGGTTGATCTGGAACTCCTAAGCTCCAACAATCTGCCCATCTCGGCCTCCCAGAGTGTTTCGATTACAGGTATGAGCCACCGCACCCAGCCCCCTCCCCCAAAAAAGTTTTAAATAAATTAGCCCAGTGGTGCACATCTGTAGTCTTAACTATTCAGGAGGCTGAGGAGGGAGGGTTGCTTGAGCTCAAGAGTTTGAGGTTGCAGTGAGCTATGATCACATGATTGCACATCAACCTGGGTGACAGAGCGAGACTCTGTCTGTAAAACAAATACAAAAACAAAAACTAAACCCCTATGTACCCCTTACTTAGCTTCAACAATCTGATCCACTTATGACCAATTTTGTTTCATTTATTTCCCCTCAGCTCCACCACTGGATTTTTTTTTTTTTTTGCATTTTTTCTTTTTGTTGTTATTTTTGAGAAACGGTCTCACTCTGTCATCCAGACTGGGGTGCAGTGGTACAATCATGGCTCACTGCAGCCTTGACTTCCTGGGCTCAGGTGATCCTCACACCTCAGCTTCCTGAATAGCTGGGTCTACAGGTATGTGCCACCACGTCTGGCTAATTTTTTTATTTTTTGTAGAGACAGGGTCTCACTATGTTGTTCAGACTGGTCTAAAACTCCTGGAATCAAGTGATCCATGTTGACCTCCTAAATTGCTGGGATTACAGGCATAAGCCACTGTGCATAGCCCACAAAAATTCTTTGAGGTTCTTATCCATTTTTAAGAGTGTCAAGAGGCCCTGAGACCAAAAGTTTGAGAACCACTGGCTTAGACCATTCAAAATGTAGCCAAAACTAGAGCTCTGCCAGCATGGAGCAACAGGAAAATGGTTTCTGGGTAGATATCCAACGACATCTGCTACTGGAAGGAGTTGGTTTGGAACTGGTACATGACAAAGGAAGAAAGGAAGTAAATGTAAGGCTGGCTCGGGATAAATAAAAGCAAATCAACTTTTCTTCCTATAAGGATTATGGGAAGTGTCTAGAAGGCTGTGATTAGCAGTGAGAAGTCTGAAGCAGGGAATGAGGAAAGTGTCTGTCTATAGTGTTATTAAGAGTAGCGTAGGAAATCTGTAGTAAGGAGAGGCTGTATATCAGGAGGTTAGTTAACCAGTGAAAGTGATTATACTAATCCTGTGCCTCAAATGTGGAAATATTTCTACCTTTTTTTTTCTTGGATTATATGTTTGCATTTCAAAAAACAACAATTTTAAGTTGTCAAAGTGATCCAGAGGAAAAACTATGAAGAGGACAGTTTGATGAGGAAGTGGAGGAGCATGTTCACAGACACATAGGGTCTATGATAGAATCTTAATTAAGAGCTGCTGAGGCAAATGATCCAGTCGCATCTCTGTCCAAGGTACTGCAAGTGAGGGGGCTCCAGAAGTACTATAGAAGTTAAAGTTCAGGATGTTACTCTGTAATTGTCACTGGTCAATGAAGGAGTCCTATTTGTTCTTTTAGAAGACATCGGTCTATTTTCAGACTTTATGCCACTAAAAATGTGCTTGGTAAGCTTTTTTTGTTTCTTTTACATTTCTCAGCTAACTCATTTTCTGGACACTTCCATCGTCTCTAAATCTATTTTATTTATTTATTTTAGATAGAGTCTCGCTCTGTCGCTCAGGCTAGAGTGCAGTAGCGTGATGTCAGCTCACTTCAAGCTCCACCTCCCATGTTCAAGCGATTCTACTGCCTCAGCCTCCCGAGTAGTTGGGACTATAGGCGCACACCACCACAGCCGGCTAATTTTATTTTTTATTTATTTATTTATTTTTGTTTATTTATTTTTATTTATTTATTTATTTTTAGACGGAGTCTGTCTCTGTCGCCCAGGCTGGAGTGCAGTGGCGCAATCTCGGCTCACTGCAAGCTCCGCCTCCCGGGTTCACGCCATTCTCCCGCCTCAGCCTCCCGAGTAGCTGGGACTACAGGCGCACGCCACTACGCCCGGCTAATTTTTTTGTATTTTTAGTAGAGACGGCGTTTCACCGTGTTAGCCAGGATGGTCTCGATCTCCTGACCTCGTGATCCGCCCGCCTTGGCCTCCCAAAGTGCTGGGATTACAGGCGTGAGCCACTGCGCCCGGCCTATTTTAATTTTTTAATAAGGAATCTTGCTCTGTCGCCCAGGCTGGAGCACAGTGGCACAATCACAGCTCACGGCAACCTCCGCCTCCTGGGTTCAAGCAATTTTTCTGCCTCAGCCTCCCAAGTAGCTGAGATTACAGGTGCCTGCCATCACGCCTGGCTAATTTTTCTGTATTTTTACTAGAGAAGGGGTTCCACCATGTTGGCCAGGTTGTTCTCAAACTCCTGACCTCAGGCGATCCACCCGCCTCAGCCTCCCAAAGTGGTGGGATTATAGGTGTGAGCCACTGCACCCGACCTCTGAATTGATTTTAATGTTTGCCAGGAACTATTAGCAGCTAAGTTTGCCGTCATGATGTTCAGTTTGTTTTCAGATAGCCTAAATACCTCATTTTTAGTGGTGCTATATGTGCATATATGTAAACATATCACTATCAACTCAAATTTCTCTTTGGAACTTTGGACTGGGATATAAGAGCTTTGATTCTCTCCAGAAATGTCTACTGCAGCTGGAGAATCTGCCTGCTGATATGGCTATCACAAGAACTCTCACTCTTCAATTGTTTTCTTTTAGTCACAGATTTAATTGTCTTTCATCAATTAGGTAGTTTATTTGAGCTTCTTTAGATTGCACAACTCATTTAAATAACTCATACTTTATACTTATTATTCATTAAATAATTTTTTTCAGAGGGATCTATGTGCAAAAAGAAGTGTATGTTGAACAAAAGGATTGTATATGTCCTAGCTCTCCTGCCTACTGCAAATGGGAACAGACACCCTTACCTATTCCACAGGTTGATTTTGAGACAATACAAAAAAATGGATTTGAAAATATTCTTGGCTGAGCGAGGAGGCTCATTCCTGTAATCTCAACACTTTGGGAGGCCAAAGCAGGATTTCTTGAGCCCAGGAGTTTGAGACTAGCCTGGGCAACATAGGGAGATCCTGTCCCTACCAAAAAAAAATTAGCTGGGTGTGGTGGTGCACACTTGTGGTCCCAGCTACTCAGGACACTGAGGTGGGAGGATCACTTTGAGGCTGCAGTGAGCTGAGATCGTGCCACTGCACTGCAGGCTTCGTGACAGAGAGAGATTCTGTCTCAAACTAACGATCATCATAATAAATTTTAAAAATAAATAAATGTAATATGTATTTGTATTATATTACTTAGTTTCTTGTGATTGTTCAAAAAAAGCTGTTGACTTGCTGACCTCATATAGACATAGATGCATTGGGAAGCAAGCTCCAGATGAGGTCCAGCAGGAATATATATATTCCTATATATATATATACACACACACATGTATATCCACACACATACATATACACATATATATACACGTGTGTGTATATGTATATATGTATATGTATATATACACACACGTGTATATATATGTATATACACATATGTATACATATGTATATATATACGCACACGTGGTGGATTGTTGTAAAATGATCCCAATGAATCACACCTCCCTGAATTCACATCTTTGTGTGGTTGCTTCTTGAAGGGAATCTGGCTTTAGGATTTGCTTAAACCAACAGAATATTGTAGGGTTGGGCACAGTGGCTCATGCCTGTAATCCCAGCACTTTGAGAGGCTGAAGCGGGAGGATTACTTGAGGCCAGGAGTTCAAGACCAGCCTGGGCAACATGGCAAGACCCCGTTTTTCAAAAAAAATGAAAAATCCTCTCCCTCTCCCGCTCCCCCTCCCCCTCCCTCTCCCTCTCCCTCTCCCCATGGTCTCCCTCTCCTTCTCTTTCCACGGTCTCCCTCTGATGCTGAGCCGAAGCTGGACTGTACTGCTGCCATCTCGGCTCACTGCAACCTCCCTGCCTGATTCTCCTGCCTCAGCCTGCCGAGTGCCTGTGATTGCAGGCACGCGCCGCCACGCCTGACTGGTTTTCGTATTTTTTTGGTGGAGATGGGGTTTCGCTGTGTTGGCTGGGCTGATCTCCAGCTCCTAACCGCGAGTGATCCGCCAGCCTCGGCCTCCCGAGGTGCCGGGATTGCAGACGGAGTCTGGTTCACTCAGTGCTCAATGGTGCCCAGGCTGGAGTGCAGTGGCGTGATCTCAGCTCGCTACAACCTCCACCTCCCAGCCGCCTGCCTTGGCCTCCCAAAGTGCCGAGATTGCAGCCTCTGCCCGGCTGCCACCCCGTCTGGGAAGTGAGGAGCGTCTCTGCCTGGCCGCCCATCGTCTGGGACGTGAGGAGCCCCTCTGCCTGGCTGCCCAGTCTGGAAAGTGAGGAGCGTCTCTGCCCGGCCGCCATCCCATCTAGGAAGTGAGGAGCGCCTCTTCCCGGCCGCCATCCCATCTAGGAAGTGAGGAGCGTCTCTGCCCAGCCGCCCATCGTCTGAGATGTGGGGAGCGCCCCGTCTGGGATGTGAGGAGCGCCTCTACCCGGCCGCGACCCCGTCTGGGAGGTGAGGAGCGTCTCTGCCTGGCTGCCCCGTCTGAGAAGTGAGGAGACCCTCCGCCTGGCAACCGCCTCGTCTGAGAAGTGAGGAGCCCCTCCGCCCAGCAGCCGCCCCGTCCGGGAGGGAGGTGGGGGTCAGCCCCCCGCCCGGCCAGCCGCCCCGTCCGGGAGGTGAGGGGTGCCTCTGCCCGGCCGCCCTTACTGGGAAGTGAGGAGCCCCTCTGCCCGGCCAGCCGCCCCGTCCGGGAGGGAGGTGGGGGGGGTCAGCCCCCCGCCCGGCCAGCCGACCCGTCCGCGAGGGAGGTGGGGGGTCAGCCCCCCGCCCGGCCAGCCTCCCCGTCCAGGAGGTGAGGGGCGCCTCTGCCCGGCCGCCCCTACTGGGAAGTGAGGAGCCCCTGTGCCCGGCCAGCCGCCCCGTCCGGGAGGGAGGTGGGGGGGGTCAGCCCCCCGCCCGGCCAGCCGCCCCGCCCGGGAGGTGAGGGGCGCCTCTGCCCGGCCGCCCCTACTGGGAAGTGAGGAGCCCCTCTGCCTGGCCACCACCCCGTCTGGGAGGTGTACCCAACAGCTCATTGAGAACGGGCCATGATGACAATGGCGGTTTTGTGGAATAGAAAGGGGGGAAAGGTGGGGAAAAGATTGAGAAATCGGATGGTTGCTGTGTCTGTGTAGAAAGAGGTAGACATGGGAGACTTTTCATTTTGTTCTGTACTAAGAAAAATTCTTATCCTGTTGATCTGTGACCTTACCCCCAACCCTGTGCTCTCTGAAACATGTGCTGTGTCCACTCAGGGTTAAATGGATTAAGGGCGGTGCAAGATGTGCTTTGTTAAACAGATGCTTGAAGGCAGCATGCTCGTTAAGAGTCATCACCACTCCCTAATCTCAAGTACCCAGGGACACAAACACTGCGGAAGGCCGCAGGGTCCTCTGCCTAGGAAAACCAGAGACCTTTGTTCACTTGTTTATCTGCTGACCTTCCCTCCACTATTGTCCTATGATGCTGCCAAATCCCTCTCTGCGAGAAACACCCAAGAATGATCAATAAAAAATAAAAAATTAAAAATAAAAATAAAAATAAAATAAAATAAAATAAAACAAAATAAAATAAAATAAAAAAATGAAAAATTAGCATGGTGTGACAGTGCTTGGTTGTGGTCCCAGCTACTTGGGAGGCTGAAGTTGAGCCTAGGAGGTCAAGGCTGCAGTGCACCAAGATTGCACCACTGCACTCCAGCCTGGGCAACAGAGCATTACCCTTCTAAAAAAAAAAAAAAGAAGAAGAAGAAGAATATTGTTGAACTAACATTTTGTGAGTTCTAGACCCTGCAAAAGCTTGTGCCTCCACTTTCTTGGGACCTGAAATTTAAAGAAGCTCAGACAGACGATTTAATGATGAAAGACCACATGGCCAGAGAGGGCCCACCTTTCCAGTCAGTCCTGCCAAACCTCCAGATATATGGATGAGGCTTTCTTGGACCACCAGCTTCAGCTGACCCATCCGATGGATGCAGCAAGATGACTGAGCTCATAAGACCAGAAGAAAAACCTCCCAGAGAACCAACGTAACACAGAATTGTGAGAAACAATAAACCACTGTTGTCTTAAGCTATTAATTTTGCTTGTTTGTTTTTGCACCAAAAGGCAACTGAGGCAACACCCAACTTGCAAGAACCAGATTCCTTAAGTATTGGGGGACTATACATTTAGCATTATACAGGAAAGAGAAAAGAGAGGGAGAGCATGAGAACTGAAGAAATGTCTGAGAAGTCAGACATAGAAAGAACCTCTATCACTTTGCATGAAGACTTCACAGCATGTTTACTTCCTCTCCGGTAACAAATACCGCATGAAAAGAGACATCCATTTGCTATAAGTCCATGAGTGATGAGTCACAAAATATGCCTTACACACCAGAGATTCAAAAATAAATTTATTTTTAGCTGGGTGTGTTGGCACACGCCTGTAATCCCAGCTGCTAGGTAGGCTGAGGCAGGAGAATCACTTGAACCCAGGAGGTGGAGGTTGCTCCAACCTGGGCGACAGAGTGAGACTCTGTCTCAAAATAAATAAATAAATAAATAAATTAATTAATTAATTAATTTATTTATTTGTATTTCATAGCCAAGTATATCTGCTTCCTCAACATTTTGTCAATGAAAAAGTCTGTATTTTATGGATTGTTTTTACTACTCTGTAAATGGAATCTCAATAAGTTGTATTACTTTTAAAATCAGAAGAAAGGCACACCTAACATACGAGTACTGTAGTATATAAAAATAAGTTTAAATTTTTTTAATTTTTAATTTTTATGGGTATATGTTGGATGTATATATTTATGGTGTACATGAGATATTTTGATACAGACATTCAATGTGTAGTAATCACATCAAGATAAATGTGGTATCCATCATGTCAAACATTCATCATTTCTTTGTGTTATGAGCATTCCAATTGTCTCTCTCAGTTATTCTAAAATGTACAGCAAATTATTGTTAACTGTAATAACCCTGTGGTGCTATCAAGTACTAGGTCTTTAACTATATTTTTGTACCCATTAACCATCCTTACTCCCCTCTCCCCACTAAACCTTTGCAGCCACTGGTAGCCATCTTTCTATTCTCTATCTCCATGAGTTTCATTGTTTTAACTTTTAGCTTCCACAAATGAGTGAGAACATGCAAAGTTTGCCTTTCTGTGCCTGGCTTATTTCTTCTTTTTTCTGAGGTGGAGTTTTGCTCTTGTTGCTCAGGCTGGAGTGCAGTGGAGTGACCTCAGCTCACTGCAACCTCTGCTTACTGGGTTCAAACGATTCTTCTGCCTCACCCTCCCCAGTAGCTGGGATTACAGGCATCCACCACCAGGCCCGGCTAATTTTTTCATATTTTTAGGAGAGACGGGGTTCCCCCATGTTGACCAGACTGGTCTCGAACTCCTGACCTCAGGTGATCCACCCACCTCGGCCTCCCAAAGTGCTGGGATTACTGGCGCAAGCCACCACGCCCAGCCTTGCCTGGCTTACTTTACTTAACATGATGACCTGGCCAGGCATAGTGGCTTACGCCTGTAATCCCAGCACACTGGGAGGCCGAGGCAGGTGCATCACCTGAAGTTACGAGTTCAAGACCAGCCTGACCAACATGGTGAAACACCGTCTCTACTAAAAATACAAAAATTAGCTGGATGTGGTGGCACACGCCTGTAGCCCCAGCTACTCAGGGAGGCTGAGGCAGGAGAATCGCTTGAACCTGGGAGGCGGAGGTTGCAGTGAGCCGGGATCTCCAGCCTGGCGACAGAGCAAGACTCTGTCTCATAAATAAGTAAATAAATAAATAAATAAATACATAAAACATGATGAACTTCGGTTCCGCCCATGTTGCTGCAAATGACAAGATCTTATTTATTTATTTATTTAGAGACAGAGTCTTGCTCTGTCGCCCAGGCTGGAGTGCATGGTGTGATCTCGGCTCACTGCAACCTCTGCCTCCCAAGTTCAAGTGATTCTCATGCCTCAGCCTCCCTGAGTAGCTGGGATTACAGGCGCCTGCCACCAGGCCAGGCTAATTTTTGTATTTTTAGCAGAGATGGGGGTTTCGCCATGTTGGCCAGGATGGTCTCGAACTCCGGACCTCAGGTGATCCACTTGCCTTGGCCTCCCAAAGTGCCTGGATTACAGGCATGAGCCACTGCGCCCAGCTGTACCACGTTTTCTTTATCCATTCGTGTGTTGTTGGACACTTAGGTTGCCTCCAAATCATGGCTATTGTGAACAATGCTGCAATAAACATGGGACTTTATATCTCTTCAATATACTGACTTCCTTTCTTTTGGGTGTATACCCAGCAGTGGGATTGCTGGATCATATGGTAGTTCTATTTTTGGTTTTTTGAAGAATCTCCATATTGTTCTTCATGGTGGCTTTACTAATTTACGTTCCCACCAGCAGTGTACAACGGTTCCCCTTTCTCGACGTCCTCAATAGCATTTGTATTGCCTGCCTTTTGGTCAAAAGTCATTTTAACTGAGGTGAGATAATATCTCATTGTAGTTTTGATTTGCATTTCTCTGATGATCAATTATGTTAAGCATCTTTTCAAATACCTGTTGGCCATTTGTATGTTTTCTTGTGAGAAATGTCTTTTCAGATCTTTTGCCCATTTTTTAATCAGCTTATTAGATTTTTCCCTGTTGAGTTGTTTGAACTCCTCATATACTCTTGTTATTAATCCCTTGTCAGATGGGATAGTTTGCAAATATTTTCTCCCATTCTCTGGGTTGTCTCTTCACTTTGTTGTCTGTGTTTCCTTTGTTGTGCAGAAGCATTTTAACTTGATGTGATCCTATTTGTCAATTTTTACTTTGGTTGCCTGTGTTTTGTTATCATTATTATTTTTGTTTTGTTTTGTTTTGAGATGGAGTCTCGCTCTGTTGTCCAGGCTGGAGTGCAGTGGTGCCATCTCAGCTCACTGCAAGCTCTGCCTTCCGGGTTCATGCGATTCTCCTGCCTCAGCCTCCCGAGTAGCTAGGACTACAGGCACCCGCCACCATGCCCAGCTAATTTTTTGTATTTTTAGCAGAGATGGGGTTTCATCATGTTAGCCAGGATGGTCTCGATCTCCTGACCTCGTGATCTGCCAGCCTTGGCCTCCCAAAGTGCTGGGATTACAGGCGTGAGCCACCGCCCCCGACCCTATTATCATTATCATTATTATTTATTGAGATGGAGTCTCGCTCTGATGTCCAGGCTGGAGTGCAGTGGCGCCATCTTGATTCACTGCAACCTCCTGCCTCCTGGGTTCAAGCGATTCTCCTGCCTCAGCCTCTCAAATAGCTGGGATTACAGGCATGCACTGCCACCACACCTGGATAATTTTTTTTTTTTGTATTTTTAGTAGAGATGGGGTTTCACCATGTTGGCCAGGCTGGTCTTGAACTCCTGACCTCAAGTAATCCGCCCGCCTTGGCCTCCTAAAGTGTTGGGATCACAGGTGTGAGCCACTGTGCCAGGGCGATTGCCTGTGTTTTACGCATAAAAATAAGTTCATGCAGGCCGGGCGCGGTGGCTCACGCCTGTAATCCCAGCACTTTGGGAGGCCGAGGCGGGTGGATCATGAGGTCAGGAGATCGAGACCATCCTGGCTAACAAGGTGAAACCCCGTCTCTACTAAAAATACAAAAAATTAGCCGGGCGCGGTGGCGGGCGCCTGTGGTCCCAGCTACTCGGGAGGCTGAGGCAGGAGAATGGCATGAACCCGGGAAGCGGAGCTTGCAGTGAGCCGAGATTGCGCCACTGCAGTCCGCAGTCCGGCCTGGGCGACAGAGCGAGACTCCGTCTCAAAAAAAAAAAAAAAAAAAAAAAAAAAAAAAGGCCGGGCGCGGTGGCTCACGCCTGTAATCCCAGCACTTTGGGAGGCCGAGGCGGGCGGATCACGAGGTCAGGAGATCGAGACCATCCTGGCTAACACGGTGAAACCCCGTCTCTACTAAAAATACAAAAAATTAGCCGGGCGTGGTAGCGGGCGCCTGTAGTCCCAGCTACTCGGGAGGCTGAGGCAGGAGAATGGCGTGAACCCGGGAGGCGGAGCTTGCAGTGAGCCGAGATCACGCCACTGCACTCCAGCCTGGGCGACAGAGCGAGACTCCGTCTCAAAAAAAAAAAAAAAAAAATAAGTTCATGCAATTGGTAACTGTGTTATTTAGAAAGCATAACTGTTATTTTATAAACAAATGTATATATTGCCTTACTCCCCCTCCTCCTTCTCCCCTGCCCTGATTATTCTTGAGTGGATTTAAGAGTTATAGATGCTGGTCAGGCTTCTATATTAATAACTTCCACCAAGCTGCTACTTTTTCTCCATGTTGAGCTCAGGTCAGGAACCCTGAACTCCCAGCTGGTGCTAGAAACCCATTGGGGCTTGAGAGTTTGGCTTGTGACTGCTTCATGTGGGGCCTGCAGATGTAGCAAACAACTTTGCCTTGGGGCTTACACAGATCATTCTTACAGTATCACAGAGGTTTAGGGGGGCACCTTGAAGTCTGAGGCCCTGTAAGAATAAATCTTAAAGGGATCCGGTTCTAAAGATTCTTCAGTGAGGGTTTGAACTATGAGGTTGATGAGCCAGATACAAGGCTGCCCAGTCTATAAGCAGATCCCTGTCACAGTTGTGTTGCGTCTGCTCCTGATCAATTCATTTAGGCAGACTGCGAGGAGAGGAATGTGTCTCAGAGGTCAATAGAAGCAACCTGTAGAAACTGAGACCTGCCTATCTACAACAGCCCAGTGGTATATGTGATGGGGTTACTGAGCAGTCTGTAGGCAAGATTGGCCTCCATTTACATTACTATTTCACATTGGTTCAACTGTACAAAAAAATAGGTTTAAACTTTCTTTTTTTTTTTGAGACAGGATCTTGCTGTGTCACCCAAGCTGGAGTGCAGTGGTGCAATCTTGGCTCAGTGCAGCCTTGATATCCCAGGCTCAAGTGATCCTCCCACCTCAGCCTCTCAAGTAGCTGGGACTACAGGCATGCACCACCATGTGTGGCCTATTTTTGTATTTTTTTTTTTTTTTGAGATGGTGTCTCACTCTTGTTGCCCAGGCTGGAGTGCAGTGGTGCAATCTCGGCTCACCACAACTCCACCTCCCGGGTTCAAGTGATTCTTCTGCCTCAGCCTTCCGAGTAGCTGGGACTACAGGTGCATGCCACTACGCCTGACTAATTTTTGTATTTTTAGTAGAGATGGGATTTCACGATATTGGTCAGGCTGTTCTTGAACTCCTGACCTCAGGTGATCTGCCCACCTTGGCTTCCCAAAGTGCTGGGATTACAAGTGTGAGCCACTGTGCCCCGCCATATATAGGCATGAGCCACCGTGCCTGGCCCAGACTTTAGTTTTCTTAACATTGCAATATAAAAATTCTGGAATAGAAGGCCAGTGGCTCACGCCTGTAATCCTAGCACTTTGAGAAGCCAAGGCAGGCAGATCACTTGAGCTCAGGAGGTCGAGACCAGCCTGGGCAACATGGTGAAACCCCATCTCTACAAAAAATTAGCTGGTCGTGGTGGTTCACGCCTGTAATCCCAGCTATTTTTGGGGCTGAAGTGGGAGGATTGCTTGAGCCAGGGAAGTCGAGGCTGCAGTGAGCTGAGATCTCACCACTGCACTCCAGCTTATGTGACAAAGTGAGACGCTGTCAAAAGAAAGGAAGGGAGGGAGGGAGGGAAGGAGGAAGGAAGGAAGGAAGGACGGAGGAAGGAAGGAAGGAAAAGAAAGATTGATTCTGGAGTACAAAGTGAGATGCTGTCGAAAGGAAGGGAGGGAGGAAGGAAGGAAGGAAGGAAGAAAGGAAGGAAGGAAGGAAAAGAAAAATTGATTCTGGAGTAGAAATTAAATTACAGGCTGAGTGCTGTGGCTCACACCTGTAATCCCAACACTTTGGGAAGCTGAGGTGGGAGAATTGCTTAAACTCAGGAGTCTGAGACCAGCCTGGGCAACATGGGGAAACCCCGTCTCTACAAAAAACAAACAATAAAAAACAAACAATAAAATTTAGTGGAAGCCAGGGCTCACGCCCTGTCATCATGGCACTTTGGGACACTGAGGCAGGATGATCACCTGAGGTCAGGAGATTGAGATCAGCCTGGACAACATGGAGAAACCCCACCTCTACTAAAAATATGCCGCGTCTGGTGGTGGGCACCTGTAATCCCAGCTGCTTGGGAGGCTGAGATTGTGCTACTGCTCTTCAGCCTGGGCGACACAGCAAGACCCTGTCTTAAAAAAAAAAAAAAAAAAGGCAGGACGTGGTGGCTCATGCCTGTAATCCCAGCACTTTGAGAGGCCGAGGAGGGGAGGTCACCTGAGGTCAGGAGCTCCAAGACCAGCCTGGCCAACATAGTGAAACCTGCCTCTACTAAAAACACAAAAAAATTAGCTAGGCATGGTGGCATGTACCTGTAATCCCAGCTACTAGGGAGGCTGAGGCAGGAGAATCGCTTGAACCCGGGAGGCGGAGGTTGCAGTGAGCTGCGATGGCGTCCCTGCACTCCAGCCTGGGCGACAGAGTGAGACTCCATCTCAAAAATCAAAAAACAAAAAGCCTAGCGGGCGTGGTGGGTAGCACCTGTAGTCCCAGCTACTTGGGGGACTGAAGTGGAAGCATCACTTGAGCCCAGGAGGTCGAGGCTGCCGTGAGTCAAGACTGTGCTATTGCAGTCCAAGCCTGGTGACAAAATGAGATCCTGTCTCAAAAAAAAAAAAAAAGAAAAAAAAGTATGAAGTGTATTGACTTTTTTCTAAATTTAAAAAGTTTTGAGGATTAGATGTGAAATACTGGGAATGCTTTAAAATCAATGCAATCACTAGTATAACCATTTTAGAAAACTTTTGGCTGTATGTGCTAAAAATGCACACAGATATAACCTATGACTCAGCAATTCCATTTCTAAATATATACACATATTCACCAAAAACCTCATATAAGGGTGTTCACAGCAACATTATTCATAATAGCTTAAGTTGGAGACAACCCAATCACCGATGACTGGTGGAATCACCTATCCATCAGAATCTAGGGGGGACACAGAAATTATTTACTTTTTATTGAAGTTGGACCAATTATTTTATTTTATTTTATTTTTTATTTTTTTGAGATGGAGTCTCGCTCTGTCGCCCAGGTTGGAATGCAATGGCACGATCTCAGCTCAGTGCAACCTCCGCCTCCCAGGTTCAAGAGATTCTCCTGCCTCAGCCTTCTGAGTAGCTGGGACTACAGGCGCGTGCCACCATGCCCAGCTAATTTTTTGTATTTTTAGTAGAGACCATGTTAGCCAGGGTGGTCTCAATCTGCCCACCTCGGCTTCCCAAAGTGCTGAGATTACAGGCATGAGCCACTGTGCCCAGCTGGACCAATTATTTTATAATAAAAAAATTAACGAATTGTTTGTTTGAACAGGTATTAGAGAACTAAGTAAAGGGGATACTGAACTAACCCACTAATAAATCAGGAATCAGCACCCATATCTGGGGCTGGGAAACACAGTTAGCAGTAAGGGTTATCAGACCTCAGAAGCTTAGAGGAGGGAGCTGGGACCCAGATGTATAAAGAGGGAGTACTCCCAGGAGTTGCTATTATTTCTAGGGGAATATAATGAGGCTGATTTGAGGAGCTCCGTGAAACCTGGGACTGGAACCATTGCTGTCCCTGTGATAAAGAGCCAGTGCTGAGACGACGGTGACCAAAAGGCCAGCAAACAGGAAGTAACATTTCCCTGCTCCTGTTCCTCTTCTCCAGGCTTCCAGTCTCCCTCTAGTGACCCCAACTGGCAGAATTAATGGCGGAGCACATTGGCAAAGGAGAAATAAGATCACATTTCCTCTATTATAAATGTGGCTTGGCGTGGCTCATCCCAGCCCTTTGGGAGGCCTAGGTGGACAGACTACTTGAGGTCAGGAGTTTGAGACAAGCCTGGCCAACATGGTGAAACCCCGTCTCTACTAAAAATACAAAAATTAGCTTGGCGTGGTTGTGCATGCCTGTAATTCCAGCTACTCAGGAGGCTGAGGCAGGAGAATCGCTTGAAACTGGGAGGCGGAAGTTGCAGTGAGCCAAGATGTGGCCACTACACTCCAGCCTGGGCGACAAGAGCGAAACTCTGTCTCAAAACCAAACCAAAACAAAACAAAACAAAACAGCAAATAAACAAATGTGGCCACAACTCCCCCCTCACAAAGCTGATAATAGAATGGTGGGTTTGGGGCTGAGATAGTAGTTTAATAAATAATGTGAAGACATTTTTAAAATATGGCATATTCATACAATGAAATACTATAAAACAATGAAAAGATTGTACAGACAACACATGGGTGAGGCTCACAAACAAAACGTTGAAAAAAACCAGCCAAATACAAGAGTAATTAGTGTAGGGTTCCATTTCCATAAAATTTAAAAGCAGGCAGCATGAATCTGTGGGGTTAGGAATTAGAATAGAGGCTATCTTGGTAGGGGCAGTGACTGAGGAGAGAGGAGGGGGACTTTTGGGATACTGGTAATATGCAATTGTCTTTTTTTTTTTTTTTTTAGACGGAGTGTCGCTCTTGTTGCCCAAGCCGGAGTGCAGTGGTGCCATCTCCACTCACCGCAACCTCCACCTCCCAGATTCAAGCAATTCTCCTGCCTCAGCCTCCTGGTAGCTAGGATTACAGGCGCGCGCCACTATGCTCAGCTAATTTTTGTATTTTTAGTAGAGATGGGGTTTCACCATGTTGGTCAGGCTGGTCTCAAACTCCTGACCTCAGGTGATCTGCCTGCCTCGGCCTCCCAAAGTGCTGGGATTACAGATGTGAGCCACCGTGCCCAAACTATTTTTTTTATTCTTAATTTTTTGAGATGGAGTCTTAACCTGTTGCTCAGGCTGGAGTGCAGTGGCACCATCTCGGCTCACCACAATCTCTGCCTCCTGGTTCAAGTGATTCTCCTGCCTCAGCCTCCTGAGTAGTTGGGATTACAGGTGCCTGCCACCACGCCTGGCTAATTTTTGTATTTTTAGTAGAGACGGGGTTTTGCCATGTTGGCCAGGCTGGTCTCGAACTTCTGACCTCAAGTCATCTGCCTGCCTGGGCCTCACCAAAGTGCTGGGGGAGGCAGAGTTTGCAGTGAGCCGAGATGGTGCCACTACACTCCAGCCTAGGCAACAGAGGGTCTCAAAATAAAAAAAAATAAAAAAAATTTTTTTACATTGAATCTCTTTCATTAGTTACAATAAAATGGAAAGCAAATTCTTTTTTTTTTTTTTTTTTTTAAGACGGAGTCTCACTCTGTCTCCTAGGCTGGAGAGCAGTGGCACGATCTCAGCTCACTGCAAGCTCTGCCTCCAGGGTTCACGCCATTCTCCTGCCTCAGCCTCCCTAGTAGCTGGGACTACAGGCGCCTGCCACCACACCCAACTAATTTTTTGTATTTTTAGTAGAGACGGGGTTTCACCGTGTTAGCCAGGATGGTCTCGATCTCCTGACCTCGTGATCCGCCCGTCTCGGCCTCCCAAAGTGCTGGGATTACAGGCGTGAGCCACCGCGCCCGGCCGGCAAGCAAATTCTTATACTCAGAGAGCTCAAGCATTTGAGAAATGAGTATTATATCAGAGCTATATCCATGTTCTAAGACTTGGAAGAAATGGAGCCCAGGGTGTTAAACTTAGCACAGATTATGGCCAGATCTTCTAATCTATTTGATTATGTCCTGGCATATTAGACATTATTCTAAATTTTAATACAGCCCCAGGTAAATCTTTGGGCATCATTTTTGAACTGGCTTATGTAAGAGTCTCCTATACTATTTTATTTATAACAAACTTGTCACTATTGGTGATTTTCTCTAGACAATCCAGTCCCTATTCCTTTTTGTTTTGTCTGAATGTTGAACTGAAAATTCCCTTTGATATCTACTGCTTAAATAAATAGCAGAATAAGAGCCTCTAAAGATTCTCACTTGAAATCAGAGGCATTTAAAGGAAAGAAGGAATGACCCCTTGTGGTGATTTTAAAATATGTCCAGCATTCTTTGATAATCCTCCCTTCCAGAAAGGGACTTAATTCCCCTTCTTTAAGCATGTGCTGTACTTATTTCTGATGATTAGAATGTGGCAGAAATGATGGATTGTGACTTCTGAGGGTAGGTCATAAAAGGCATTGAAGTTTCTCCCTTGTTATCTCTTGGATCATTCACTCTGGGGGAAGCCAGCCACTCAAGCAGTCCTATGAAGGGGTCCGTGCAGTGAGGAAATGAGGCCTCTGCAACAGCTATGCAAGTGAATTATCTTGGTAACAGGTCTTTCAGCCTCCGTCAAGCCTTCAGATGACTGCGGCCTCAAGTGACATCTTGACTCACCAGCTAAACTGCTCCCAAATTGCTGGACCACAAAAACTGTGAGTTATGAAATGTTTATTTTTTTAAGCTACTAAATTTGGGAGAAATTTGTTATACAGCAATAGATAAATAACACATTGCTTAACATGGCACATATATATGATCAGCTAATATTTATTGAATGCTTAGATACTTCTATAAGTGTTTCATGTGAACTAAGTCATTTAATCCTCCAAACAGACATGCTTAGGTACTCCTCCAAGTATTTTATGGGAATTAACTCATTAAATCCTCACAACAAATTTGTAGGGTAGGTAATATTACTATCTACATTTTGCAGATCAGGCAGTTAAGGCACAGAGAGACTAATTTGCTCAAGCTGGCCCAGGTAAATAATGGCAGAACTAGCCCTTGAACTCTGGCAGTCTGGCTCTGCCACTCTCTTCTATGTTACACTATTATGATGGTGCTATTGCCACTGAGAAGTACGCTATAGTGAAACAACAAAAGACAGGTTTAAGCTTCATAATTGAATGGGCAGATTAGATATAAATAAACTTTAAAGAATTTAAAAGCCTTGGAGGTGCTTTTAAAAGGAGGCTTGGGCCAGCCTGGCCAACATGGTGAAACCCTAAAATTTTAGTCTCTACTAAAAATACAAAAATTAGCTAGGCGTGGTGGCATATGCCTGTAATCCCAGCTCCTAGGGAGGCTGAGGCAGGAGAATCGCTTGAACCTGGGAGGCGGAGGTTCCAGTGAGCTGAGGTTGCGCCATTGCACTCCAGCCTGAGCTTCAAGAGCAAAACTCCGTCTCAAAAAAAAAAAAAAAAAAAGGAGGCTGGGTTTTCATCCATTAAAGGCCCCAAGACGGGTGATATGACTTCCCGTCTTTTTCCAATTCTATGACGTATTAAATACACCTTCTAAGATGCAACATGATTTAGTGACTCCACTGGGAGATATCATAATCCAATTGGTTTTACAACATTCTTTTCATTTTCTATTACATTTGGGAAAAATTAATACTATGTGGACATTTTGAGTTTCATTGTAACAGATTGGGGAAAAATACATATGTACTGCCTTTTTCACTTATTTTGGACTGCTATGGAGACCAAAATATATCCAGTTTTATAAATATTTAATACTTCCCTTTATTAATTATAATATTTGCATAACTAATTTCATTTATGCAATAAATATGGTCGAATAAAAAAGTTTAAATCATCCTCATTACATTATTTATCTTAAAAATTCCTTTAAAACCGGTTGGGTGCGGTGGTTCACACCTGTAATCCCAGCACTTCGGGAAGCCGAGGTGAGTGGGTCACTTGAGGTCAGGAGTTCAAGACCAGCCTGGCCAACATGGTGAAACCCCGTCTTTACTAAAAATACAAAAAAAAATTAGCAGGGCATGGTGCTAGGTGCCTGTAATCCCAGCTACTCGGAAGGCTGAGGCAGGAGAATCTCTTGAACCCATGAGGCGGAGGTTGTAGTGAGCTCAGATGGTGCCACTGTACTCCAGCCTGGGTGATAGAGTGAGACTCAGTCTCCCAAAAAAAAAAATTACTTTAAAATATCACTCTAGGCCAGGTGTGGTGGCTCATGCCTGTAATCCCAGCACTTTGGGAGGCTGAGGCAGGTGGATAACAAGGTGAGGAGTTCGAGACCAGCCTCGCCAATATGGTGAAACCCCGTCTCTAAAAAATATACAAAAATTACCCGGGCATGGTGGCGTGTGCCTATAGTCCCCGCTACTCAGGAGGCTGAGGCAGGAGAATTGTTTGAACCTGGGAGGCGGAGGTTGCAGTGAGGCGAGATCATGCCACTGTGCTCCAGCCTGGGCAACAGAATGAGACTTCATCTCAAAAAAAAAAAAAAAAGAAAGTCACTCAAGGGGGTCGGGCATGGTGGCTCATGCCTTTAATCCCAGCACTTTCGTAGGCCGAGGCGGGTGGATCACGACGTCAAAAGATCGAGACCATCCTGGCCAACATGGTGAAACCACGTCTCTATTAAAAATACAAAAATTAGCTGGGTGTGCTGGTGTGCACCTGTAGTCCCAGCTACTCGGGAAGCTGAGGCAGGAGAATTGCTTGTACCCATGAGGCGGAAGTTGTAGTGAGCTGAGATCACGCCATTGCACTCCAGCCTGGGCAACAAGAAGCAAACTCTATCTCAAAGAAACAAAATAAGTAAAAACAATAATAAAAGCATCCACTAAAAATAAAAATAAAAAAATAAAATGTCACTCTACATTGTGCTGCATTTCTGAAGAAATACTTAATTTCAAAGTCAACAGAGACTAGGTTTGTAATTCTCTTCCTTCCTTTCCTTCCTTCCTTCCTTCCTCCCTTCCTCCCTCCCTCTATTTCTTTCTCTCTCTCTCTCTCTTTCTCTCTTTCTTTCTTTCTCTTTCTCTTTCTTTCTTTCTCTCTCTTTCTTTCTCTCTCTTTCCTCTCCTCTCCTCCTCCTCCTCCTCTTCCTTCTCCCCTCCCCCTCCCCTTCCTCCTCCTCCTTCTCCTCCTACTATTCTTCTTCCTCTTCTTCTTCTTTTCTCTCTCTCTCTCCCTTTCTTTCTTTCAAGACGGAGTGTCGCTCTGTTGCCCAGGCTGGAGTGCAGTGGCGCAATCTCAGCTCACTGCAAGCTCTGCCTCCCAGGTTCACACCATTCTCCTGCCTCAGCCTTCCAAGTAGCTGGGACTACAGGCACCTGCCACCACGCCCAGCTTTGTATTTATAGTAGATATGAGATTTCGCCGTGTTAGCCAGGATGTTCTCTATCTCCTGACCTCGTGATCTGCCTGCCTCAGCCTCCCAAAGTGCTGGGATTACAGGCATGAAGCCACCACGCCTGGCTATCATTTAACTTATCTTTTTAAGATGTATGGTCTCATTGTTCAGGCTGGACTCAACTACTGGAGTCAAACTACTGGACTGAAGCTGACAGGACAGGTGAGCACCTCTGTGCCCCACTTACCATTCTTTCTAAAAGCTACTAGCCGGGCGTGGTGGCTCATGCCTGTAATCCCAGCACTTTGAGAGGTCGAGGCAGGCAGATCACCTGAGGTCGGGAGTTCGAGACCAGCCTGTCCAACACGGAGAAACCCCGTCTCTACTAAAAATACAAAATTAGCCAGGTGTGGTGGCGCATGCCTGTAATCCCAGCTACTTGGAATGCTGAGGCAGGAGAATCGCTTGAACCTGGGAGGCGGAGGTTGCGGTGAGCCGACATCATGTTATTGCACTCCAGCCCGAGCAACAAGAGTGAAACTGTGTCTCAAAAAAATAAATAAATAAAAATAATTTTAAAAAACATCACTATAGTATGTGTAAAGCTAATTGATAATTAATTTGGTATACTTTAATTCAATAAATTCAAAGCAATTCATAAATATCTGATTTGCAAAGATAGTTTTCTTCTAATTTATAGAAGTAAAAAGGACTGGCAAGATAGCTTTAAGTTCTTTTTTTTTGTTTTGGGAGACAGAGTCTTGCTCTGTTGCCCAAGCTGGAATGTGCAGTGGTGCAATCTCGGCTCACTGCAACTTCTGTCTCCCAGGTTCAAGCAATTCTCCCACCTCAGCCTCCTGAGTGGCTGGGATTACAGGGGTGCACAACCATACCCCGCTAATTTTTGTATTTTTAGTAGAGACGGGGTTTCACCATGTTGTCCGGGCTGATCTGGAACTCCTGACCTCAGGTGATTCGCCCGCCTTGGCCTCCCAAAGTGCTGGGATTACAGGCATGAGCCACTGTGCCCAGCCAGCTTTAAGTTCTTTAATTCAGTGTTACCTTCTCGGTGAGGCCTTCTTGAACCATACTCCCAACAGATTGTTGATTTTTTTTGCTTTCAGTTTTTTTTTTAAATTTATTTTTTAGTTGATAGAGGTGGGGGGGTCTCACTATGTTCCCCAGGCTAGTCTTGAACTCCTGGGCTCAAGCAATCCTCTTGCTTTGGACTTTCAAAGTGCTAGAGTTACAGGTGTGAACCACTCCATCCAGTCACTTTCTGTTTTTTGTTTTGTTTTGTTTTGTTTTTGAGATGGAGTCTCACTCTGTTGCCCAGGCTGGAGGGCAGTGGCAAGATCTTGGCTCACTACAACCTCCACCTCCTAGGTTCAAGTGATTCTCCTCCCTCAGCCTCCTGAGTAGCTGGGATTATAGGCATGTGCCGCCACGCCTAGCTAATTCTTGTATTTTTAGTAGAGATGGGGTTTCACCTTGTTGGCCAGGATGGTAGGTCTCGATCTCCCAATCTCATGTCCCGCCCACCTTGGCCTCCCAAAGGGCTGGGATTACAGGCGTAAGCCACCGCGCCCGGCTGTTTTGTTTTGTTTTTAAATAAAAATGATCACCATCTAGTAAACATAATATATATTTCACATATTTATGTTGTTTATTTTCTGTTTTCTGGCAGTAGAATGTAAGCTCCATGAAGGCAGGGACATTTCTGTGTGCTTTGTTCACTGCTATAGAATCAGTGTCTAGAATAATGCTTGCTACATAATAGGTATTTGATAAGTATTTGTTGAAAATTGAATGCAAAAATCCAACAAACAGATTGGCGATGTATCTCCCAACTGTTAAGAATTACTATTATTGGATATTTATCTTATTTGATTATCGAACTGACCTATGAGGACTAGTATTAGTACATGTTGTTATCACTTTCCAGATGTTGTAATTAAGTAACTTGCCAAAGGTCGTGCAGAAATTAAGTAGCAGAAATGGGTTTTAATGTTAGGCTAAGTGAAAGACTCTGGCCACAAATTGGCTGGGCGCGTGGCTCACGCCTGTAATCCCAGCACTTTGAGAGGCCGAGGCGGGCGGATCATGAGGTCAGGAGTTTGAGACCAGCCTGGCCAATATGGTGAAACCCCATCTCCACTAAAAATACAAAAATTAGCTGGGCATGGTGGTGTGCACCTGTAGTCCCAGCTACTTCGGAGGCTGAGGCAGGAGAATCGCCTGAACCCGGGAGGCAGAGGTTGCGGTGAGCCGAAATCATGCCACTGCACTCCAGCCTGGGCGACAGAATGAGGCTCCGTCTCAAAAAAAAAAAAAAAGAAAGAAAGAAAGAAAGAAAGACTCTGGCCACAAAAGGCCACGTATTGTATGATTCCATTTACATGAACTGTCCAGAACAGGCAAGCCTATAGAGACAGGAAGTACATTAGTGGCTGCCTAGGCCTAGTGCAGGGGAAAGTTGGAGGAAATGGGGAGTGTCTGCTAATCTGTATGGAGTTCTTTTTGGGGGGAGCAATTTTTTTTTTTGAGACAGTGTCTTGCTCTATTGCTCAGGTTGG
Source organism: Homo sapiens (assembly GCF_000001405.40). Taxonomy (NCBI): domain Eukaryota; kingdom Metazoa; phylum Chordata; class Mammalia; order Primates; family Hominidae; genus Homo; species Homo sapiens. The sequence goes on along the minus strand of NC_000007.14, from coordinate 105,393,905 downwards.
AATGCAGCAGCGCGATCATAGTTCACTATAACCTCCCTAACCTTGAACTCCTGGGCTCAAGTGATCCTCCTACTTTAGCCTCCCAAAATGCTGAAATTATAAATGAGAGCCACCACATCTGGCGCAGAAATGTTTTAAAATGAGATTGTGGTAGTGGTTGGCACAACGCTGTGAATATGCTAAAAAACACTGAATTCTATATTTTAAAATGGCTGAATTGCATGTATGTGTTATATCTCAATAAAGCCTTTTTAAAAATAATAAAAAGGCCGAATGTGGTGGCTCATGTCCATAGAGTGAGACCCTGTCCTCTGAAAACAACAAAAAAATAGTGACAGTAATTTTTGTCAATATTGATACCAAAAACAAAAAACAAGCCAGAAACAAAGAAAGAAAGAAAAAAGGCAGAGGAGCAGGAGGGGAAAAAAAAAAAAAAAAAAAAAAAAGAAAAACCAGAGGGAGAAATAAAAGCTCCTCCTTATGCGGTGGTGCACGCCTTTAATCCCAGCAGTTTGGGAGGCCAAGGTGGGCGGATCACCTGAGGTCAGGAGTTTGAGACCAGCCTGGCCAACATGGTAAAACCCCATCTCCACTAAAAATACAAAAATTAGGCTGGACGCGGTGGCTCAAGCCTGCAATCCCAACACTTTGGGAGGCTGAGGCAGGCAGATCACTTGAGGTCAGGAGTTTGAGACCAGCCTGGCCAACATGGTGAAACCTAGTCTCTACTAAAAATACAAAAAAATTAGCCGGGAGTGGTGGCGGGTGCCTGTAATCCCAGGTACTTGGGAGGCTGAGGCAGGAGAATCACTTGAGCCTGGAAGGCGGAGGTTGCGTTAGGCCAAGATCGCGCCACTGCACTCCAGCCTGGGCGACAGAGCGAGACTTCCCTTCCCCTCTCCACCAAAAAAAAAAAAATACAAAAATTAGCCGGGTGTGGTGGTACATGCCTGTAGTCCCAGCTACTTGGGAGGCTGAGGGAGGAGAATTGTTTGAACCTGGGAGGCGGAGGTTGCAATGAGCGGAGATCACACCACTGCACTCCAGCCTGGGCGACGGAGCAAGACCCTCTCTCAAAAAAAAAAAAGAAAAAAAGAATATCACTTAAGTCTGGGTATAGTGGTTCACACCTGTAATCCCAGCACTTAGGGAGGCAGAGGCAGGTGGATCACTTGAGGCCAAGAGTTTCAGACCAGCCTGGCCAACATGGTGAAAACCCGTGTCTACTAAAAATACAAATGGTGTGCGTCTGTAGTCCCAGCTACTTGGGAGGCTGAGGTGGGAAAATCACTTGAACCTGGGAAGTGGAGGTTACAGTGAGCTGAGATCACACCATTGCACTCCAGCCTCGGCAACAGAGCAAGATGCCCATCTCAAAAATGATAGGATTATAAAATCACTGTTCTACAACCAGTGTGGTAATAGTTGATTTAGGCAAGAATCATCAATGGATGCCAACCCATTGAGATATTGTCAGGGAAGAGATATTCACACAGTTTCAAAGTATCACCCCACACAAGTAACTTTGTTGTTTTGTTTTGAAGTGAAATTCACATTAAATGAAAGAAACCACTTTAAAGAGAACAATTCAGTGGCTTTTAGTCTATTAGCAATGTTGTGCCACCACCACCTCTATCTAGCACCAAAACATCTTCATCACACCAAAATAAAACTTGGTACCCATTAAGCAGTTGCTCCCTCCTTCTCCCACCCCCCAACTCCTGGCAACCACCAATCTGCTTTCTGTAGATTTGCCTATTCTGGATATCTCATATAAATGGAATCATACAATATGTGACATTTTGTGTCTGGCTGCTTTTATTTAGCATAATGTTTTTGATGTTCATCCACATTGTAGCATGTGTCAGTACTAAATTCTTTTTATGGCCAAAAAAATATTCCAGTGTATGTATATACCGCAATTTGTTTATCCATTCATTTATGGATGACCATTTAGGTTTTTTCCACCTTTTGGCTGTGATAGCGCTGCTATGAACACTCATGTACAAAGATTTGTTTGAGTATCTGTTTTCAGTCCTTGTGCATATATACCTAGGAGTGGAATTGCTGTTAATTCTATAATTAGCTTTCTGAGAAGCCAACAGACTGTTTCCATAATAACTGCACCATTTTACATTCCCACCAGAAATGTAGGAGGGTTTCAATGTTTCCAACATATGAGGGTTCCAAAATCCCCACCAACACTTTTTTTCCATTAACATTTTTTTTTTGAGATGGGGTCTCACTCTGTTGCCCAGGCTGGAGTGCAGTGGTGCGATCATAGTTCACTGCAGCCGCCAACTCCTGGACTCAGATGATCCTCCAGCCTCAGCCTCCAAAATGCTGAGATTACACTTGTGAGACATCACGTTTGGCCTTATTTTCCATTACAAAAATTTTTAGCCGGGCGCAGTGGCTCATGCCTGTAATCCCAGCACTTTGGGAAGCCAAGGAAGGTGGATCACCTGAGGTTGGGAGTTCGATACCATCCTGACCAACATGGAGAAACCCCAGATCTACTAAAAATACAAAATTAGCCAGGCGTGGTAGCACATGCCTGTAATCCCAGCTACTCGGAGGGTTGAGGCAGGAGAATCACTTGAACCTGGGAGGCAGAGGTTGCGAAGAGCTGAGATCGTGCCATTGCACTCCAGCCTGGGCAACAAGAGCGAAATTCCATCTCAATAAATAAATAAATAAATAAATAAATAAATAAATAAATTTTATAGTCATCCTAGTAGGTGTGAAGTAGTAGCTCATTATAGTTTTGCTTTGTATTTTCCTAACAACTAATGATGTTAATTCTCTTGTCACATGCTAGTTTGGTCATTTGCATGTCTTTGGAGAAATGTCCATTCAAATCCTTTGCTCATTTTTCATACAGACTTCTTAAATACAGAGGGAAAAGGTACCTGTATCTTGGAGAAATAATTAACTGTAACATCACCAGTAATGGAACAAACTGACATCATATTTTGATGCACTAAGATGAATACAACATCATCTATAGTATAGCCAACAAAATTGTTTAACTTGAATCTAATCATAGGGAAACAGACAAATCCAAAACAGGGAACATTCTGCAAAATGGTGGAACTGGATTCTTCAAAAAAGTCAATGTTATAAACAACAAAACAAAACAAAACAAAAAAAGGCTGGGTGCCGAGGCTCAGGCCTGTAATCCTAGCACTTTGGGAGGTTGAGGTGGGTGGATGACCCGAGGTCAGGAGTTCGAGACCAGCCTGGCCAATAGGGTGAAACCCTGTCTCTACTAAAAAAAAAAAAAAAAAAAAAAAAACAAAAACAAAAATTAACTAGATGTGGTGGTGTATGCCTGTAATCCCAGCTACTCGGGAGACTGAGGCAGGAGAATGGCTTGGACCCGGGAGGCTGAGGTTGCAGTGAGCTGAGATTGCGCCACTGCACTCCAGCCTGGGTGATAGAGTGAGACTCCATTTCAAAATAAATAAATAAATAGAAAGAAAACCAAAACACAAAACCAAGAATGATTCTAGACTAAAGGTGTTTAAAAAGACATGACAATTAAATGCAACGGATGATCCTTAATGGTAGACTAATTGGGAAAAAAAGAAAATCAGCGACAAGGGATATTACTGGGATATTTTGCAAAATTGAATATATATGGCCTGTATGTTACAGATGATTACATTGTATTAGTATGAAAGTTTCTTGGAGTGATCATGGAATTCTGATTATGTGGGAGATTATCTTTATTCTTAGTAGATATGTACTGAAATATTTAGGGATAAAGGGTAACAGTGTCTACAAAAACTCAAGTGATTCAGCAAAATAAACCATACACACAGACACATAGATAGCAAATGTGGCAGAATGTTAAAAATTGGTGAATATGGGTTAATTTGGCTGTTAATTGTATTTTCCTTGTAACTTTTCTATAGGGTTTGATATTTTTTTGAATATAAAAAGTTAAGGACTCTTCAAAATCCAAGCAGAGTTTCCCGTTCTGATTTATCATCCTTAGTGTAAGCCACCTTGTCAAAGATACAGTTGTGTGACCAATGAGGGAGTTAATAGTCAGAATGCGTATCTTTCAAAAACTATTGTAATTATTTACATAAATAAGAGAACATTGCAGTTATCTTTTTGTGTCACTATCAACTTGATTCACATCTTTTGTAGGCAGCCTGATAAGGTGGTTTGTCGACGGCCAGGCCTGAATTTCGATCCTGGCTGGTTAAACTTTTTAACCTCGTTGGGACTCAGTTTCCTCATTGTAGGATGCAGAAAATAACTACTTGGTGTGATTGTTGTTTTGAATTGTTATACACCTGGTGTTTACGGAAGCGAGTTTCAATTCATGTGCAAAACCTTTGTCCTACCTTGAATGCTATCTGTATCTTTTCCTTCATTAAACTCATGCAATCCTGGAGGGCACTTAGAGGTGGGAGAGAAAATGACTTCTCCAAGGTCACACCGCTAATCGCGGACCCAGGTTTCCCAGCTTTTGGTCGTGTGCCCTTTCCACGCCTGCCGGAGAGGAGGAAGCGGCGCTCATGGGGTTGCAAGGATGTAGAGGAGCAAAGGGAGAGAAGAGGCCGCGGGAAGAGAGGTGGTGCGAGACCCGCGGAGGCGCCGGCCAAGGACGGGCGCATGGAGCAGCGGGCGGCGCGACCGGCCGGGGTGCGGAGGGGAGAGGCCGCGGCGGGGAGGGAGGGTCCCGCGGGTCCGGTGCCCGGGAGAGGCGGGCGGCCTGGGCCAGCCGCAGGATCGCAGGAGGCGGAGGCCCGGGCCGCGGGCTGGGGTGGGGGAGGCCGAGGGCCAGCGCGGCCATGGGCGGCGGCCACTTCTGCACAGGTGGGTGGGGCGGGGGCGCGGGGCGCTGGGCGCGCGGCGCTGGGGTCCCGACCCCCGGGGCCGGCGGGTGGGGGCGGGGCGGGGGCGGGGCCGGACGGGGGCGGGTCTTGCTGGGTCCCTGCTGGAGCGGCGGCGGCGGCGGCGGCGCAGGCGCGGTTCTCGTCTCCTCCCGGCCGGCGGAGCGAGTGGAGGCTGCAGCCCAGCTCGTCTCGGCGCCCGCGTCGCCGTCGCGAAGCCCCCCGCCCCGCTTCCGCCGCGTCGGAATGAGCTCCCGGAAAGGTGAGTGGCCCGCGGCGCGCCCTCTCCCCGCCACGCGGCCAGCCCGGGCGGGCGGCCCGACCGTTAATGTGTGTCTTCTCTTCCCCAGTGCTGGCCATTCAGGCCCGAAAGCGGAGGCCGAAAAGAGAGAAACATCCGAAAAAGTGAGTCCACGCTGCGCCTGTCCCCGTTCCCCACCCCCGCCCCGTCGGGGGCGCCCGCGGCCGCGCAGGGGAAAGTTGTCCGGGTCCCCGGGCCGGCGGGCGGGCTGGTCCCCCGGGACGCTGGCGCTCGGCTCCTGCCCCCGGCGGGCGGCCCGGGGGGAGGGGCGGCGGCGGGGGAGGGGCGCGCGGGCCGCGGCCGGTTCCCTAGCATCACGGAGCCTCGACCCCGCGACCTCCCGCCCCGGGTCGCCACCGGCCGGCGGGCGGGAGGCCGGCGGAAAGGCGCCGGGCAGGGCGTGCGCACCCGTCCCTTGCCCGCGAGCTGGCCCGGGGGTCGCGGCCCTTTCCGGAAGGGGCCCCGGCGTCTGCCGCTGGGCTCCGGCCCGCCCGCTGCGGGAGTGCAGCGGCTGCGTTGCTCCCACCTGAGCCGCGGGCCGAGGAGGCGGAGGGGCCGAGTGTGCGGGAGGGCGTGTGTCTCGCCTCCCCTTCCTCCCCGGCCCCCGCCTGTCGGCCTTTCTGCTGAGAACCTAAGCTGGTTGTCAAGTGGTTTGCCTCGGGCGTGTTCCTGGCGCGAGTTCAGCCCCGAGACCTGTGCGTTTCGGCTCTCGGGTTTGGATTCGAAACTTTCCGCTCGGGTTGAGCGTGACTTGGGTGCGCTGCGGGCGCCGGGGTCGCGGGCTGCGCAGGGCGGTGGGCGTGTGCGCGGGAGCCGGTCGGAGTGGAAAACGCGCCCGTGGCGGCCACCTCCAGCCTGGCCGCTCACCCGAGCAGGGGGGCCGCTGCCCAAGAACCCTTTCCTGGAGAGCTGCTCCGAGACCGCACAGCGCCGCCGCGTCTTCTCCTTTTCCACTCCTCTCTCCTAATTTTTTTGATTTACCAGCGTTCGACATCGTTATCTCTTCCTCTAGATTAATTGCTTCGCTCTTTTGAGCAAGAATACTCTGTGTGGCATCTTTGGTACTGTGGGGAACGAGAATCCAGCATTATCTTTAATAAAATCCAGAAACATTTTTGGTTGTTTCCTTTGAGGGGTACGTCGCAGCACGCTCACTTTTTTCCCCTTCTCGTTGGCCTTGGTCCTTCAGTTTCACAAAATGTGGATAGTGACTTAAAAATACCTTAAAAAAAAAAAAAAAAGAAAAAACCATTAGAGTAAGGGGAAAGCACTTCCTAAAGAGTTGAAGAACTAATTGGTCGGTAAAAATTGGATATTGAATTCATAAGATGTTAAAATGGACTGGATTTTTGGTAGTTTTGGTTGCTTTTAAAAAAATTAGTGCTAGCTTTCAAGTGAATTACAACCTTAAATTTGAGATTTCCTTTGGTGAACCATGGAAGTTTACCCAGTGGTAAGGAGAACTGTAATGTTTAGGATTCTGAATAAGTACTGTGTTTTAATCACAGCTCTTAATTCAAAGCATTGATTTAATTCCACGTAGTCTGTTATACTCAGAAACATAAAAACAAGTGGAAAAAGTATGACCCCAGTGTCGGAGATGGCTATGTGTGCATGTATATACAAATAGACACGTATATGTGCATGTTACCTTTACGTACATGTGGAAAAACAGTTCTAATTAAGTCAATATGTGTCTTGTATTTGCATATATTAGAGTATGATTTTCCTAATGGTCGAGGGCCTTTTTGGTGGGCCGCAGTTTGGATTTATGTGGTATGTTGATGAAGACTTAGTGAATAGCCACAGTACTCAGCTTTTCCTCTCACAGATTAATCTGCCAGTTTCTCCCACTGTGTATTGTGTATATGTGATAGAATTTGAGGGGGAAAATAACACACCAGCTAATGATGAAACGAACTGGCTCTAGTCTGTAAGGTAACGGGACCAGCCCAATTATATAACTGATTGAGGCATTGCCATTTTTCACTTAACTCTTTGAATCAAGTCATAATTTTATTTAATAATTTTTTTGAGGCAGAGTTTCGCTCTTGTCGCTCAGGCTGGAGTGCAATGGCCCAATCTTGGCTCACTGCAACCTCCGCCTCCCAGGTTCAAGGGATTCTCCTGCCTCAGCCTCCTGAGTAGCTGGGATTACAGGCACCCGCCACCAAGCCTAGCTATTTTTTTTGTATTTTTTAGTAGAGACGGGGTTTCACCATGTTGGCCGGGCTGGTCTACAACTCCTGACTTCAGGTGATTCACCGGCCTCGGCCTCCCACACAGCTGGGATTACAGGTGTGAGCCACCGTGCCCGACCTGAATCAAGATATTATTTAAAAGAACTGTTTGATGTTATTTATTTATTCATGTCTTCAATAGGTATTTACATGTCTGTCTTCGGAGATGGTGTTAGAGGTTGTTTTTTTTTTTTTTTTGAGACCGAGTCTTGCTCTGTTGCCCAGGCTGGAGGGCAGTGGCGCGATCTCGGCTCACTGCAAGCTCCGCCTCCCGAATTCACGCCATTCTCCTGCCTCAGCCTCCTGAGTAGCTGGGACTACAGGCGCCCGCCACCACGCCCGGCTAATATTTTGTATTTTTAGTAGAGGTGGGGTTTCACCGTGTTAGCCAGGATGGTGTCGATCTCCTGACCTCGTGATTCGCCCGCCTCGGCCTCCTAAAGTGCTGGGATTACAGGCGTGAGCCACCAAGCCCGGCCGGTGATAGAGTTTTGAACAAGACAAAGCTCCTTGCAAAGCTAACCTTGGGAGGTTTGGGGAAAACCACAAAGAGGGTGACAAGATAATTTCAGATAGGGCTAAGGGATAGGAAGAAAATGAAGATGGGACATGTTAAGTAATAATAATAGATGACATTTGAACACTGTGCCAGTCACTCTGTCGATTGTTTTACATATACCTTGTGACAACCCTAAGAGGTAGGCACCGTTATTACGGACATTTTACAGGTGAAACAGGGACACAGGAAAAGTAAGTAACATGCCCAGCTGTTGAATCAAGGCAGCCCGGGACCAGAGTCCACTCTCTGAGAAATGGCATTTGGGCAGGATCGAGAATGAGGAGGAGATCCAGTGTGGCAGAGGCCCTGGGGAGGAATGGGCTGGAAGTATTCGAGAAACCCAAAAGTAAGAGTGGCCTGAGTGGCCCAGAGAGGTTGATGGGAGGCAGGAGTCAGAGCGTGTCTACCCTCGTAGGCCATTGGAGGCTTACATGTGGAAGGGACAGGTTCTGATTCCTGTTTAAAAAGAGGGCTGCTGTCCGGGCGCGGTGGCTCACGCCTGTAATCCCAGCACTTTGGGAGGCCGAGGCGGGCGGATCACGAGGTCAGGAGATCAAGACCATCCTGGCTAACACCCCGTCTCTACTAAAAATACAAAAACAAAATTAGCCCGGCATGGTGGCGGGCGCCTGTAGTCTCAGCTACTCGGGAGGCTGAGGCGAGAGAATGGCGTGAACCTGGAAGGCGGAGCTTGCAGTGAGCCGGGATTGTGCCACTGCACTCCAGCTTGGGCGACAGAGCGAGACTCCATCTCAAAAAAAAAAAAAAAAAAAAAAAAAAATGCCGGGCGCGGTGGCTCACGCCTGTAATCCCAGCACTTTGGGAGGCCGAGGCGGGCGGATCACGAGGTCAGGAGATCGAGACCATCCTGGCTAACACGGTGAAACCCCGTCCCTACTAAAAATATAAAAAATTAGCTGGGCGTGTGGGCGCCTGTAGTCCCAGCTACTCGGGAGGCTGAGGCAGGAGAATGGCGTGAACCCGGGAGGCGGAGCTTGCAGTGAGCCGAGATTGCGCCACTGCACTCCAGCCTGGGCGACAGAGCCAGACTCCGTCTCAAAAAAAAAAAAAGGTTGCTATGTGGAGAATAGATTGTGGGGATGGGGGTAGTAGTGGAAACAGAAGTGGCCTGCAGTAGTGCATGGGAAACCGGGTGACGTTGAGTGTGTGAGGAGTGGCACCTGAGAAGTGGTAAAAGAATCTCCAGGAGACTAGTATTTTCAGGGTACCCCGAATTTTACAGACAGCTCTGACAGGTTAAGCCCACAATAGCTTCGTTTGGATCAGAATTCAGGTCTCTTGAAGCACGGTTTTTGCTTTTTGATTAATTTTCCAGAGGAGGAAAAGGAGTAATAGGTATAATTTTAAACTATTAATATGATGACTGGCAAACTTGAATTATGTGACTGTGGGTCTGGCTTGGTATAATATGATTTACTTTTGTCATTATCTACTTTTGTATATACAAGCAGGCTTTTAATTAATTTTAGTTCATTTCAAATCTGTGAGCTTTTATGAATTGAGCCAGTTCCTAGAGGCTACTTTTATGGTACACTGGAAATTGTAGTTGTCAGGAATAAGATTAAGATTATTTAGTGGGTCAAAATTTTAATCCTGTTAGATTGTCCTGTGAGTTTAGTTTGCTTATTATTAATTGTGCTGCTTTGTGAGTAACAGGCAGAACGGAAGGACTGTAGTGCTGTTTAGTCACAAATCTTAGGAATTAGCTACATCACATAGCTTGGGATAAATTTTTGCCTTATAGTATGTTTATATGGAGGTACAATTTTTAAAATATCTCTTTCATTTATTTTTTTCATAACTTTTATTGGGATATAGTTCACATACCATAAAATTTACCTTTTAAAGTAGGCCATTTACAGATTTTTAGTCTATTCATTAAATTGTGCAGCCGTTATCTAATTCTATAACATTTTCACTTCCCCAGAAAGAAACTCCATATTTATTTCCCAGTTATTCTCCATTCCCCTTCCCCCTGCGTTGGCAACAACTAATTTACATTCTAAGTCTCTATGAATCTGCTTATTCTGAACATTTCATGTAAATGGAATATACAGTATGTGGCTTTGTCTGGTTTCCTTAGAACAATGTTTTCAAGGTTCATCCATGTTATGGCACGTATTAGTACTTAATTCCTTTATATTGTTGAATAGTTGTGTCAATATGCCACATTTTATCCATTTATCCATTGTTCCTTAAAATTTTTCTATTTCTGGCCAGGCGTGGTGGCTCATGCCTGTAATCCCAGCACTTTGGGAGGATGAGGTGGGCGGATCACGAGGTCAATAGTTCGAGACCAGCCTGGCCAATAGGGTGAAACCCCGTCTCTACTAAAAATACAAAAATTGCCTGGCATGGTAGTGTGCTCCTGCAGTTCCAGCTACTCGGGAGGCTGAGGCAGAAGAATTGCTTGAACCTGGGAGACGGAGGTTGTGGTGAGCCGAGATCATGCCGCTGCACTCCAGCCTGGGTGACAGAGCGACACTCCGTCTCAATTAAAAAAAAAAAAAAATTCTGTTTTGTTTTTTGTTCTTGTAAAATTTTTATTAAAACATTTAATTTTGAGGCCGGGTGCGGTGGCTCATGCCTATAATCCCAGCACTTTGGGAGGCTGAGGTGGGCAGATCACGAGGTCAGGAGATCGAGACCATCCTGGCTACGGTGAAACCCCGTCTCTACTAAAAAAAAAAATACAAAAAATTAGCCGGGCATGGTGGCGGGCACCTATAGTCCCAGCTAGTTGGGAGGCTGAGGCGGGAGAATGGCGTGAACCCAGGAGGCGGAGCTTGCAGTGAACCGAGATTGTGCCACTGCACTCCAGCCTGGGCGATAGAGCGAGACTCTGTCTCCAAAAAAAAAAAAAAAAAAAAAAAAAAAATTTTTACTTTTGAAATAATTTCAGACTCACAAGACCTTGCAAAAGTGGTACAGAGTTCTTTGTGTACTCTTTATTCAACTTCCCTGACGTTGATATCTTAACCATAGAACATTGTTGAAACCAATAAATTGACATTGAGACAATGTTATTAATTCAAGAAAGATTTTACTTGGATTTTATCAGTTTTACATGCACTCTCTGTGTAGTTCTAACAAATTGTGTCACTTGTGTAGATTAGAATAATCACCACAGTCAGGATGCCAAACTGTTTCATTACCACAAAGAACAGTCACTCTCTCTTCAAATCTAAGCTTGGGAAACACTGATCTGTTCTCTATCACTTAATGTTGCCACTTTGAGAATGTTATATAAATGGAATTATACAGTATGTCACCTTTTGTGATTCGCCTTTTTTCATGCAGCGTAATGCCCTTGAGATTCATCCATGTTGTTGCCTGTGTGAGCAGAGCATTCCTTTTTTTTTTTTTTTTTTTTTTTTTTGAGATGGAGTTTTGCTCTTGTTGCCCAGGCTGGAGTGCAGTGGCACGATCTTGGCTCACCGTAACCTCCGCTTCCTGGGTTTAAGCGATTCTCCTGACTTAGCCTCCTGAGTAGCTGGGATTACAGGCATGTGCCACCATGCCAGGCTAATTTTGTATTTTAAGTAGAGACGGGGTTTCTCCACTTTGGTCAGGCTGGTCTCGAGCTCCTGACCTCAGGTGATCCACCCGCCTTGGCATCCCAAAGTGCTGGGATTATAGGCATGAGCCACCGTGCCTGGCTGTGCTTTCCTTTTTATTGGTAACAAGTATTCCATTGTGTGGATTAACAGTTTATTCACAGGCTAAAGGATATCTGGGTATACTTTGCTTCTACTTTTTTTTTTGAGATGGCATCTTGCTCTGTCGCCCAGGCTGGAGTGCACTGGCGCAATCATGGCTCACTGCACCTGCCACCTCCCAGGTTCAAGCGATTCTCCTGGCTCAGCCTCCCAAGTAGCTGGGACTACAGGCATGTGCCACCACGCCTGGCTAATTTTTGTATTTTTAGTAGAGATGGGGTTTCACCATCTTGGTCAGGCTGGTTACGAACTCCTGGCCTCAAATGATCTGCCTGCCTTAGCCTCCCAAAGTGTTGGGATTACAGGCGTGAGCCACCGTGCCCAGCTTGGTGAGACAGTTTTGGAATGTAATGATACAAGTTTATATCCTTATTCAGTAAGCCTCAACCCTTGAATTTATACTTCCCTGTAGTATAAATTCAAGCTCATAAGCCCATGACTTTGGAATACTTCTCATGGATTACCTAATTTTCATTTCTTATTTTTTTACACATTTGTTTATTCAACAAACATTTTTGCTTACTACCTCTACAGTAGAATACAGTAAATGGACACGAAGCAAATACCTAGTGCTGCAGATAGCTAGTGCCAGGGTGTGTGTTGGATGCTAGAAGAGTAAGATAATTAAAGTAGAAGAGATTGCTTTGTGAAAAGACCATTGCAGGACAGTGTGATGAGAACTGTAAGATTTAGGTACAGTAGTGCTTAGTTTTTTTGTTTTTGTTTTGTTTTGTTTTGTTTTTTCGAGATGGAGTCTTGCTCTGTTGCCCAGGCTGGACTGCAGTGGCCTGGTCTTGGCTCACTGAGACAGGGTTTCGCCATATTGGCCAGGCTGGTCTCAAGCTCCTGACGTCATGATCTACCTGCCTTGGCCTCACAAAGCGTTGGGATTACAGGCTTGAGCCACTGCGCCTGGCCAGATTTCATTTTAATATTGTCATTTTAATGAAATAACTTTTTTTTTTTTTCTTGAGGCAGTCTTGCTCTGTCACCCAGACAGGAATGCAGTGGCATGATCTTGGCTCAGTGTAACCTCTGCCTCCTGGGTTCAGGCGCTCCTCATGCCTCAGCCTCCCAAGTAGCTGGGATTACAGGCATGCGCCACCATGCCCAGCTTATTTTCTTTGTATTTTTAGTAGAGCCTGGTCAGGAACTCCTGGCCTAAGCCTCAAGTGATCTGCCTGCCTCAGCCTTCCAAAATGCTGGGATTACAGTCATGAGCTACTGCCCCTGGCCCAGCTTTTTTTTTTTTTTTTTTTTTTTTTAAAGTAATAAAAGTAATATGGTCATGGTAAAAAATTCAGTACAGAATTCAGTATAATACAGAAGATTTAAGAAGCAAGTGTCAGCTGTGGCTCCACTAATTATTTTTAATTTAAAAATTTTTTAGCAGCTGGGCGTGGTAGCTTACGCCTGTAATCCCAGCGCTTTGGGAGGCCGAGGTGGGCAGATCACAAGGTCAGGAGATCAAGACCATCCTGACCAACATGGCGAAACCCCGTCTCTTCTAAAAATACAAAAATTAGCCAGGCGTGGTGGCATGTGCCTATAATCCCAGCTATGCAGGAGGGTGAGGCGGGAGAATTGCTTGAACCCGGGAGGCAGAGCTTGCAGTGAGCTGAGATGGCGCCACTGCACTCCAGCCTGGGCGACAGAGCGAGACTCCATCTCAAAAAAAAAAAAAAAAAAAATTTTAGCATGTTAATTTAGGGTATCTAATTGTTTTGGTGTGTTATTCTTTTACTTGTGCATGGTTTTGTTCATTTTTCAAAAATTGAGTCCTAGCATACATGTATATGCATGTATGTAAAGTGCATTGATCTTTTAAAGATCAGTGAGGATCACTAGAGGTCAGGAGTTTGAGACCAGCCTGGCCAACATGATGAAACCCCGTCTCTACTAAAAATACAGAAATTAGCTGGGAGTGGTGGCACATGCCTGTAGTCCCAGCTATTCCAGAGTCCGAGGTGGGAGAATTGCTTGAACACGGGAGATAGAGGTTGCTTTGAGCTGAGATTGCACCACTTAGTGCCAGCCTGGGCGACGCAGTGAAACTCCCTCTTAAGGATAAAACATCATTTTTAATTTTAATTTTCTTTTTTAGAGATAGGATCTTGCTTTGTTGCCTAGGCCGCTTTCACCCTCTTGGGTTTGGGTGATACCCCACCTAAGCCTCCCAAGTAGCTGGGACTGCAGGTGCCTACCACCATGCCTGGCAGTGCACTCATATTTTTTTGAGACGGAGTCTTGCTCTTTCGCTAGGCTGGTGTGCAGTGGCGCTATCTCAGCTCACTGCAACCTCCGCTTCCCCGATTCAAGCCATTCTCCTGCCTCAGCCTCCTGAGTAGCTGGGAGTACAGGCTCGTGCCACCACTCCCCAGCTAATTTTTGTATTTTTAGTAGAGACGAGGTTTCACCATGTTGGCCGGGCTGGTCTCGATCTCCTGACCTTGTGATCTGCCCGCCTCGGCTTCCCAAAGTGCTGGGATTACAGGCGTGAGCCACCACGCCTGGCCCAGTGCATTCGTCTTAATTGTACAGTTTGATGATTTTTTTTACATTTATTTATACCCCTGTAACGACCATGTAGATCAGTATATAAAACCCCTTCAATGCTCCATAAGTTTTCTCATGCCTCTCCCGAGTCTATACTCTACCACCTAGGAGCAACAACTTTTTTGATATCTATCATTATTGATTAGTTTTGTCTGTTCTTGAATTTCATATAAATGAAATCATATAGAATATACAGTCATCCCTCAGTACGCTTGGAGGATTGGTTCTGGGACACCCTCAAATAACAAAGTCTGAGGATACTCAAGTCCCTTGTAACCTTCACACATCCTCCTGTATATTTTAAATTATCTCTGGATTACTAATAATATATATACAATGTAAATACCATGTCAATGGTTGTTACATGGTGTTTTTTTAATTTGTAGTTTTTATTTTGTTATTATTTATTTACTTTTGATTGTTTTTGATTCATGATTGGTTGAACCTATGGATGCAGAGTCCACAGTTTCAGAGGGCTGACTTTATATATATATATATATTTTTTTTTAGAGACTGGGTCTTGCTTTGTTGGCTGACAGTGGCACAATCATAGCTCACTGCCACCTCAAATTCCTGGCCTCAAATGATCCTCCTGCCTCAGGCTGCTGAGTAGCTGGGACTACATGTGAGCACCACCATGCCCAGCTGATTTTAAAATTTTTTGTAGAGATGGGATCTCCCTATGTTGCCCAGGCTCAAAGATGTAGTTTTGATTGAACTACTTTACTCTCCCACAAGTGTAAAGACACTTAAGTTTGCTTCACATTTTTGCCCACACTTGGCAGTGTCATTGTAATAAATTTTACCTATTATGGGTGTGTATTGATATTTCATTATGGTTTTCAATTGCATTTTCCTGAGTAATGATGTTAAACATCATTTTTTTTTTTTTTTTGAGACGGAGTCTTTCTCTGTTGCCAGACTGGATTGCAGTGGCATGATCTCGGCTCACTGCAACCTCCACCACCTGAGTACAAGCAATTCTCCTGCCTCAGCCTCCTGAGTAGCTGGGACTACAGGTGTGTGCCACCGTGCCCAGCTAATTTTTGTATTTTTGGTAGAGATGGGGTTTCACCATGTTGGCCAGGATGGTCTTGATCTCTTGACTTCGTGATCTGCCCACCTCGGCCTCCCAAAGTGCTGGGATTACAGGCGTGAGCCACCAGGCCCAGCCAACATCTTTTCATATGTTTCTTGGTCATTTGAGTTTCCTGTTTTGTGAAGCGCCTTTTTAAGTCTTTTGCCCCCTACCCTTTAAAAAAAATATTGTGTCGTAAGTTTTTCTTACTGATTTATAAAAATTTGTAGATTTTCAGATGACTTCTTTTTCGGATGTATGTATAAGTTATGTATCTTTCTAATCATTATGGATATCATTTTGTAATCTAAAAGCAAACTGGAAATCAGGAGGGCATTCTAAACTGGTTCTGGAAGAACCAGTAATTCTCCAAGTAAAATAAGGGGGCAGGGCAAGGACCTTCCATGCCGAAGAAACACTGCAGTTGGTGTCAACATGTGGGGTTTAAAATGGCGTGTAGTCTTGGAATGTCAAGCAGGTTAGTAGGGCTGGAGTGCAGGGTGTGGTAAGCAATAAATAGGGCTCTGAGGAAGTCAAACGAAGGACTGGGGAGCTGTTAAGGGGTACACACTCAGGTTTTTAGAAAGATTCCTTTAGCTATTGTGTGGGGAGTTGCTTAGAGGCCAGGGGCTCCATTGGGAGGCTATTGCATGAGGCTTCAGGAGACTGATGTATATTAAGGGGCCAGAATCCACTAGACTTAGTGTCCAGTTTAATGTGAGAGGAGAGTGGGAGGGTTCTAGGATTAATTCCATGTTTCTGAATTAGCTAAATTTATGGGTGGTGTTGCCATTTTTTGCAATAGGGAATGCAGAATGTGTTTCGGAAAAATTAATGGTGACTTTGGCCAGGCTTTTCTCTTTTTTTCTTCTTTTTTTTGATACGGGGTCTTGCTCTGTTGCTCAGGCTGGAGTGCGGTGGCGCGATCTCAGTTCTCACTGCAGCATCTGCCTCCCAAGTTCAAGCAATTCTCCCACCTCAGCCTCCTGAGTAGCTGGGATTACAGTGCCACTACCACGGCTGGCTAATTTTTGTATTTTTTTTTTTCAGTTGAGATGGGGTTTCACCATGTTGGCCAGGCTGGTCCTGAACTCCTGGCCTCAGGTGATCCACCCTCCTCCGCCCCCCAAAGTGCTGGGATTATAGGCATGAGCCACCGCGCCCAGCCTGGCCAGCCTTTTTGAGGTCTCTATATAAATTCCTTTAAGAGCTGTTTGGTCAGTGTTTATAGCTAGAGCACTGGGAAGAGCTCTGTTGAGGGTGATATATATTGGGAGTTGTCAGGTATAGCTGATGGTAGGGAACTGGCTGAATGAAGGTGCATTAACATGTGAAGAGAAGGCTACAGGTAGGGTTGGTAAAGGAGGAGCCAGAGAGATGGGAGACCCAGGAGAAAGTTGTCTTACAGAAACCAAGGGAATACAGCATTTCAAGAAGGGCGTGGTCAGCAGTGTTAGTCTGCAGATAAAATTCAAGTGAGATGAGCCTTAATCTTGGCCTTTGCTTTTGGCAGTTAGAAAATCATTAGAGACTATAGCTGGAACTATCTTAGCACAGTGTTTTAAAATAAAAGCAACCTTGCAGCTGTAAAAGTGAATAGGAAGATAGAGCAGGGTCCTTTTTGTTTTGTTTGTTTTTCTTAAGATTAGTTATTGAATAAGCTTTTTAGTGTGTGTGTGTGTGTGTGTGTGTGTGTAAAGGAGAAAAGGTGCTTTTTATTAAAAAAAAAAGGGGGGTGGGGGGGCGGGCGTGGTGGCTCACTACTGTAATCCTAGCACTTTGGTAGGCCGAGGTGGGTGGATCTCCTGAGGTCAGGAGTTCGAGACCAGCCTGGCCAACATGGCGAAACCCCATCTCTACTAAAAATACAAAAATTAGCCGGGAGTGGTGGTGCACGCCTGTAATCCCAGCTATTATGGAGGCTGAGGAGGAGAATTGCTTGAACCTGAGAGGTGGAGGTTGCAGTGAGCCAGATCGTGCCACTGCATTCAAGCCTGGGCAACAGAGTGAGACTCTATACCCTCCCCTCACCAAAAAAAAAAAAGAAAAAAAGGATGGCAAGGAGCTAGTAGAAAGTTAGAGGTTGAAAATATGGGCAAGAAAAGGGGTATTTGGAGCAAAAATCCTGAGTTGTCAGGAAGTAGTGGGATTATAGCACAGGTTTTCAATGGATAGGGATGGGATGGGGTGAGGGTAGACGGACTACAACTCTTTGCTCTGAGATGAAGAATGCCGTAGGGGTGTGTGTTTGTGTGTGTGTGTGTTTTAAGAAATGAATTTTTGGCCGGGCGTGGTGATTTGTGCCTGTAATCCCAGCACTTTGGGAGGCCAAGGCGGGCGGATCACAAGGTCAGGAGATAGAGACCATCCTGGCTAACATGGTGAAACCCTGTCTCTACTAAACAAAATACAAAAAATTTGCTGGGTGTGGTGGCGGGCGCCTGTAGTCCCAGCTGCACGGGAGGCTGAGGCAGGAGAATGGTGTGAACCTGGGAAGGCGGAGCTTGCATTGAGCTGAGATCACGACACTGCACTCCAGCCTGGGTGGCAGACAGAGACTCTGTCTCAAAAAAAAAAAAAAAAAAAAAAAAAAAAGAAATGAATTCTCATTACGTTGCCCAAGCTGGACTCAAACTGCTGGGCTCAAGTGATCCTGCTTTAGCCTTCTGAGTAGCTGGGACTACAGGTGTTTGCCCTACTGTGCCCAGCTATAAGTTGCATGTTTTAAAATACCTATGGTGAGCTTCTCCATACCGTTCTGGAATATTGCATAATACATGATATGGGTGCCATATTACCTTTGGAAAACCCAAAAAACTTGAATAGCGAAACATCTGGTCCCAAGGATTGTGGACCTGTGGTAAATATTCAGTAAAGGTTGGCCGTTTTGTGGTTGTTAGGCTTTTGTTGCTTGCTTATTTATTTCTAAATAGCTTATCTAGTTGTGCTAACTCAATTGTATTTCCACCTGTACTTGAGTGTGTTGACTTCTCTGTCCTTGCTCTAGTTCCAGGTTACCTTGATCGCTGTGATTTTGAATACATTTTCTTTTCTTTTTAAAATAGAGATGGGTATTGCTTTGCTGCCCAGGTTAGTCTTAAACTCCTGGCTTCAAGCTGTCTTCCCACCTTGGCTCCCCAAAGTGTTGGGATTACAGGTGTGAGCCAGTGTGCTTGGCCTGACTACATTTCAGTTTTTGGAAATGCAAGGGCTCTCTTATACCCCCATACCCACTTGTTACACTTGATTTTATATTTTTGGGGGCCATTCTTGCATATTTTTTCATTAAGATGATATTTTCAAGTCCCTATCTCAGTATTGTTTTGCTATTGGGTTGGGTTAATATTGAATTTGTAGTTTACTTAGGGAGACCTTGAAGAGTCTTGAATTAGCAACACATTTTTTTAAACATAAATTTTTTCCAGGTTTTAAAAATATTATATGCCATATCTAGAAATTATAGGAGTATAAAAAGACAAAAAACAAAAATGACTCATATTCTCACCAGCCAGCATGATATGCACAGATAGGATGTTGCTAATATTTTGTTATATTTCCTTCTGGCCTTTTTCTCTTCCTGTGTTTTTGTTACTTACATTATCATCTCTTATATATGATTTTGTATCCTGCTTTCCTTATTTTACATTTTGTTATAAATATTTTTCATGGGCTGGCTGGGTGCAGTGGCTCAAGCCTGTAATTCCAGCAGTTTGGGAGGCCGAGGCGGGTGGATCACGAGGTCAGGAGTTTGAGACCAGCCTAGCCAATATGGTGCAACCCTGTCTCTACTAAAAACACAAAAATAGCTGGGCGTGGTGGCGGGCGCCTGTAATCCCTTCCCAGCTCCTCCGTAGGCGAGGCAGGAGAACTGCTTGAACCCGGGAGGTGGAGGTTGTATTAAGCCAGAGATGGCGCCATTGCACTCCAACCTGGGCGACCGAATGAGACTCTGACTCAAAAAAATATATGTATATTTTTCATGTCTTTAAAAACTTCATAACTAATTATTAATGACTAACATTCTAATTTGTTTTATTTGCTTAAATATTTCCCTATTGCTAGACAGATGTTTCCAGTTTTCTGGCATGGTATTACTTCAGTGAATATCTTTGTATGCATTTCAGATTTTCTTAGACTAGGTGGAATCCTGCAAATGGAAATATTAGGTCAAAGACATTGAACCTTTTTAAGGCTCTTAAATTTTGGAAAAGCTCTTTTAAAGAAGAATCAGCAGGAGTAGGACTAATTAACTATGGGACATGAAGAGAAAAGCAATACAAAATGACAAAATTAAAGGTTTTTTTGACTTAGACTGTTATACTTAATGAAGAATAAGAAAGTTGGCAGAAACTGGCTGGGCGCGGTGGCTCATGCCTGTAATCCCAGCACTTTGGGAGGCCAAGGTGGGCAGATCACTTGAGGTGAGGAGTTTGAGACCAGCCTGGCCAACATGGTGAAACCCCGTCTCTACTAAAAATATAAAAATTAGCTGGGCGTGGTGGCATGTGCCATAATCCCAGCTACTTGGGAGGCTGAGACAGGAGAATCAATTGAACACAAGAGGTAGACGTTGCAGGGAGCCAAGATCATGCCACTGCACTCCAGCGTGGGCGACAGAGCAAGACTCCATCTCAAAAAAGAAAGAAAGTCGGGAGAAATTGTTTGGAGATGAGGGAGACTTTGTTTTAGGCATAACCAAGTTGAAAGTGACTAGAACCGAAAAGGAAGTATGGTACAGGGAGCTGATGGGCAGGTGGGAAGCTGGGACTTCAAGGAGACATTTAAAGCACTTACGACAGTAAGGTCAGCTTACTGCAGGAAAGAGGATGGTGGAGAGAAGAGGGCTTGGTCTGAAATTTAGAAAATGTCTTTTGTGAGCCAGGCGCGGTGGCCCACATCTGTAATCCCAGCACTTTGGGAGGCCGAAGCGAGCGGATCACTTGAGGCCAGGAGTTCGAGACCAGCCTGGCCAACATGACGAAACCCCATGTCTATTAAAAATACAAAAATCAGCTGGATGTGGTGGTGCACGCCTGTAATCCCAGTTCATAGGGAGGCTGAGGCATGAGAATCACTTGAATCTGGGAGGTGGAGGTCGAAGTGAGCCAAGATCATGCCGCTGCACTCCATCCTGGGCAACAGAGTGAGACTTTGTTTCAAAAAAAAAAAAAAAAGGAAAAGAAAAAAAATTTTTTTTTTTTGTGGCAAAGTAAAGGAAGGAAAGTTAAAGGATAAACCGGTTGAGGGAGAGAAGTCTAAGGAGAATGAGATTTGAGAAAAATTTATTACGTTTGTTTATCGTTGATGGCCTTCAGATATCATTAGCATTAGTATCTTTTTTCTGATCTTGACAGTTTATAAATAATTTATCATTATTTCATTAGTTGGTATAGGTGGGTAGTATTATCTATGTTGGAACTAAGGATTAGAGAGAGTTTTGTCTTGCTCTGTTTGTATTACAGGTCCAATAGGACCCACAGATTTTTTTTGAGATGGAGTTCCACTCTTGTCGCTGAGGCTAGAGAGCAATGGCGCTATCTTGGCTCACTGCAACCTCCGCCTCCTGGGTTCAAGTGATTCTCCTGCCTCAGTGGCCCAAGTAGCTGGGATTACAGGCACATGACACCATGCCCAGCTAATTTTTGTATTTTTAGTAGAGACAGGGTTTCACCACGTTTGCCAGGCTGGTCTCGAACTCCTGACCTCAGGTGATCCACCGGCCTTGGCCTCTCAAGGTGCTGGGATTATAGGTGTGAGCCACCATGCCCAGTCGTACTCACAGATTTTTAATATTGTCTTGTATTCTGTTTGCAAAGAGGAAAAATTATTACATATATTCAAATAAGGCAATATTAAAAAAAATCATTACCTGGAGTTGCCAGATTCTTAAGCTTATAGGCTTTTTTAATTCTAGGCGCATGACCACCAACCAAAGGTGAAGGTAGAGCAACTTGATGGAATCTTCTGGTGCTATAGTACAACTTGTGTGAATAGTTAGTGCTCAGAGAGTTTTTTCTTTCCTTTGTTTGGGTTGGGGTGCTTTATTTGGTTGTTGTGTATGTCTCCAAAGGAACCTTTCATAGTTTGTATTATGCTTTATATAGCTCAGTATAAGGCAGCCCTAATTCTAAGTTTCCTCATTCCCCAGTGAGAAGATTAAATTTTATGACAATTTGAGCATGTAAACTTTATGGATATACATGAAATAGTCAAATGTCTACTTATGATATTTAATTTCTTAAGTTAGTTACAAATATTTTTCAATTCACAAATAAAATTTTACATTAATTTAGAAATACTGCTTTTCCACTCTTGTTTTATGAAGCTGTTTTATGTAGACATTTCAGATTTGCAACAGCAATGACTATTATCATTATAAGTGCTTTTTGAATCAGTTAAATGGTTTTCTAGAGAACTTTTTTTTTTTTTTTTTTTTTTTTTTATGAGTTGGAGTCTTGCTCTGTCACCCAGGCTGGAGTGCAGTGGCGCTATCTCGGCTCACTGCGGCCTCCGCCTTCCGGGTTCATGCCATTCTCCTGCCTCAGCCTCCTGAGTAACTGGGACTACAGGCGCCCGCCACCACGCCTGGCTAATTTTTTTGTATTTTTAGTAGAGGTGGGGTTTCACCGTGATAGCCAGAATGGTCTCGATCTCCTGACCTCGTGATCTGCCTGCCTGGGCCTCCCAAAGTGCTGGAATTATAAGTGTGAGCCACTGTGCCCGGCCCAGGGAACATATTTTTTAATTATGTTTTTAGAACTGTAAATTTACAGCAAAGCTGTGGAGATGGTAGAGAGAGAGAACATCATATTTCCCACAGTCTAAACAGTTAGCATTATAGCATTTCTTTTTCTTTTTTTGAGACAGGGTCTCACTCTGCAGCCTTGACCTCCTGGACTCTAGTGATCCTCCCACCTCAGGCCCCCAAGTAGCTGGGACTACAGGCATGCACTACCTACCATACCTGACTAGTGTTTTTTTTTTTTTTTTTTGTAGAGATGGGGTCTCACTGTTGCCCAGGCTGGTCTCAAACTCCTGGTCTCATGTGATCTTCCCACCCTAACCTCCCAGAGTGCTGGGATTACAGACGTGAGCCACCATGCCCTACTGATACAGTATTTCTTGAATTCATATATGATACTGACACTGGATATTTTTTATTTTTGTAAACTACCTGTTTGCAAAACAGTGGGACAGTTTTAAAAATTTATTTTCTGCAAATTACATTTATTACTGTCAGAATTTAATGACTAACTTGATTTTTTTTTTTCACCATGTTCCCGAGTAGCTGGGATTACAGGCACATGCCACCATGCCTGGTTGATTTTTGTATTTTTCGTAGAGATGGGGTTTTGCCATGTTGGCCAGGCTGGTCTTGAACTCCTGGCCTCAAGTGATCCATTCACCTTGGGCTCCCAGAGTGCTGGGATTACAGACGTGAGCCACCATGCCTGATCGAAACTACTTTTTTGAGGGATACTGTTTGAGAAAATACCTTGACTTACATTTGGGCATATATAATACTTTATGTTGAATTCTTAGCCTCACTAGATAAATCCTACAAAATGTATATGTCCATGTTTTGTTACTGATGTTTGAATTACGCTCCACATAGACATCTTTCTAGTTAAAGCTTTGCTAGTAAGTTTAAAATTAATAATCCGGCCGGGCGCAGTAGATCATGCCTGTAATCCTAGCACTTTCAGAGGCCTAAGCGGGTGGATTGCCTGAGGTCAGGAGTTCAAGACCAGCCTGGGCAACATGGTAAAACCCTGTCTCTACTAAAATACAAAAAATTAGTCAGGCTTGATGGTGCACGCCTATAGTCCCAGCTACTTGGGAGGGTAAGGCATGAGAATCATTTGAACCTGGGAGGCAGAGGTTGCAGTGAGCCGAGATGGTGCCACTGCACTCCAGCCTGGGGTGCAGAGCGAGAGTCTGTCTCAAAAAAAAAAAAAAAAAGAAAGAAAAAAAATTAATTAAAAAAATTGGCTTGTCAGTTCCAGAGTGCATTGTTTCAGGCATCTCTTTGAAACATTATTAATGTAAATATTTTTCGGCATTATAATTTTCAAATCAGTCTTAGAATATGGAGCCTAAAAGGATAGGAATAAGAAGGAGCATCTAGATGACATGATTGAATGCATTAAACTTGGGTATGTTGTAACATACAACTGTCATTCAACTTTGTGAACATATAGTGTGGGTACCTGTATCCCCCAAACTCCTGAAATTTAGATGTGTCTCTGGATGGACTGTGTGTGTTGGGCAGGTTTAGTAGATAGGGTGGGAGAAAGGGTAAGGAAAGACTGTAAGCTAGGAATAAACATCCCCAGGAAGCCGAAGTTTCATTGAGATGTAGTAGAGATAAGATGGATAATTTACTTAAAAGAAATTCCTGGCACTTGGCAGTCCTACTTTTGTGGCTGGGTGCTTCATTTGGTCACCAGGTGCTGTCATTACTTCTAACATCCAGGGTACAAAGGTTGCCACTGTGTTTGATGCCAGCTAGCTACTTTGGTCACTTTTGTTGTTGTTGTTGTTGTTGTTTGAGATGGAGTCTTGCTCTTGTTGCCCAGGCTGGAGTGCAATGACGTGATCTTGGCTCACTGCAACCTCTGCTTCCCGGGTTCAAGCGATTCTCCTGCCTCAGCCTCCTGAGTAGCTGGGATTACAGGCATGCGCCACCACGCCTGGCTAATTTTGTATTTTTAGTAGAGACGGGGTTTCTCCGTGTTGGTCAGGCTGGTCTCGAACTCCTGACCTCAGGCGATCCGCCTGCTTCATCTTCCCAAAGTACTGGGATTACAGGGGTGAGCCACTGTGCCCGGCCTTCAGTCACTTTTATGGGGAATCTTATCCTGTTGATTATTTTTATTTCTAGAATATCCTATTGATAGTTTTTTGGGGGGATTGGGCATGATGTATTTTATCCTAAAATAAGATGTTACTGAATGTTAATTGCAGAATTAATGTAAAATTGACTACATCTTTCACAGATGAAATACATCGTGTATAGCTGTGGGTCTGAAAATGTGTGGAGTGGCCTGGACTTTACAGAGCACCTGGATCAATGTTTTTCAGCCTTACTTTGTAGTAGCAGAATGCTTTGTGAAATAAAATCTTGTGTAGGCCGGGCACAGTGGCTCATGCCTGTATTCTCAACACTTTGAGAGGCCAAGGTGGGTGAATCACTTGAGGTCAGGAGTTCGATACCAGCCTGGCCAGCGTGATGAAGCCCTGTCTGTAGTAAAAATACAAAAAATTAGCTGGGCCTGGTTGCATGCTCCTGTAATCTCAGCTACTCGGGAGGCTGAGGCAGGAGAATTGCTTGAACCCAGCAGGTGGAGGTGGCAGTGAGCTGAGATTGTGCCATTTCACTGCAGCCTGGGCAACAGAGTGAGACTCTATCTCGAATAATAATAATAATAATAATAATAATAATAATAATAAAATAAATCTTGTGTAGAACTCTATTATGTATAAAGCGGAAAAGGTGGCTCTACTCTGAGAGAATTGGCAGGTGAGAGCTTGGTCCTTGCCGCCTGGCCTTCCCCTTGTCCATTGGGGTGCTCCCCAAGGCAGCTTTGAAGAACACAGTTTGAAGTCCATTGCCCTAAACCATTCCATGTTTTCACTGAGGGAAAAATGAAGGACTGAAGGAGCCTGAGTCTTTTTTTTTTTTTTTTTTTTTGAGATAGAGTTTCGCTTTGTCACCTAGGTTGGAGTGCAGTGGCACGATCTCAGCTCACTCCTACCTCTGCCTCCCGGGTTCAAGCGATTCTCATGCTTCAGCCTCCTGAATAGATGGGATTACAGGCATGCGCCACCATGCCTGGCTAATTTTTTGTATTTTTAGTAGAGACGGGGTTTCATCATGTTGGCAGGCTGGTCTTGAACTCCTTACCTCAAGTGATCCACCAACCCTGGCCTCCTTAAGTGCTGGGATTACAGGCTTGAGCCGCCGTGGCCAGCAGAGCGTGGCTCTTGATGAAAGTCACTTATCTTTTTAGTGCCTTAGCCAGTTTAGAATGCTGGATTAGAGCCCTGGATGCTGATTCAGTGGTCTTTTGTACTACCATTAAGCTGCAGGATGACAAGCCCTTCTGGGACTGATACAGAAAATAGTTTCTAGTCCTCAAAGAGAGATTATTGTAAGAACCTTACTTTTAACTCCTTCCTTTGCTGGGAGGAAAAGTAAAAAGTAAAAATTTTTTTTCTCTGAAGAGACCCTTAACAGGTCACATGGACCTGCACGGTTTTATCATGTGCATCTATGAGAGTGGGATGGAAGATGCTTTATATAGAAAATCTTAGAATACAGGAAAACAGTTTTTCTAAAAAAGCAATAAGGCCATGTTTTTTACTTTAGCTTTAAAAACTTTTTTTATTTTATTTTTCAGTAGCTACAAGGTTGTCTTTAAATATTCTTTATAGTAACTAACACCCTGTAGGCATGACCAGTAATAGAAATAATTTCCTCTTTTCCTTGGCTCCACTGATGCCCACTGCCTCTTCTTTGTGATCAGTTAAATGTACACTTTAGATGATTCTAAGCTTTGTAACTGTACTCTCCTTAAGTTTTAAATCCCATTACTGAAAAGCGTATACAGTTTGGCTATCAACAACATGTGTTTGTCCTGTGGAAATTTTTTTCAATAAATATATTGGTAAATTTTTTGGAGATTTTCTGCAGTTTGAAAAAACTTGAACTATGTACCCTAGAAATATTTAAAAACATTAAAAAGGTATGTCATGAATGCTTAAAATATTTGTAGATGCTAGCCTGTTTTATCATTTACCAACATGAAATGTACACAAAATGTGTGTGTACAGACTGTACACGGCACTATTTGCAGTCAAGAGAAGTGCAAACATAAAGGTGCAGTGTTAAATCATAACTGCATGGAATTAACTGTAGTATATGCCATACTGCTGTAATAACTTTGTAGCTACCTCCTGTTGCTTTTGCAGTGAGCTCAAGTGTTGGAAGTATCCCTGTGATGCCCTGTAACTGGCCAGGTGTGGTCACTCATGCCAGTAATCCCAGCTCTTTGGGAGGCTGAGGTGGGTGGATTGCTTGAGCCAAGGAGTTGGAGACCAGCCTGGGCAACACGGTGAGACCCCGTCTCTATAAAAAATACAAAAATTAACTGGGTGTAGTGGTGCGTGCCTATAGTCCCAGCTACTCAGGAGGCTGAGGCGGGAGGATTGCTTGACCCCAGGAGGCCGAGGTTGCGGTGAGCCAATATCATGCCAGTGCACTCCAGCCTGGGTGACAGAGCCGGAACCTGTCTCAAAAACAAAACAAAACAAAGCCCTGTGATGCCAGTTATCTCCATGTGGGTAGCTTGTCTCCAGTAAATTGCGTATCTTGGTAAAAAGTGATCTCTGCCAGGTGTGGTGGCTCATACCTGTAATACCAGCACTTTGGGACACCCAGGTGGGAGGAGCATTTGAGCTCAGGAGTTCGAGACTATCCTAAAACAAACAAACAAACAAAAAAAAAAACAAAAAAAAAGGTGATCTCATATTTTTCTTACATATATTTCACTATGTTTAGTGCAAGTCTGTAAACTTTGAATAACACCATGGGACTCACGGAGTGACACTAGTGATACTGGAAGTGCTCCCAGGAAGGAGAGAAATGTCATGATGTTACAAGAAAAAGTCAAATTGCTTGATATGCATCTTAGAATGAGTGCATTCTATGTTTGCCTGCCATTTAAAGATAAATGAATTCAGCATACATGACTATAGTGAAAAAAAGGAAAGGAAATTCATGAAGCCATTGTTGCAGCTATACCAGCATGCATGAAAATCTCACACTTCTTGTGAAATATTCTTTTATCTTGTATTGAAAATGCAGCTTTTATGTGGGTGCAGGATTGCAATAAGAAAGGCATACCTGGCTGGGCCTGGTGGCTCACGCCTGTAATCCCAGCACTTTGGGAGGCTGAGGCGGGCGGATCACGAGGTCAGGAGTTTGAGATCAGCCTGGCCCAATATGGTGAAACTCTGCCTCTACTAAAAATACAAAAATTAGCTGGTTGTGGTGGTGCACGCCTGTAGTCCCATCTGCTTGGGAGGCTGAGGTAGAAGAATTGCTTGAGGCCGGGAGGCAGAGGTTGCAGTGAGTCAAGATCATGCCACTGCATTCCAGCCTGTGCGACAGGGTGACACTCCGTCTCAAAAAGAAAAAAAAAAAAAAGGCATACCTGTAGATGCTAATACAATTAGAGAAAAAGCAAAGTCACTGTATGACAACTGTAAAGCAAAAGAGGAAGGATCTAAAGCTATAGAATTTAATTCCAGCAAAAGATGGTTTGATAATTTTAGAGGTTTGCCTTAAGAAATGAGGAGATAGCAGGAGAAGCCACCAAGTGGCAGCGTATGAGTTCCCAGACACCATTAAGAAAATCATTAGGCCGGGTGCGGTGGCTCATGCCTGAAATCCCAGCACTTTGGGAGGCCGAGGTGGGCGGATCACAAGGTCAAGAGATCAAGACTATCCTGTCCAACATCATGAAACCCTGTCTCTACTAAAAATACAAAGATTAGCTGGGCGTGGTAGCGTGCGCCTGTAGTCGCAGCTACTTGGGAGGCTGAGGCAGGAGAATCACTTGAACCCTGGAGGCAGCGGTTGCAGTGAGCCGAGATCGCGCCATGCACTCCAGCCTGTCAACAAAGCGAGACTCCGTCTAAAAAAAAAAAAGGAAGAAATAAAATCATTGAGGAGAAAGGCTATCTGCCTGAATAGTTTCTGTTTTTTGTTTTTTTAAATTAAAAGATAGAGTTTTGTTCTCCCAGGCCGGAGTGAAGTGGCATGATGACTCACTCCAGCCCTGACCTACTAAGCTCACATGATCCTCCCATCTCAGTCCCCCGAGTAGCTGAGACTGCAGGTACACGCCACCACGCCCAGCTAATTTTTAAATCATTTTGTGGAGACTCAGTCTCCCTGTGTTGCCCAGGCTCGTCTTCGATTCTCCTGCCTTGACCTCCCAGAGTGTTGGGATTACAGATGTGAGAGCCATTGCACCTGGCCTAAATATATATATATATATAATTTTTTTTTTTTTTTTTTTTTTGAGACAGAATTTCGCTCTTGTTGCCCAGGCTGGAAATGCAATGGTGCAATCTCGGCTCACTGCAATCTCCGCCTCCTGGGTTCAAGCGATTCTCCTGCCTCAGCCTCCTGAGTAGCTTGGATTACAGGCACCCGCCACCACACCTGGCTAATTTTTTGTATTTTTAGTAGAGATCGGGTTTCACAATATTGGCCGGGCTGGTCTCCAGCTCCTGATCTCAGGTGATCCACCCGCCTCAGCCTTCCAAACTGTTGGGATTACAGGCGTGAGCCACTGTGCCTGGCCCTAAATGCCAGATGGAAGTGCCCCATTAGATGGAAGTGCCCCATTCTGGAAAAAAATTGCCATAGAGGACATTAATCCAATTTGTAAGGAAAAGAAGTAAGCACCAGGATTTAAGGCAGGAAGGGATGGGCTAACTCTACTCTTTTGTGCAAATGTAGTCAGGTTTATGATCAGGACTGCCCTTGTCTGTAAAGCTGCTAACCTTGAACCTTGAAGGGATAAGAGAAATACTGGCTGCCAGTCCTTTGGTTGTACAAGAAGTCCTGGACAATGAGAACCCTTTTTTGGATTGATTCCATTGATGCTTTGTCCCTGGAGTCAGGAAATACCTAGCCAGTGAGAGATTGCCTTTTAAAGTTCTTTTGATTTTGGACAATGCCCCTGACCATCCAGAACCCCAGGGGTTCAGCACAGAAGGTGTGGAAGTAGTTTACTTGCCCCCAAACACAATGTCTCTAATTTAGCTTCTACATCAGGGAGCCTTAAGGACCTTTAAGACTCGGCCAGGCGCGGTGGCTCTCCCCTGTAACCCCAGCACTTTGGGAGGCCGAGGCAGGCGGATCACGAGATCAGGAGTTTGAGACCAGCCTGGCCAACATAGTGAAACCCCGTCTCTACTAAAAATACAAAAAAAATTAGCTAGGCATGATGGCGGGTACCTGTAATCCCAGCTACTTGGGAGGCTGAGGCAGGAGAAGCGCTTGAATCTGGGAGGTGGCGGTTGCAGTGAGCCAAGATCATGGCACCGCACTCCAGCCAGGGTGACAGTGCGAGACTCCTTCTCAAAAAAAAAAAAACGTTACACACGGTATGCTATGGAAAGGCTTTTCAGTGCAGCAGAAGAGAACTCAATAGAGAGACCATCATGAATGTCTGGGTTGTACCACTGAAGATACCATTGTTGTTACAGAAAAAGCAATGAAAACCATCAGGCTTGAAACAAATTCCTGCTGGAGAAGACTGTCCAGATGTGCATGACTTCAAAGGATTTTTATTAAAAATTATTTTATTATTTTTTAATTATACTTTAAGTTCTAGGGTACATGTGCACAGCATGCAGGTTTGTTACATATGTATACATGTGCCATGTTGGTTTGCTGCACCCATCAACTTGTCATTTACATTAGGTATTTCTCCTAATGCTATCCCTCTCCCAGCCCCCCACCCCACGACAGGCCCCAGTGTGTGATGTTCCCCGCCCTGTGTCCATGTGTTCTCATTGTCCGGCTCCCACCTACGAGTGAGAACATGCGGTGTTTGGTTTTCTGTCCTTGTGATAGTTTGCTGAGAATGATGGTTTCCAGATTCATTCATGTCCCTGCAAAGCACATGAACTCATCCTTTTTTATGGCTGCATAGTATTCCATGGTGTATATGTGCCACATTTTCTTAATCCACTCTATCATTGATGGACATTTGGGTTGGTTCCAAGTCTTTGCTATTGTGAATAGTGCCGCAATAATAAACATACATGTGCATGTGTAGTAAGCCTAGTAGCATGATTTATAATCCTTTGGGTATATACCCAGTAATGAGATGGCTGGGTCAAATGGTATTTCTAGTTCTAGATCCTTGAGGATTCACCACACTGCCTTCCACAAGGGTTGAACTAATTTACACTCCCACCAACCGTGTAAAAGTGTTCCTATTTCTCCACATCCTCTCCAGCACGTGTTGTTTCCTGACTTTTTAATGATTGCCATTCTAATTGGTGTGAGATGGTATCTCATTGTGGTTTTGATTTGCATTTCTCTGATGGCCAGTGATGATGAGCATTTTTTCATGTGTCTGTTGGTTGCATAAATGTCTTCTTTTGAGAAGTGTCTGTTCATATCCTTTGCCCTCTTTTTGATGGGGTTGTTTGATTTTTTCTTGTAAATTTGTTTAAGTTCTTTGTAGATTCTGGATATTAGCCCTTTGTCAGATGGGTAGATTGCAGAAATTTTCTCCCATTCTGTAGGTTGTTTACTCTGATGGTAGTTTCTTTTATTTTTTATTTATTTTTATTTATTTTTTATTATACTTTAAGTTCTAGGGTACATGTGCACAACGTGCAGCTTTATTACATATGTATACATGTGCCATGTTGGTGTGCTGCACCCGTTAACTCATCATTTACATTAAGTATATCTCCTAATGCTATCCCTCCCCTCTCCCCCCACCCCACGACAGGCCCCGGTGTGTGATGTTCCCCATCCTGTGTCCAAGTGTTCTCATTGTTCAGTTCCTATGAGTGAGAACATGCAGTGTTTGGTTTTCTGTCCATGCGATAGTTTGCTTAGAATGATGGTTTCCAGCTTCATCCATGTCCCTACAAAGGAACTCATTCTTTTTTATGGCTGCATAGTATTCCGTGGTGTATATGTGCCACATTTTCTTAATCCAGTCTATCACTGATGGACATTTGGGTTGGTTCCAAGTCTTTGCTATTGTGAATAGTGCCACAGTAAACATACATGTACATGTGTCTTTATAGCAGCATGATTTATAATCCTTTGGGTATATACCCGTTAATGGGATGGCTGGGTGAAATGGTATTTCTATTTCTAGATCCTTGAGAAATCACCACACTGTCTTCCACATGGTTGAACTAGTTTACAGTCCCACCAACAGTTTAAAAGTGTTCCTATTTCTCCACATCCTCTCCAGCACCTGTTGTTTCCTGACTTTTTTTTTTTTTTTTTTTGAGACAGAGTCTTGCTCTGTCGCCCAGGCTGGAGTGCAGTGGCGTGATCTCAGCTCACTACAAGCTCTGCCTCCTGGGTTCAGGCCATTCACCAAGTTAGCCAGGATGGTCTCCATCTCCCAACCTTGTGATCCACCCGCCTTGGCCTCTCAAAGTGCTGGGACTACAGGCGTGAGCCACCGCGCCCGGCCATTTCCTGACTTTTTAATGATCGCCATTCTAACTGGTGTGAGATGGTATCTCATTGTGGTTTTGATTTGCATTTCTCTGATGGCCAGTGATGATGAACATTTTTTCATGTGTCTGTTGGCTGCATAAATGTCTTCTTTTGAGAAGTGTCTGTTCATATCCTTCGCCCACTTTTTGATGGGGTTGTTTGATTTTTTTTCTGGTAAATTTGTTTAAGTTCTTTGTAGATTCTGGATATTAGCCCTTTGTCAGATAGGTAGATTGTAAAAATTTTCTCCCATTCTGTAGTGCGTGTTCACTCTGATGGTAGTTTCTTTTGCTGTGCAGAAGCTCTTTAGTTTAATTAGATCCTGTTTTTCAATTTGGCTTTTGTTGCCAGGCGCTTTCGGTGTTTTAGTCATGAAGTCCTTGCCCATGCCTATGTCCTGAATGGTATTGCCTAGGTTTTCTTCCTAGGGTTTTTATGGTTTTAGGTCTAACATTTAAGTCTTAAATCCATCTTGAATTAATTTTTGTATAAGGTGTAAGGAAGAGATCCAGTTTCAGTTTTCTACATATAGCTAGCCAGTTTTCCCAGCACCATTTATTAAATGGGGAATGCTTTCCCCATTGCTTGTTTTTGTCAGGTTTGTCAAAGATCAGATGGTTGTAGATGTGCGGTGGTATTTCTGAGGCCTCTGTTCTGTTCCATTGATCTATATATCTGTTTTGGTACCAGTACCATGCTGTTTTTGTTACTGTAGCCTTGTAGTATAGTCTGAAGTCAGGTAGCATGATGCCTCCAGTTTTATTCTTTTTGCTTAGGATTGTCTTGGCAGTGCGTGCTCTTTTTTGGTTCCGTATGAACTTTAAAGTAGTTTTTTCCAATTCTGTGAAGAAAGTAATTGGTAGCTTGATGGGGATGGCATTGAATCTATAAATTACCTTGGGCTGTATGGCCATTTTCACGATATTGATTCTTCCTATCCATGAGCATGGAATGTTCTTCCATTTGTTTGTGTCCTCTTTTATTTCATTGAGCAGTGGTTTGTAGTTCTCCTTGAAGAGGTCCTTCACATCCCTTGTAAGTTGGATTCCTAGGTATTGTATTCTCTTTGTAGCAATTGTGAATGGGAGTTCACTCATGATTTGGCTCTCTGTGTGTTATTGGTATATAGGTGTATAAGAATGCTTGTGATTTTTGTACATTGACTGAGACTTTGCTGAAGTTGCTTATCAGCTTAAGGAGATTTTGGGCTGAGATGATGGGGTTTTCTAAATAGACAATCATGTCATCTGCAAACAGGGACAATTTGACTTCCTCTTTTCCTAATTGAATACCCTTTATTTCTTTCTCTTGCCTGATTGCCCTGGCCAGAACTTCCAGCAACGTGTTGAATATTCGAGTGGTGAGAGAGGACATCCTTGTCTTGTGCCAGTTTTCAAAGGGAATGCTTCCAGTTTTTGCCCATTCAGTATGATATTGGCTGTGGGTTTGTCATAAATAGCTCTTACTATTTTGAGATACGTTCTGTCAATACCGAATTTATTGAGAGTTTTTAGCATGAAGGCCTGTCGGGTTACCCACAAAGGGAAGCCCATCAGACTAACGGCGGATCTCTCGGCAGAAACCCTACAAGTCAGAAGACAGTGGGGGCCAGTATTCAGCATTCTTAAAAGAATTTTTAACCCAGAATTTCATATCCAGCCAAACTAAGCTTCATAAGTGAAGGAGAAATAAAATCCTTTACTGACAAGCAAATGTTGAGAGATTTTGTCACCACCAGGCCTGCCTTACAAGAGCTCCTGAAGGAAGCACTAAATATGGAAAGGAAAAGCTGGTACTAGCCACTGCAAAAAAAATTGTAAAGACCATCGATGCTATGAGGAAACTGCATCAACTAATGGGCAAAATAACCAGCTAACATCATAATGACAGGATCAGATTCACACAGTATTAACCTTAAATGTAAATGGGCTAAATGTCCCAATTAAAAGACACAGACTGGCAAATTGGATAGAGAGTCAAGACCTATCAGTGTGCTGTATTCAGGAGACCCATCTTACCTTCAGAGACACACATAGTCTCAAAATAAAGGGATGGAGGAAGATGTACCAAACAAATGGAAAGCAGAGAAAAGCAGGGGTCGAGATCCTAGTCTCTGATAAAACAGACTTTAAACCAGCAAAGAACAAAAGAGAGACAAAGAAGGCCATTACATAATGGTAAAGGGATCAATTCAACAAGAAGAGCTAACTATCCTAAATCTGTATGCACCCAATACAGGAACATCCAGATTCATAAAGCAAGTCCTTAGAGACCTACAAAGAGACTTAGATTCCCACACAATAATAATGGGAGACTTTAACACCCCACTGTCAATATTAGACAGATCAACGAGACAGAAGGTTAACGAGGATATCCAGGACTTGAACTCAGCTCTGCACCAAGCGGACCTAATAGATATCTACAAAATTCTCCACCCCAAATCAACGGAATATACATTCTTCTCAGCACCACATCGCACTTATTCTAAAATTGATCACAAGATTTATAGTCAAGGAAATCATGAAACAGATTGTAGATATGGCAAAAAAGGTGGGGGTTGGAAGGATGAACGGTTTCCAGATGTGGATTGTGAGAAATTCAAGAGCCAGTAGACATCACACCACAGGAATTATCAGATGACTTGATGGAAATGAGTGCTTCCATACCACTGCCAGACGATGAGGAAGATGACATAGCAGCAGCAGTGCCATAAAACAAATTGACGTTAGACAATTAAGCAGAGGCGTTCTGATTATTGAAGACTGCTTTTGACGTCTTTTTTACTGTGAAGTTGATAAGCATGGAGACCTTTATGATGATCCACTTAATAAATAGTGCTGTGGGCCTGGCACAGTGGCTCATGCCTGTAATCTTGTCACTTTGGGAGGCCAAGGAGGGCAGATCACAAGGTCAGGACTTCGAGGCCATCCTCACTAACACAGTGAAACCCCATCTCTACTAAAAATAAAAAAAATTAGCTGGACATGGTGGCATGCGCTTGCAATCCCAGCTACTTGGGAGGCTGAGGCAGGTGAATTGCTTGAACCCGGGAGGCAGAGGTTGCAGTGAGCCAAGATCGCGCCATTGCACTCCAGCCTGGGTGATAGAGCGAGCCTTTGTCTCCAAAAAAAAAAAAAAAAAAAAAAAAAGCTGTGGTTTGGATATGGTTTGTTTGACCTCTCCAAGCCTCATGTTGAAATTTGATACCCCAGTGTTGGTGGTGGGGCCTGGTGTTTGGATTGTAGGGGGTGGATCCCTCTTGAATGGCTTGAGGTGTCATTCTTGCTTCTCACTCTTAGTTTCCAGAGAACTGGTTGTTGAAAAGAGGCACCTCCACCTCCACTCTTGCTTTCTCTCTCTCTCTCTCTCTCTGTGTTCTTAGCACCCCTTTCTTCCAGCATGGGTGGAAGCAGCCTGAGACCCTCACTGAAATTAGGTGCTGGTGCCATGCTTGTTGTACAGCCTGCAAAACCATGAGCCACATACATCTCTTTTCTTTATATTAATAAATTACCCAGGCTTAGATATTCCTTCTTTAGCAGCAAAAATAGACTAAGACAAATAGTAAATATATTTTCTCTTCCTTATGATTTTTTCTTTCTTTTCTTTTTTGAGACAGGGTCTCTTGTTCTGTTGCCCAGGCTAGAGTGCAGTGGCATGACCTCGTCCTACTGCAACCTTTGCCTCCCGGGCTCAGGTGATCCTCCCACCTCAGATCCCCAAGTAACTGACACGGCAGGCAAGAACCACCATGCCCGGCTAATTTTTGTGTTTTTAATAGAGACTGAGTTTCGTCATGTTGTCCAGGCTGGTTTTGAACTCCTGAGCTCAAGTGATCCACTTGCTTCAGCCTTCCAAAGTGCTGGGATTATAGGTGTGAGCCACCATGCATGGCCCCTTATGATTTTCTTAATAAAGTTTTCTTTTGTTTATCTTGTTTTATTGTAGGAATATTGTGTATAATACATATAACATACAAAATGTGTGTTATCTACTGTTTATGTTATTGATAAGGCTTCTGGTTTTTGGGGAGTCAGAAGTTGTACGTGGGGTGTTTTTTTTTTTTTTTTTTTTTTGAGACGGAGTCTCGCTCTGTTGCCCAGGCTGGAGTGCAGTGGCGTGATCTCGTCTCACTGCAACCTTCGCCTCCCGGGTTCAAGCGATTCTCCTGCCTCAGCCTCTTGAGTAGCTGGGACTCCAGGAACATGCCAGCACGCCCAACTAATTTTTGTATTTTTACTAGAGACAGGGTTTTACCATGTTGGTCAGGATGGTCTTGATCTCTTGACCTTTGTGATCCACCCACCTCAGCCTCCCAAAGTGCTGGGATTATAGGCGTGAGCCACTGTGCCTGGCCTGTATGTGGATTTTTGACTGTGCAGAGATGGGGGTGGCTTCCCTAATCCCTGCGTTGTTCAAGGATCAGTTGTGCTTCCCCTGTATGGGCAAAGGCTATCTTATTTACCAGAGATTTGATAGTTCCCATTTCTCCAAAGCCTCATTTATCTTTGAATCTTTTTTTTGTTTTGTTTTGTTATTGTTTTTTTTGTTTTTTGAGACGGAGTCTTGCTCTTGTTGCCCAGGCTGGAGTGCAATGGTGTGATCTTGGCTCACTGTAACCTCCGCCTCCTGGGTTCAAGCAATTCTCTTGCCTCAGCCTCCCGAGTAGCTGGGGTAACAAGCGCACACCACCGCACCCGGCTATTTTTTGTATTTTTAGTAGAGATGGGGTTTCACCATGTTGGCTAGGCTGGTCCTGAACTCCTGACCTCAGGTGATCCACCAATCTCGGCTGGTATTACATCAGATCTAGAAATAGTGAAGAGATATTTATTGTTTATAGCAGGTCATCTCTATTTAGGTTTGTAATTTCAAACTAAAATAAAGGGACAGGGAGGAGACTAAGACATGATGAAAGGAATGGAGGACTCCAGCAGTTTTTTAAAAAATTAGTGTTATTTGGCTGGGCGCAGTGGCTCACGCCTGTAATCGCAGCACTTTGGGAGGCCGAGGCAGGCGGATCACAAGGTCAGGAGATCGAGACCATCCTGGCTAACACAGTGAAACCCCATCTCTACTAAACAAAATACAAAAAATTAGCCAGGCGTGGTGGTGGGCGCCTGTAGTCCCAGCTACCCGGGAGGCTGAGGCAGGAGAATGGCATGAACCTGGGAGGCGGAGCTTGCAGTGAGGCCGAGATCGCACCACTGCACTCCAGCCTGGGCGACAGAGCGAGACTCCGTCTCAAAAAAAAAAAAAAAATTAGTGTTTACCTAAAAAAATCAAGTGATGGTTTACTATGAAAAGATTTAATAGTCTTAGTTGGGAGCTTTAGCTGATAAAGGAGAAGGTGGATACACATAAGGCCTTTACCATAGTGTTGTTAGGGTAGCAGATGCTTTGGGAGTACTAGCTGTCTCAGGGTCTTTCATTTCTCATATTTTGCCTCTATCATGTATCTTCCACAGGACCAGAGAAATCTCTGTTAAAGAAGAGATACTTGCATTTTTAACCCAAGGTTTTGAAAATTTTGGAAATAACTGTTCCTTCTTTTGGGTATTTAATATATCTAATAGAGATGCAGACTTACATTTCACTATGAAAAAGCAAATACAGGTTGTACTTGCCTTAATTTTAAGCTGAGTATGTATGATGTTGAACTGTGTGAAATTGTCTTTTTTTGCCCCAAACTATCAAATTTCATGGGTTTATCTAAATTACTCACTATATTAGCTACAAAAAATAGCTAATATAGTGAGTAACATTTATTAAGTATTTATTGTGTATTGGGCATTCTGCTACATACTTTAATATGCATTTATCAGGTTTAATTGTCACAACACTCTAAACTGGGCTTAAAAATTTTTTCAGCTGCCCAGATTCCATTTATCCTAGTCGAAATGGGCCTCAGTTTTTGTATAGGGATTATCTCTTGTCCATTTTTGGTTCACATTGTTTGGGTTTCTCTCTAGTTTCCTTCATGCTCCAGGATGGAGCACGGCCTATTTTACTTAGTGCCTTCCACTTTTCAGTTGGAGAGCCCACCCAGAGCTAATCTTAGGGCCTTTGCATGAGGATTTGGGAGAGGCTCTTGCTTTCTCCTATAAGCTTCAATGGAGAGGATGTGAAATAGAGGTATTGAAGCCATTTTGTCACCATGCAGATCCTGAAAATGAACAGAGAACTGAGCCTTGCCAAGAGTTAGAAACTCAATCCTGATGGTGATATTTATTTATTTAATTTAATTTATTTATTTTAGAGTCTCACTGTGTCATCCAGGCTGGAGTGCGGTGGCATGGTCTCAGCTCACTGAAACTTCTGCCTTCCAGTTTCAGGTGATTCTCCTGCCTCAGCCTCCCAAGTAGCTGGACTACTGGCAGATGCCACCACGCCTGGCTAATTTTTGTATTTTTTGTAGAGACGGGGTTTCACCATGTGGGCCAGGCTGGTCTCAAAACTCCTGACCTCAAGGGATCTGCTTGCCTCAGCCTCCCAAAGTGCTGAGGTAACAGGCGTGAGGCACCGTGCTTGGCCCTGATGGTGATATTTAAACCCTAACTCAGGCTGTGTCTTATGCAAAGGCTGCCTGCTTGACGTTTAGTTATTTGTTTAAGCAGGGTTGATTTGGATTTTCTATCACTTTTTTTTCTTGGAGACAGGTTCTCTCACCCAGGTTAGAACACAGTGACATTATCATGGCTTACTGCAGCCTTGACCTCCCAGGCTTAAGCAGTCCTCCCACCACAGCCTTCTGAGTAGCTGGGACCACAGGTGTGCTCCACCATGCCTGGCTAATTTTTTAAAAATTTTTATTTTCAGTTGAGATGTGGTCTTGTAATGTTGCCCAGGCTGGTTTCAAACTCCTGAGCTTAAATGATCCTTCTGCCTCTGTTTGCCAAAGTGTTGGGATTACAGGCGTGAGCCACTGTGCCTTGCTTGCTAATGAAAAAAAAATTTTTTTTTTTTCGTAGAGATGAGGTCTTGCCGTGTTGCGCAGGCTAGTCTTGAACTCCTGGTCTCTAGCACTCCTCCTGCTGTGGCCTCCCAAAGTGCTAGGATTATAGGCGTTAGCCACTGTGCCCTGCTGTATTTTCTGTTACTTAAAACTGAAAGAGCAACATTGTTGATCACAGCCAGATGGAAACAACTCAGATGTCAGTTGATGAATAAACAAAATGTAGCATATCCTTACAATGGAATATTATTCAGCAGTAAAAATAATGAAGTACTGTTACATGCTACAACATGGATATATCTTGAAAACATTATACTGGATCAAAGAAGTCAGTCATGAAAGACCACTTATTAATATGATTTAATTTATATCAAATATCTGGAATAAGCAAACTCATAGAGACAGAAAGTAGATTTATGGTTACCTAGAGCTGGTGGGGAGGGGGAAATATGGGGCGTGCCTGTTGATGGGTATGTGTTTCTTTTTGGGGTGATAAAAATACTGTAAAATTGATTTTGGTAATGGTTGTACAGCTCTGTGAATATACTGAAGTCATTAAGTTGTGCACTTTAATTGGGTGAATTGTACATGTGAGTTATATATCTGACTGTAGTTGTTATTAAAAAACAACAGGAGGCCATGTGGGCTGCTAGGAGTAGCAATGTCTGTTCCCAGCCAGCAGGTAGAGACCAGGGCTGGACAGAGGAGTATGGGCTGTGCTGCAGATTATTTGTGGTACCCAACTGTTGCATAAAACAGGGTGTGATCTCTTGCATTGCTATGCATGAGTGGATTCCCAGTAAATTGTGCCAGGCTGCCTGATGATGTGTGGCTTGTGCTTTGGATCGTAATGCTTACCTATGCTACTTAAGTTACATACCCTGTGGCCTTTGTGGCCAGGACTGTGGGCTACTACCTGGAGTGATTCGTTAGGGGAAAGGACCCACAGCCTGTGCAGGAGGAAAAAAGCATCTCTGAGTACAGGGTGGATGAGCTGGATGAGCTGCCGGGCAAGAGCCACGCACACCCAGGTGGTGAGTCTTAAGGATAAGGTGGAATTTGCCCCATAGCTGTCCTGGACAGAAACTGCCCAGAGAAGAATGAATGGAGGACATAGGGCTCTGTGGTCCCACCATACATGGGGAGACCTGTGACTGGTCCTGTTACCATGTCAACTTAGCCCCAAACCCATCTCTGATTGACTTGGTTGCTTATTTTGGCACATTCTTGCTCCACACAGCCACATACATACTGGCTGCTCCTCGAAGGCCAGGCAGATGCAGCAGCTGTTGGGCCAGCAAAGAGGAAGGTCCTGGAAGGTTCTGGCCTGAACGCTGCATCTGTTGTGTGACAGCCACAACTGCTCAGGCTTCCTTGTCTGTGGGTGCACTGTGGGGAGGAGTGTTATGATAAGAACATTGGCTCTCAGTCTCCCTGGGGAGAAGTTTGGCCTCACGTGGGATTTGGGCGTTGCCTTTAGGAAGGCTCTCTGCATGTCTAGTTCCAGTTTGTACTGGGAAGAATTAAAAAAGTCTGCCAGCTTCTTTAGTTTGTCCTGTCTTTTGTGATGATTCTTTCTGAGATCCCCTCCTATCAGCTCAGGAGTGGGATTTTCTGGAGAAGGAAAGTGTTTTTCTGTTCCTTACTGCTCACCTTGGGGCATTCAGGAACATGGGCCTGATGAATTTGCTTGAAGGCAGTCTGTAATCCCATCACTTTGGGAGGCCAAAGAAGGCGGATCATTTGAGCTCAGGAGTTTGAGACCAGCCTGAGCAACGTGACAAAACCCTGTCTCCACCAAACAACAACAACAACAACAACAACAACAACAACAACAACAAACTGGGCTGGATGGCACGCTCCTGTAATCCCAGCTACTTGGGAGGCTGAGATGGGAGGATTGCTTGAGCCCAGGAGGTCAAGGCTGCAGTGAGCCATGATTGCACCACTGCATTCCAGCCTGGGTGACAGAGGGAGACTGTTTCAAAAAAAAACACAAAAAAACAAAACCATTACCTGGAAGAATTCTAACAGCACTATTATTCTCATTTTACAGATGAGGAACTGAGGCACAGAAATGTTCAGCAGCAGGCCCATTGTTTAGAGCTGATAGGTTGTAGAGCTGAGATTTAAAACTACCAAGTCGAAGCTTACAACTGTGCTATCTTACTTTTTTCAATTAAGAGTCATCCTTATGGAACTTTGGAGTTGGGAGTTCCTTAGCAATTACTTAATCTAACCCTTTCATTTTACTGATGAGAAAATTGAACCTTAGATAATAAGGGATTTATGACTTAGTCTCAGAGATAGGCAGGTAAACAACTAGCAGTGACACAAGGTGGAATAGAATGTTAACCAATAGAGGTACTGGCATTTACTGTGTGAAATTAAGGGAGGGATCATGTAATTCTGATGACTAGCCAAGAGCTTTTTTTTTTTTCTTTTGAGATAGAGTCTCGCTCTGTCACCCAGGCTGGAGTGCACTGGTGCAATCTTGGCTCATGCAACCTCCATCTCCTGGGTTCAAGCAATTCTCCTGCCTCAGCCTCCCGAGTAGCTGGGATTACAGGCGTGCGCCACCACAGCCAGCTAATTTTTGTATTTTTAGTAAGAGACTGGGTTTCACTATGTTGGCCAGGCTGGTCTCGATACCCTGACCTCAAGTAATCTGCCCACCTTGGCCTCCCAAAGTGCTGGGATTACTGGCGTGAGCCACCACACCCAGCCCCTAGTTGTATTAGCTATTTATTACCACATAACAAGTTACTGTGAAGCATAGTGGTTTAATGCAACATTTATCATCTTAGTTTCTGTGGGTTAAGAATTTGGAAGCAGTTGAGTGGGGTGGTTCTGGCTCAGGGTTGCAGTCATTTTGAAGGCTTGGCTGAGGCTGGAGGATCTGCTTCCAGGCTGTTGGCAGGAGGCCTTGCCTGTTGCTCTGTGGACCTCTTCTTGAATGTTCTCACAACATGTCAGCTGGCTTCATCAAGAGGGAGCAAGGAGGAAGCTGCGGTTACATTTTTATAACACACCCTTAGAAGACCTCACACTGCCACTTCTGCCACGTTTGTTAGAAGGGAGTTACTGGGTACAGCCCACACTCAAGGGAGAGTTCAGGTTCTGCCCTTTGAAGAGATGCAAATTAAGTAATTTGTGAACATATTTTTGAAACCACCACACTAGCTAAGCATATTGAGGAGGAGAAACAGTGGTGAAGAGTTAAAAGACGGGGATTCTAGACCCAGCTCTGCTGCTTGCTCCATAGGGAGGGAATGATTCATCCTTCCTGAATCTCTTATTTTCTCTAGGAAAATAGGATCATCAAACTGCACAGCCTGCTTTACAGTGGATTATAAGGGTGTCTTAGTCTGTTTACTGTTGCAGTAACTGAATTTCTGAGACTGGGGATCATCAAACTGCACAGCCTGCTTTACAGTGGATTATAAGGGTGTCTTAGTCTGTTTACTGTTGCAGTAACTGAATTTCTGAGACTGGGTTATTTATTTCTTCTTCTTCTTCTTCTTCTTTT
Source organism: Homo sapiens (assembly GCF_000001405.40). Classification (NCBI taxonomy): domain Eukaryota; kingdom Metazoa; phylum Chordata; class Mammalia; order Primates; family Hominidae; genus Homo; species Homo sapiens. The sequence continues at coordinate 105,351,815 of NC_000007.14, read as the reverse complement.
TTTTTTTTTTTGAGATGGAGTCTTGTTCTTGTCTCCCAGGCTGGAGTGCAATGGCACAATCTTGGCTCACTGCAGCCTCCGCCCCCCGGGTTCAAGCGATTTTGCTGCCTCAGCCTCCCGAGTAGCTGGGATTATAGGTGCCGGCCACCACACCCAGCTAATTTTTTGTATTTTTAGTGGAGATGGGGTTTCACCATTTTGGCAAGGCTGGTCTTAAACTCCTGACCTCAGGTGATCCTCCTGCCTCGGCCACCCAAAGTGCTGGGATTACAGGTGTGAGCTACTGCGCCCGGCCGGTGATTTATTATTATTATTATTATTTTTGAGACGGAGTGTAACTCTGTCACCTAGGGTGGTCTCAAACTCCTGACCTCAGGTGATTCGCCCTCCTCAGCCTCCCAGAGTGCTGGGATTACAGGGGTGAGCCTGTTGCCCATCCTTAACCAGGGGTGGGCCTGGTTAAGACTGGGTAATTTATAAAGAAAAGGAATTTATTTCTTTCAGTTCTGCATGCTGGGAAGGCCAAGGTCAAGGGGTGCATCTAATGAGGACCTTCTTGCTGGTGGGGACTCTGCAGAGTCCCAAGGTGGCCTAGAGTATCACATGGTTAGGGGGCTGAGTGTGCTAGCTCAGGTCTCTTCCTCTTATAAAGCCACCAGTCGCACTCCCAGGATAATCCGTTAAAATTCGTTAACTCATTAATCCATGAATAGGTTCCATTCATGAGGGCAGAACCGTCATGACACAGTCACCTCTTAAAGACCTGCCTCATAATACCCACATTGGGGATTAAGTTTTAACGTGAGTTTCAGATGGGATAAACATTCAAATCATATCACAGGGTGGTAGCAAATAGATAAAGCGCGTAAGATAGGCTCTGTAAACTTTAATGTAGTATAGGGTTGGCTGGCAGACGTGGCTTCTTACCCTAATCCTGCTGTGTAATGGCTTAATAGCCATGTAATCTGAACATGTTTAAGCTATCTGTGTGCCTCAGTTTTCTCATTTGTAAAATGGGATTAATTATAGCAACTATAGCACTTTGGGAGGCCAAGGTGGGGAGGTCAGGAGTTGGAGACCAGCCTGGCCAATATGGAGAAACCCCGTCTCTACTAATACAAAAATTAGCTGGGTGTGTTGGCGTATGCCTGTAGTTCTAGCTACCTGGGAGGCTGAGGCAGGAGAATTACTTGAAACGGGGGAGGCGGAGGTTGCGGTGAGCTCAGATTGAGCCACTGCACTCCAGCCTGGGTGACAGAGATTCCGTCTCAAAAAAAAAAAAAAAAGAAAAAAAATTGTAGCAACCACAGGGTTATTGTGAGGATCAAGTAAAAATTCAGCTGATATATTTAGCATAATGCCAGCTGTATCAAGATAGGCACTGTTCGGCCAGGCGCGGTGGCTCATGCCTGTAATCCTAGCGCTTTGGGAGGCCAAGGTGGGTGGATGCGAGTTCAGGAGATCGAGAACATCCTGGCCAACATGGTGAAACCCTGTCTCTACTAAAAATACAAAAATTAGCCAGGCTTGGTGGCATGTGCCTATAATCCCAGCTACTCGGGTGGCTGAGGCTGGAGAATTACCTAAAACAGGGGAGGCGGAGGTTGCAGTGAGCTGAGATTGAGCCACTGTACTCCAGTCTGGGTGACAGAGAGAGACTCTTGTCTCCAAAAAAAAAAAAAAAAAATTATAGCAACTACAGGGTTATTGTGAGGATTAAGTAAAAATTCAGGTGATATATTTAGCATAATGCCTGCTGTATTAAGACAGGCACTGTTTGGCCAGGCACAGTGGCTCACGCCTGTAATCCCAGCACTTTGGGAGGCTGAGGCAGGTGGATCACAAGTTCAGGAGATTGAGATCATCCTGGCCAACATGGCGAAACCCCATCTCTACTAAGAATACAAAAATTAGCCAGGTGTGGTGGCATGTGCCTGTAATCCCAGCTATGCAGGAGGCTGAGGCAGGAGAATCGCTTGAACCTGGGAGGTGGAGGTTGCGGTGAGCTGAGATCACGGCACTGCACACCAGCCTGGCGACAGAGCGAGACTCCAGCTCAAAAAAAAAGACAGGCACCGTTCAATAAATAGTAACTTTGCTATTTACTCTTTTCTTCCTGCTGTGTCTGTTCAGTTATCTCTGGTTTTTTGGGCTTAGCCAGTCCTTGACCCTAGGACTTTCACATGGATATTTGTGAAGAATCTCTGATTACATAGGATATTAAGGTGTGGTTGTACTTTAATGCTACTATATGTTATTACTCTCTTTTCCTAATTCTTTTTTTTTTTTTTTTGAGATGGAGTTTCACTCTTGTTGCCCAGGCTGGAGTGCAATGGTGTGATCTCGGCTCACTGCAACCTCCGCCTCCCAGGTTCCAGCGATTTTCCTGCCTCAGCCTCCTGAGTAGCTGGGATTACAGGCATGCGCCACCATGCCCAGTTAATTTTGTATTTTTAGTAGAGATGGGGCTTCTCCATGTTGGTCGGGCTGGTCTTGAACTCCCAACCTCCAGTGATCCGCCTACCTTGGCCTCCCAAAGTGCTGGGATTACAGGCGTGAGCCACCATGCTTGGCCCCCTTAATTCTTTCGTAGGTTCTTGACAAGCTCTGATTTCTTCCTCCCCTCCATCCCCTCCCCTCCCCTCCCCTCCCCCTCTTTCTTTCTCTCTTTCTACAAAAATCTCACTCTGTTGCCCAGGCTGGAGTGCAGTGATGCAAACTAGGCTCACTGCAACCTCCGCCTCCGAGTTCAAGTGATTCTCCTGCCTCTGCCTTCCAAGTAGCTAGGATTACAGGAAAGCGCCACCACGCCCGGCTAATTTTTGTATTTTTAGTAGAGATGGGGTTTCACCATGTTGGCCAGGCTGGTCTCGAACCCCTAACCTCAGGTGATCTGCCCGCCTTGGCCTCCCAAAGTGCTGGGATTACGGCGTGAGCCACTGCGCCCGGCTGCTCTGATATATTCATTTTTTATTTTTTATTTTCTGTTTTCAGTGCTGGCATGAATGATAACTTTCTTTAGATAAATTTTTTTTTTTAAAGTGTATCATCTGATTGGGCAGAACTAGTTTGGTTAGAAAATAGTTCAAATGCAGCTGGGCATGGTGGCTCACGCCTGTAATTCCAGCACTTTGGGAGGCCGAGGCAGTTGGATCACCTGAGGTCAGTAGTTGAACACCAGCCTGGCCAACATGGTGAAATCTCATCTCTACTAAAATACAAAAATTAGTCCGGCATGATGGCGGGTGCCTGTAATGCCAGCTACTCAGGAAGCTGAGGCGGGAGAATCGCTTGAACCATGAGGTGGAGGTTGCAGTGAGCCGTGATCATGCCATTGCACTCCAGCCTGGGCAACAGAGCGAGACTGCATCTCAAAAAAAAAAAAAAAAAGAAAGAAAAAAGTTCAAAGGCATTTTATACCAAATAGTGGCTTATTAAGTTTGACTGCTGTGCGCGGTGACTCACACCTGTAATCCCAGCACTTTGGGAAGTCGAGGTGGGTGGATCACCTGATGTCAGGAGTTCCAGACCAGTCTGACCAACATGGAGAAACCCCGTTTCTATTAACAATACAGAATTGGCCGGGCGTGGTGGCCCATGCCTGTAATCCCAGCTACTGAGGAGGCTGAGGCATGAGAATCGCTTGAACCCGGGAGGCGGAGGTTGCAGTGAGATCGCGCCATTGCACTCCAGCCTGGGGAACAAGAGCGAAACTCCATCTCAAAAAAAAAAAAAAAAAAAAAAAAAGTTTGCCAAGCAGCCATATTCTCATTAATATTAATGGTATATGTCACTGGTATGGACTAATTTGAAAACATTTTGATTTCTGTTTTCAAGGAAATGTGCAATTTTGATACAGCTGTCTTTCATGAGTAGTTGAGACATTTGAGATGTCTTTGTTAATGTAATTTAGAATTAATTGTGCAAGCTACCGCTTTTCTTTCTTTTTTTTTTTTTTTGAGACGGAGTCTCGCCCTGTCACCCAGGCTGGAGTGTAGTGGTGCCATCTCAGCTCACTGCAACCTCTGCCTCCTGGGTTCAAGCAATTCTCCTGCTTCAGCTTTCCAAGTAGCTGGGACCACAAGTTTGTGCCACCATGCCTGGCTAATTTTTAAAATTTTTTTGCAGAGATGGGGGTCTTGCCAGGCTGCCCAGGCAAGTCTCAAACTCCTGGACTCAAGCGATCCTCCCGCCTCAGTCTCCCAAAGTGCTGGGAGTATAGGCATGGGCCGTCATGCCCAGCCATAATTCTTCCTCCTCCTCCCCCTCCCCCTCATTCTTCGGCTGAATATCTCACTGTAGTTACACATATTTATAAGCCAGTCTGTGGTCAATATGGTGGCTCACTCCTGTGATCCCAGCACTTTGAGAGGGTGAGGTGGGAGGATCACTTGAGTCCAGGAATTTGAGACCAGCTTGGGCTAGTGAGACCTGTCTCTACAAAAATTAAAGAAAAAATTAGCCAGGCATGGTGGCCTGTAATCCCAGCACTTTGGGAGACTGAAGCCGGAGGATTGCTTGAGTCCAGGAGTTTAAGACCAGCCTGGGCAACATAGCAAGACCCTGTCTCTACTAAATTAAATAATTAGCCGGGCGCGGTGGCACATGTCTGTAGTCCCAGCTACTTAGAAGGCTGAGTAGAGGTGGGAGGATTGCTTGAGCCCAGAGGTGGAGGTTTCAGTGAGCCATGATCATGCCCACTGCACTTCAGCCTGGGTGACAGAATGAAACCTTAATCTTAAAAAAAAAAAAAGCCAGTCTATCTCATAGCCAAGTAAAAGATAAATTAATTTATATTAATTTTATGGTTCCCGGGCAGTGTGCAATATTTTATTTCTTCATGTAGAATTTTTACTGTTTAGTAAGTCCTTGATTTTCAGGGACCCAGAAAACCGATACCCAAGCAGTTTGGTGCTGCTTAAATCATGCAGTGAATAAAGTTTTTTTTTTTTTTTTTTAACAAATGAGAAGCAGCAAAGACTGGAAGCTCCATCAGTAACTAGAGTTGTGAAATGGAATGTGGCTTTTGTGGGTTTGTTGTTGTTGCTTGTTTTTTTTGAGATGGAGTCTTGCGCTGTCACCCAGGCTAGAGTGCAGTGGTGCGATCTTGGCTCACTGCAACCTCCTCTGCCTGCTGGGGTTCAATCAGTTCTTCTGCCTCAGCCTTCCGAGTAGCTGGGACTACAGGCGCACACCACCATGCCTGGCTAATTTTTGTGTTTTTAGTAGAGACAGGGTTTCACCATATTGGCCAGGCTGGTCTTGAACTCCTGACCTCGTGATCCGCCCGCCTTGCCCTCCTAAAGTGCTGGGATTATAGGCATGAGCCACTGCACCTGGCCTTGTGTTGCTTTTGACAGTGCTGGAGACTTACAGTTTATTGACCTTCATATAACAGTTGTTTGAGTACCCTCTGTGTTCCAGTCACCATGCAGAGGTGACAAGCAGGAGCTGTTTTCTGCATCATAGAGAGTTATGTGATAATCAGTTAAGTGCAGAATCCTTCACTTTCTAGGAAAGGAAATACTGCAGTTGTGAATGCAGTTGAGAATGGTTTGAAGCCAATTAGTAAATTGGAATAGTTACTGATGATGAAATACTTACCTCCAGGAATTTTTTAAAAAACTTTAAAACCTTGGTAAAGGCATTTGGTGATTATTTTGCTGGATTAGAAAACCTTAGAAGTTTTTACAGCTTTGATATAAAGTACACCTGTAGAAAGACTGTCACCTGGTACTTCCCTAAAAGACAGCAGTAAAATTTTGCACTCTTTTTTAAAAGAAAGAAGTTAAGTTTCATCTTAATGTCTAGTCAGCAGAGAGAGGGAAGTATGTAACGTTTTAAACCTTTGCTACCGAACAGAACTTTCTGTGATTATGGAAACATTCTGTATCTGTGATGTCCAGTATCATAGCTGAAAGCTGGCCCTTGGCCATGTGAAGTGTGACTAGTGTGACTGAGGAACCGGTTTTTAATTTTATTTAACTCTAATTTAAATTTAAATAGCTACATGGGGCTGATGGCTATGATAATGGAAAGAGCAGATGTAGAACAACATAGGCCCAAGAGCTCACAGACCATGTCTGTTTTGGACACCAATTTCTTGCCCTACTTGTATTCCAAACACATTGACATGTTCATGTGTAAAATAAATATGAATGAATATATAGATGAACGAGTTTGAGAAGTTTTCATCCTTTGAAAGATAAGCTGTTTCAGTTGTCTTTCATGTTATTCCCTGTAATAACTTACAATTGTTACATAGCACATATAATGTGTTTTCCTTATAATGAATTTTTTTTCGTTTCTTGCGATATGCTTGGTCATATTATTCATTTGTTTAGTTTTTGGCATTTCTTTAAAATGTGAGAATGACTTTAGGGTATCTCATCAAACTCAAAAGCTACTGTTTAGATTTTAGTTTTTCAATCTACGGGAGAGAAGTTGAGACTGAGAATTGAGATTCATCATAATGGACTCTTGACATTTGACATCAATAGAACAGTTGTTACTGTTCTTTGTGTCATTTACACTGCTACTTAAAATCCCCCTTTCCTTCCTTCAGTGTTTTAAATCAGAAACTAGATAAGCAAGTTTCCTTTCCTCCCTTCCCCTCCCCTCCCCTCCCCTCTCCTCTCCTCCCTTGCCTTCCCCTGCCCTCTCCCCTCCTCTCCTGTCCTTGATGGAGTGTCCCTCTTGTTGCCTAGGCTGGAGTGCAATGGTGCGATCTTGGCTCACTGTAACCTCCGCCTCCTGGTTTCAAGTGATTCTTCTGCCTCAGCCTCCTGAGTGGCTGGGATTACAGGCTGCTGCCATCACCCCCAGCTAATTTTTGTGTTTTTAGTAGAGACAGGGTTTCACCATGTTGGCCAGGCTGGTCTTGAACTCCTGACCTCTGGTGATCCACCCACTTCGGCCTCCAAAGTGTTGGGATTACAGGTGTTAGTGACTACTCCTGGCCTTTTTTTTTTTTTTAAGTGTGAGTGTGGGTGAACCTGAATGGCTTTAAATCAGAAGAATGCCTAATTGTTCATTTCCCAGAGGCCAGAAAGACTTGCAAATAAAGTTAATTGTGGTACTTTGGAAATATGGAATAGTGGAAGGGTTGTATAGTCAAATCTTTAAGTTAGAGTGTAGAGCAGGGGTCTGCAAACTGTGGATTGCTGGCCAGATATAGCCTGTCATGTGTGTTTGTATGGCTTGTAAGATAGCTTTTATGTTTTTTAAATGATTGAAAAAATTCAGAAGATTTTGTGACATTACAGGAAATTCAGATTTCAGTGCATAGCCCAGGTACTCTTTGGGAGACTGAGGCAAGAGGATCACTTGAAACCAGGAATTTGAGAACACCCTGGTCAATATAGTGATATCCTATCTCTACCAAAAAAAAAAAAAAAAAAAAAAAAAAGGTGTGGCTGCATACACCTGGGGTCCTAGCTACTTGGGAGGCTGAGGTGGGAGGATCACTTGAGCCCAGGAGTTCAAGGCTGCACTGAGCTATAATCTTCAAAGAAAAAAAAAATTCTATGTCCATAAATAAAGTTTTTTTGAAACACAAGCATATTCATTTTGTTTACATATTGTCTGTGTGCCTTTGTGCCACAGTGGCAGAGTTGGAGTGTTTTTGAGAGAGACCATATTGCTTACAAAGCCTTATGGTTTTGTAAGGTTCACCATTTTCCTTTTTGCAGAAAGCATTTGCTAACCTCTGGGGAGAATGCTTTTGAAAAAATAGAATGATATGACATTGTAGGCCAGGCGTGGTCGCTCGCACCTATAATCCCAGCACTTTGGGAGGCTGAGTCGGGTGGATCACCTGAGGTCAGGAGTTCGAGACCAGCCTGGCCAACATGATGAAACCCCCGTCTCTATTAATAATACAAAAATTAGCCGGGTGTGGTGGCGCATGCCTGTAATCCCAGCTACTTGGGAGGCTGAGGCAGGAGAATCGCTTGAACCCAGGAGGCAGAGGTTTCAGTGAGCCAAGATGGCACCATTGCACTCCAGCCTGGGCGACAAGAGCAAAACTCCATCTCCAAAAAAATAAAAAATAAAAAAGATATGACATTGTAAACTAAGAGATAAAGATTTATGAAAAATGGGGACTTATAATTCATTTGTAATCATAATTGAACAGAATATTGAAACACAAAGTGCTAAAATGGAAATGCACTGTTAGTTAGAAAACGTATGTAGGAAATTAAAGGATGTATGAACAAGGGTTCTTTGCTAATGGAGCCTATATTCTGGTGGAGGATTGGACACCTGAACACACAGATGTCTGCAGATTTCCTGGCCTTCACCTTGTCCTATGTCAAAGACTCCATTACTGCTAAAGTACTGTTTATCTTAATAATGGTGACTTTTGTTGTTGTTTTTTTTGAGTCAGGGTCTCGCTCTATTGCCCAGGCTGGAGTACATTGGTGAAACCTTGGCTTACTGTAGCCTCAACCTCCTGGGCTCAAGTGATCCCCCCACCTCAGCTTCCTGTATAGCTGGGACTACAGGCACGTGCCATCATACCTGGCTAGTTTTTGTATTTTTTGTAAAGATGGGGTTTCATTAAGGTTGCCCAGGCTGGTCTTAAATTCTTGGACTCAAGCAATCATCCCACCTTTGCCTCCCTAATTGCTGGGTTTTCAGGTGCAAACCACTGCTCCTGCCAATAGTGACACATTTTACAAATGTTTGCCATTCAGACATTCAGGACTTTCAAGTCCTCCTTGAAGCCTTCTGTCCACCTTCTTTACCATCTCTTACCACTTATCTGCAAACTTTTATTTAACTTGTGAACACATCCTACCTGCAGGGCCTCTTGGGAGTAGGTTTGGGTTTAGAAATAAATTTTTCAGGCCCTTAGCACATTTTTTATGTCATTTGTATTTGGGTACTAGCTCAGCAGTTTATTCCTTTGCCTCTTTTTGGCTCTGTTTCACCTTTTCCCATTCTAGACTTTTATATATTCCATTTTATTGTCCCTCCTTTCCTCTTCTTGTTTATTTGAAGCTTATCTGTTTTTCCCTATCCAGGTCAAATCCATAGTTTGGGTATGTGGGGCTGTGTGGGAGGAGAATGACAAAGTTAGGGAGAGCATGTAACTTTTTCAGTGAGAGAAAAGCAGCGTATATACGGGGGCATGGAGGAGAGCGAGAACAAGGTGGATTCTGGAAGTAATTTGGTATGTGTTGAGTTTAATGTCTTTGTGGAGAGTGTTGGGAGGTGAGACCAGGGAGCTAGGCAAACAGCATGTTAGGAAAGATCCTTTTCTTGTGTCAGGTGTGAGCCACTGTGCCTGGCCTAGGCAACTCTTTTTGAGGAAATTTTTATATGGCTATATTTGATGTTGTAGGCTTCTCTGACATAGCAGTAATTTTAACGCTAATAAGCTGGACAGTCCTAGGAATGTTTCAGATTCTACAAAAATCACATTTCCCATTTATATTTTTATTTTATTTAATTATTATTATTAATATTATTATTATTATTAATTTGAGACGGAGTTTTGCTCTTGTCGCCCAGGCTGGAGTGCAGTGGTGCGATCTCGGCTCACCGCAACCTCTGCTTCCCGGGTTCAAGAGATTCTCCTGCCTTGGCCTTTCGAGTAGCTGGGATTACAGGCATGTGCCACCATGCCTGGCTCATTTTTTGTATTTTTAGTGGAGACGGGGTTTCACAGGCATGTGCCACCATGCCCAGCTAATTTTTTGTATTTTTAGTAGAGATGGGGTTTCACTGTGTTAGCTAGGATGGTCTCGATCTCCCGACCTCAGCTGATCCGCCCACCTTGGCCTCCCCAAGTGCTGGGATTACAGGCATGAGTCACCCTGCCCAGCCCTTATTTATTTATTTGAGACAGAGTCTCGCTCTGGCAGCCAGGCTGGAGTGCAGTGGCACGATCTCGGCTCACTACAACCTCTGTCTACCAGGTTCCAGCGATTCTCCTGTCTCAGCGTTCCGAGTAGCTGGGATTACAGGCGCGGGCCACCACACCTGGCTAACTTTTTGTATTTTTAGTAGAGATGGGTTTTACCATGTTGGCCAGGCTGGTTTCGAACTCCTGGTATCAGGTGATCACCCACCTCAGCCTCCCAAAGTGCTGGATTACAGGCGTGAGCCACCACTCCCGTCCCCTGTTTTTTTATTTTTGAGACAGAATTGCTTTGTTGCCTAGACTGGAATGCAGTGATGCCATCTTGGCTCACTGCAACCTCTGCCTCCTGAGCTTAAGGATTCTTGTGCCTCAGCTTCCCAAGTAGCTGGGACTACAGGTGTGCACCACCATGCCTGACTAATTTTTGTATTTTTAGTAGAGATGGGGTTGTGCTATGCTGACCAGGCTGGTCCCAAACTCCTGGCCTCAAGCGATCCAGCTGCCTTGGCCTCTCGAAGTGCTGGGATTACAGGCATGAGGTATGCGTCCTGCCACATTCCCCCTTTTTTTTTTTTTTTTTTTTTTTTGAGACGGAGTCTCGCCCTTTCGCCCAGGCTGGAGTGCAGTGGCACGATCTTGGCTCACATCTGCCTCCCAGGTTCCAGTGATTCTCTTGCCTCAGCCTCCTGAGTAGCTGGGATTATAGGCCTGCGCCATCACGCCTGGTTAATTTTTGTGTTTTTAGTAGAGATGGGGTTTCACCATGTTGGTCAGGCTGGTCTCGAACTCCTGACCTTGTGGTCTGCCTGCCTTGGCCTCCCAAAGTGCTGGGATTACAGGCATGAGCCACTGCACCGGGCCTATGGTTTTCTTTTTTTTCTGGCCATATCCTGCGTGAGATAAATCTATTGCCTTTTCCCCAATGCATGCTTTTGTGACATCATCCGTTAATCACTTGGAAAATACTGGCTGACTGAGGTATGCAGATCTTTTAAATGTTGACACATATCATTATACAATATCTAAAAAAACATTAATATCTCATTAGAAAAGTCTTTATTGCAGCCTTTTATGCTTCTTAGTGGCAGATACAAATTTTAAGAAATTCTGATTCTCTTGAAAGCTTGAATGTTATTAACAACAAATACTGCCATATCTTTTAATTGACAGTCTTGCTTCATTTTTTAAGAAAATCTGCTGTGGCCTTGTACAGTGGCTCACTCATGTAATCACAGCATTTTGGGAAGCTGAGGCAGGAAGATCGTTCGAGCCCAGGAGTTTGAGATAAGCATGGAAAACATAGTGAAACCTAGTCTCTACAAAAAGACAAACCCACCTCAAAACCAAAAAACAAAAACCAAAAAACTTAGCTGGGCGTGGTGGTGTGTGCTAGTGTTCCCACCTACTTGGGAGCTTGGGCAACTGAGTTGGGAGGATCACTTGAGCCTGGGAGATAGAAGCTGTGTTGAGCAGTGATGGCACCACCACTGCACTGCAGCCTGGGTGACAGAGCAAGACCTGTCTCAAAAAAAAAAAAAAAAAAAAGGAGAGAAAAGAAAATGTTGTATATTTTACTTTGCATAACCATAATTTATATGTCTTTTGTTCTTTCGTGGTGCTCCATGAAAAAATTGACTGCTTTAGCTCACAACTCAACTGCCCACTTGGCTTTTTCTTGAAATAGTCATTGTATTTTGTGGTACGGCATAATGCGTACTTCCTATTTTCTCGCACAGAATTTTAAACAGATACATCTTAAAGGTTAGAGATTAATAAAAATAATTTTTTACTTCTTTGTTACAGACACTTAAAAAATGATGATGAAGCATATAATGACTATCGTTATAGTTACGGATCCTGGCCTTTTTTTTTTTTTTCCTTTTTTTTGTGACAGTGTTTCACTCTGTCTCCTAGGCTGGAGTGCAGTGGCATAATCTTGGCACACTGCAGTTTCCGCCTCCTGGACTCAAGTGATCCTCCCACCTCAGCCCCCCGAGTAGCTTTGACTACAGGTGTGTGCCACTGCGCCAGGACAATTTTTGTGTTTTCAGTAGAGATGGGGTTTCACCATGTTGGCCAGGCTGGTTTCAAACAGCTGCCAAGTGATCTGCCTGCCTTGGCCTTCCAGAGTGCTAGGATTACAGGCGTGAGCCACCGCTCCTGGCCAGGATCGTGTCCTTGATTCATGCCAAGGCACTAGTATTAGCATCAATCAAGGCACTAGAAATACTAGTGCCTTAGCATGAATTAGGACCAGGATCCTGGTCAGGCACGTACCTTTGCTATTGCACTATCAATGAAAAAAGCAAACAGTGTTTTAGTAGTATTCTCAGGGATCACAGGAGTTCATGGCCCATACTTGGAGAGATGCCATTGACCATTGTCACTCAGTGTTCAGGACTGCTGTTCCTTCCTCTGAATTCTTCTGGATATCTCAGGTGGATGTTTCTTCCTTCATTATTATGTTAACAATATTTAAGACAATTAGGTGAGCTCCTTGAAGATGAGAAGTTGTCTCTTAATCATTATATTCTTCTATGTTTGGTTCATAGACCCTGGATCACAGATAATTAATAAGTGCTTATGGAATGAATGAGGTGATTGAAATAAACAGATTTAAGAACCCCAAAACTAGTTTGGATTATTTAACTAGAGGAGGAATGGCTTTTTGTACCTCTATTCAAAATTCCTGAGGGCATGTATTTTGGGCATAGAACTTTGAATAGTTTACAGTGATGTTTCAGAATTATACATAAAATATGAAATTATTCATCTTTGCTTTAGAACAAATTTCTGTGACTTAATTAACGCAAGAATGGATCAAAGGCGCGTACTTGAATATCTGTCCTTTCAAAACTTTGTAAAATACAAATAGACACTTTCTCAAAATTATTGAAAAAATTAGTTTTAATAGTTAATGTCATAACTATTATTATTCCTTTCAAAATCAGGGACAATATTGAGTTGACTGCTCTCCCTTTTTGTTGTGTAGTATTATGGTATTTAGTAGTGTTAGTGCAATCAGACAAAAACACCCCAAACAGGTTAGAAAGAAGCAAAACTTATTATTTTCAGGTGGTATTATCTTTTTGAAAAATCCAAGATTCTAATTTGAGAACTATTATAACCAAAAAGGGTCAAAATAAACAGTTCCAAACTACAGGAAAAAAGTGAAATATTTCAACAATAATTTATTGGATATATACAATGAAAATCATCCTATTTACAACAGGATTCAAAAATTATTTCTCTTTCATAATTAAGAAAATTTAACCCCTGATAAAAGTGATTTGAACAGGCCACTTAATTACAACAGAATACTAGCCTTTAAGGTCAGTGCTTTTAGCTTGAGACCCTTAGGTTGGACTTTCATATTATCTTAAAAATCTGCGGGGCACAGTGGCTTATGCCTGTAATCCCAGGACTTTAGGAGGCTGAGTGGATCACCTGAGGTGGATCCACCTGAGGTCAGGAGTTTGAAATCAGTGTGGCCAAGATAGTGAAACCCCGACTCCACTAAAATTACAAAAAAATCAGTCAGCCGTGGTGGTGCTGGTGGCCTGCGCCTGTAATCCCAGCTGCTCGGAAGGCTGAGGCAGGAGAATCGCTTGAGCTGGGGATGTGGAGGTTGCAGTGAGCGGAGATCATGCTACTGCAGCCTGGGAGACTGTCTCAAAAACAAAAAACAAAACAAAACAAAAAAACTTGTAACAATTTTTACTAAATTTATTTAAAGATGGTAAAGTTTCTACTCACCTTTTATTTTTGCCTTGTAATAATTTCAAATTAGTACTTTATCTTAAAACATTTTATTTTCAGGGTTTTGGTTCTAGGAGTTACATTGAAAAAGTTTTTTTTTTTTTTAATATTCTTTCTTTTTTAAAGTTTTTTTTAATTATAGGAAACTTCAGACTTAGAAACTGAGCTGATAGCATATGAAACCCCTAAGTACTTGGCACCTAAATTTAACAATCATTAAGATTTTGTTCCATTTTTTTTCTTTTTTGCAACTGTATTTAAAAGCAGTTGGCATATTATTGTTATATCTCTTGCATATTATTTCTCCCTTACATATTTCTATATACATCACTGTCTTAGTTGACCCGGGCTGCCATAACAAAATACCATAGACTGGGTGGCTTAAAACAACAGACATTTCTTTCTCACAGTGCTAGAGGCCGAAAGTCTGAGATCAGGCTGCCAGCATGGTCAGGTTCCAGGAGGGCCCTGTTCTTGGCTTGCAGATGCCTTCTGTCTCACTGTGCCATCGCGCTTAGGAGAGTTAGGGAGCAAGCTGTCTGGTGTCTCTCTTTATATAATCCTATCATGAGGCCAGTGGTGGTGGCTCATGCCTGTAATCCTAGCACTTTGGGAGGCTGAGGTGGGTGGATCACCTGAGGTCAGGAGTTTGAGACCAGCCTGGCCAACATGGTGAAACCCTGTCTCTACTAAAAATAAAAAAATTAGCTGGGCTTGGTGGCAGGCGCCTGTAATGCTGGCTACTCGGGAAGCTGAGGCAGGAGAATCGCTTGAACCGGGGAAGCAGAGTTTGCAGTGAGCTAAGATTGTGCCATTGCACTCCAGCCTGGGCAACAGAGCAAGACTCCATCTCAAAAAAAAAAAAAAATCCCTTCATGAGCCTCACTATCATTGATGCCTTCCTCTAACCCTAATTACCTGCCAAAGGCCCCACCTTCAGATATCACACTGGGGGTTAAGGCTTCAACATACGAATTTTGGGGGGACACAATTCAGCCCACAGCAATCATGCATTTATTACATAATCATAATGCATTATCACAATCAACAAAATTAACATAATTTTTCTGGTGTCATCTAAAAATCAAGGCATGGGTGGCTCATGCCTGTAATCCCAGCTCTTTGGGAGGCCGAGGTGGGTGGCTCACTTGAGGTCAGGAGTTCGAGACTAGCCTGGCCAACATAGTGAAACCCCATCTCTACTAAAATTACAAATATTAGCTAGGTGTGGTGGCGGGTGCCTGTAATCCCAGCTACTTGGGAGGCTGAGGCAGGAGAATTGCTTGAACCTGGAGTCAGAGGTTGCAGTGAGCCAAAATGGCACCATTGCACTCCAGCCTGGGCAACAGAGCGAGACCCTGTCTCAAAAAAACAAAAAACAGAAACTCAATCCATGTTCACATTTCCACAGTTACTGTAGGGAATGCCTTTTTACAGTTGATTTATTAGAATTGGGAACTCAGAGTGTTAAATTTGTTATGCTTTTAAAATCTGGAAGTAGTTTTAAAAGTAGTTCAGTAAGACAACAGACTCTTTCCTCAATGTGTAGTATGAAAAAGGAATTTAGAGGAGAGATTGCTATAGAGTAAAATTTACTTAAGACGTATAACAACAAATGTAATGAGAACTTTTTTTTTGGTTTTCAGTCCTAAGAAATCAACTGTAAAAAGATGGTAATACCCTAAATTCTATATAACTCCAATATTCTGAAAAACTGGTACATATACATGTTTGAGTTGTAAATTTAAAAATAACATCTTGAAAGTATTTTCATTAAAGGTTTTATATTTCTAATAAATTATAATGGTATTTTAAAACAGTCCCAACACACTAAAGAAAAATTTGAGTGAAGATACTGTCAAAAGTCAAGCCACCATTTTGTGAGGTAACTTTACAGACTTTTCCAAAGCAGAATTTATCATAGTAGTTTAGTAAAACGTTGTAAAGAAAAGAACATTACTTTTTTTCTCTGTGTTTTCTATTAACTGTAGTGAATATTTGATGTGAAATGCCATTCAAATATGAATTTAACCAGTAGGTGGCAACAAATCAATATCCAAATTTATTTTTAAGAAAAGTTCAAGAAAAATACTATAAATTGTAAATAAGATAACATTTGATTTTTTTCATAAATAAACATTTTGTGCTTTTGGCTTTAGTAAATGTTATTTAATTTGAAAATTTGGTATATATTTTATTTTTATACGATAAGCAAAGTTTTTTTTTTTTTAGATGGAGTTTTGCTCTAGTTGCCCAGGCTGGAATGCAATGGCATGACCTCGGCTCACCGCAACCTCTGCCTCCCAGCTTCAAGCAATTCTCCTGCCTCAGCCTCCTGAGTAGCTGGGATTACAGGTGCCTGCCACCACGCTTGGCTAATTTTTTGTTTTTTTTAGTAGAGTCGGGGTTTCTCCATGTTGGTCAGCCTGGTCTTGAACTCCCGACCTCAGGTGATTTGCCTGCCTCAGCCTCCCAAAGTGCTGGGATTACAGATGTGAGCCACTGCGCCCGGCTGCTTTTTTTTTTTTTTTTTTAAAAGATGGTCTTGTTCTGTCACCCGGGCTGGAGTGCAGTGGCACCATCTCACTGCAACCTCCACCTCCTGGGCTCAGTCGAGCCTCCCACCTCAGCATCTCCAGTAGTTGGAACTAGAGACAGACAACACCATGACCAATTTTGAAAATGTTTTGTAGAAATGAGGTCTCACTGTATTTCCCAGGCTGGTCTGGAACTCCTAGGCTCATCCAGTTCTCCTGCTTCTGTCTCCCAAAGTGCTGGGATTACAGATGTGAGCCACGACATCCAGCCCAAGGTTCATTTTAAAGCTATGAGTTGATTTTTGATAATTGAATTATTTGCTCATAGTTCTTTTAAAATCTGAATGATAATGCAATTGTTTGCTTTATTATCTTGTGGCTATAAATAATCAGTCATGGAATTGGGAATTTTTTGTCTTCCTTTATTAGAAGTTTAATAATTATTTGATAATAAGTAGTGTTATTTATTTATTTTTTGAGACGGAGTCTTGCTCTTGTTGCTCAGGCTGGAGTGCATTGGTGCGATCTCGGCTCACTGTAGCCTCTGCCTCCTGGGTTCAAGCGATTCTCCTTCCTCAGCCTCCTGATTAGCTGGGATTACAGGCATGTGCCACCACACCTGGCTAATTTTTTTGTATTTGTAGTAGAGACGGGGTTTCACCGTGTTGGCCAGACTGATATCGAACTCCTGACCTCAAGTGATCTGCCCGCCTTGGCCTCCCAAAGTCTGGGATTACAGGCATAAGCTACTGCGCCCAGCCAATAAGTAGTGTTCTTTAAGTTAATTAATTTTTTTTTTGTTTTTTTTTTTTTTGGTCTGTATCCCAGGCTGGAAGGCTGGAGTGCAGTGGCATGATTTTGGCTCACTGCAACCTCTGCCTCCCGAGTTCAAGTGATTCTCCCGCCTCAGCCTCCTGAGTAGCTGGGATTACAGGCATGTGCCACCATACCTGGCTAATTTTTTTGCATTTTTAGTAGAGACTGGGTTTCACCATGTTGGTCAGGCTGGTCTCGGACTCCTGACCTCAAGTGATCCTCCTGCCTCAGCTTCCCAAAGTACTGGGATTACAGATGTGAGCCACCGTGCCCAGCCAAACTGTATACGTATTTTAATACCAGAAACATCAGGGCTAGGCGCAGTGGCTCATGCCTGTAATCCCAGCACTTTGGGAGACTAAGGCGGGTGGATCATGAGGTCGGAGTTCGAGACCAGCCTGGCCAACATGGTGAAACACCGACTCTACTAAAAATACAAAAATTAGCCAGGCATTGGCCGGGCGTGGTGGCTCACGCCTGTAATCCCAGCACTTTGGGAGGCCAAGGTGGGTGGATCACGAGGTCAAGAGATGAGACCATCTGGCCAGTGTGGTGAAACCCCATCTCTACTAAAAATACAAACATTAGCGAGGCATGGTGGCGTGTGCCTATAGTCCCAGCTACTTGGGAGGCTGAGGCAGAAGAATTGCTTGAACCCAGTAGATGGAGGTTATGGTGAGCCGAGATTGCGCCACTGCACTCCAGCCTGGCAACAGAGTGAGACTCTGTCTCAAAAAATAAAAAATAAAATAAAATTAGGTGGGCGCCTTTAATCCCAGCTACTTGGGAGGCTGAGGCAGGAGAATGACTTGAAACCGGAAGGCGGAGGTTGCAGTGAGCTGAGATCGCGCCACTGCACTCCAGCCTGGGCAACAAGAGCGAAACTCTGTCTCAAAAAAACAAAACAAAACAAAAACAAACTCAGAAACATCATAGCATTTTCTGATATAAATGACTGGAAGAAATCTGTGTATATTTATATGTTATAATGGTATAAATATAGTATATTAGTTGGTATTTAGATCAGTTATTACAGCATTAGGCTAGAATGTTTGGTAAATGGTACATAAAGCATGATACTGTTTATAAACATTTTCCAAAAGCTCATTACCAAATATTGTTAATAAATGTATATGTGTATTCTCTTCTGTCTCTCTCTCCCTCATAAAACTGTACAAAATGAACTAGCAGGGAGCAGAAAGTAACTACTACTGGAAAGCAGGAAAGAGATTGGCTCTCAGGACATACTTTTCAGGGAATATGGAGCTATTTTTTGTAATATTAGCAGTTTTCATTTATGAGGGATAAATGTTAAAATACTCTTTGTTCTGTAATGTATTGTTTGAATTAAAAATACTGTATACAGTTGAACATAATCCTGAGCAGAGCAATCCATGATTACTAAACGTTAATTAAATTTGTCACTTCAGATAAGAAATTTTTGAAGGTCTTTGTTTTGTATATTATTTGTATACACAAACTGCTAAATGTTATTACTTAATATTTGTTACAATAAACATTTCTGGGTATTATCCAACCTATATTGTTATAATTTCCAATGTAACATTTCATACATCACAATTTACATCCATAGTTTTAGGCTTTTTGGTTGTTTCTATTTATTTATTTGTTTGTTTGTTTGATGGAGTCTCACTCTGTCGCTCAGGCTGGAGTGCAGTGGCACGATCTGGGCTCACTGCAACCTCCGCCACCCGGGTTCAAGCTGTTCTTCTGCCTCAGCCTCCCAAGTGGCTGGGATTACAGGCGAGTGCCACCACGCCCAGCTAATTTTTGTATTTTTAGTAGAGATAGGGTTTTACCATGTTGGCCAGGCTGGTCTCCAAGTCCTGACCTCGTGACCTACCCACCTTGGCCTCCCAAAGGGCTGGAATTACAGGTGTGAGCCAACACGCCCGGCCTTATTTTTTTATGTAAAAAATTACTAGAACACTTCATGAATTTGTGAGTCATCCTTGGGCAGGGGCCATGCTAATCTTTTCTGTATTGTTCCAATTTTAGTATATATGCTGCTGAAGCAAGCACTTGCTTTTTGTTGTTTTTTTTTTTTGAGATAGAGTCTCACTCTGTCACCCGGGCTGGAGTGTGGTGGCATGATATGTGCTCACTGCAACCTCCACCTCCCAGGTTCAAGCTGTCTTCCTGCCCCAGCCTTCCTAGTAGCTGGTCTTAACAGGTACCCACCACCACACCTTGCTAAGTTTTGTATTTTTAGTACAGATAGGGTTTCACCATGTTGGCCAGTCTGGTCTTGAACTCCTGACCTCAGGTGATCCAACCACCTTGACCTCACAAAGTGCTGAGATTACAGGCATGAGACACTGCGCCTGGCCTACAAAGTGAGCACTTATTTTTTAAATATCACTGTTTTCTCCTCCTGTGGATATCTTTTGTGCAGTTAGTTTTAAGGTTAGGAAGAGTAATTTTTTTTGGAAATAGAAGGTATTTGGAATCTGAGTCCAAAGTTATGAGCAATGCTAGTTTCTATCATTATTTTCAGATTGTCTTTTAGAAAGAGCAACCAAATTTACAGTTCTGTTGATTGTATATATGTACTTGTTTTGCTTCATCCCCTTCAGCTTTTGGCTTCACGTTTTGTTTAGTTTTTTCAGGTGGCAGTGAGGAATGTACATTTCCCTTTGTTGATGATTTGTTGTGTGGGAAGCTGTGTTTTTCTTGGTGCTTTAGAATATTGCCTTTTATTATTCGCCCTTGTTTTGTTGGTGTCACTAAGGTTGGTCCTCTTTTACCTGCTTTGGGCCTTTGTGCTGCTGGCTTTCCCCAGTCTTCATCTGGTTGGCATGTGTTCTTTTTTTCTTTTAGAAATGGGGCTTCACCCTGTTGGCCAGGCTGGTCTCAAACTCCTGGTCTCATGTGATTCACCTGCCTTGGCTTCCCAAAGTGCTGAGATTATAGGCCTGAGCCACTGTGCCTGGCCAAGGTGCGAGTTCTTCCTTCTGTCGTCAGCTTTGATGTCATGCCTTGGAGACTTTCATGACCGTTCCATCTGTGGTCCCTCCTAAGTTCGTGTTCCCTTGGAGATATGTGTCTTTTCCTCTAGTACTTATTTATTGCAACTTTCCGTACACTTTTTGTGCTATTTACTGTGTTTTCCGGTAGATTTCAGTTCTGTGAGGTGAGGGCTCATATGTGCTTTATTCAAACTCTGAAAAATCAGGGCCTAAGCACAGTGTGTGAAATGTCGTATGTATTTAAAAAGTAGTTATTGAAGGAGTGAACTTTGCAAAGGTTTAAGTTTTGTATGTCAGAACTCCTTTAAGTTTACTATTCATCTCTCTTGTCTCTTTACTCAGAAATTATTTTTTCTCCTTCTCTCTCCCAAAGCCAGGATATGGTTTTAGGATCAATAGTTTATGTTATGGATTATTTTTTATTTGTAACTCTTTGATATATCTGAACTTTTTTGTTGAATATAGTGTGAAATATGATCCAGATTAATTGTGTAATAACTATTTGTTTTTTTTTTTTTTTTTTTTTTTTTTTTTGAGACGGAGTCTCGCTCTGTCGCCCAGGCTGGAGTGCAATGGCACAATCTTGGCTCACTGCAACCTCTGCCTCCGAGGTTCAAGTGATTCTCCTGCCTCAGCCTCCCACGTAGCTGGGATTACAGTCATGCACCACCACACCCAGCTAATCTTTTAAAAAAATATTTTTGGTAGAGATGGGGTTTCACCATGATGGTCAGGCTGTTGTCAAACTCCTGACCTCAAGTGAACCACCTACCTCGGCCTCCCAAAGTGCTGGGATTATAGGCGTGAGCCATCGTGCCCGGCCTTCTTTTTTTTTTCTTTTAATTAAGACACAGAGTCTCGCCTTTTGTCACTTGGGTTGGAATGCAGTGGCAGAATCACAGCTCACTGTAGCTTCAAATTTCTGGATTCAAGGGACCCTCCTTTTCTCAGCCTCTTGAGTAGCTGGAACTATAGGCATACACAGCCATGCTGGCTAATTTATTTTCTTTTTCTTTTTTTTTTAAATAGAGACAGGTGTCTCACTGTATTGCCTAGGCTGGTTTCAAACTTCTGGCCTCAAGCAGTCCTCCTGCCTTGGCCTCGGAAAGCACCTAGATTACAGGCAGGAGCCACTGCACGTGACCCTCTTGCCACCACTTTTTAATCTTAGTGTTGCTGGCATGGGTGCAGTTTTAGAATCCTTCTTACTGTAAAGTATGGATGCCCTTTTAATCTAACAAATTATCGAATTCATTAATTCTAGTAGTTTCAAATTAATTTCCTTGGGTTTTCTAGGAAGAGTCATGTCAGTATTAAGGCGAATGTTTATTTCCCCTGTTGTTAATGTTTGCTACTCCTGCTCTCCTTTTTTCCCAACCATTATAAAGATTTCTAGCTATGGAATGAATAGAAATGGAGACAGGAGTCAATTCTTATGTTGTTACTGGTTTTATTTTATTTTTATTTTTTATATTTTATTTTATTTTTATTTATTTATTTATTTTTGAGACAGAGTCTCGATCTGTCACCCAGGCTGGAGTGCAGTGGCGCGATCTCGGCTCACTGCAAGCTCCACCTCCTGGGTTGACGCCATTCTGCCTCAGCCTCCTGAGTAGCTGGGACTACGGGCACCCGCCACCACGCCTGGCTAATTTTTTTGTATTTTTAGTAGAGATGGGGTTTCACCGTGTTAGCCAGGATGGTCTCAATCTCTTGACCTTGTGATCCTCCCGTGGCCTCCCAAAGTGCTGGGATTACAGGTGTGAGCCATCGCGCCTGGCTATTTTATTTTAATTTTTAATTTTTTTGAGACAGAGTCTCGCTCTGTTGCCCAGGTTGGAGTGCCGGGACGTGATCTCGGTTCACTGCAACCTCTGCCTCCTGTGTTCAAGCGATTCTCCTGCCTCAGTCTCCCGAGTAGCTGGGATTAGAGGTGTGTGCCGCCACACCCGGCTAATTTTTGTATTTTTTTTTTAGTAGAGACGGGGTTTCACCATGTTGGCCAGGCTGGTCTCGAACTCTTGGCCTCAAATAATTTGCCCGTCTCGGCCTCCTAAAGTCCTGGGATTATAGGCATGAGCCACCATGCCGGGTGTTCTTAAGCCACGGAGATGAGCCCTTTCTTCTGTTTTTCTACAGGAGAAAATGGGGAAAAATGCTGAATTGGGTGTCACTTCATTTTCTGTACCCTTTCCCATCTTCTGCTGCTCTTTGTTCTGTTTCCTAGCCTTCTATTTTTTTTTTTTTTTGAGACGGAGTCTCACTCTGTCGTCCAGGCTGGAGTGCGGTGGTGCGATCTCGGCTCACTGCAGCCTCCACCTCCCAGGTTCAAGTGATTCTCCCCACCTCAGCCTCCCGAGTAGCTGAGATTCCATGCGTTCACCACCATGCCAGGCTAATTTTTGTGTTTGTTTCCCAGCATTCTTAGTTTTCCCTGCTCTTTCTGTTTCAGAATCTTAACTAGGTCTGTCTCAGTCCTTGAGGTCTTCATCTTCTTTTAATACCCACTCTTCTCTTCCTCTCAAAACTACCTTATCCATCCACATTAGTACATGATATTTTGTTATCTTCTTTCATTTTTCAGATCTATTTGTATTTTAGAAAAGAGCTTTCTTTTAGGGTGAGAGAATAAATTAGATGACTAATAGGCAGTGTGACATGGTGAAATATATAAAGATTCAGGCAATGTGGGAGAAAAAAATTTGGGGGAGGTGGTTAAAACTGGCCCTATAGATCAGTAATATGTAAACTCTTATCTCACATCTGAGACTGGAACTTGCAGTTCTTATTCTGTTTACTTATTTAAAAATATTTATTTTATTTTTTAAGGGATGGGGTTTCGCTATGTTGCCCAGGCTGGCCTTGAACACCTGGCCTCAGGTGATCCTCCCACGTCAGCCTCCTGAGTGTCTGAGATTACAGGTACATGTCACTGCATCTGGCTGAGTTTCTATTAAATTTTTTTTTTTTTTTTTTTGGAGACAGAGTCTCACTCTGTCACCCAGGCTGGAGTGCAGTGGCACAATCTCGGCTCACTGCAAGCTCTGCCTCCCAGGTTCACACCATTCTCCTGCCTCAGCCTCCTGAGTAGCTGGGACTACAGGTGCCTGCCGCTATGCCCGGCTAATTTTTTTGTATTTTTAGTAGAGATGGGGTTTCACCGTGTTAGCAAGGATGGTCTCGATCTCCTGACCTTGTGATCCACCCGTCTCGGCCTCCCAAAGTGCTGGGATTACAGGTGTGAGCCACTGCGCCTGGCCTTTTTTTTTTTTTTTTTTTTTGAGACAGAGCCTGGCTCTGTCACTGAGGCTGGAGTCAGTGGCCTGATCGCAGCTCACTGCAACCTCTACCTCCCAGGTGCAAATGATTCTCCTGCCTCAGCCTCCTGAATAGCTGGGATTACAGTCGCCTGCCACCACACCTGGCTAATTTTTTGTATTTTTAGTAGACACGAGGTTTCACCATGTTTGCCAGGCTGGTCTCAAACTCTTGACTTCAAGTGACCCACCCGCCTCGGCTTCCCAAAATGCTGAGATTACAGGTGTGAGCCACTGCCCCCGGCCTTTAAAAAGTGCTTTAAAAAATACATTGGGCTGCATATTGATTTATCACTCCTTCCACTCTGCAATCTACCCTCCTGCCCTGATCCATTTTGGATGCAGTTGGGGATTTTGATTGGAGTGAGCCCAGGGATAGAGTCATTTGTATGTCTCCCCTGGAAGTCTGATAATCTGTATTTTTGGTATCTTCTAGAGGAAACTCCTATAGGCTGGGCATTGTGGCTCACGCCTGTAATCCCAGCACTTTGGGAGGCCAAGGTGGGCTGATCACTTGAGGTCAGAACTGAAACCCCGTTTTTACTACAGATAGAAAAATTAGCCTGCTGTGGTGGTGGCTTCTTGTAGTCCCGGCTACTCGGGAGGCTGAGGCAGGAGAATGGCGTGAACCTGCGAGGTGGAGCTTGCAGTGAGCCGGGATCACGCCACTGCACTCCAGCCTGGGTGACAGAGCGAGACTCCGTCTCAAAAAACAGAAACAAAAACAAAAAAACTCCTATAAATTTTAGAGTTGTTTAGATAAGCTAATCTGTATTAAGTATCTTGTGTTCTTTCATTCATTCAGCTAATATTGGGCACCTACTATAAATGGGCATTGCTAGGCCCTGGGGATGTAGTAATAAACCAGGACATGTGGGCCTCACCCTTCAGCATCTTGTTATCTTGTTATCTGGCTGTGGAGTCAGATGTGTAACAATTAATTCATCTCAAAATGGGGTGTAAAGTGGTGGGAGAAGTATCAGGTGCTAGGGGAAAGCTTCACCTGCACTTGGCAGGGAGGAGAGAGGTCAGGATGCTGGCCAGAGGTACAAAACCAAGAGATTGGCAGTGGTTAGCAAACTTCTTCTGTAAAGGACCAGATAAATAATTTAGACCTTTCAGGCCAAGTGACCTCTGTTGTAACTGCTTAACTCTGCCATTGTAGTGTGGAAGCAGCCATGGACCATAGATAAACAAATGAGCATGATTGTGTTCCAATCAAACTTCGTTTATGGACACAGAACTTTGAATTAACTAAGAATTTTTAGGTGTCATGAAATATTCCATTGATTTTTTCCCCAACCATTAAAACAAAAATGTAAAGGCCATTTGTAGGTCCATATGTTCTAACAAATACAGCTGGCATGCTGTAGCTTGCAGCCTCATGGAATATGCTGCTAAATTGCTCATTATCGGGGCTCTTTTGCTTATACCTTGAATTTTTTTTTTTTTTTTTTTGATACGGAGTTTTGCTCTTGTCGCCCAGGTTGGTTGGAGTGCAGTGGCACGATCTCAGCTTTATGCAGCCTCCACCTCCTGGGTTCAAGTGCTTCTCCTGCCTCAGCCTCCTGAGTAGCTGGGATTACAGGCTCCCACCACCACTCCTGGGTAATTTTTTGTATTTTTAGTAGAGACCGGGTTTCACCATGTTGGTCAGGCTGGTCTTGAACTCCTGACCTCAGGTGATCCACCTGCCTCCACCTGCCAAAGTGCTGGGATTACAGGCGTGAGCCACCGCGCCCGGCCACCTTTAATTCTTTACAAAAACACTTGCCATGTGGTAGACCTGTAGTCAGAGCATGCATTATGCTTTTAGCAGGAAAGAAATTTGTAGGCCGGGTTGAAAATCATAGTGTTTCTGTACCTCTAGCTGTTCTTTTGAAACATTACTGTAATTCTGGGCATTGAAAGGATGTTAGGATTTATGAGGGTGATTAATAAGTGGCATACATGCAGAGGGACTTGAATGGCATAATTGATAGTATTTAGAAGGCCAGTCATGATCTTGCCAATTATTCGCTGTGTAATATTGGGCAAATCAGTGCACTTCTCTGAGCCTTGTCTATCCATGAAAAAGAAAGTAAACTTGCTATAGTTATTTCTCAGGATTACTATAAATAATGGAGAAGATAATGTACTTCAAAGCAGTATGAAAAAGTTCTTTGTACTATGCCTTTCCGCAGCTTTCTTTCAAATTTTAAAAAGTCACTCTGGCCACCATATGGGGAATGGATTATAGAGTGGTAAAAGTGAAAGCTAGGAGACTAGAGAGCATGCTGTTGCAATAGTCTAGTTGGTGGGTTGTAATGTGGCTTGGCCAGGTGGTCTTAGTAGAGGAGATGAGGTGGTCAGATTAAGGACTTATTTTGAATGTAGAGTTGATTGGATTTAATGATAGGGTATGAATTAAGAGGAAAGTCAAGGATGACTTTTTAAACTTTTTACTGCCACACCTTGTTTTCCAGGATGATGGCTCTCCGCACCAGACCCGTGTCCCCGTGTGCGGTAGGGCAGTGTCCCGCCGGCAGGGGACCGGTAGCCAAGGCTATCCGAGGCCCCTCAGCATTGCCTTGTTTTTCCGCCTGGGCAGGATTCTGACTTAAGAAGCCTTCAGTCGTAGTCCCACAGATGGTAGCTTCACCCTGTTGGCTTCTCAGCCAAGCACATACACCAAAGAGACAGGGTCTTCTCTTGTTTAGGCTGGAGTGCAGTTGTGCGATCTAGGCTCACTGCACCCTTGACCTCCTGGGCTCAGGTGATCCCCCTGCATCAGTATCCCAGGTAGCTGTGACTACAGGTAGGCACTACTGCTACTGTGCCTGACTAATTTTTTAACTTTTTGTAGGCATGAGGTCTCGCTATGTTGTCTTGAACTCCTGGGCTGGAGCGATCCTCCTGCCTAAGCCTCCTAAAGTACTTAGATTACAGGTGTGAGCCACTGTATCCAGTTGAACTTTTTTTTTTTTTTTTTTTTGCCTTGAGAAACTAGGGGAAAATGATGCCATTAAATAATGGACATCATTTTTTTTTTTTTTTTTTGAAGACTTGGTTTCTAGTCTTAGTTCCTCATTAGGATGGCACGTGAACTTGTCTTGACATTTCTGTCTCTTGGTTCCTTTATGTGGACTGCATGACATTTACAGAGGGATCAACAGGGTTCCTTAGCCATACATACCAGCTCTTAATTTCACAAAGGCATGTAATAATCGCTTGTGACACCTTGTTAAAGAGCTAGAGAAATGTGTTTTATATAATTGTAAGCCTAGCTATTTTAACAGCCCTTCTCTGAAAGCATAGCCACTAGTTTCAAAGGTGCTCTTTAGTGGTGAGGTAAAATGCTTTCTTTGATTCTATTTTGTTAAATGTTTTCTTCATTGACTTGTGTGAAGACTTAGATCACTTGATTATTAAGTTAGTATGTTTAAGGATGTTGACTGCTGCCTTTCTGGGGGAGAATACAGTTGGGATTTATAAAAGCTTGCTTGAATGAAACTGCCTCTTAAGTGATTGTTAATAATGAATGGCTCCAGTTGACTTCTAATATACCTTCTGCAATTAGCATGGTGGATTTTACAATAGGAAAAATAGGACTATTGAGTATTAATGGTAACAGATTTTTTTAATTTTAATTTTTATTTTTTGAGACAGTCTTGCCCTGCCACCCAGGCTGGAGTGCAGTGGCGCAATCTTGACTCACTGCAACCTCCGCCTCCGTGGCTCAAGCAATTCTGCTGCCTCAGCTTCCCAAGAAGCTGGGATTGCAGGCGTGCACCACCACATTCGGCTAATTTTTGTATTTTTAGTAGAGACGGGGTTTTGCCATGTTGGTCAGGCTGGTCTGAAACTCCTGACCTCAAGTGATCCACCCGCCTCGGACTCCCAAAGTGCTGGGGATGGTAGCAGATATTGACAGTGCCAGGCATAGTGCCTGATGGACACTCTCACTAAAACAGCAACAGTCCTCAGCATTCTATGGGCCTACCAACTTTGCTTATTTGTATTGCACATTCATTAGCTAGATTTTCTGTTAAGAATAGTCTGGCCTGGTTGGGTGTGGTGGCTCACGCCTGTAATCCCAGCACTTAGGGAGGCCGAGAATTGTTTGAACTTGGGAGGCAGAGGTTGCAGTGAGCTGAGATCGCGCCATTGCACTCCAGCCTGGGCGACAGGGCGAGACTCCATCTCAAAAAAAAAGAAAGAAGGGAGGGAGGGAATAGTTGGCCCGGCGCAGTGGCTCATGTCTGTAATCCCAGCACTTTGGGAGGCTGAGATGGGCAGATCATGAGGTCAGGAGTTCGAGACCAGCCTGGCCACCATAGTGAAACCCCATCTCTACTAAAAATACAAAAAAAATATATATAATTACCCGGGCATGGTGGTGGGGGCCTGTAATCCCAGCTACTTGGGAAGCTGAAGCAGGAGAATCGCTTGAACCCGGGAGGTGGAGGTTGCAGTAAGCCAAGATAGCGCCATTGCACTCCAGCCCGGGCGACAATGTGAGACTCCACCACACACACACACACACACACACACACACACACACACACACACACACACAAAGAATAGTCTGACCAAAGTCTTTTTAAGGAAAGATAGTTTGAATCCTTCCAAAAATTTATTTTTCTTGAGCATACTTGAGTTGGTCTTTCATATCTGGAAGAATGCCTCCTTAGCTGAATTTTTTCACCCAGTTAGCTTGGGTCCACTACAGGAAAGATGTGAGTGTCATGTCCTCAAATTATTCTTACAGTGTTGATTATGTAGTACCATACCTTTTTGGAAATTACTGTGTTATTTCCACTTTGTTCTTCTTAGAATATTCACTCTAAAAGGCAAGAAACACTATTCCTTTATGTTTTGTGTTAGCATGTAGCATCTAGTACACTTTGGTGCTGAGTAAAGTATGTAGCAAGTAGCTGAGAAGAAAGACTTTTTTGTTTTTAACATTCTTAACAGTGCCAGTATTATAATTTTATTTGCATTAAGAGTCAGCCCTTGCAAAAGTAATAGACTGCCTACAGTGTCTCAAACACGGAATATGGGTAGGTGTTTTTAGAAAGATTCTATGTGGTTCTCCTTTGTAGTTGGAAATTTGAAATTTAGGAGGAAGTCATATGTTGCCTGCTATTTTCTAACATTGGTGAAGGTAATGCAGACTTGAATATTTGCCACTGCTTGGGTTTGCAGAAGGCTTTACCTTCATTTGTTTTTGAATTTTGTTAAGGAAGTTTTAGTGTATACTTTTCTCTAGCATTTTTGTCTCTAGCATAAAATTTCAATATTTATGTAAATGTATATTCTTACTGTTTCTTTTTGTAGGACTTTTTTTTTCTTTTTGGATGGAGTCTCACTCTGTCGCCCAGGCTGGAGTGTGGTGGCGCCATCTTGGCTCATTGTAGCCTCCACCTCCTGAGTTCACATGCCTCAGCCACCCGAGTAGCTGGGATTACAGGCATGCGCCACCATGCCCAGCTGACTTTTGTATTTTTAGTAGAGACAGGATTTCACCATGTTGGCCAGGCTGGTCTCCAACTCCTGGCCTTAAGTGATCCACCCACCTGGGCCTCCCAAAGTACTGGGATTACAAGCATGAGCCACCGTGTCTGGCTGGACATTTTTGATCCTGTGTTTTGTCTCCAGCTGCACCCAGGCTGTGAGCCAGGGAGGCTTTAGAGTTTTAGTGGGGACCATGGAGCTGTGGAGAGCATTCCTTGGCCGAAGTGGAGATTGTATAGACTAGCTAATAAGACATCTGTGCAAACTGTTTTTTTTTTTTTAATTGAGGTTATATTCACATAATATGAAATTCACCATTTTACAAGTGAACAGTTCAGTGGCATTTAATACATTTGCAATGCTGTGCAGCCACCACTTCTGTCTAGTTCCAAGATGTTTTGTCACCCCAGTAAGAAACTCTACCCATTAAGCAGCTGCTCCCTATTTCCCCCTCCCCCAACTCCTGGGAGCCAATATGCATTTTTGTCTGTGTTGATTTACCTATTCTAGATATTTCATGTAAATGCAATTATATAACACATGACCTTTTGTGTCTGGCTTCTTTCACTTTGCATGACGTTTCTGAGGTTCATCCATATTGCAGCATGGATCAACATTCAAGTCTCACTCTGTCGCCCAGGCTGAAGTGCCGTGTCACGATCTCGGTGCACTGCAGCCTCCACCTCTTGGCTTCAAACGATTCTCCTGCTTCAGCCTCCTGAGTCACTAGGACCCCAGGCACATGCCCCTATGCCCGGCTAATTTTTGGATTTTTAGTAGAGGTGGGATTCCACAACATGTTGGCCAGGCGGGTCTCCAACTCCTGACCTCAAGTGATCTGTCCGCCTCGGCCTCCCAGAGTCCTGGGATTACAGCTGTGAGCCACTGTGCCTGGCCCAACATTCCATTCCTTTTTATGGCTACATAGTATTTCATTGTATCTATACACCAGGATTTGTTCATCCATTCATTTGTTGGTAGACATTTGGGTTGTTTTCACTTTTTGGCTATTGTGGATAATGCTGCTGTGATCATGGGTGTACATATTATTTGAAGTACTAGTTTTCACTTCTTTTGGGTTTCTACCTATGAGTGGAATTGCTGAGTTGTATGGTAATTCTATGTTTAACTTTTTGAGAAATCTCCAGTTTTCATAGAAAAGATACCATTTTATATTCCCACCAGCAGTGTACAAGGATTTCAATTTCTCCACATATTTTCCAGTACTTGTTAGTTGTTGTTGTTGTTTTTAACTTTTTATCATTAGCCATCCTTGTGGGTGTGAAGTTGTGCCTCGTTTTTATTTGCATTCTCCTTATGAATGATGTTGAGCATCTTTTCATATTCTTGTTGACCTTTTGTATATTTTATTTGAGAGATTCTATTAAAATCTTTCGCTCATTTTATAATCAAGTAGTTTATTTTTGTTGTTGTATATATTCCAGGTACTAGATCCCTATCAGATTTGTTAATATTTTCTTCCATTCTGCAGGTTGTCTTTTCATTTTCCTGATAATGTCATTTGATGCAGAAAAGTTTTTAATTTTGAAGTTCATTTTACAGTTTTTTCTTTTGTTGTATGTGCTTTTTTGGTGTTATATCTAAGAATCTGTTGTCATACCCAAGGTCATGAAGATTTACCTGTATGTTATCTTCTAAGAGTTTTATGATTTCAGCTCTTATGTAGGTTGTTTGTCGATTTTAAGTTTATTTTTGTATAAGGTACGAGGAGGAAGGGGTCCAGCCTCATTTTTCTGCATGTGGATACCCAGTTGTCTTAGCACCATTTGTTGAATAGTCTGTTCTTTCCGCATTGAGTGGTCTTCATGTGCAGACTGTTATTGCTGTGCATGTGTATATCTGTTTATCTGGAATTCACTTTTAAGAACTGTATATGGGCCAGGTGCAGTGACTCACATCTGCAATCCCAGCGCTTTGGGAGGCTGAGGTGGGAAGATCACTTGGGGTCAGGAGTTTGAGATGAGCCTGTACAACATAGCAAGACCTTGTCTCTTCAAAAAAATTTTAAAAACTAGCTGAGTGTGGTAGTACCTGCCTGTAGTCCTACCTACTCAGGAGGCTGAGGCAGAGGGATTGCATGGGCCTGGAAGTTTAGGGCAACAGTGAGCTATGATCACACCGCCATTCCAGCCTGGGCAACAGAGCAAGACCTTGTCTCATTAACCCAGTTGTGCCTAGTGTTCCATTATTGGAACACTAAGCTTGTGGGAGTTATTTATATCCTGCTCCAGGTCATTGCCAAGGTCTGATTTTTCACAAAAAAAGTTTGCAACCTTCGGCATAAATGGGTTAAAAAAAGGAAAAGCTGTATATGAAGGTCTTTGGCCACAGTTTGGTTTTTGATGGTAGATAGGGTTTTGTCACTTGAATGCAAAATTAGCTTTATAACTATAACTTTGAAACTAAATGGCTAAATTATTACTGATTTTATTTTTATTTTTATGGGTCGCCTTACAAGATGTATTTAGTTTGCCTCTTGGTTTTGAGTACTGTGGAAATGAGCTTACTGGTTGCTGTTTCTGAAAATGTGTACTTTAACTTATTCTCAAGGTAATTATTGATGTGTTTTTAAACTGAAAAACACTGAAGAAATTTTATAGATAAGTTTTCTCCATATTTTGTTTCACATAAATTGTGTCCATTTTGAAGATGTAGTTCCTCTTTTCCTCTTCCAAATGATTAAACTGGTAAAATTTTTGTATTAGAGGAATTAAGGTGAGAGGTGCTGAGCAAAATATGAATCTTCCAAGGTTTATTCTTGTACCTTGTTAGGGATATGCGTGGGTGTTTGTGTGATTGTGAGAGAAACAGAATGTGTGTATGTGTCACTGATTTTTTAAAAGTATAGATGTTGCTTTATTATTTGCCTTAAATATATAGCAAAATCAACCTGTAGACAATGCACCTGAAGAGAAAATGTAACTGTGTGAAGATTTAATAAAGTGGATTGGTGGAAAGACCATTTTATTATTTGGAATGTTATTATTTGGAATGTTAACAGAAAAACTTCAGCTGAATTAAATTTAAAGGAGTTTAATTGAGCAGTGAACAATTCGCGAGTCGGGCAGCCCCAAGAATCACGGGAGATTCAGAGACTGCAGTGCAGCTATGTGGTGGAAGAAGATTTATAGACAAAAAAAAAAAAAAAGGGGGGGAAGTGATGTCCAGAACTCGGAAGTGAGGTACAGAAACAGTCAGGTTGGTTACAGGTCAGCATTTGCCTTAGCTGAACACAGTTTGAACACTCAGCAGTGTATGAATGGTTAAAGTACGGCTGCTGGAATTTGCCAGGACTCAGCTGTATTTACAGGCGCATACCCATAGTTACGTTTTTCAATCTTGTCTACCTGTTAGCTTATGGATCCTCCACAAGGACTTAAATATTGAAGTACGGAGTCCTTCTCAGGCCATATTTAGTTTCCTTTAACCGGAAAAGTAACTAGAAAAAAAGTGTTTAAAGGGGCTTATATTCTCCCCCTGCCATCCACCGCCCCCCCCCCCCCCGCCGCAAGTGCATTAAATTTAAGAGTGGATGTTGAAAATAAAAACTAAAAATTGTTAATCACCAGTATGTTTCTTAAGTAAGCTTTCAAGAATGTAGAAGGAACAAAGAGGAAGGTAATTTTTAGCCTTGATAATGTTAAAAAAAATTCACAAAACCATAAATGGAGGGCTGTATACTTAAACTCTTCTATTCTTAGAAACGAACCTATGGTAGTAGATTATTCCATTTTGATTATAACTCAGGCCATATTGAAAAGGACGTTTGCAGTGATGAAAAACTGTGATTCCTTGATTAACGTGTAGAATTTAAAAATAGTGTGTTACATTTTCACAGAAATTAGATCTGTGAACATATGTTTTTCTTAGCTGTGATTTCCAAATTAATTTTGAAATATTGAGTGAATTAAGCAGTTTTAAAAGATGCAACAGATTTAATTTTCACCCTTTTGGATTTGTTTTTATTTTAGCTGAGATGTGATTCTTGTTTTACTTGAAAATATTGCTTGGGTTTTGTTTTAAAACATGAATTTTACTCATTCATGTAAATTATGTTTTATAGGTCGGCTTGTCATCATTTGATTTGTGACTCTCTATTCTTTGGAATACAGTGGTTAAAAACTGGATATGTAAAATACTGATACCTCGCTGCTATTACCAGGATTTTATACCAGTGTCTAGTGGAATAGACCAAAGGACAGAGTCCTTGGACTCAGAACTTGCATGAATTCTGCAGTGTGCAAGAGTTTTCTGGAGAATTGGTACCTTACTCATATTCTCAAAGGGGATGGTGAGAAGCGTGTTTCAAAAAAGGTTGATTAAGCTAGAATATTGACAGTGAAGTTATTTGCTCTTAAGTGTGTGACGGAAAGAACATAAAATGAGTACTGAGTGACATTTCTGTTTACCCAAATAGCCTGTATTAAGGAATTTGGTAATGGTATAAACACTGATTCTTAAACATTTTGCTCTTAGGACAGACTCT
This sequence comes from Homo sapiens, assembly GCF_000001405.40. Classification (NCBI taxonomy): domain Eukaryota; kingdom Metazoa; phylum Chordata; class Mammalia; order Primates; family Hominidae; genus Homo; species Homo sapiens. The sequence continues at coordinate 105,318,522 of NC_000007.14, read as the reverse complement.
AAAAAATTATTTAGGAGCCCAAAGAGCCTTTTAATGCAGTTTATATCAATTGGTACTTGCTTTGTCAGAAATTAAAAACGTGTAGTTGTCAATACACTTACTGTATGTTAACAAATAGCATATTTTTAGGCTGGGTGCAGTGGCTCACGCCTGTCATCCCAGCACTTTGGGAGGCTGAGGTGGGCGGATCACCTGAGGTCAGGAGTTCGAGACCAGCCTGGCCAACATGCTGAAACCCTGCCTCTACTAAAAATACAAAAATTAGCTGGGCGACCTGGCGTGCGCCTGTAATCCCAGCTACTTTGGAGACTGAGGTAGGAGAATCGCTTGTACCCAGGAGGCGGCGGTTGCAGTGAGCTGAGATCACACCACTGCATTCAAGCCTGGGTGACAGAGCGAGACTCTGTATCAAAAAACAAAACCACAAAAATGAATAGCGTATTTTAAAATAAGAATGTATGCTTTTGGCTCGGCATGGTGGCTCATGCCCGTAATCCCAGCACTTTATGAGGCTGAGGCTGAGTCGGGTGGATTGCTTGAGTTTAGGAGTTCGAGAGCAGCCTGGGCAACATGGTGAAACCCCATCTCTACTAAAAAAATACAAAAATTAGCCAGGAGTGGTGGTGCACACCTATAGTCCCAGCTACTTGTGAGGCTGAGGTGGGAGGATCACCTGAATCTGGGAGGTTGAGGCTACAGTGACTGCACTCCAGCCTGGATGACAATGAGATCCTGTCTCAACAACAACAGCAACAAAAAGGGGTACTTTTTAAAACTAATGAGAAGAATGACATTGTTGGACATTTTTGAAAATTTCTTTAATGTCTGGCTTAATTGAAGACAGATTATCATATATGTGTCTGCCTTCAGTCTGTTGTGATATGTTATTTTTGTTGAAATATATGAAGAAAATATTCAACCCCATCCTGTGTTCTTGTATATTTTCTTTAAAGCAACAAGCTCATTTCATACGCTTTTGAGAAAAATGTCTGTCAGGTTCCCAAATTTGAATAACCAAGGCTTGTCTGTTAATAAGCCTTGCTGGAAAAAGCAAATAAAATGATTGCACAGGTGTTTTTCCTGGAGACATGCATTTTACTTTGGTTGGTAGCAGGAATACTTCCCATTTTAGCACATAGAATATGAAAACGCTGTCAACTCAACATTGAGATTTAATGAAATTAATTTTTTCATTGCTTCATCAAGAACATCCTTACATGAACCTGGCAACTTTTTAACTGAAAGTTAAATGCAAGGACTGCTAGTACAGCTTGGGGCCACCACATTGATTTGTGCTAAGATGCCAGCAGCTTAATCCACCATTCTTTTTATGTCGTCAGTGCAAATGTTGACACAGAAAGAGGCAAATAATGTCTTGAATCATTATGGAAATAGGTTTGATCTTGGAGACTTCTGAAGGTTTGTGAACCACACTTTGAGAACTGCTGGAAGGTATAAACATTAACACTGGGAGTTGCTTTGGCTGCTCTTCTTCCCCTCAGGAAAAAAGAGAATCAAATGAGAGTCTGATTTTCAGGTATAAAGGAGTGGGAGAGGGAACAGATGTTTATGACATTCCTATTCAGTCTCACTTAAGCCTCATAACTGTCATGTACACTAGATATTGTTGTCCCCTTTTTGCAAATGAGATAAACAGGTCTTGAGGGTTAGAATAGCTTGCCTAAGGTCATAGAACCTAGTAAGTATGGCCAGTGGGCGGGAACTAGTCTTCCCTAGGCCATGCTTGCCTCCACATGGATGTAACTGATCCTGGAGTGAGAAGAGGCTAATCCAAAGGTCAGAGTAACTTTGTCCTATCCTTGTATCTCTTGTGTCCTTGCATTAGTTTCTTATCTTTAACCTTATCATTAACCTTTTCTAATTAGAACAGTAGGAATTCCTCATTAGAAAGATGGTCATGGAAACAGCAGATAAACTGTTTATCTTTGATCTAATTTGTAAAATTAAAGTCATGGAAAAAATATTGTCAGAGTTACAAGTCAGGAATGTAGTTTATCTGGTGGGCTCCCTGGTTTTTAGAATTGTTAGTGCTAGTTTGCTGTTGAAGTGCTTACTTAGCTTGGAGGTAAAGTAGTGTAAGTGAGTAGATACCAGGCTTTATAAGCGGCCTTGAGAGTGTCTTGATTGAGTGGTGAATATACTACCGAAGTTAATGCTATTTCCTAGGCCTTAATGCACAGTAATTTGAGAGGTATTTTCTTCAAGTTAAAAGGCACAGTTTTAAGATTACCTCAAGATGGCCAGGCACGGTGGCTCTCGCCTGTAATCCCAGCATTTTGGGAGGCTGAGTCTCTACTAAAAATACAAAAATTATCTGGGCATCATGGCGGGTGCCCGTAATCCCAGCTACTTGGGAGGCTGAGGCAGGAGAATCACTTGAACCCAGGAGGCGGAGGTTGCAGTGAGCCGAGATCGCGCCATTGCACTCCAGGCTGGGTGACAAGAGCGAAACTCAGTCTCAAAAAAAAAAAAAAAAAAATTACCTAAAGATGTCTTTTCGTTTAGTGTACACCTTTTTGCTTTCTATAAAAAGGCTGGGAGTTTCATAATACTAAACAGGTAGTAACTACAGAAAATTTTTAATGACCAATACCTATACTTTGAAAGAGGGTTAGGAGGAAAACCATCATAGAATCTCAGAATTAACAAAAATTTATTATGCATTATATTAGAATCATGTCAAATACAACTTATCCAGATTTTTATTGTTTGTTCACCATGAATATTTGTTCGTTGGGGGTATATCTGGACTTGCCAAAGGAATGAGAACACACGTGTGTAATATTTAGCTTGATATTATGTTATAAGTGACTTTAGGGATTATCTAGTCAAGTTGTTTTAAAACAGTGGAACCTTTTCTTTAATTGAAATTGTATCCAGAGTCCAATATTTGAAGCATAAAAGCCAAGTGGTTGAAAGGTTGAAATGAGAGTCATGGGCCCAGAATTCTCATGTTTGCCTGGCAGCAAGTCCTTGGTTAGTAGTAATACACAGCGTTAGTGTGCATTAGTGTTCACTCTGTGCCAGGTCTTGTATTAAGCACTTTACATGTATGATTTCACAGTTTGAAAACCACTTATCTAGTTCAGCTTCTGATTTTTTTCTGTTAAGAAACAGGTCCAGAGAGCTTAAATGAATTGCCCAGCATCTCAAACTAGTTTTTAATAGAGTTAGTATTATTAAAATTCTTATAGTCAGTTTAGCTAGTGGCATGTGTGTGATATTTTATTTTCCCAGTTGTTAGATTAATTCAGGTCTTTTGCAGTAAAATAAAAATTTCCAGAAGAGTATAAAATGGAAAAAATACTTGACTTTCAGTGGCTAGGGCTTTGATAATATTTTGGTGTGAATCATTCTAGGCTCCTTTATAAGTTTTCTATTTTTTAAAAATAGAGGTGGGATCCCCTATGGTGTGCAGGCTGGTCTCGAACTCCTGTGCTCAAGTGATCTTCCTGCCTCAGCCTCCCAGAGTGCTGGGATTCCAGGCAGGAGCCACTGCACCCAGCTCATAAATTGTTTCTTTATTAGAAAAATTGAGATACCCACCATACCATTTTATTGTGAGTTTTTAAATGCTTAAGAATATATTCTAAGCATATTTCCTGTTCTCCTACATATACTTTGTAAGAATGATTAATGAGATTTCACTACATTTGAGCAATTTACTTAATGAATTTCTCATTATTCGACATTTATGTTTACAGGTTTTTCTTTTGTTATATGTAATGTGCTATACACCTATGAGCATTCATTTTCTAGAACATTAACTTCTAGATTTCCAATTACTATGTCAGCCGGCATTTACAAAATATGTTTTGGGCCGGGCATGGTGGCTAACGCCTGCAATCCCAGCACTTTGGGAGGCTAAGGCGGGCAGATCGCCTGAGGTCAGGAGTTTGAGACCAGCCTGGCCAACATGGTGAAACCCTGTCTCTACCAAAAATACAAAAATTGGCCGGGCGTGATGGTGCACACCTGTAGTCCCAGCTACTCAGGAGGCTGAGGCAGAATTGCTTGAACCTGGGAGGCAGAGGTTGCAGTGAGCTGAGATTCTGCCACTGCACTCCAGCCTGGGTGACAGAGCAAGACTCTGTCTTGAAAAAATAAAAAATGTGTTTTGAAACATGTTGCCCAGGTAATCTTTGGGAAGGATTTGCCAGTTTATTTTTCAAGACAGGGTCTTACTCTGTCGTCCAGGCTGGAGTGCAGTGGTGCGATCTCAGCTCAGTGTAACCTCTGCCTCCTGGGTTCAAGTGATTTTCATATCTCAACCTCCCAAGTAGCTTGGATTACAGGCATGTGCTATGACCCCCGGTTAATTTTTCATATTTTTAGTAGAGACGGGGTTTCACCATGTTGGCCAGGCTGGTCTCTAGCTCCTGGCCTCAAATTACCGGCCAGCCTCGCCTCCCAAAGTGTGTGAACCACCACGCCCAACTGGTTTTGCCAGTTCATATGTTCATAATACATGTTATTGAATTTTTGTGAGCCCTGGATAATGCAGTTAAAACAAATAGATGTCATTTTAATTTACATTTTTTTGGATATAAATGAGGTGCGACTTTGCCCTTTTATATTAATTAGTTGTTTTTTCATTTGTATACTGCCAGTTCTTTTACTTTGCTTGTTTTTCTATTTGAATGTTTTTTCTTTTTCTTTTTAAATAAGAAAAGGAGTTCAAGATATATACACCCACTGACAATGTACCTTGCTGCCCCTCCAACAGTTCATGATGTCTCTTGCTTTTTTTTGAGACAGAGTCTCGCTCTGTTGTCCAGGCTGGAGTGCAGTGGTGCAATCTTTGCTGACTGCAACCTCCGCCTCCCTGGTTCAAGGGATTCTCCTCCCTCAGCCTCCCAAGTAGCTGGGATTACAGGTCCACGACGCCACACCTGGCTAATTTTTTTGTATTTTAGTAGAGATGGGGTTTCACTGTGTTACCCAGGCTGGTTTCAAACTCCTGAGCTCAGGCATTCCACCCACCTCGGCCTCCCAAAGTGCTGGGATTACAGGTGTGAGCCACTGTGCCTGGCCAATTTTTTTTTTTTTTTTTTTGAGATGGAGTCTCACTCTGTTGCCCAGGCGGGAGTGCAGTGGTGTGATCTTGGCTCACTGCAACCTCTGCCTTCCGGGTTCAAGCGATTCTCCTGCCTCAGCTGCCCGAGTAGCTGGGATTACAGGTGCGCATCACCACACCCTGCTAATTTTTTTGTATTTTGGTAGAGATGGGGTTTTACCATGTTACGCTGGCTGGCCTCAAATTCCTGAGCTCAGGCAATCCGCCCATGTTGGCCTTCCAAAGTGCTGGGATTACAGGCTTGAGCCACTGCACCTGGTAATTTAAAAAAAAAAAAATCATTACCTTTTGACAAAAGTAAGTCCTAACTTTTTTTTCCCCTTACATGCATATAATGCCTGATTGTCTTGTCTTTTGTGATGTTATTGCCCACTGACCATTGCCTACATTCATTAATTCATTAGTAGTTTCAAATGGTGATAGTGTAATTTTATTATTCCTTATTTATTTATTCATTTCTGGAATATTTTGTAAAGAGAAACTTTCTTGCCTGGTGTGGTATCTCATGCCTGTCATCCCAGCACTTGGGGGAGGCCAAGGTGGGAGGATCACTTGAGGCCAGGAATTTGAGCCTAGAGTGGGGAACATAGTGAGACCTCATTTCTACAGAAAAGATAAATATTCCCATATCAACTGTTTGTATACTTCAGGTTGAGTTTGTGAGGGAAAGTCAGGATGCATGCTTGATTCTTTCCTTTTGCTTAGCACATTGAAAATAGTTGATTTACTGGCTTCCAAAAAGATGAAAAGAATTAAGTGACTTATGGATTCAGGAATGTTTGGGTTTTATTATATTTGTTGATACATACGATTTTATCTGCAGCCAGCAGGCGCTCCATTAAAATTGCATCTGAGGTGCAGGGCTGAGATTAAATTTACCTATTCTGGAAATTTAACATATTTAATGACCATTTGTGTCTGACTTTGTTTACATAGTATAATGTTTTCAAGGTTCATCTACCCCCGCTTGTTTTTTTTTTTTTTTTTGACGGAGTCTCACTCTGTTGCTTAGGTTAGAGTGCAGTGGCATGATCTCGGCTCACCGCAAGCTCCGCCTCCTGGGTTCAAACGATTCTCCAGTCTCAGCCTCCCAAGTAGCTGGGACTACAGGCGTGCACCACCATGCCTGGCTAATTTTTGTATTTTTAGTAGAGACGTAGTTTCACTATATTGTCCAGGCTGGTCTCGAACTCCTGACCTTGTGATCCCCCCACCTTGGCCTCCCAAAGTTCTGGGATTACAGGCGTGAGCCACTGCACCCAGCCAAGTTTCATCTACTTTGTAGCATATATCAGTACTTCATCTTGAAATTATTTGTTCATGTACATTTTATTTTTAATTTTTATTTATTTTTGTCCTCAGTGTCCATCCATGTTGTAGCATTTGTCAAAGTTCACTTGCTTTTATGACTGAATAATATTACATTGTATATATGTACCACAATTTGTTTACTCACCCATTGATGGCATTTGGATTGTTTCTTCCTTTTAGTTATGAATAGAACTATACCAACATTCCTGCACAAAGATTTGAGTTCTTGTTTTCTTTCTTTTGAATATAAACCTAGGAATATAATTGCTGGGTCATAGATTAATTTTTGTGCTTTAGTTTTTGAGGAACCACCACACTTTTTCACAGTGTCAGAACTATTTTACATGATGACCATCTGAGCTATTTTACATAATCACCAGCAACGTACAAGGGTTCCAGTTTTCTACATCCTTGCCTACACTTATTGTCTGTATTTCTGTTTGTAGATGTCCTGATGGGTGTGAGGTGGTATTTCATGGTTTTTATTTGCATTCTCCTAATGACTGATGTTAAGCATCTTTTCATGTGTTTTTGGCCATTTTTATATCTTTAGAGAAATGACTTGAAATCCTTTGCTTGTTGGCCAGGTGGAGTGGCTCAGGCCTGTAATCCCAGCACTTTGGGAGGCCTAGGCAGGCAGATCACCTGAGGTCAGGAGTTCAAGATCAGCCCAGCCAACATGGTGAAACCTGTCTCTACTAAAAATACAAAAAGTTAGCTAGGCGTGGTGGCAGGTGCCACTAGTCCCAGTTACTCAGAAGGCTGAGGCAGGAGAATTGCTTAAACCCAGGAGGTGGAAGTTGCAGTAAGTCCAGATCGCGCCATTGTACTCCAGCCTGGGAGACGAGTGAAACTCCGTCTCAAAAAAAAAATAAGAAAGAAATTATTTGCTTATTATTTAATTGGGTTATTTATTTTTTTGTTGGTGGGTTGTAAGAGTTCTTTACATACTCTTGACCCTTATCAGATATATGATGTGCAGATATTTTTTTTCATTCTGTAGGTTGCCTTTTCACTTTTTTGGTAATGTCCTTTGATGCCCAAAACAGCTCTTTACTTTTATTACAGTTTTTAGTCAACTAAGCGGTTAAGGACGGTTGTACTATGTGCACAACCGAGCCCCTCCTAGATTGTGGGTTGTCTGATGGAAAGGGTGTAAAAAGTCTGAAGCAATTGACGTTAATATTGTGTATTTGTGGAAGGGTGGATTTGGCTTTTAAAATTGAGACATAACTTAGTTTTTTAATGCTCCATTTCATTCCACAAAAAGTTTGAGTAGACTTATAATAGATATGCCAAAAACTAGGATCAAAGGAAAAATAAGTAGAATAAAGATTGGGGAAAAGAATGTCATTGGAGAGTTCTAGATGGAAAATAAATATATAGCAGTAGTGTAGGATTATGGGTGATCCAAAATTTTCTTCTTTGTATGTGACTTTCATTTTATTTATTTATTTATTTATTTATTTTGAGACAAGGTCTCACTATGTTAACCCGGGCTGGAGTGCAGTGGCGCGATCTCGGCTTCTACAACCTCTGCCTCCTAGGCTCAAACAATCCTCTCTCCTTAGTCTCTCGAGTAGCTGGAACTACAGGAGTGTGCCACCATGCCCTGCTAAAGTTTTATATTTTTGGTAGACATGGAGTTTTGCCATGTTGCCCAGGCTGGTCTTGAACTCCTGAGCTCAGGTGAGCCACCACGCCCAGCCTATTTTTTCATATTTTTTACATTTAATATTTCTTTAGTAAAGAGAACATTTTACTAAAATATTACAATTCTGAATGCATTTACTAGCCTTGCTGCGTTCTGTGCACTGATGTGTGATCCATTATTATGGTTTTATCTGCTACCTATGTTTGTCTTCAGTCTCTCCCTGTTCCCTGAACTTCAGTTGGTTCAGCTGTTCCCCTTTCCAGTACCTCATGGGGTCTTAGACTCAGCAGTATTCCTCCCAGGCTCATCTCCCTAGCCTTACACCTTTGTGTTCCATGTTTTCTCTGCTGCAGCCTGGCGCCTCTGTGTTTTCCTTTCTGTTTGGCTTAGACCTACTAGGACTCATATCAGATCTCACCCCCAGAGGGAGGATTTCCCTGACTCCTTCTCCCCCATGCGTGAGGAGTTCCTTTGCCTACCTCTGTCATTGTGCAGACCACAGTGCTTATGGCATTATGTCTGTGTGATTTTTTTCTCCTCTACTGGCTTATGAGCCCCTCAGGGACATAAACTGAGACTTCTTGTTTATGCTTGTGTAACAGAGTGTGTGGCCCAGGGTTGGCACCAGTATCTGTCTGCAGAATGGATAAGTAAGATCTATAATGTCACAGGAGGCAAACTGGTGGATGTGGGCTGGATCACTTCTGTAGATGTGATCATGTGGTTGACAGTGCTTTAAAATTGGAGATATTTTACATGAAAGTCTCTATGGTTTCCATAGTCTGAAAAAAAATGTGACTATTTGGCCACTCTGGGTCAGCATGCTTTCATGATAGTTGTTCACTAGGTATTTTTGGTGGTTTGCCACAGATTGGTGTTTTTGTAAAAGATGGGGTTCTGGTTTCTGGCATGTTTTTGCAGTTCTGGCTTTCTGAATGGCTAATTAAGGATAGAGCCTTAATGCAGATACTCATGTGTATGTGTAGATACACATGTATATGCTAAAATATACACAAAATGCTGATGAATTGAATTTTCAAGGCCTTTAGCTGAATAACTATCCTAGGATACTTTAATGATGAAGGCTCCCATAAAATGAAATGTTTAGTGACTGGGAAAGTTTATCATTCTGAAGTTTGTAGATTCCTTAAAGAAAAATGGACATATTGTCTGTACTTTTAATGTATTTTTTTTCTTTTAGGTAAAATGAGCTTTTTTTTTTTTCTTGTAACCTTCAGCAAATATTTATAGACTTGCCTGAAGAAGTTTTTAATTCCTTTTTGAAATTAAAGATTGAGTTTTGTTGCTTATGTTTGGAATTTTAAGAGCATTAAGTAAATAGTATTCTTGTGAGTGTATGCAAAGTTTGTGTGCACTTTTTTTGGAGACATTATGGTCCATAACTCCCACTGTATTTTTATAGGGGAGTGATCACAAGCACATCGAAGCAAAGGACTGGGGCCATAGGAAATGAAGCAGCACTGAAGGGCCCTAAGCAGGATTCTGCAGTGGTGTGGGTTGAGGATTAGGAAAGTATGAGGGGTAGGAGACCTAGTAGGGGCCAGAAATGATGACGGCTCCAACCAGGATGAAAGATTACAGAGAGAGAAATCCTGTTTAGTTTTCGTGGAGTTTTAAGTAATCTAAGTACTTATGTTAATTATGAAACTGTGATACTGTGGCTGACAATATCCTCTTAATAAGCTACTATGTAGATTGAATTAGACAAAATGGTAAAATAGTCTCATAGCTCTCTGTAGGAAAAGAATCTTTAGTTGAATAAGCAGAAACCACTTTCCACCTTGTGATACATTAAAGCTTTAGGTGTCGGGTGCTTTAGGAACTGCAGAAGTGGTCTTGCCAATTGGAAAAGTAGTACTACCATAAGAATTTTGGATTATAGTTTCTTGGTAGTCATGAGAATGAAGGTTATATTAAAGTCCATACAATTATATGAAAATGAGTACATGCCCATCATTCTTTAAGGAAATCCCCTCCCTCTGTTGGTTGCCCTAAATAAGAGTTCTAATATACAGGGCTTTCCAATTTTTATAAATAACAACTGCCTGAACATTTTTGCACATAAACACATCCAGCCTGCTCAAGAATGGGTTTTCTAGAGTGCTCAGAGAACATAATCTTTTCAATGCTTGGGAGGTAGCATAAGAGAAGGGAGAGCAGAAGAAATATTCAGGTGCCAACTCAGTCTGTTTTACAGTTGGTTGTTGGCAAAATAAGGTCAGAGTTTGTTTCCAGCATGTTTTTGAAATTCCCCTTAGTGCAAACTTTTCCATGAAAACAATGTAAACTGTTAGGACCTCCAGGTAGAGCAGCAAAAACTCTAACACTAAACTGCTAATTTTGGGGTATATTTGGGTGACGAACCCATAACTATAGTAGTAAAGCTATCAGTTAATATTACTAAGTTCTCCCATTTTGCCAAGCACTTTGCAAAAATACTTTCGCATATGTTATTTTGTGTTAACCTCACCACAATCTTAGGAGATACATGATGGAATCCAGAATTAGAGATAGAAAGTAATTTGAATTTCAGGAGCTATCTTTTGAGTCCAAGTAATGTACCAAAGCTCATACTGTTCATCACCATTGTATATCCCACTTCACTGTTAAGTTACTATGATGATTATAAAAGATAAAGCGTATGTTATTTCTGATTATAAAATATATACTTAAAGTTAAACTTAGGAAATTCAAAAATGTGGAAATAAGGGGGAAAAAACCCCACCCACAGTCTTACCACTTATACACTTTTAACATAAACTTACCTGGATTCTGTAGGAAGTCATATTTACTAATATTTTTTAACAGCTGTGGGGCATTGTAGTCAGGATTTTGTAGAGGTATATCTTTGTTAATTTTTCTCCAGAAGTGTTTTTAAAGGTGAGAGTTTAATAATGTTTGGAAAAAATAAGAGAGAGCACATGTCAGATGACAAATGGATGGCACTGCCAGCAAGGGCTGTGAGGGTGCAAGCCGGCTTTTCTCTCCTGCTGGTCAGTGATTCTGTTCACCAGCTTAACAGACTAAGTTCTAGAGCAAAACACTTACTTATTACACATTGGTTCTCTATACTTCTTTTTGGGTTATCGTATGTTTATCCTTTTAAAAACGTCATAGAATTTTTCTTCTTCTTTTTTAATAATAAAGCTTTCTTGCTTGAAGAAAAGCCTCTTTGTATCCACCACAGCAGATGGAATGGCATTTGTACTTCTAAATTTTTCAGTAGTAGGAGTACCAAAATAGCACTAAAAATTAATTACTTTGATTACCTCCCCTCCCACCCAGTATTGGGAAAAGTCATAATTAAGTCTCCCTTCAAGGTAGTTCATTAGTTCTTGTATGTTAAAAAATCTGACCCTTAAATTAAATCTTCCTTTTGAGCTGCCTTTGTGTTTCCAGGACATGTTTAGCTGCACCTGCCTGCTATTCGGTCTCTTTCTTCACCAGAGTTATAAAATAAGAGGAAAAGGATTGTATTCTCTATTCAGAACTAGAGTTCTGTGGATAACTTGACAGCTTTCCATAAGTGTGAGTCTCCATATCTATAATCAAGTTGTAAGTTTGTGTTTAAACATTTTTCCCCCATATTTAGCCATGTCTCCTCCTTTGTATTGTTTTCTTCTACAAAAATGTTCTTGTAATAGTGTTTTACTTTTAATTCTGAGAAATTTATGACATTTTCTTTTTAAAAGTTATTCTCCACTTAAGTTAGAGATGTATACAGCATTAAAATGGATTGCAGATAAAGATATTTGTAAATGAGTGTTTCGGTTAAATGCTTTTCCAACTGAAGGTGGCATCTTGCCAACGAGAGGATAGCAGTTAGCCAACATGTTTTTTCTTCATGACTGTTTTTTCTTTGTTCAGGTGGAGTACATCCTGCTGCTTCAAGGGTAGAAGACTCCTCACTGCTTTCCTTCATGAGATTTCAAAGGAAGTGTTGGTTTTTTTTTTGCCTGGTTCAAGTATTGACCAAGAAGATGACAGTGATGTGGTCTCTTAGGTTTCAAAATTTCTACTTAAACATCTTGGTTCTAGTGATACGTACTTTGCAAAAATAATTCACAGTTATTATGACTTTTGTTAATATTCTGAAACTATGGTATTCAGAGATGATCCGTCAGGTTCTGATTAAGTTTCTTAGAAGCCCAGTGCACTGAAAAGATTATGGTGTGTCTTTTCTCTTCCTAGCAAAATGGAAAATGACAATACTGAAATGCAAACTAATAGAATACCAGCAAAAATTCTCATTGTTACTCATGGCTTCAAAAACTACATCAGATGCCTTAAAAAAAAATCCTCTTACTTCTTTTGGTACCTCATTTTTGTTGGTTTTCTAAGCATGTAGAAGGGGACCAGAGCATGCCACCCCAAAATATCCCACTTTTAGTGTAGGTGTTGTTTTAAGCTGAAGGCATTTAGTTTCCTGCCCTCCACCTTTCTGTCTAAAAGCAGGCTATCCATTTACATTTCTGAAAGTGTTCCGTACTAAAGAACCCCTATTTATTATACATTTCTAGTTATCTTCCCATGATTTGTACCTCCCTCAAAGTCCAGAACTTGTTTTCCTCAGTCTAGCCTTTTCCCCGTACTTTATCACCCTTTGTTAAGATGGTGTGTAAACCCAAATTTTAATCACCCTTTTGAGTTAACACTGAGTTCTCCTTTGTGTATGCACATTGCATGCATAGGTAAACTGCTTTTTTTCCCCCTCCTGTTAATCTTTTATCTGTTAAATTCAGGGACCCCAGCCACTGAATCTAAGAGGGTAGGGAAAGAGTGTTTTCCTCTCCAACAGTGTGCTTCATTTTTTTCCTGTTGGGTAATTCAACACTGACTCTCCCCAAAATTACACAGAAGAATTAAAGTAACACAGGAATGAAGAAGCGAACATAGATTTATCTGTCAGATGCATTTAAATAAAGTTATTTCTCTACAATTTCCTTGGTCTTTTGTATACTGTTATAATAAACTAGTAGGCAGCAGAAAATTTTTTTTGTGACAGAGTCTCGCTCTATTGTGCGAGACTGTGTGGCACAGTCTCGGCTCACTGCAACCTCTGCCTCTTGGGTTCAAGAGATTCTCCTGCCTCAGCCTCCCCAGTAGCTGGGATTACAGGTGCCCACCACCTGTAAAAATACCCGGCTAATTTTGTGTTTTTAGTGGAGATAGGGTTTCACTATGTGGGTCAGGCTGGCCTTGAACTCTTGACTTCAGGTGATCTGCCTGCCTCAGTCTCCCAAAGTGCTGGGATTACAGGCATGAGCCACAGCGCCTGGCTGGCAACAGGATTTTTGTTAAATAATCATCCTCTGTTGTCTCCAAGATTTTAGAAATCCCAGAAAACATGGAAACCTATGAAAATATGAACTTGACCTAAAGTATTTTGAATAATATTTATTGCTGTGGTTCTAGATGCTTCTAAAGTTTAGACTAGAGGATAGTTTTTATCTTTGTTAGGTCAGGATATTTAGCTGTGTAATAGTTTGGTTTTAAAGCTGTATGCTTTTTGACTTCTATTTAGGCTAAGAAGGCTTTTAGTCTTTCTTTTAGTGAAGAGGGTGTCCCTAGTCTGAGGGCATCTGTAGGCAGCATGTATCAATCAGTGATTGTAGCCCGGGGCCAGGGCAGCCCTGCGGTTTTCACAGTGGATTGTCTATATATCATCTGTTTCAAGATTCCTGTAGTCATGATACTAAAACGGAAAGGTGGACCAAATATTTTGTTTTTCAGTTTATCAGTTTTTCTTTGAGTCATCTAAGTAAGGCTCGGGATACTGTCTAATGGGAAATGAACAGTTAAGACAAAATCAGGGCAAGTCTTTGGGCAAGACAACTCTGTTTACTTTAGTATGCATACATGCATAGCCTGCCTTGTTCCAAAAAGGATTTAAGGTGGCACTGCTGTGCACTTTCTGTGGTTTATGGTCTGAGACTTATTTATAAATACAGTTACTAGTTTCAAATTGAAATGAATCTGGCTTCCAAATGGTGTGTAGTGTACTTACCCCAACAATGCTGCCATTGTACCCCAAGGTCTTCTTTAGGATTTGAATATGTTCATTGGTCATAAATCTTTATCCTTTGATGTTAGAATCAATTTTTGGAACCAGCTAAAAGTCATTAAGTGCCGAGTTTGGTGAATAACCTGGATAGGCAATCTGGGTTGTTAGAGCTTTTGGTTTATTGTTTTTGACTCATGGACTGTGAGCCAAAATAGGATGATGAAACTAGTTTCTAAGCCACAGTTAACTCCTTGTTAACATTCAGCAGTCTTGAACAATGGGTCCAATTGACTCTTGGTCTTGTGCTACATTAGCAGTGCCATTGAGATCAAATAAACAAGTTAACATTGTCCTCACTTGTGATTTTGAGATGGATGTTTTCTTGGGTTTGTAGTACAGCAAAGTATACCATTGCAAATTTCATGTTTTCAGGTCGTAATGAAAACTTTTGAAGTCAACTCTACCGATTTTCTCAAAATATTTCTGTTTTTTTCAGCTGTTAACAAAAGATCCAAAACAGTGAACAGGTTGTAACTGCTCTTTATCACTTGGTGAAAATTTCTTCCAAACGTTTTCACTAGCTTTTCACATAGTTTGACCCTCTGCCACATATTCGTGTGTTTTGTTTTTTTACTATGTAACCATTAAACTGTACGAATTGAGTTATTACTTTGACATCATTTTATAGATGAAGAAACAGGTTTACGAAAGATGAGACTTGATTTAAGGGATCAGAGATACTAAAGAGTCAAGATTCAAATCCCAGTTTTCTGGGTTTTTTTTCAGTGTATAATGCTGCCAGGATGGACATCAGCCATAACCTCCTTAATTTTCTTTTAGTAATATGAATTAATTTTCATATAAGAATATGAAAATTAAGAGCTCTTCCCTTTTATTTCCATAAATCTTGTGGATTTAATGCCACCCCTAATTAAATGTTAATTACTTTTTACTCAGGTCATTTTTTTTTTAATTATACTTTAAGTTCTAGGGTACATGTGCACAACGTGCAGGTTTGTTACATATGTATGTATGTGCCATGTTGGTTTGCTGCACCCATTAACTCATCATTTACATTAGGTGTTTCTCCTAATGCTGTCCCTCCCCCAGCTCCCACCCCACGACAGGCCCTGGTGTGTGATGTTCCCCGCCCTGTGTCCAAGTGTTCTCATTGTTCAATTCCCACCTATGAGTGAGAACATGCGGTGTTTGGTTTTCTGTCCTTGCAATAGTTTGCTCAGAATGGTGGTTTCCAGCTTCATCCATGTCCCTACAAGGGACATGAACTCATCCTTTTTTATGGCTGCATAGTATTCCATGGTGTATATGTGCCACATTTTCTCCCCCCCACCTTTTTTTTTGAGACGGAGTCTT
The DNA here is from genome assembly GCF_000001405.40 of Homo sapiens. Taxonomy (NCBI): domain Eukaryota; kingdom Metazoa; phylum Chordata; class Mammalia; order Primates; family Hominidae; genus Homo; species Homo sapiens. The sequence goes on along the minus strand of NC_000007.14, from coordinate 105,303,060 downwards.
GTTCTGTCGCCCAGGCTGGAGTGCAGCGGCGCAAACTAGGCTTGCTGCAAGCTCCGCCTCCTGGGTTCATGCCATTCTCCTGCCTCAGCCTCCCAAGTAGCTGGGACTACAGGCGCCCGCCACCATGCCTGGCTAATTTTTTTTTTTTCTTCAGAAAAGTAGGATTTCATTAAAATCAGTGTCTTCAACAATACAGAAATTAAATGTTAAGGCATCTTTTACTCCCATCCTGGTATATGCAAGAGAAATGTTTTAAGGAAGGGCCAGCATTTCTTACTAAAATGCTTTCTAGTGTATTTAGCAGATTTGTTTTTATATTCTCCTGTTCCACCTATCACTCAAAGCACTCATGATCACACATCTTGACCCAAATCAAGAGAAAAATATAAATAGATATTAATTTATTAAAGGGAAGCAGTTCACCTTTCAAAAATTAAAAGAAACTAGAAAAAGTATCATGTATAAAGTTCAAATACCAGCATTTAAATTTCTCTGAAGCAATTTACGGTTCAGTAATTAAGCAAAAGAAGAGATGAAGACTTTATTTAAGATAAGAAGCCTATTAATATGGATTGCACTATGGAGTAACTGTTCACTGAGTACTTGGCTCCACCAGGATGATAGTTTGAAAAGGGCTTCATACTCCTTTAAAAGACAGCACATCCACCAGGATAAGATCATATAAATTAACACTGATTCTTATTCCACATGCCTGTCCATTTACAAAGCTCAAGAGGCTTCATAAAGTATACTAAACTGTAACATTTTCACCTTTTATTAAGGCAAGTTTGTGAAAATAATTTAATACAACTGGATCTCTTCATGAACTTTCAACTTACAACCTTTTTAATGTAAGAAACATACAAAAATTATTTTATAAAAAGCCACCTCAATACCAGAAAATGGTAATGAAAGATTTTGAACCCAGTTTTACTTTTTAAAGAATGCTCTTTCCTTGTCTCAAATTCCAAGTGCTACTCATCATCCTTAGAGCCAGTTTTGCTTAAATGCTTCACAACATCAACCCAGTTCCAGCCTCGAGGAAGTTCTCCTTTGTGATCTGTTTTGTCTGCCAGCTTACGCTTCTGGGCTTTTGAAAGTTATTCTTTTTTGTCTTTTTTCTTACTTGATGGGGCTGTATTAGGAGTTTCAATTGAGATGATATTGCTTATCGATGTTGTGGAATTAATGGGATTGTGATTCTCCATGAACTGCTCTTATTGTCTTTGGCATATTCAAACAATGTACAGGTCATAGCGGTTCCAAGATTAGCTTCTACTGCTTCCTGTAACTTGGCTAATATACTCTGCTTTACAGCTGATGATACGGTGTTGTTAAAAAAAAAGCGTTCATAGATAGAATTGGAGGTGTTTGGGGATATGTTTCTGTCCAGGAAATCTCTATTAAGAAGGCTTTGGGATCACCATTTTCACCTATCCTATATTGAAAAGAAACTGAACTTAATTCCCGGAAACTTTCATCTCCTTCATAAATAGAGCGTAATGCTTCTAGTTCCATCTCCTGGTCCTCGTTGGCACTCGTCACACCGGTTGCGGGGCGCCTCCTGAGTGGACGGTGCTTGCAACAACGAAGACAAAGCGAGGGCAGCGGCCCAGAGGCCCGGCGACCCCCTTTGGCGCCTTGGTTGTGGGGGCGGCACAGTCTTGGCACTGGCAGGTGCCAATCGTGCGTGCCCCTGGCCTCGGCAGCGCCCAGCTGCCAGCGGTGGGCTGTGGGCTCGGACCCGGAGCCGCGGCTTTTTTTTTTTTTTTTTGTATTTTTAGTAGAGACGGGGTTTCACGTGTTAGCCAGGATGGTCTTGATCTCCTGACCTCATGATCCGCCTGCCTCGGCCTCCCAAAGTGCTGGGATTACAGGCGTGAGCCACTGCGCCCAGCCAAGTGGCACATTTTCTTAATCCAGTCTATCATTGATGGACATTTGGGTTGGTTCCCAGTCTTTGCTATTGTGAATAATGCCGCAATAAACATACATGTGCATGTGTCTTTATAGTGGCATGATTTATAATCCTTTGGGTATATACCCAGTAATGGGATTGCTGGGTCAAATGGTATTTCTAGTTCTAGATCCTTGAGGAATCGCCACACTGTCTTCCACGACGGTTGAACTAGTTTACAGTCCCACCAACAGTGTAAAAGTGTTCCTGTTTTCTCCACATCCTCTCCAGCACCTGTTGTTTCTTGATATTTTAATGATCGCCATTCTAACTGGTGTGAGATGGTATCTCGTTGTGGTTTTGATTTGCATTTTTTTGATGACTAGTGATGATGAGCATTTTTTCATGTGTCTGCTAGCTGCATAAATGTCTTCTTTTGAGAAGTGTCTGTTCATATCCGTTGCCCACTTTTTGATGTGGTTGTTTGATTTTTTTCTTGTATATTTGTTTAAGTTCTTTGTAGATTCTGGATATTAGCCCTTTGTCAGATGGGTAGATTGCAAAAATTTTCTCCCATTCTGTAGGTTGTACTCAGGTCATTTTTAATTTTATACTGACATGAAGCTTAGATGTGCATTAATTTCCATTAGTTGTATTTTGGCCTTGAAAATGGTTACAGTACAAATGAAAATATTACAATACATTCCTCCTGTGGCTATTCTTCTGTTTCCATAAGTCGTGGCAGAAAATCAGTTTTGTTTTATAGTCACATTTGTGTTTGTGTTGAAATATTAGTATATCCCAGCCATGATGTCAGATGTATAACTATACAAGTCACACAAGTTTTCTATGTGCACATAGTGTTCTAAATATGTATATATATACTTTTTTTTTTTTTTTTTTTTTTTTGAGATGGAGTCTCGCTGTCTCTTGCCCAGTCTGGAGTGCAGTGGCGTGATCTTGGCTCACTGTAGCCTCTGCCTCCCGAGTTGAAGCAATTCTCCTGTCTCACCCTCCTGAGTAGCGGGGCCTACAGATGCACGCCATGTATTGTATCTGTACATGGTGATGCCCGGCCAATTATTGCTAATACTGTGTTTTAAAAATTAATTTGTACATTTGAATTAAGTTGAAGCATAAAGAATTTCTCTGTTAAATATTTATTATATTTAATTTTTGATGGGCACTTCATATGCTTGTGACTGGAAGGAATGATTTTTATTTTGGAAATATTTTAGATCTATGTATTGTTTGTTTTGTATTCTTTTTTGAGATGGAGTCTCTCTCTGTCACCCAGGCTGGAGTGCAGTGGCGCGATCTCGGCTCACTGCAACTTACGCCGCCTGGGTTCAAGCGATTCTCCTGCCTCAGCCTCCCAGGTAGCTGAGATTACAGGCACCCTCCACCACACCTGGCTAATTTTTGTATTTTTTGGTAGAGATGGGATTTCACCATGTTAACCAGGCTGGTCTAGAACTCCTGACCTCAGATGGTCTGCCTGCCATAGCCTCCCAAAGTGCTGGGATTACAGGTGTGAGCCACGGCACCAGGCCTCATCCCATTACATTCTAAAGATTGTGTCAAAATGAGTTATGCTTCTTGTGAGGTGATGGGACCGTTATATCTCTCCAGTGTCTGTGGTACAACAGACTAAAAGATGAATATATTTAATTTCTTAATGTTTCTTTTGCTAATTTTCCTTAGCTAGCAATATATGTGTTAGCTTTAGTGTCTTTTTAGGTTCAGATTATTTTTGGTAGACCTTAAAAAATGAGAAGATAAAGGATATCCGAAAGAAGCCTTAAGGTAGATCCTTTACTTGGAAGTATCAGGCTCTTCCACCTGACTCCACTCATAATAAAAAATGAAAACAAAAGTGGTTGACGTAGCAAAGATTTTAACTTTTAAAGCTTGATAGAGCTTTGCAGGTTTAGGAAGATAACTTCCCAGTCTTCAGATTGGGATGGTGAGACTGTGTGGCCCCACCTCCATGCAGGCCATGCAGAACACAGGACTGTAGAGAAACAGAGGCTCATTCTCAGTTCCAACAGGAGGAAGAGTGCCCACTGGGCAGCCAGTCCTGTTAGGGCAAGGAGCAGCCCTTCTGGAGACATGGCAGATCTTAACGTTTCAGTGCATATGGATGGGGGAGGGTGTTCTGGGGCTGGTGGAACGTAGAGGGCATTCATGGTGGTGAAAGTGGGATGTAGGAGAGGGTTTGGGTGATGATGGATAACTGGGTTCACTGTGTGCTAACTGAGCTGAACAGAGTATGAGGCGTTGGCCTACATTGTCTCCCTGGAAAGACTGCTGTCACAGGTTCTCTTGCTGGCATTGTGATGCAGGGCTGCGTGAAGCCCTCCTTACAGCGGGAGGTGGGCTCTGTTGGAGTGGGCCCTGTGCCTCTGCTGTCTCCTACTGCTAACGTGAGGCATCAGCTGAGGAGGGATGGGGATGAACTATTTTAGGCAGGGGGTTGCAGTATAATCTGAGCCATGCTATCCTATGGGGCCTTTTTATTTGATACTTTTGTTTGCTTTTCCTTTTTGTAAGAGATACCATCTTGCTGTGTTGCCCAGGCTGGCCTCAGACTCCTGGTCTCAAGCAGTCATCTCACAATTTAGCAGTTTCTTAGAGTCAGACACTATATGACCTACTCCTGGGTATTTACCTAAGTGAAACAGAAACTTAGGTTCAGAAAAAAAACCTATATGTAACTGCTTGTAGCAGCATTTCTTTTTTAACAGTTAAGAAAAATGTGGGCTTTTCAAATTTCCCTAATTGGTGAATGGATAAACAAACTCTGATACATCCATAACAATGGAATACTACTCATCAGTTAAAAAATATACTACTACTAATACATGCAGCAAGTGGATGCATCTTTAAAGGCATTATGTTAAGTGAAAGAAGCTAGACTCAAAAGCATACAGACTCTGGGAAACACATCAGTAGTTGCCAAGAGGTAGAGGTGGGAGAGGAGTTGGTTGTAGTGTGGCAATGGGGAATTTTTTGAGTGTTGGAACTCTTCTATATTTTGGTTGTGGTAGTGGTTACACAACTGTGTCAAAACTTACCCAGCTGAACATGAAAAAGATGAATATTACTGTATATAAAAATTACAGGCCAGGCGTGGTGGCTCACGCCTGTCATCCCAGCATTTTGGGAGGCTGAGGTGGGCAGATCACGAGGTCAGGAGTTCGAGACCAGCTTGGCCAACATGGTGAAAACCCGTCTCTACTAAAAACACAAAAATTAGCTGGGCATAGTGGCGCATGCCTGTAATTCCAGCTACTTGGGAGGCTGAGGCAGGAGAATTGCTTGAACCCAGGAGGTGGAGGTTGCAGTGAGCTGAGATGGTGCCACTGCACTCCAGCCTGGGTGACAGAGTAAGACTCCGTCTCAAAAAAAAAAAAAAAAAAAAAATTTACAGCTTAATTAAAGATGAAAATAAAACAAAAGTAATTAATGTAACAAAGATTTTGTTAATTGTTAAAGCTTTATAGAGCTTTGTAGGTTTGGGGAAGAGAACTTGCCAGATTGTGATAATCTCGGAAGACCTTTTAGGTAATTGTAGCGTGGACCTTCTGTATGTCTAAAATGGTAAACGGTGTGCCTTATCTTTTATAGGAGTGAACAACCAAGGCGATGGGCTGTAGGATGTTGATACATCTGAGGGGCCAGATGGCCACCATATCAGGGAAAGCCAATGTGTTTTGAAAAATATGCAAATGTTCAATAAGGTAACATTAAGTACAATTTATAGTGAAAACGTGATAGCTGTATTCTACCTGTGTTTCCAGCACTTGTGATCACTGTGATTTATGGACCACAGATCTGTGTCTGTGTCACTTCATTCAGTGTATTTATTGAACACCATGTAAAACTAAAGGTCTTTGATTGGCAATTGGTTTGCTGTTTCTAACAGCTTGTTTTTACTTTATATTCCAAAAGTAATCGCAAAAAATGCAGTTTCTTTTGCACCAACCTAATAAAATTGACCCATGTTTATTTCAGTTTGAGAATTTTATCATACCTGTGAGTTACTGTTATTGACAATTCCCTAGAGTATTGTCCAGTAGATGGGTGAGGGGAGTTCACTAAGTATTCTTAGTGTCTAGTTTGTAATTAGTTTATGAGACTTAAAACCCCACCACACATTATTCTGAACCTGCTGTAAATATTATGAGAGGCAGTATGTATAGTTGCCTCTGGAGCTGGAGTGCCTGGATTTGTTTTCCAGCTTTACCATTTGCTAGCTGTATGACCTTGGGCCAAGCTATTTAACCTCTCTGCTTTAGTTTTCTCTTCTGTAAAAGAGGGTTGATAATGACAGTGTCTACTCCATGGAGGGTTTGTGTGGATTAAATGAGCTAATAAGTAGTAAGCCCCCACAACAGTACCTGGCACATAGTAAGCTCTATTAGTGTTTTTCTTCTGTGTCAGTTAATAGCCTCATAGGCTTTCCTCAGATATTTAAATACATGAATGCCTATGATGCCATCTCTCCTTTGGCTTCCTGAAATCAGATTTCCTTAGTTCTTGTAAAGCCAGTGGACTTCCATTGTATTTTCTTTCCTCTCCTGTTTCACTGTAATTCCTCTAAGTTATACTTTATTATACATTTGAATTTTAGGAAATATGCTTGATGCATTTGGAATCTTTTTTCTAAAGACTTTTTTTTAAAATCTTATACACTAACTGGAAATAATTTGTTACATTTTTTTCCTTTTGTGTTCAGAGGCTCAAAACTATTTCATTTGCCTTAAGAAATATGAGTCAAAACTATTTATCTCCTAAGTTAGGAGGCTAGGAAGGCCAAGATTCAGAAAAGTTGGTAAATTAAGAGGACTGAATACTAGAAATCAAAAGAACATCCACTTTCTTGCTTCTCTGTGTATGATATTACTTTTGTAAAATTGTGTGTCTTTTATAGAGAAAAGTACTCTTAGCACAAAGCTGATTGTTTTTGTGAAGAGTATTTTGAAGATGCCTGTTGAAAAGCACTTGTGGAGTAGTTTATGGAAACAGCTGTGAGATTGCACAAAGTATTCTTGTACTCTTCAGAGCCATTCTTTAGTAGGAGAAAATAAGGTCCATATTTTAAGCTTGATGATAGCAAGCCATTTATTAGCAACCCAGTTTAACCCCACACTTTTCTCCTTTTGGGGTTAAATTGGGTAGTATTCATTAGAAGTACTTCAAGAAACCATGAACTCATTTGCTAGCAGTGTTTATATCCTGTATACTGAGAATTTGAGGTGACTTTTATAGCCATTCTTAATCCTCAGTATCTGTCATTGTGGAACCTGAACCCTGTGTGTCTAATGTTATCCAAGAGAAATATTGTGTGAGCCACTAGTGTACTTTCAAATTGTGGTAAAATGTATATCCCATAAAACCATCTTAACCACATTTTTGAAGTGTGCAGTTCAGTTGCATTAAGTACATTCATATTGTTTTGTAACCGTGACCACTGTTTTTAGAAATTTTTCATTTCAAACAGAAACTCTGTACCCATTAAACAGCAACTCCCCATTTTCCCTTCCTGGCCCCTGGTAACTACTGTTCTACCTTTTGTCAATGAAATTTGCTTATTCTCGCTACCACATATAAGCAGAGTTAAACAATACTTTACTTAGCATAATGTTTTCAAGGTTTATCCATCTTGTAGCATGTGTCATACTTCATTCCTTTTAGTGGCTGAATAATACTCCATTGTATGTTTATATAATTTTATAATGCATTTAGTTTAACACATCCAAGATAGTCTTATTCATGTAATTAGTATGAAATATTAATTTACATAAAAATATTTATATAATATGTAAATTTATATGAATTTGTAACATAAAACAAACATTAAAATATATTAAAACGTTATATAAATATGTAAAGATAGATTAAATATTAAATATTAATAAAATATTTTCATTCAATTTTTTTTTTTTTTGAGACGGGTTCTCGCTCTGTCACCCAGGCTGGGGCACAGTGGCGCAGTTTGGCTCACCGCAGCCTCTGCCTCCTGGGTTCAAGCGATTCTCGTGCCTCAGCCTCCTGAGTAGCTGGGACTACAGGCGCATGCCACCACACCTGGCTGATTTTTTTTGTTTTTAGTAGAGACAGGGTTTCGCCATGTTGGACAAGCTGGTCTCGAACTCCTGACCTCAGGTGATCCACCTGCCTCGGTTTCCCAAAGTGCTGGGATTAGAAGTGTGAGCCACCACTCCCGGCCTATTTTGTATTTTTTAAAGAAAACTAATATTTGCCAAAAGACATATTATTAGAGAAGATTCTGGGCATCAGCCATAGAAAAACAGGATTAGAAAATGACTAAGGGTTGGGTGCGGTGGCTCACACCTGTAATTCCAGCTCTTTGGGAGGCCAAGGTGGGCAGATCAGTTGAGGTCAGGAGTTCGTTACCAGTCTGGCCAACATGATGAAATCCTGTCTCTACTAAAAATAGAAAAATTAGCCAGGCATGGTGGTGCGCGTCTATAATCCCAGCTGCTTGAGAAGCTGAGCAGGAGAATTGCTCGAACCTGGGAGGCGGAGGTTGCAATGAGCTGAGATTGTGCCACAGCACTCTAGCCTGAACACAGAGACTCCATTTCAAAAAAACAAAACAAAACAAAACAAAACAAAACAAAAAAACAGCAACAACAAAAAAGAAAGATCCAGGCATAGCTTTCCCTTCGTTTCAAACCTCACAAGGGATGGTAGCCTTTAAAGGAACAAACAGTTACTGTGAATTTTTTTTCACCAAAACCTCTGAAGAGACGGTTTAGGGAACTGGATCGACAAAATTTTATTGGATTCATACCTTGCTAAATACAGTGCTGGTAAACAATAGGTACCTAACATTTGAATACAAAATGTTGAATACTGAGTAGAGCTCGAAGAGAAATTTGCAGAGGGTGCTGTGAAACTGGATAAAAGAACTTTTGTTCAAACTGCGGAACTTCTTTTTCCCAGTTCCATTCATTGAACTTTGGGGATTGGGCCTGATTATGCCAGGCATTCTCTTAACCCTTCTGGTTGTCAGGAACTAGGGGCACATGGGTACAGGTATGGACTAGAGATGCCCACTGGCAGCCCTTTGGGATTTGGCTATGTTGTATGTTGTATCACTCCGAGGGATTGGATTAGGTGTGCCCCCTGACCCCGGTGCAGGCAGTTCACAGATAGTCCAGCAACCTTGTGGATGGTGTAGCCTGGCTGGAAAAGATAAACTGGGATAATGCTTTCCTTGCCTCAGGAATTTGAATTTCTAAGAGATTAGGTCAGTTCAATGGGGATAGCATTGTAGATACTAAAAGCATTGACTTATAGTGAAAGATCTGGGGCCCAGTTCTGGGTTTGTTACTTACTTAGCTAGGTAACATTGGACATATCTTATCTTGCAGGGTTTCACCTCCTTTTCTTACCTCTAAAATGGAAATGAGGCCAGGCATGGTGGCTCACGCCTGTAATCCCAACCCTTTGGGAGGCTGAGGTGGGTAGATCACCTGAGGTCAGGAGTTTGAGACCAGCCTGGCCAACATGGTGGAAACCCGTCTCTACTAAAAATACAACAATCAGCCGAGTGTGATGGTGGGTTCCTGTAGTCCCAGCTACTCAGGAGGCTGAAGTATGAAAATCACTTGAAACCCGGGGCGGGGTGGGGGGTGGAGGGGGAAGGTTGCAAAGACTCTGTCTCCCACCCCCCCACAAAAAAGGAAATGATATTTGTATCTACCTAATACTGATTTTATGAGGATGAAGATATGTAACATCTTGCCAAATTCTAGAGTGGTAGTTGTCACCATAATACAAAGCAACAGTTAGTGTTGTAACCATCATATAAAGGAGCCTGGCATACTTGGCATACTTTTTTTTTTTCTTTTTTTGAGATGGAGTTTCACTCATGCAGTGGTGCGATCACTACAACCTCCACCTCCCTGGTTCAAGCAGTTATCTTGCCTCAGCCTCTTGAGTAGCTGGGATTACAGGCATCCACCACCATGCCCGGCCAATTTTTGTATTTTTAGTAGAGATGGGGTTTCGCCATGTTTGCCAAGCTGGTCTCGAACTCCTGACCTCAGGTGATCCGCGCCCCCCTCCCTCCTCCCCCTTGGCCTCCCAAAGTGTTGGGATTACAGGCGTGAGCCACCACGCCTGGCCAAGCCTGGCATACTGTTATGTTCCACTTGGAAGCTACAGTTGTAGAGCTAATCACTTGGGAAAGAATCAAGGAGATGCTCAAACAGAAGCAGATGTACTATGGCAATGGAACCCTCAAGAGAGAGAGCAGGAGTAGAACTGTCTTTATAAGAACCTGATGTAGAACTCATAAACATTCAAGTGCCATAGATGGTTTAAGGAAAACTTTATGAACAGTGTGGGAAACTACCATTTATAGTTTTCTCAACAGGATCAAATCAGCCAATTAGAAGGGTACACAGATGGCAACATAAGGCAATAGTCTGTCTGTAAGGAATAAAACAGAAAAACAATAGCAAGCAAAAAGCGCTGTCCCAATATGGCACCATTGGTGCAGAAGTAGCAGATCTTCAGGTGCGTTTCAGAGGCCCTGAGAATATCTGAGTAGTGCCAATAAGGAAAAGCCTGGAGTTAGCCAAGAAACTTTATATTATGCTCTTTTTTTTTTTTTTTTTTTTTTTTTTGAGAGTCTTACTCTATCGCCCAGGCTGGAGTGTAGTGGCACGTCTCACTGCAACTTCTGCCTCCCAGGTTTAAGCGATTCTCTTGCCTCAGCCTCCTGAGTAGCTGGGATTACAGGCATATGCCGCCACACCCAGATAATTTTTGTATATTTTGTAGAGATGGGGTTTTGCCATGCTGGCCAGGCTGGTCTCGAACTCCTGACCTCAGATGATTGGCCCGCCTCGGCCTCCCAAAGTGCTGGGAATTACAGGTGTGAGCCACCACACCCAGCCTAATTTACTTTTTAACCAGACATGAATAGTTCAATTTAGGATGGCTTAAATAAAGTTAAGATAGGTAACCTTTCAACTCATGAACATATGACTGTCAAGAATCATTGATTCCTTGAAGTGTTGGTAGCTGAGGCTCATGTGTATTTCAGAGAAGGAAATATGGAAGGGAACACGTGAGAGCAACGGGAAAACTAGGAGGTGACTAGGCCATCATTTTGGGATAAACAGCATTCCATTTTGCTTTGGCACATCTTTCAGTTATTCTTCTGTTTAAAATATTTGAAAATTGTGAATTTTTAAATGTATTTAATACAGGAAATTATAAGCATAAAGAATAATAAAATAGTCAATCCCTAACTTGAGAAATGGAATGCTACCACAAGTAGAGATATTTTTTCTTTATATTCATGCTGTTAATTTTTCCTCTCGCTTTACTTTCTGTATGTTTTTTATTTTCTCTGCCTTTATTTTATTTATTTGAGACCCCCTCCCCCTGAAAAAAAATCTCGTTCTGTTGCCCAGGCTGGAGTGCAGTGGTGCCATCTTGGCTCAGTGCAGCCTCTGCCCCCTGGGTTCAAGCAATTCTTGTGCCTCAGCTTCCCGAGTAGCTGGGACTATAGGCGTGCGCCACCATGCCCGGCTAATTTTTTGTGTTTTTAGTAGAGATGGGGTTTCACCATATTGGCCAGGCTGGTCTCAAACTCCTGAACTCAAGTGATCCACCTGCCTCGGCCTCACAAAGTGCTGGGATTACAGGTGTGAGCCACTGTGCCCAGCCTCACAAAGTGCTGGGATTACAGGTGTGAGCCACTGTGTCCGGCCTTCCCTCTGTCTTTAAAGAAAGTAGTCTCAGTCCAAATGTCAGACAGAGTTAGGCTTTAGAATAAGGAAAAAGTTGGGCACTTTAGGTGAGTGAAAATACTTTGGCAAGTACAGGCATACCTCATTTTATTTCTGCCCTACTTAAAAGTGACATATCTTTGTATGGCCCAGAAAGTGCTCTGGGAACAGGCCCCTGCCATCATCTCTGGCTTCATTTCTTACCAGTACCGACTTAAGTCCTGCCAGCCACCAAAACCACTCAGATGGTGCACATGATAGGTTCTCTGTAGCTTTGGATGTGCCATTTTTTGTTTAGAATGGTCCCAGTCTTCATTTCTTTTTTTTTTTTTTTTTTTTTGAGACGGAGTCTCGCTCTGTCGCCCAGGCCGGACTGCGGACTGCAGTGGCGCAATCTCGGCTCACTGCAAGCTCCGCTTCCCGGGTTCACGCCATTCTCCTGCCTCAGCCTCCCGAGTAGCTGGGACTACAGGCGCCCGCCACCGCGCCCGGCCAATTTTTTGTATTTTTAGTAGAGACGGGGTTTCACCTTGTTAGCCAGGATGGTCTCGATCTTCTGACCTCATGATCCACCCGCCTCGGCCTCCCAAAGTGCTGGGATTACAGGCGTGAGCCACCGCGCCCGGCCTTCATTTCTTCATTTGGCAAAGTCATTCTAAATTTCATAGCTGGTAGTATAGACGTGTGCCACCACATTTGGCTACATTTTGTATTTTTTGTTGAGACAGAGTCTGCGTGTGTTACCCAAGCTGGTCTGGATCTCCTGGCCTCAAATAATCCTTCCACCTCAGCCTCCCAAAATGGTGGACTTACAGATGTGGCCCGACCTATACTTCATTTTGTTGCACTTTGCTAATATTGTGGTTTTTGTTTTTGTTTGTTTTTTTGAGACAAGGTCTTGCTCTGTCATCCACACCTGAGTGCAGTGGCGCAGTCTCCGCTCACTGTGAACTCCGCCTCCTGGGCTCAAGTGATCCTCCTACCTCAGCCTTCTGGGTAGTAGCTGGGACCACAGGTGTGTGCCACCATGCCTGGCTAATTTTTTATATATATTTTTTGTTTGTTTGTTTGTTTTATAGAAACAGGCTTGCACCATGTTGTCCAGGCTGTTTTTTTTTTAATACAAATGGAAATTTTGTGACAACTACATCTTGCAAATCTGTTTGTGCCATTTTTTTTTTTTTTTTGAAGAGCCTGTGTCTCTGTGTTAGTTTGGTAATTCTTGAAGTATTTCAGAAGTTTTCATTGTATATCTGTGATTATAGTGATCTGTGATGAGTGATCGTTGCTGATAATATGGTAATTGTTTTGGGGTTCTAAGAACTGTGCTCATATAAGACAGTGAGTTTAGTTGATACATGCTGTGTGTGTTCTGACTGCTCCACTGACCTGTACTCTGTCTCTCTCCCTCCTCTTTGGCCTTCCTACTTCCTGCGACACAACAGTATTGAAATTAAGCTAATTCATAATCCTACAATGTTCTGTGAGTATTTAAGTGAAAGGAAGAGTTACACATCTCACACTTTAAATCAAAAGTAAGAAATGATTAAGCTTAGTGAGGAAGGCATGTCAGAGGCTGAGAAGGAGGAAAGCTAGACCTCTTATGACAAACAATTAGACAAGTATGAATGCAAAGGAAAAATTTTTGACGGAAATTTAAAGTGTTACTTCAGTGAACACAAATGATAAGAAAGCAAAACACCCTTATTGCTGATATGGAGAAAGTCTGAATGTTGGGTATGGATAGAATATCAACCAGTGAATAATTAGTGTGAATAATTTATATTTTTATGATCACTTTAATGATAGGTCTTGCTATGTTGCTCAGACTGGCTTTGAATTCCTGGGCTCAAGAGATCCTCCTGCCGCAGCTTCCCAGAGTGCTGCCGCACACTTAATAGTCTATGGTATCATATAAACAGAACTTGTATATGCACTGGGAAACCAAAAAATTTGTGTGACTTTCTTTATTGAGGTGGTCTGGAATTGAACCTGTGATATCCTGGAGGTATGTCTTTATTTTTAAGTATACACTGAGAGTGATTTTGTTATTACATAATGATGTGACTGGAAGGAAGTTATTTTTTATTTTTTTTTTATTTATTTTTTTTGAGACAGAGTCTTGTTCTGTCGCCCAGGCTGGAGTGCAGTGGCGCCATCTCGGCTCACTGCAAGCTCCACCTCCTGGGTTCACGCCAGTCTCCTGCCTCAGCCTCCCAAGTAGCTGGGACTACAGTCTCCTGCCACCATGCCCGGCTAATTTTTTTTTTTTTTTTTTTTTTTTGTGCTTTAAGTAGAGATGGGGTTTCACCATGTTAGCCAAGACGGTCTCGATCTCCTGACCTTGTGATCTGCCTGCCTCGGCTTCCCAAAGTGCTGAGATTACAGGCGTGAGCCTCCGCACCTGGCTGGAAGTTATTTTTTAAAAAAAGGAAAACTAGAATTTCTGAAAGCTTCGTTATTGAGAGATTTTATACTTACCTCTTTATTGTGGTAGCCCTTTTGTGGTACGCAGCAGCTTCCTAAGTCAGTGTCTAGACATTTGGCTCCAGTTTCTTTAGCACATGTCTTCCTCCTCTGCATGGTCCAGGAGAAGAGCATCTGGGAGGATGGCTCTACTTATAGACTTGGAGTTTTTATCCTATATTTTTATCATGTGATTCTCTGTTTCTAACAGCAGTATCTTCTGTAAGCATACTCCACCCATTTCGCAGTAGAAACTTGTTATTTTTTGGGCTGCTTAATTAATATGTTTTTATATATTTTTTTTGTTGTTGTTTATTTGAGATGGAGTCTTGCACTTTGCACTGTCGCTCGGGCTGGAGTGCAATGGCGCATTCTTGGCTCACTGCAACCTCCGCCTCCCGGGTTCAAGTGATTCTCCTGGCTCAGCCTCCCAAGTAGCTGAGATTACAGGTGCCCGCCACCACGCCCAGCTAATTTTTTATATTTTTAGTAGAGATAGGGTTCACTGTGTTGGCCAGGCTGATCTCAAACTCCTGATTTCGTGATCCACCCGCCCTACCTCCCAAAGTGCTGGGATTACAGGCATGAGCCACCCCACCTGGCCTTGTTTGTTTGTTTACTTACTTATTTATTTATTTTAAGTTCAGTGATTTATTTTAGCAATTTTGTTATGTTGTAAGATCCTACTATGGGTGGAAATAGAAGGGACAGACTGAATTTAAGTTTTTAACGCTAGTCTCTTTAGAATGCCAGTTGTACAACTTCCATAAGACTTCCTTTTTAAATGATAGAATAGTGTGAGAAGAATTTAGTTGTTATTTTTTTCCTTTAATATAACACTCTCAGAATCCCAACAGAGCATTGCTTTGACCTTGATTAAAGTGTGAATTTTATTTAAAAGTGAAAATTGGCATTTTGGAGGCTATTTATAATGGTGTGATGGCAGTGTTTTTGTGTAGTACCCATTTGAAAGCCATATAACCACAAAAGGCATGTATTTTAAATGGGGCATCCTTTGGTAAGACAAGATTATTTAAAATATACATTTTAGTTACACAAATAATATCTGTAAAAAATTAAAGTGCAAATAAAGGTAGATCTTCCTGCCTATGTTTCCTCTTTCTACACTCCATCCCCAGAATAAGGAATATCATTTTATAGTTATTTTTTATTTTTATTTTTTGAGATGGAGTCTCACTGTGTCATCCAGGCTAGAGTGCAGTGGTGTGATCTCAGCTCACCACAACCTCCACCTCCTGGGTTCAAGCGATTCTCCTACCTCAGCCTCCCAAGTAGCTGGGATTGCAGGCATGTGCCACCACACCTGGCAAATTTTTATATTTTTAACAGAGACGGGGTTTTGTCATTTGGCCAAGCTGGTCTTGAACTCCTGACCTCAAGTGATCTCCCCTCCTCAGCCTCCCAAAGTGTGGGGATTACAGGCGTGAGCCACTGCACCCAGCCATTTCCTAGTTATTTAAGAATATATTTTACATGTATATACACATGTATATGTACCTGTGAAATATCTATAACAATGATAGTATATTCTGGGTATTCTACAAGCTACTTTGTGAGAGTTATGTTTTGGATATGTTTATCAGTACATGTGGATCTTCTGCATCCTTTTCTTCTTTTTTTTTTTTTTTTTTTTTTTTTAGACGGAGTCTCGCTCTGTCGCCCAGGCTGGAGTGCAGTGGTGGGATCTCGGCTCACTGCAAGCTCCGCCTCCCGGGTTCACGCCATTCTCCTGCCTCAGCCTCCCAAGTAGCTGGGACTACAGGCGCCCGCCACTACGCCCGGCTAATTTTTTGTATTTTTAGTAGAGACGGGGTTTCACCGTTTTAGCCGGGATGGTCTCGATCTCCTGACCTCGTGATCCGCCCGCCTCGGCCTCCCAAAGTGCTGGGATTACAGGCGTGAGCCACCGCGCCCGGCCTGCATCCTTTTCAAATGCTGTATATTATGAATGTACCATAGTTCATCTGACAGTTGCACGGCTATTCATTACTTGCTGTTGCATACAGCAATGTGACAAACATCTTTGTGTGATTCTCCTAGGCCACGTGTAAATGTCTTTCTAGGGTAGATTTGGGAGAGGAATTGCTGGAGCATACATAGCCAGCATTCTTCATATTTAAATCAATAAGTAGAATAGTGTTTGGCATGATTGACTAATTGTTTGTAAAATGAATTATGCATTTGCAATATTGTCATTTTAGTTAGGGAGTGCCAGTGTAAGTAAAACCAGTGATCTCAATACTGGCTGTGCATCAGAATTGCTTATGGAACTTTTTAGGTGTTACCACCCCCAGAGAGTGATTTCGTTGGTCTGTAAATCAGTACAGCTGTCCTTTAGCATGAAGAGTAAAATTAAATACAGAGGATGCATTCTGAGACTGTCTTAGAATGCCCAAATTACCCAGCGCTTAACTTAAATGTAGTTTACCTCATAAACTACGGTCAAATATAGCAAAAAATTTTGATCTTCTTTATGGACAGTTAATATGTTAATGACTTTTACCCTCCAAACACTTAGCATAGTAAATCTAATAAATAATTGTTTTAAGATTAGCAGAGAGGACAAAAGAAATTATTTGTAGAGGGATGGAGCAGCAAGATTATAAACTTGAAGTCTGAATACGACTGGATTTGTAGGTTTGCATCATAGCTTTTACAAATATTATGAATGTAAAGGAATGTCATTGAAAAATTTGAGGACATTTGAAAGTGGAGATGCATAGAACATAGTGGCTTAGAACCCAAACCCTATGTACAGACTGTCTTGGTACAGATTTTCCCTCTACCACAGTGGCTCTGTGATCTTTGACAAATTGCTTAGCCTTTTTGTACCTCAGTTTTCCTGTAAAATGAAGATAATGCGATAGTATTTATCTTACAGGGATATGGGAGTATCAACAGAATTATTATATGTAAAGCAAATAGATGCATGTCTGATACATTGTAACTGGTGTAAAATGCTTGTTGTTTCTGTTTCTACTTTGTATTAGGCAGTTCTTGCATTGCTATAACGGAATACCTGAGGCTGGGTAATTTTTAAAGAAAAGAGGTTTAATTGGCTCGCGGTTCTGCAGGCTTTACAAGCATGGGTCCAGCATCTGCTTCTGGTGAGGCCACAGGAACCTTACAATCATGGTGAAGGCAAAGGGAGAGCAGGTGGTTAGATGGGTTGCGTGGTAAGAGCTGGAGCAAGAGAGAGCGGGAGTAAGTGCCAGATACTTTTAAACAATCAGATCTCATGTGAACTCACTTGTCACCAAGGGAACAATGCTAAGCCATTCATGCGGGATCCATCCCAGTCCCCGTGATCCAAACACCTCCCAGCAGGCCCCACCTCCAAAACTGGGGATTACATTTCAGCAGGAGATTTGAAGTGGACAAATATCTAAACCACATATAATTTATTTGAAATACAATTATTATCCTGATATTTTAATGTCAAGCACTGTTTCATGCTTAAAATGCTGTTTCTTTTTTCTTTTCCTTTTCCTTTTTTTTTTTTTTTTTTTTTTGGAGACGGGGTCTCACTCTGTTGCCCAGTTTAGAGTGCAGTGGTACGATGTTGGCTTGCTGTAACCTCTGCCTTCCAGCTCATTCAATCCTCCCACCTCAGCCTCCCGAGTAGCTGGGATTATAGGCGTGCATCACCACACCCAGCTAATTTTTGATTTTTTTGTAGAGATAGGGTTTCGCTATGTTGCCCAGGCTGGTCTGGAACTCCTGGGCTCAAGCAATCCTCCTGCCTCGGGCTTCCAAAGTGCTGGGATTACAGGCTGGAGCCACAGCACCTGGCCAAAATACTGTTTCAGTGTGATTGGAAACCAGCAACTCAGTACATGGCCAAAGCTGATAAAAATGAAGAACTTGGATCCTGGAATATTGACTCAGGGTAACTTTATTATAACAAAGCTAAGACTCTTGTATGTCCTTGCTGTGTTTAAGACCCTGTATGTTGATTCTTGCTTATTAAATTGAAGAACGAGTTTAGATTTTTAGTTGGTGCCTATGTGGGAAACCTCACAAACAGCAAGACAGGAATAAAGTAGACCCAGCCCATTTGGCTGAAGTGTTTGTGGTACTTCATAATATTGTATAAAGCACCAAAGTCTTGAAAGTAGATTTTACTATTACTTGCTGCAGTGAAAGATATTTTTGTAGAAATAAGGGACTACTGATGCTCGAGGTGAGAATTTTAGGATTTACAAATGAGAGAAGTGATAATTGGCAAAGCTCCTGAGGGGTACTGTGTGGGAGTACAGACACAAAATGAATTGTGGTGAATTGACAAGCCTTATAAATAGCTCCATGAAGTTTAATATTTTTCCCCCAGCATGATATAAGATTTTTTAATTTTGCTTTTAAATCTCAATCACCTGTTGAATCTTTAAATTTGACTGTATAGTTGGTTATGTTTCTGCCATACTTAAAAGTAGGATTTCTTTGTATGGCACAGAAGGTGTTCTGGGAACAGCTCTGCCATTATCTCTGGCTTCATTTCTTACCAGTACCTGCTTAAGTCATGCCAGCCACCAAAACCACTAAGATGGCGTACACGAGAGGTTCTCTGTAGCTTTGCATGTACCATTTTTTTCTGTTTGGAGTGGGCCCAGTGTTAATTTCTTCACTTGGCAAAGTCATTCTGACCTTTATAACCAAGCCCAAATGACCTTGATGACCACTCCCTTTCCCTGGTCAGATTGATAACTATCTCCTTTCATGCTCGGCAGCACAGCTGTGGATTTAGGCTTTGGTGTTAGACCGCCCCGGTTTCTTATCCTGGCTTAGTTACATACTAGCTCTGCAGTTTTTCTTTAAAAAACAAACAAACAAAAAAAACAAACAAAAAACGCCCAAGTAACTTGTCAGCATTGTAATCATTTTTTGTTTGTTTGTTTGTTTTGAGACAGGGTCCCTGTCTCCCAGCCTGTCTCCCAGGTTGAAGTGCAGTGGCACCATCACGGCTCACTATAGCGTTGACTTTCTGGGCTCAGCCTCCACTTCAGTCTCTTGAGTAGCTGGGACCACAGGCGTACACCACCACTCCTGGCTAGTTTTTTTTTTGTATTTTTTGTAGAAACGGTGTCTCACCATGTTACCTAGGCTGGTCTCGAACTCCTGGGCTCAAACGACTTGCCTGCCTCGGTTTTAATCATTTTAAAGTGTACAATTTAATAGCTTTTAGCATATTCACAATATTTTGAAACTACCACTATTACATAATTCTAGAACATTTTCATCACCTCAAAGAGAACCTCTTTGTGTTAGCAAACACTCCTCATTCCCACCCTGCCCTACCCGCAATCACTAATCTACTTTCTGTGTTGATGGATTTCTCTATTCTGGACAATTTACACACATGAAATCATATAATATTTGTTATGTGCCTGGCTTCTTTCACTTAGCATAATGTTTTCAGCGTTCAGCCATACGGTAGCATGTATTAGTACTCTTTCTTTTACATATGTATATACCACATTTTATTTAACATTCCTCAATTGATGGACATATGAGTTCCCACTTTTTGATTATTATGAGTAATGCTGCTGTGAACATTTGTGTACAAGTTTTTGTGTGAAGAGTAAGAATATATGTTTTATTTCCCTTGGGTATATACCTAGGAGGAGAATTGTTGGGTCATATGGTAACTCTGTAACTCTTGTAAGAATTGCCAGCGTGTTTCCAAAGCTGCACCATTTAACTTTCCCACCAGCCATGCCTGAAGTCTCGAAATTCTCTGTCTCCTCACCAATAATAGGTATTATCTGTCTTTTCGATTATAGCCCTCTTGGTTGTGAAGTGGTATTTCACTGTTACTTTGATTTGCATTTCTGTGTGATGACAAATGATGTGGAGCATCTTTTTGTGTGCTTATTAGCTACTTGTTTTTCTTCTTTTGGCACATGTATATTTAAATCCCTTGCCCACTTTATCATTGGGTTGTTGGGTTTTTAAATTGATTGTTAAGAGTTCTTTATATATTCTGGATGCTAGTTTTTTTTTTTATCAGTTACGTGATTTACAAATATTTTCTCCCATCTTGTGGGTTTTCTTTTTACTTTCTTGATAATGCATTTTATTTTATTTTATAATTTAATGTATTTTATTTTTTGAGACAGAGTCTCACTCTGTTGCCCAGGCTGGAATGCAGTGGCACAATCTCGGCTCACTGCAACCTCCGCTTCCCAGGTTCAAGTGATTCTCATGCCTCAGTCCCCCGAGTAGCTGGGATTACAGATGTTTACCACTAAACCTGGCTAATTTTTGTATTTTTAATAGAGACAGGGTTTTGCCATGTTGGGCAGGCTTGCCTCAAGTGATCCGCCCACCTTGGCCTCCCAATGCACAGAGATTACAGGTATGAGCCTCTGCCCCTGGCCCTTTGATAATGTCTTTTAATGCACAAATGTTTTTAATTTTTATGATGTTAAGTTTATTTATCTATTCTTTTATTCCTTGTGCTTTTCATGTCATACCTAAGAAACTGTAGCCTCTTCTAAGGTTATGAAGATTCATTTCTATGTCTTCTTCTAAGAGTTTAATAGTTTTAGCCTTTATATTTAGCTGTTTGATCCATTTTGAACTGATTTTTGTATATGGTGTGAAGGGGAACTCTGGCTTCATTCTCCTGCATGTGAATATCCAGTTGTCTATCACCATTTGCTGAAGAGAGTATTCTTTTCCCATTAGATGGTCTTGGCACCCTGTTGAAAAATCACTTGATTGTAATGTGAGGGTTTATTTCTGGACTTTCCGTTATCTTTCATTGATTTAAATGTCCACCCTTAGGCCTCTTTCCTCACACTTTTCATTCCTATAGCTTTGTGTAGTCAGTTTTGAAGCCAAAACTGACTACGAAGTGTGAGTCCTCCAACTTTTTCTTTTTTCAAGATTGTTTTGGCTATTCATTGTACCTTGCATTTCTACATGAATTTGATGATCAGCTTGTTTGTGTCTGCAAAAAAGGCAGTTGGAATTTTTATCGGGGGATTATGTTGAATTTGTGGATTAATTTGGGGAATATTGCCATCTTAACAATATTAAATCTTCCCATCCACGAACACAGGATATCTTTCCATTTATTCAGGTCTTTCATTTCTTTCAACAGTGTTCTATAGTTTTCAGTGTACAAGCCTTGTACTTCCTTGGTTGAATTTATTTGTAAATATTTTATTCTTTTTGCTGCTTTTGTAAGTGAAACTGTTTAGCTTTGGGATCTTTTTTTTTTTTTTACCTTAGCAACAGGGTCTCAGTGTGTTGCTGAGGGTGGAGTGCAGTGACTATCCACAGGTGTGATGATAGTGCATTATATCCTTAAACTTCAAGGCTCAAGTGATCCTCCTGCCTCAGTCTCCACGTAGCTAGGACTGCAGGCATGTGCCACTGCAACTGGTGGGTAGCGCTGGAGTCTTGAGCAAATTTAACTTTTAGTTTCTATGCATGTTAAATGGAAATTATTAGGTTGGTGCAAATGTAATTGCGGTTTTTGCAGTTGAAAGTTAGGAGGCCAGGCGTGGTTGCTCATGCTTGTAATCCCAGCACTTTGGGCGGCCGAGGTGGATAGATCACTTGAGGTCAGGAGTTTGAGACCAGCCCAGCTAACATGGTGAAACCCATCTCTACTAAAAATACAAAAATTAGCTGGGCGTGATGGTCAGTGCCTGTAATCCCAGCTACTCGGGAGGCTGAGACAGGAGAATCACTTGAACCTGGGAGGTGGAGGTTGCAGTGAGCTGAGATCGCGCTACTATACTCCAGCCTGGGCGACCTAGAGAGACTCCTGTCTCAGAAAAAGCGGGGGAAAAACCAAACAACAAATACAACAACAAAAAGAAAAAAAAGAAGGAAGAAATGGGTTGAAAGTTAATGTAAGTTGAGAGTTAGGGGCACTAACTCTTATGCCTTATAAACAAGGTTTTTTTTTTTTTTTTTTTTTTTTTTTTTTTTTTTTTTGAGATGGAGTCTTCGCTCTGTCGCCCAGGCTGGAGTGCAGTGGCGCTATCTCGGCTCACTGCAAACTCTGCCTCCTGGGTTCACGCCATTCTCCTGCGTCAGCCTCCTGAGTAGCTGGGACTACAGGTGCCCGCCACCACGCCCGGCTAATTTTTTGTATTTTTAGTAGAGACGGGGTTTCACTGTGTTAGCCTGGATGGTCTTGATCTCCTGACCTCGTGATCCACCCGCCTCGGCCTCCCAAAGTGCTAGGATTACAGGGGTGAGCCACTGTGCCCGGCCCCCCCCCCCTTTTTTTTAATGACTTGTTTTCTTATACATGTAAATAGCCTCCCACAATCATTTTACCACCTCTTAACATAATGAAGTTTGTTTTTGAGATGATTTGAGTGGGTGTTGGCTTACCAAAGAAGTTAGAAATCAGGCATTCATTGCCTTGGTGAATTCACAGTTGTTTGTATGCAAAAATTGCAAATAATAATAAAATAAATAATAACATCTTAATTTTTGACTTTTTTTTTTTTTTGAAGACAGTCTCACTCTGTCACCCAGGATGGCATGCAGTGGTGTGATCTCAGTCTTCGCTCTCACTGCAACCTCTGCCTCCCAGGTTCAAGCGATTCTTGTGCCTCAGCCTCTCCAGTAGCTGGGATGACAGGTGTGCACCACCACACCCGGCTAATTTTTGTATTTTTAGTAGAGATGGAGTTTCACCATATTATCCAGGCTGGTTTCGAACTTCTGACCTGAAGCAATCTGCCCACTTCAGCCTCCCAAAGTACTGGGGTACAGGCGTGAGCCACTGCGCTCAGCTTAATTTTTGACTTTGTACATCCCAATATCAGTGAACCAAGTAGTTTCAGTTGTCTGTTAATATCTGGTATGAAAAAACTGTCTCTTAAGATTATAAAAATACTTATTTTTTCTGAATATTACTCTATGATATAATCTGTAAAATTTATGTATTTTATCAGTAAAATAAATGATATTCATATATTAAGAATAATGCAGGAAAAGCTTTAAAACTTGGCCTCCTGCTGAACACAGCATTGGGTTTCACCTTGAGTTTGGTAACAGCTCACAGTTATCTAAGAACTTGTGTTACTTCTACTGTCTACTTGACAGAGTCAGGGTAAAAGAGGCTTTGTTCTGTTGAGGGGCTGGATTAACTATTAATGATACTTTGTCATAGTGAGAAACCTTTAGATAGTTTTCAGAGATTGGTTTCACCACATTTCATTGCTAACGGGAGTAATTGTGAGGCTAATAAAATTAGAAATTTATTTAATACATTGTTGTATTTAGTTCTCAAATTTTATACCGAAACACTGGTAACAAACAGTTCTGGTGAACTGTGAGGTTTTAGTGTATCCATGCAGCCTTTAGGCTGGGTGGTCTGAGCTTCCTCTCTGTCTTCTTGCTTGTTGGCTTTTGTTCACACCCTCCTGGGGGTAGGGGGAATAGGGATCCCACTTTTGGAGAGAATGACTCACTTTTCTTGCCAGAACTTAGAAATCAGCAGCAAACCCCTTTCCTTTTGAACTAGTATTTCTCTTGGGTTATAAATTTTGCTTGGAATAATAATTTTAAAAGTGACAGAAAAACATTTTCTCTCAAACAGAGTTTCTCATAAGTAGTAGCAGCAGCTATCTAAATCAGAAACCTAACCAGCCTGAGACTACCTCCTTTTCCTTCTTCATTCTCTTCTGCCTGCGCCAACACCGCTCCCTCCTCCCCCCGCCGCCCGCCCTCTGGCACCCCCACTGTAAAGTTTGGAGCGAACATGACATAGTCTGTGGGCACTGTGTTCAGGAGCACAAATGATCTTGCTTTGGAATTGCAGCAGGGGAAAGCTGGTACTGGCAAAGGCTACGTTTAAGGAAGGGGGTGGAACTGGGACTTCATCTTGAAAAATGAAATCACAATCTGAAAGTAAGCCTATTTTATTTAAAAATCTTAAATTGTAATAGAAAATATGTACTTATTTTTAGAATGAACAAAGATTATACCAAGTGTTGATTGTTTTTGGTGTGCATTTCCATACTAAGTTGTATAATAACATGATTGGACATCTTTTAGGTTATAATGCAGCCATAATGAAGAGCATTTTTACAAATTACTTTTTTCTTCTTTTTCTTTCTCTCTCTCCTTTCCTTCGCCTTCCCCTTTCTCCTTTCCCCTTCCGCCTTCTGCCTTCCCCTTTTCCCCTTTCCTTTTCCCCCTTTCCCCTTTCCTCTTTCCTTTCTTCTTTTTCTTTCCTTCTTCACGGAGTCTGGCTCTGTCGCCCAGGCTGGTGTGCAGTGGTACAGTCTCAGCTCACCACAACCTCTGCCTCCCAGGTCCAAACGATTCTCCTGCCTCAGCTTCCCAAGTAGCTCAGACTACAGGCACATGCCACCACTCCCGGCTATTTTTTTTTTTTTTTTTTTGTATTTTTATTAGAGATGGGGTTCACCGTGTTGGCCAGGCTGGTCTCGAACTGCGGACCTCAGGTCATCCACCAGCCTTGGCCTCCCAAAGTGCTGGGATTACAGTTGTGAGCCACTGCGCCCAGCCTCATTTTTGCAAATTGTTTAAGGGCTTTGTTATGTATTCTCTAATAATCAAATAATTATCTTTTTTTTTTTTTTTTTGAGACAGAATCTCGCTGTGTCGCCCAGGCTGGAGTGCAGTAGCGTGATCTCAGCTCACTGCAACCTCTGCCTCCGGGTTCAAGCTATTCTCCTGCCTCAGCCTCCTGAGTAGCTGGGATTATAGGCATGCTCCACCACACCTGGTTAATTTTTGTATTTTTAATAGAGACGGGTTTTCACCTTGTTGGCCAGGCTGGTTTCGAATTCCTGATCTCAAGTGATCTGCCTGCCTCAGCCTCCCAAAGTGCTGGGATTGCAGGCATGAGCCCCACCGCGCCTGGCCTCAAATAATTATTCTTGAGCCACTTAGCATGTTATTGTCCTTGTTGATTTTTCTCTTCATTTACAAACCTCATAACCTGCTCCTCTATCCTCATTTATCATTGATTTTGCCTGGCTTTCTAGAATTTCTTTAGTATTTTCTGTCAACTTTGTCACTTTTTTCATCCTTTGCAGATTTTAAGTTTTCACTTGGCTCTAGATTTGTATTTTATTGAATTGTTAGACTGTGTGATTATTAATGAGAGAGTGACAAAGGATTTTGATGGGTGGGGATAAAAGTTAGTGATAATTGGGGATAGTTTTTTGAATGTTCAGTTTACCAATGATGATTTTTATGTTTTGCAGAATTTCTGCTTTTCTGTGAATTCTCATAACAGAGGACTTCAGTAATGAACACTGGGATAACAGGGACTCCCTTTTAAGGCTAGACTGGCCTTAGCAGATGTTGGTCAGTTAATCATCCACCCTCCTAGATTACGCAGAGGAATTGCTTTATTCTTGCACCTTTGTGAACATTCACTTATGAGTCAGTCAGTTTTGAATCAGGACCTCAATACTTGGCTTCAGATAGCAGTATTAGAAATTGGCACCTGAGCCAGAAAAGCCTTTGCGGGCCTTTTGCATTTCAGCGAGAAGTCTCTTAAAAATACCAAGTTGGGCCGGGCGCAGTGGCTCACGCCTGTAATCCCAGCACTTTGGGAGGCTGAGCTGGGTGGATCATGAGGTCAGGAGATCAAGACCATCCCGGCTAACACAGTGAAACACCATCTCTCCTAAAAATACAAAAAATTAGCCGGACGTGGTAGTGGGCGCCTGTAGTCCCAGCTACTCGGGAGGCTGAGACAGGAGACTGGTGTGAACCCGGGAGGCGGAGCTTGCAGTGAGCGGAGATCACGCCACTGCACTCCAGCCTGGGCGACAGAGTGAGACTCTGTCTCAAAAAAAAAATAATAATAATAAGTTGGAGACACCAAGAAGGGCTCCATAAGCGTGTATCCTGAGGCAGTAGAATGTGTAAACATGTGAAATAGAGAGAAGAAGCAGTTAATTGGTAGTGGCAGGAGAAGTAGAGTTAGGATGGGAGAGGTGTTGAAACCCTAGAATAGTGGAGCATTAAGGTGGAGAACCATCCCACTGAACACCTGGAAATATTGATTTGGGAGCTGCTCTGACTTCTGAAGAAGCGTGTGGTTTTGAAGCCTGCTGAGGCATTTTCCTCTTAACTTCTAGGTATATTCTTGCAGTATTCCCTGTCATTTCAGGCAACCTTAACACGTATTTGTTTCTTTTCTTTTCAGACAGATTCTTGCTCTGTTGCCCAGAGTGGAGTGCAGTGGTGCAGTCTTGGTAAACTGCAGCTTCAACCTCTTGGGCCCAAGTGATCCTGCCATCTCAGCCTCCTAAGTAGCTGAACCACACGTGCATGTCACCATGCTTACCTAATTTTTTTTTTTTTTTTAAGAGATGAAGTCTCACTATGTTGCCCAGGCTGGTCTTGAACTCTTGGGCTTAAGCGGTCCTTCTGCCTTGGGCTCCTTAATTGTTGGGATTACATGTGTGAGCCACCTTGACCAGCTGCATTTGTTTGTCATAGTCTAAAGTGGCTCCAGATAAATGTAAGGCACGAATTAATTTTTAAAAATCTTCCTTATGGGCCAGAAGTGGTGGCTCATGCCTTCAATCCTGGCACTTTGAGGGGGCCAAGGTGGGAGGATCGGTTGAGCCCAGGAGTTCAAGACCAGCCTCGGCAACATAGCGAGACCCTGTCTCTACCAAAAAAAAAAATTAGCCAAGCATAGTGGTGTGCATCTGTAGTTGTAACTACTCAGGAGGCTGAGGTAGAGGATTGCTTGAGCCCAGGAGTTTGAGATCCCAGTGAGCTATCGTTGCACCACTGCACTCCAGCTTCGGTGACAGAGCAAGACTCTGTCCCTCTAAAAAAAAAAAATATATATATATCCTCCTCATGTACACCCCAAACAAAATTAAGTTTGTGGATGATTATGTAAAGAATTTGGCAAGTGAAAGGAAGTTTATTAAATTTGCCAGAATGATTCCCATTGAAAAAGGATGTAGCTCTAATTATTTAGGTAGAATAATCTGCCCAGTTATTATGTCTTTTTAAATTTCCACTTGACAAAAGTCAGGGTCCTCATGCCCAGGTTTAGTGATCTGAATGACAAAGGAGCATATCATGCCCACAGCTTCTGTGTGTTCTTATGTTCCCCTCACTCCTAGGATTCTAGGTTGATTCAGGGCGGCTCCGTTTTTCTCCTAGGATGTCTGTATCTTTGAAGCACCACCCCATGGGACATCATTTTGAGTAGAGTTACTGGTAATCTGCTACTCCTCATCAGGGTTCCAGGGGCTTGGCTTAGTGCTGTACTGATAGCCCTTAGTTAGTGGTCTGGGAGCCTTAAACTTACAGTGTGTTACAACGTAGACAGGTGAAGCATTAGAGCTCCTAGGCCATTAACTGAAGAGTTAAAAACTGTTCATCTTCATAAGGAGTTTGAGTATCTTTTAAGGTGTGAGTAAAAACAAGAATAAAAGAGTTATGAGGAAGATCTGTAGGTTGGATGCAAGAGAATGAATGGGGGAAATCACAGTGAATTGTTGGCTTTGAGGGATGTATAAAGGGGATGAATAAGAAGAGTATCATGCCCCAGATGATTAGTTGTTTCAATCAAGAAAGTTGATTAATAAGGATAATTTGAATTGATTGGAGATAAAAGAAAATAGCATTTTAAAAGCTGATTTAAAATAAGATTGAAATGTCCTACTGTTACCAAAATGCCAGGGGTTTGGTCTAGGTCCTGCTGCTCTCCACAAGGAAAGCCAATCACTGGCTGGGTGCTGTGGCTCATGCTTATACTCCCAGCACTTTGGGAGGCTGAGGCGGGTGGATCACTTGAGGTCAGTTTGAGACCAGCCTAGCCAACATGGTGAAACCCCCGTCTCTACTAAAAATACAAAAATTTGTCAGGCGTGGTGGCGGGTGCTTGTAATCCCAGCTATCCCGGAGGCTGAGGCAGGAGAAATGCTTGAACCTGGGAGGCGGAGGTTATAGTGAGCCGAGATTGCGCCATCCAGCTTGGGCGACAGAGTGAGACTTTGTCTTCAAGGAAAAAAAAAAAAGCCAATCACTGAAAGAACAAGTATTACCGAGGAAGAAGGCTTTAATTGGATGCTGCAGCAAGGAGATGGGAGCTCAGTCTCAAATCCATCTCCCAGACTAAAACCAGAGCTTGATATAGCAGGGAAGAAATGTAACAGTGTGTAAGAAAATAGGAACTAGGGAGGGGCAAGGAAGCAATCATGATGAATGAGGGATCCAAAGTGTCATTGTCTGGATGTGGTGATTTGGTGAGTTTCAGTTTTTTTTTTTTCTTTCTTTGAGGTGGAGCCCCACGCACATAGATGGCTCTCTGTGGTCTCCCTATTCATCCGTCTTTTTATACTTTTTTTTTTGAGACGGAGTCTTGCTCTGTCTCCCAGCTTGGAGTGCAGTGGTGTGATCTCGGCTCACTGCAACCTGCAGCTCCCGGGTTGAAGCGATTCTCCTGCCTCAGCCTCCCGAGTAGCTGGGATTACAGGCATCTGCCACCACGCCAGGCTAATTTTTGTATTTTTAGTAGAGTTGGTGTTTCACCATCTTGGCCAGGCCGGTCTTGAACTCCTGACCTCAAATGATCCGCCCACGTGGGCCTCCCAAAGTGCTGGGATTACAGGCATGAGCCACTGTGCCTGGCCTTCAGTTCTTTGAGAGAGAGAGAGAGGGAATTTATTGTTAATTTTTTTTTGGAGGCTTGAGGGTCCTTTGCTGAGGAAGGAACTTAGATAAAACATACTTGTATTACGCTTTAAGACCAGAAAGGTCAGTTTCTGTGTTTATCCAAAAGAACAGCCTATGGGACTATTGGGTGGGTTTTACTATTTGGGTTGTTGAAGTTCTTGGAAATTTTACTGTAGGTCTCAGCAACAGTAATCTTCTGGAGAAGATGAAGAATGTGATTGCCTCCAGTATCTTTTTGCCCCTTAGATTTCCCCTTTATAAATTCATGTGGTTCAGCTATGAGATGATCTGAGGATCAGTCTAGTTCTAAAATTGCTTGGATCTTTGGTTAAGTGTATCTGGAAATGTATATTTAAGAATAAATTAATGTAGCTCAATTGTAACTAACATTAGATTGACTGTAACAGGCTGAGAAGACTATGAAGGTGTCAACAACCAGTGTCTGATATGCCAGGCTGTCTGAATTGAACATTCAGGTGCCTGTCGTTAGGGAAGCAATGGTCTCATGGGGACTGAAACAAGTAATTTATATATTTTAGTAATTTGGTAATGCAAATACAGAGACGTAGAGGAGGTGAACTTAATTCTGGGAATGTGTTTGTGTGGAGGTAACATTTGGGACTGAGATTAGAAAAGTGAGTTGGGTAGCTAGGCGTGGTGGTGCCCACCTGTAATCCCAGCTACTCGGGGGGCTGAGGCAGGAGAATCGCTTGAATTTGGGAGGCAGAAGTTGCAGTGAGCTGAGATTCCACCACTGCACTCCACCCTGGGTGGCAGAACGAGACTCTGTCTCAAAAAAAAAAAAGAAAAAAAGAAAAAGAAAAAACGAGTTGGGTGTACAAGGGAGACGACTGAACGGTGGTATTCCAGGGAGAGGAAACTGTATACGAAAAGATTTAGTGGCGTGAAAAAGCATGGCATGCTTGGGGAGCCACGTAGACTAGAGCTCAGTATTTCCAGAGCGTATGATATAAAAAAGAGAGAATGGAGGGAAAGATAATTCTTTTTTCTTTTTTTTTTTTGAGACGGAGTCTCTCTCTGTCACCCAGGTTGGAGTGCAGTGGCGCGATCTCTGCTCACTGCAACCTCCGCCTCCCGGGTTCATGCCATTCTCCTGCCTCAGCCTCCTGAGTAGCTGGGACTACAGGCGCCTGCCACCACGCCTGGCTAATTTTTTGTATTTTTAGTAGAGACGGAGTTTCACCATGTTAGCCAGGATGGTCTCTATCTCCTGACCTTCGTGATTTGCCTACCTCAGCCTCCCAAGGTGCTGGGATTACAGGCGTGAGCCACCGCGCCCGGCCGGGAAAGATATTTCAAATGAGATTGGGGGAACTAGCCTGGGATCCCTCAAACATTTCAGGTTTGGTACGGCAATGGTGTTGCTGTTCACTGAGATCAGGAGTATATAAGAAGACATTAGGCTTATAAGTTTATGGGTTCAATTTTAGACATCGCATTCAAGCCATGCAGAGACTGTCTAGGTGAAAATGGAGGATATGTGGTTCTGGGTTGTAGGAGAGAATATTGGGCTGGAAACTAAGTTACCGTTATCATCAATGCCCTGTAGTTCTTGATGGCAAGGGTGTATGTAGACAGAAGGATCAGTGAGTGAAAAGAGGGTCCTTACAGGTATTACCAGCATTTAAGGGCTGCATGGAAGATAACGGTCTTGCAAAGTACCCAGAGTTAGAAGGAGAAAGCAAATGTAAAAGCATTAAAAAAAAGCCACAAAAACTTATGTCCTCCTATAATGTTATTTAGCAGTTAAGAAACAAAATTATGACTAAAAATAAAAGCAACCATAATTTAAAATATATTTATTCAAACTACACAGGAACTGCTTGCCTGTTTTCTGTGTGAAATAAGCAAGTGTGGTCTTGAGGTGGGAGTAGGGCAGATGGTAAAGGATTGATTAAAGGCTGAGATGTAG
The DNA here is from genome assembly GCF_000001405.40 of Homo sapiens. Lineage (NCBI taxonomy): Eukaryota > Metazoa > Chordata > Mammalia > Primates > Hominidae > Homo > Homo sapiens. The sequence goes on along the minus strand of NC_000007.14, from coordinate 105,272,303 downwards.
AAGGAGCTGTTGAGTGTACTGTCAAGCATTTTCAGATTACATCCATAGGGAATACAACTGTTAAATAATCAGGTTGATGGACTTTTTTTTGCACTCACTGGTCTAAATGTATACATGGAGACAGTGGGTGCTGCTTTGGAAGAACCATGAAGTGGTGGGCAAGAGAGTCATTTTAGAATTGTGAAGATGTGTCATTTTAAAATGACAAGAGAGTCATTTTAAAATCTGACTTGTAAAAGCAGACTGGATCTCTATATCAATTAATGTAACAAAATCTAGAAGGTTCTAAGATTTACATGCAAATACTATTATAAAGCATATTAGAGGAAAATTGGATGAAAAATTTAAAAACTTTGGTGTGAGGAAGGTGTTTCTAAGTTTGTTTCTAAGTTTATCAGGAAGGCCAGAATTTAACAAGGAAAAGATTGGTTGACTTTATTGCAGAAAAATAAAGCATATAGGGTCCCAGATACTACCCTGGAAGTAATTGAATAAAATTCCAAAACAACTGACTAATTGAGGGGGAAAGTGTTTGCGGTGTGTGTAAGAAAGTGTCCTGAGCATGGTCAAGGGAACGGATGGCTCAAGAGGTAGAGGTTCAAGAGTCTGTGGACTGAGGAGCCTGGAGTCGATAGCCAAGCCTTTTCTAATAAGTCATATCAGTATGGACATCCAGGTACCCCCGATTATGGCAGGTGTTGTGGTGGAATGGAAATCAGTTAAATGGCTTCTGGAATTCTTCACGAATGTGGGGAATTACCAGACCTATGGATGATAAGGACAGGGAGGAGTTGATGGTAGCATAGACAGAGTATGTGGGCCTCAAAGGATACAGTATCATAGTGTTAACGTTCCTTGATTTCTGAGTCCTTCTGGAGCGATGAACAAATCTGAAGGTTTAGAGATAAGGTGAAAATGAAGTTGGAAACCTTTTCATGTATTATTAGAATCCTCTTTGGTTTGGGGCTTCCAGTGTCACCAGTCAGAATATGGTTTATAGCTTGAACTTTTCTTTCCAGTGTTTACAAGATAGGCATTAACTTCGTTAGAGCTGTGTAATTTAATCTTGGGCTTTTTCATCTTAAGTGCATTGATATACGTACGTATACTGAAGTGTGAACTTTTTGTTGTTTTGGAATACAAAATTGCCATGATGAAGATGGATTCAAGTGTAATCTCTTTTCTGAAGCAGCAAGTTGATACATGGAGCACAATTCTCTAGGAAGGGAGGCTGAGATACAGATTAAAGTTAAGTTCCCACCTACAATAACACTACAGTGATAAAAATGGGGATGTTGAGGTTGATGATAAGAAGGAGAAGGTGGATTTAAACTATGGAAAAACCATTTAACATTGGACAGGCCTGGTATCCTTCATTAACTAATTCAGTAAATATTTATTGAGAGATGAAGCAGGGAGGGCTCATGGCATCCCAGGCACAATACTACTTTATTTTCATGGGTTATTTCATTAAATCCTTGCCACAGCCTTTCAGATATATGTTATTATCCTCATTTTACAGGAGAGGAGATAGAGGCTTTAGAGAGTTTAAGTAATTTCTCCAAGGTCATACAGCTATTAAAAATGGCAGAGGAGGCCTGGTGCTGTGGCTCATACCTGTAATCCCAGCACTTTGGGAGGCTGAGGTGGGCGCATCATCTGAGGTCAGGAGTTCAAGACCAGCCTGACCAACATGGTGAAACCCTGTCTCTACTAAAAAGACAAAAAATTAGCTGGGTATGGTGGCGGGCGCCTGTAATCCCAGCTACCCGGGAGGCTGAGACAGGAGAATCGCTTGAACCCGGGAGGCGGAGGTTGCAGTGAGCCGAGATTGTGCCATTGCACTCTAGCCTGGGCAACGAGTGAAATTCCATCTCAAAAAAAAAAAAAAAAGGGCAGAGGAGGCTGTTCCTAAATCCAAGGCAGAGTCTGAGCTCTGACACCCTGCTCCTTCCAAAATGAGGGGAGGGGCCCTGCTGAGGGCTCACTGTGGCGCCATGTGCCTGATCCTCAAGGTGAGTCTCAGCACCACCCCAGCTATAGGCGCTGTGCTCTGCTCTCCCAGTGGCTCGGCAGCTTGGCTACACCCTGTGGTAGATTCTGCTCTCTCATCAGGTATTCATGCCGCTTTTATAATGCTCATTGAAGTTATAAGCTTAAAAATTTGGGAAAAATCCTTATTTTAACAACGCTGAGAGGATATTTCTGTACAGGTCCATTGTATTTTATGGAACTAATTTTTATTCCTTTTTCCTTTACATCTTCTCATATTCAACTTTGATTTATATAGTCAACATTTTAAAAAAAATTTGCTTTACTGCTTAAAAAACTATTGAGGTCTATTTTGAAATCCTGGTACTGTTGATAGCATTTTATTGGCACTAATTTATTTTTTAGTATGTGAACTTTTTATTATGAAAGCACACTTCAGTTTTAAAAATCCAGTTGGAAATACTTATTAGGGATAGGAAAACAGCTTTACACATGAAATAGTCTGGGTAATAGGACCATGTCAGTTTTATTAACTTAAAATTATGTGCTTTAGTCAGTCGTTGATGTTTTAAAGGAAACGTGTTAGATTGTCTCCTTATCTTTTCCCTCTCTTATTTTCACCCTTCCTTCCCTTTTAGTCTGTTATCTCCCTTCCAAATCAGTATCAGCAATTATCTTTTAATTAAGTTGAACTGGTGCTTACATTCCTGTTGTAGATGTCTATTGTCAATCCTTTCCTAAAAGGACAAATATATTATCTCTGCTCGGTAAATGGGTGTTGCTGTTCACTTGTACTGTACTGCTAAGGAGGAGGGGAAAATTAAGGTATAAAATCAGAAGTCTCTTTCTAGAGGAGTTAGGAACACTAGATATTAAATGTGTCTTTAATTAAACACAATCAAGAAATTAAAACAAAGGTTAAACATTTTGAAATCTATACATCGGGGTTCTGGTTTAATATTTCATTCTTAAGTGACAAAAATGATTCACTGAGCCATATTTTTTAGGGCTAGTGAAATAGAAACAGCCAAGGGTTGCATATCTGTTTATTACAGCCTGTGACGTGATTACCCAGGCTTCTCAAATTATCTAGTATATTTAATTCAGATGTTCAAGATTTCTTGTTTGTATTTTATTTTGCTAAATTGAAAATCATCTTGTAGAACCATGCTAGTTCTACCTTAAAAAAGAAAACACCCCTCTGCTTTAAAGAAATGGTACTTCCTGCTTTCATAAACAGTCATGTGCATAGTTTAGCAAGGCCTGATGCCTCTGGAGCTTTTTCCCTTTATAGCACCATTGAATCCCAGTCCTAACAGAAGTACTGCGAATCTTGTGGCCTCATTCTGAACAAAAGGGATTAGAGAAGAAAAATCTCTTGATATAAGGCTTGAAAGCAAGGGCAGGCAATCTTGGTTGTGAATATTTTCTGATTTTTCCAGAAATCAAGCAGAAGATTGAGCTGCTGATGTCAGTTAACTCTGAGAAGTCGTCCTCTTCAGAAAGGTACAGCTACATCTCTTGCATGAACAATTAATGGTGTAGCATTGCTAAGAAACAAACCAGGACATATTTTTTTTTCTTGTCAAGTTTGCTATATAACGTATTGTCCTGCATGCTGGTATTGTGCTGTATTGAAGATGTGTATTGGGGCAAGCTGTTCTGCTTTTGCAAAGGGTGATTGATTTTTTTAAGAAAAATAGTGGAGCCTGATCAGCTGCAGCATGCACACCATAACACAGCAGACCGCTGGTTCATGTGTGACAGCTGTTGAAGGCTTTAAAAATAATTTAGCTAAAAAGCAGAAAAGAAAAATCTTGCTTTTTTAAAGGGAAATGCTGTGAGGTTTTCTTCCTATATGTTGAGGTTGCTGCTCTACAGAATTACGAAGGTTATTTGTAAAATGTAGGTTAAAAATACTTGATTTTGGGTTGTAATAAATATTTATTCTTATATGGTAAGGGAGTGCCATTTGTAAATAGCTTAGGAATTGCAAACCCACAGATTAGTCACATTCTGTAAGAGAGATATGATGCTTCTTCAAGTCTGTGCTAGGAAATGGAACAGTCACTGCATGCAGTAATGGTTCATGCCTGCAGGTAAGGACAAAATGACTCAGAAGTATTTTTAAAGCAATTATTTTATCTGTCAATCATATGATTATATCTGAAAAGAGATATTTCATTAAAATGACTGTTTTGCCTTATAAAAAGAATTAAGATATTTTTATCTGAAGTCAGAAATAAGGCTATAGTTGCCTATTTTGATATGCAAATATTGTATACAGTTCTGTTTACCAAAATAGTGTATACTACATGATGTCTTAAATTGAGATTCCTGGGCATACAGTTGATGCTTACCTTTCTCTTGGTTACCTAATAGGTTATACTTAATATTGATATTTTATACTTAAGGTATATGTTGATTTATCTTTTCTAGGGTTTGCAGGGTTATCTTTTTTGTTCATAGATGTAATATTTAGAAAAATAATGGAGAAATAATGTGGTAGTTAAGGAATGATACAGAAAAAATACAAAAAAAATGAGTTGAAGAACCTACCATGGTAAAATGGATTTATTTAAAGTATGCTAGTATATGAAGGACATAATCTGATGTAAAATTATCATTTTAAATTGATTTATTAGTATAATCAGGGGAAAAAGCTTATGGCTCTAACTTAGGGCATCACAAATAAAAATGATGTTACTGCTTTTGTTAGAGACTGAAAGTAGAAAATTTTAGGACTGCTAGTGTTTATTTTTGTGTGGCTTCTAACTTTTGGTTTGTGGCTAGCCATCTGATCTTAAGCATTCTGTTTGCTGAGATGAGAAACAGTCTTCAGCCTTGTGAATATTCTGCCAGTAAAATGGTGGTGATGGGAAGGGTAGAAGAGGGTGGTGTGCATAGTGAACGAGCTGGGTATCAGCTGTAATGTTAGAGTTTGGTACTAGGAAGAGCACACTTAATGAGATGACAGTAATAATTACATTAGCTTTTTGGAATATCATGAATTCTTTACTGATAAATTGAGGGTTGGACAGAGTGGATGAATATTATTGAGAAACAAATTAGGAGTGGATGAGGTTTTCTGGTTAAAATACATTCTGTAAGGAAAGATATTCTAAGATATTTTAGTGATTTTATTTATTTACTTACCTACACTCTGGTGGTTATTTGAAGGAAAGGGAGGACGCATGTGGTCATGATTTTAAAGTTTAGAAATCAGCCACTATTGCTTCTGATAACTTCATGCACAGTTTTACCAGAGATTACTTAATTTATGTATTATTATTTCATGGCCATTATGCTGTCCTGACTTAATGGTTGATAAATGTAGCTTATAAATCAGACAACACTTTGCAAACATAGAAGTTGTTTCGTTAATGTAGATATATTACAACAAGAAGGTACTCTCCCTTGCCCCTACTTTTTATTAAAAGTCATATGGTAATGAACAGTCAAATCATTTGTCTTTTTAATTTGTTTGGAGGAACTTGAAAAATAAGAATCTGAAGTTTAAAAAGAATTTATGGCTTGTAACACTATATCCTGTCCAGGAATTTAACACCTTACAATATCATGTAGCATTATCATTACATTCTTAAATTCCTTGTTCACCAGTCCAGCTACATTTTAAGAGTTTTTGCTTTCACTTAAAAAAAAAATAAGTTAATGGTTTGAGGCATGGTGCTCTAAATCTTAGAGATATTTGGAATTTGCATATAGTCAGTGTTCCCATCTGTCTACTGGTAGAAAGGTTGAAGAAATCTGACTTCTTTCTTTAGCAGGGGAGAAACTGCTTGATTGTAAGCAAACCAAAAGTTATCATTCACCACAACTGATTTTGTTCCTGCAGTATATAGAATTATCTTTTGATAATTCAGAAAACTGGGTAGAGAAAAGTACCTCTAAATACAAAATATAAATACAAAAACCCTGATGTGATTATTTCTAGTAATTTTTCATCTCATTTTTATCCTTTTAAAAGAATTGCTAGTCTTGCAAGAGCTTAGTATTGGTTGAATTGTTTTTGTTCAATTTTATAAAATGGGAAAAGCAAAACAACCTAATTTATTTTTGTAGAATCTTAAGAGTCCTTCACTGAAAAATATACATACGATTTGAAGTAAAATTATAATGGAATTTGAAGGTTGTTTGGGGGGCTAAATTGGGAAATACGTTATCCTAATAGATCTCAATAACACCTTGAAATCTAAAATTATGTTTTTACCTTTAAAGGAACAGTGGAAGTCTGAAGAGTGCCATTTTGTAGGGGAGTTATGGAGTACTTCTGTTCTGAATGGCTGACTCCTAAGATCAAAACTATCAGGGTTACAAAACGTTAGTTTATTTTTTGGTTTTGTGTTTTGAAGAGAGAGAAAAAAACTCAGCATAACCATTTAAAAAATTAAGAGCAGAGAATGCTATTGAATGAATTTTTTAAAAAAAATGCCTAATGATGAATGAAAAATGATGTATATAATAGTTACGAGGAAGATATTTGCTGCAAGACAGTACCCTCTGGAGATTTTAGGGGTAAATCCTACTGCAGGTATTTTCCTTTTTTTTGAGTGCCTGTTGAATGAATGAATTCATCTTGAATATAGTAGAGTCGGTGCTAGACACATTTTTACTCCCTTGTTTACTCCTGTTTACAGTAATAAATGTGAATATCTGATTAAAAAAACTAGGTTTTCAAGTTCTCGTTTCTTCATTTTGCCCTTTCTTAGCTAGAGCACTTCTGGGATTTATGGGGTAATGTGCGTGGGGGAGAGTAGTAGTAGTAATAACCATAATAGCTAAAAAGGTGTAGTACAGTTGTCCCTTGGTGTCCAAGGGGGATTGATTGGTTCCATGACCCCCCATAGATATCAAAATCCACAGATGCTCAAGTCCTTCATGTAAAATGGTATAGTATTTGCACATAACCTGTGTACTTCGTCCCATATGTTTTAAAACATCTCTAGATTACTTACAATACCTAATACAATGAAAACACTCTGTAAATAGTTGTTATATTATAGTTTAAAAATTTGTATTATTGTTGTATTTTATTTTTTATTGTTTTATATCCCAAATATTTTTGATCTGTAGTGGGTCAAATCTGTGGATGTGGAGGGCTGACTCTAATCATTTATTAAACAGTCTAGATACCAGTTCTGAGTGCTTTTTAGGTGAAGAGAAAGAGAGGGAAGGGGTGTGTGTGTTGTGTGTAGAAGGAATGGTTATTGGGAGAACTGTTTAATAAATCATCCCAGAAGAATCCTGTGTGAACAGAAGGTACTTTACCGTACTATCATTTTTGTCAAACTTTATTGCTATTTCTTCAGGGAACTCAGGTAACAAAATTGTACAATTCTTAATCAGTAAAGAAAGTTGAGCCCAGAGTGGTCAGAGCTGATTCCCAGTCTGCCTAGGTAAACCCAAGGAGGGCTGAGGAGTTTGTGAGATGAGGAGATCTGAGAAGCTGAGACTGCATTCACACATAGCATTGCCCACATCTGCTGTTCAGTGTGAGTGGATGTTGTTTTAATTGATAAAGTTCACAATGAACTAAAAATTAACAACTCACAACAGTGCTATATAGGTTTGCATTTTCTCAGGGAACAGATACGGAAAGGATAATTTCTTTTTGCATGTTTGTGGGTTTTTGATGTATTTTAGTGTTTAAAAGGGAGTCTTTATACTTGTAGCTCAATAGATAAGAACTCCTAGCCTAGATCCTTAACATTTCAGTTAGCTAGCCAATACTGAATTCACAAACTGTAGCTGTCTTGTTCAGGAGAGGAGAGAAGCGGAGAGGGAAAAAGTGTCATAGTAATATTTATGCTGTGGCCTATATTCTACCAATGCCGAATAAAAAGGATTGGTGAGAATTGATAGAGATTGTGTGTTGTCCCTTCTCCAATATAAGGGTATTTCAAATCCATAAGGAACCCAGGCTGTTTTTGTGTGTGTATTTTAATTGTTCTCTTCTTATTTTGGTGCCTCGTATGCAAAGGTGAAAGTGATACATAGCGATGTGTGGATGCGGAGAGCAAAAAGCTATACCTGGAAAAATAAGGAGAAAGGAAGGGAAAAAATTCAAAAGTGAGGAAGGTACCAGATGAAGAGAGAAAGAAGTAAAGGGCATTCAGTGGAAAAGGATCCTGGACCAAGATGTCTTTGATTTGCTCTTAAGTTGATATATTTTCTTTTATGATGTGTGGTGGACTAAGAGCAGTTATAGGAGGAGAACCAAAGGGTCTTTCTTCGTTGTTTTCCCTTTCTCCCCCCGTTGCAATGCAAAGACTAGGAAAAACATTTGTTGATAACTATTTTTCCCTTTTCCAACTCCTGCTCTGCCACTGTTGGCTTTCTTTCTCTCCTTGTAGAGGTGTACTTGTTCCTTAATGAGATGACATAGTGGTTGATTGTGTTGTCTTCTCATCACTCAATTCTTTATTTAATTTTTGTTAGTATTTTCATTGAAGATACGTATATGGAATAGTACCCAGATCATAGATCTTTATGAAATACAGTTTATTGAAATTTTTTTTCAGTGTTTTTGTTTGTTTGTTTTGTGTGTGTGTGTGTTGTGCCTAAGAAATCTTTGCCAAGCCTAGGGTCACTAATATTTTCTGCTAGATTGACTTTTAGGAGTTTTAGGATCTTAACATTTAAGTCTGTGATTCATTTGGGGTTTTAGTATTAAGGTAAAGATTGAGATTCAATTTTTTGCATATGACAGTTCAGTTGTATCTGTTTTGAACATTATATAAATAGAAACCCTCTGGATAAGCTTTTGGTCTGTTACCTATGTGAGGTTACCTATGTGAGGTTCATCCATATTGTTGTGTGTAGTTGTAATTAATTCAGTCTCATATCTGTACAGTATTCATGAATATACCTCAGTTTATTCATTCTATTAATGAGCATTTGGGAGGCTTACAGTTTGTGGTTATTAGGAATAGTGCTGCTATGAGCATTTCTTTTTCTTTTTTTTTTTTGAAATGGAGTTTTGCTCTTTTGCCCAGGCTGGAGTAAAGTGGAGCGATCTCAGCTCACTGCAACCTCTGCCTCCCAGGTTCAAGCAATTTTCCTGCCTCAGCCTCCAGAGTAGCTGGGATTACAGGCCCGCGCCACCACGCCCGGCTAATTTTTGTATTTTTAGTAGACACGGGGTTTTGCCTTGTTGGCCAGGCTGGTCTCAAACTCCTGACCTCAGTCCACCCACCTCAGCCTCCCAAAGTGCTAGGATTACAGGTGTGAGCCACCTTGCCCAGTCTGCCGTGAGCATTTCCATACATGTCTTTTGGTTAATGAAGCTTGCATGCATTTGTTTAATATATTCCTAGGAGTGCAGTTGCTGAGTTTTAGTGGGTATTGTCAGTTTTCCAAAGTGAATGTACCACTCTATACTTCCACCAACTGTGTATGCTCCAGGTTCTTTTCAATTTGGTATTGTATATATTTTTTTCCTTCTCTTACCTTTCCCTCCATTTCTCCCTTCCTTTTTCCTTGTTAGCATTCTGGTGGCTCTACCAGTGTTACCCAGAGTTTGCACCATTTTGAGGAGGATTAGAAGTAGAAACTGGACTATTTCTGAACATGAGCGTTCCTGAGGGGGAACAGAATTAGAAGCATAGACCAGTAAGTGACCCTAGGGTGTTGTTGTTGGAGGCACTGCTTTCCCACTGATTATAGTCTTGTAACTGGGTACTAGAGGCCGTGGGTATTAACATTAGTTTTCAGACTTGGTTTCAGTAGCAAAACCTTCTTTCGTCAAACCTTAATAGGAAGTTATCATGTAAAATATATAAAGAAGATGCTTGGTTTGGGAGCTGGGGAATGTAAATCAGAGCCGCAGTTTTTGATGCTTAGCCGTCCGCCTTGGAGCCACTTCCTCGAGCTCCAGTCCTCTTTACTTAAAGCCCTTGAGGTAGGTAGGCCACCTTAGGTCTGTCCAAGAAATCATGACATTTTGATAGCTTCTGAAGTGTTAAGTTTTAAGCTGTTCCTAGTCTCTAAAATTTATGTATCATATACCTAAATAAAAGTGTAGTGTTAGTTTCCAATGAAAGACTGGACAATGTTCTGATCAGGTTTTCTGTTGGCCATTATTTATTTGGTCTAGATGTAGTAGTTTCTACATTATTTTGTAATCAATTTTGATTCTGTCTGTTTACTGATGCTTCTCTGGAGGGTTGCTTACATTACAGCCAGAGCAAACCTTTCAGAACACAAATCTGATCAGGTAGGTCATTCCACGTTTAAAACCTTTCAGCTGTCTTCCCCTTGTGCTTGGGAGTTAGGTAAACTCCATACCTGGGTCAGTGAGTACCTCTTTTCTCTGTCCTCATCTCCCTCTCCAGCCTTGTCTCATGTATCTCTTCCTTTGGTCATGTCCTGGCTGTTTTGCTGTTCCCATCCTTCCTGTCTCAAGGAAGCTCTGCCTGTATCAAATTACAGTACCATGTACTTCTCCTTTGTAGCATTTGTCACAGCTGCTGTTTGACAGTGGGGCGTATCAGTGACATTTGGTCTACTTACTGGCTTACTCACTGTTAACCCCACCTTATGATCTTATATATAGAAGTGCTTTCATCACAAAATGTCAACAAAACAAATAATGTTCATTTGCATTTTACAAATTATGAGCTTTATAGGAAGACTTTCTTGGTATGGGGAGTTATCTCTTTCTGTGGTATTGGCATAGATTAATAAATAATCATAAGATAATTTTGTTACAAACTGTCAAGGTTACAGGTCTTAGATTTTTCTTTTTTCTTTCTTTTTTTTTTTGAGATGGAGTCTCGAGTCTTGCTCTGTCGCCCAGGCTGGAGTGCAGTGGCGCGATCTCGGCTCACTGCAAGCTCCGCCTCCCAGGTTCACGCCATTCTCCTGCCTCAGCCTCCTGAGTAGCTGGGACTACAGGCGCCCGCCACAATGCCTGGCTAATTTTTTGTATTTTTAGTAGAGACGGGGTTTCACAGTGTCAGCCAGGATGGTCTCGATCTCCTGACCTTGTGATCCACCCGCCTCGGCCTCCCAAAGTGCCGGGATTACAGGCTTGAGCCACCACACCCGGCCAGATTTTTCTGTCACCATAAAAGCGCACAGCTTATTGTTACATTTATTTTTCATTTAATATACAATGGAAATTAAATTTGGACACTTTCCATCTCTGTGCCAAAATGGCAACATTAAAGCATAGTCATTTACATCCCAAATATTAGTATTTTGTGTATCACCTTGGTGTTTTTTGGTCACATTTGCACTCCATACTGTTTTTTTTTTTTTTTTTTTTAATTTCTAGGGTACATATGCACAATGTGCAGGTTTGTTACATAGGTATACATGTGCCATATTGGTTTCCTGCACCCATCAACTCGTTATTTACATTAGGTATTTCTGCTAATGCTGTCCCTCCCCCAGTCCCCCACCCCCCAATAGGCTCCAGTGTGTGATGTTCCCCGCCCTGTGTCCATGTGTTCTCATTATTAAACTCCCACCTACGAGTGAGAACATGTGGTGTTTGGTTTTCTGTCCTTGTGATAGTTTGCTTAGAATGATGGTTTCCAGTTTCATCCATGTCTCTGCAAAGGACATGAACTCATCCTTTTTTATGGCTGCATAGTATTCCATGATGTACATGTGCCACATTTTCTTAATCCAGTCTATCATTGATGGACATTTGGGTTGGTTCCAAGTCTTTGCTATTGTGAATAGTGCCACAATAAACATAGGTGTGCATGTGTCTTTATAGCAGCATGATTTATAGTCCTTTGGGTATGTACCCAGTAATGGGATTGCTGGGTCAAATGGTATTTCTAGTTCTAGATCCTTGAGGAATTGCCACACTGTCTTCCACAATGGTTGAACTAATTTACACTCCCACTAACAGTGTAAAAGCCTTCCTATTTCTCCACATCCTCTCCAGCACCTGTTGTTACCTGACTTTTTAATGATCACCATTCTAACTGGTGTGAGATGGTATCTCATTGTGGTTTTGATTTGCATTTCTCTGATGACCAGTGATGATGAGCATTTTTTCATGTGTCTTCTGGCTGCATAAATGTCTTCTTTTGAGAAGTGTCTGTTCATATCCTTTGCCCACTTTTTGATGGGGTTGTTTTTTTCTTGTAAATTGGTTTAAGTTCTTGGTAGATTCTGGATATTAGCCCTTTGTCAGATGGGTAGATTGTAAAAATTTTCTCCCATTCTGTAGGTTGCCTTTTCACTCTGATGATAGTTTCTTTTGCTGTGCAGAAGCTCTTTAGTTTAATTAGATCCCATTTGTCTATTTTGACTTTTGTTGCCATTGCTTTTGGTGTTTTAGTCGTGAAGTCTTTGCCCATGCCTGTGTCCTGAATGGTATTGCCTAGGTTTTCTTCTAGGGTTTTTATGGTGTTAGGTCCTACATTTAAGTCTTTCATCCATCTTGAGTTAATTTTTGTATATGGTGTAGGGAAGGGATCCAGTTTCAGCTTTCTACATATGGCTAGCCAGTTTTCCCAGCACCATTTATTAAATAGGGAATGCTTTCCCCATTGCTTGTTTTTGTCAGGTTTGTCAAAGATTAGATGGTTGTAGATGTGTGGTGGTATTTCTGAGGCCTCTGTTCTGTTCCATTGGTCTATATCTCAGTTTTGGTACCAGTACCATGCTGTTTTGGTTACTGTAGCCTTGTAGTATAGTTTGAAGTCAGGTAGTGTGATGCCTCCAGCTTTGTTCTTTTTGCTTAGGATTTTCTTGGCAATGCAGGCTCTTTTTTGGTTCCATATGAACTTTAAAGTAGTTTTTTTCCCAATACTGTGAAGAAAGTCATTGGTAGCTTGATGGGGATGGCATTGAATCTGTAAATTACCTTAGGCCGTGTGGCCATTTTCACGATATTGATTCTTCCTATCCATGAATATGGAATGTTTTTTCCATTTGTTGGTGTCCTCTTTTATTTCATTCAGCAGTGATTTGTAGTCTCCTTGAAGAGGTCCTTCACATCCCTTGTAAGTTGGATTCCTAGGTATTTTATTCTCTCTGAAGCAATTGTGAATGGGAGTTCACTCATGATTTGGCTCTCTGTTTGTTATTGGTGTATAGGAATGCTTGTGATTTTTGCACATTGATTTTGTATCCTGAGACTTTGCTGAAGTTGCTTATCAGCTTAAGGAGATTTTGGGCTGAGATGATAGGGTTTTGTAAATATACAATCATGTCATCTGCAAACAGAGACAATTTGACTTCCTCTTTTCCTAATTGAATACCCTTTATTTCCTTTTCCTGCCTGACTGCCCTGGCCAGAACTTCCAACACTATGTTGAATAGGAGTGGTGAGAGAGGGCATCCCTGTCTTGTGCCAGTTTTCAAAGGGAATGCTTCCAGTTTTTGTCCATTCAGTATGATATTGGCTGTGGGTTTGTCATAAATAACTCCTATTACTTTGAGATAGGTTCCATCAATACCTAGTTTACTGAGCGTTTTTAGCATGAAGGGCTGTTGAATTTTGTTGAAGGCCTTTTCTGCATCTATCGAGATAATCATGTGGTTTTTGTTGTTGGTTCTGTTTTTATGTGATGGATTACGTTTGTTGATTTGTGTATGTTGAACCAGCCTTGCATCCCAGGGGTGAAGCCAAGTTGATTGTGGTGGATAAGCTTTTTGATGTGCTGCTGGATTCAGTTTGCCAGTATTTTACTGAGGATTTTCGCATCAGTGTTCATCGTGGATATTGGCCTAAAATACTCTTTTTTTGTTGTGTCTCTACGAGGCTTTGGTATCAGGATGATGCTGGACTGATAAAACATAGTCATTTACATCCCAAATATTAGTATTTTGTGTATCACCTTGGTGTTTTTTTGTCACATTTGCACTCCACACTGTGCTTTTTTTCTTTCTTTTTTTTTTTTTTTTTTGAGACCGAGTTTCGCTCTTGTTACCCAGGTTGGAGTGCAATGGCATGATCTCGGCTCACTATTACCTCTGCCTCCCGGGTTCAAGCAATTCTCCTGTCTCAGCCTCCCGAGTAGCTGAGATTACAGGTGCATGCCACCACGCCTGGCTGATTTTTGTATTTTTAGTAGAGATGGGGCTTCATCATATTGGTCAGGCTGGTGTAGGACTCTGGACCTCGTGATCCGCCTGCCTCGGCCTCCCGAAGTGCTGGGATTACAGGCGTGATCCACCGCACCTGGCCTCATATCATGCTTTCCTTTTTTTTTTGTTTTTGGAGATGGAGTCTTGCTCTGTCACCCAGGATGGAGTGCAGTGGCACGATCTCGGCTCACTGCAACTGTCTCCTAGGTTCAAGCAATTATCCTGCCTCCCCCTCCAGAGTAGGTGGGACTACAGGCGCGTGCCACCACGCCTGGCTAACTTTTTGTATTTTTAGTAGAGACGGGGTTTCACTGTGTTAGGGTGGTCTCAGTCTCCTGACCTCTTGCTCTGCCTGCCTCGGACTCCCAATGTGCTGGGTTTACAGGTGTGAGCCACTGCACCCGGCCATTCTTTTTTATTTTTAAATTTCTTAAAATAAATGTAAAACCTTTTAATGCTTTTTAAAGCTTAATTTTCTTTAAAAAGGAATCTTTGTGTCTCCACCAGCAATAGAGAACCTGTATTGTTTGCCTTAAAAAAAAAAATGACTGTTAAACCCTGTCTAGATTCTGTTGTCTGATAAAGGCTCCAAGCCTGAGCCATATGCTCTCTGTGTTTACAAGGGAAGTTAAATTTGCAGGTGTCATAAAGGGACATAAATATGTGTTAGCACCAAAGTGAGAGTTGTTCTCATACACCCAGACAGATTGAAAGAACCTCGGAAAAGGAATAACTTCCTCAGTATTTGATTCAGTGTAATTCAATACCAGGTTTCAAGTATCACCTAAGATAATTTTGCATGTCAGCAGTGGCACTTCCTCTTCTCTTTGGGATCCTCTTCTGCTCCAGCAATGTAGATTATGATGAATTTATCAGGGAGGTTCTGAACAAATGTGAGCAGCTATTATAATAACAATAGCAACAATAAAAACTCTACTTTCAACAGTCATAGTGCAGATTCCTTTTGTAACAATCTTTTATGTACTGGGGCTGGAAGAAATTAAGACTAATTTTAGTAGATTTTATTTGTTATCCATCCACCCAGCATTTTTTTCAGCAGCTGCTATGCACTAGCCACTTAGTGATTTGGAAATCAGGGAGCCACAAAGCCAGCACAGAAATGTAGGTTTTGTACAGAATATCAGTGTACAAACCTTGCATGGAAGACACATTCGTGGGTGGCTGGCCCCTGGCATAATTTGTTCTGTTTCTTGGACATGCAGTGCTAAGTACTCTAATGGACAACACTACAGTGAGTAGCTTTTGGCACTCCTTAGAAAGAATTGCACATAACTAATAATTGCACTTCTGGGAAACTTACTTTAAAAGATGAGTGGTATGGTAAAGAGGTTACAAACACAGTTGCTTACCAAGAGTATGTCCAATGAGTGGCTACAGCCAGGTGGGGAGCACAGAAACTGGAGATGATGACACCATCTAGATGTGGGTGCTGATCGGCTCTCTTGCTGATTGCTGCCGTGTAGAAATACCGGGCAAGTTTTGCCTGCTCTTGTGATTTTTTTTACGAGTTGAACATTTGGATTTTTATGTCAAATCTCTTCATTTTAAATGCTTGTGTGGCTGAGCACAGTGGCTCATTCCTGTAATCCAAGTGCTTTGGGAGACCAGAGTGGGAGGATTGCTTGAGGCCAGGAGTTCAAAACCAACCCATGCAACATACCAAGACCCCCGTCTCTACAAAATAATTTAAAAATAAGTTGGGCATGGTGATGTGTACCTGTAGTCCCAACAATTCAGGAGGCTGCGGTGAGAGGATCTCTTGAGCCTGGGAGTTTGAGGTTACAGTGAGCTGTGATCGCACCATTGCACTCCAGCCTGGGTGACAGAGTGAGACTCTGTCTCTAAAAATACATACATACGTACGTACATACATACATAATGGTGCAAGTTAGAAACAAAACAGTAACTCAAAACAGCCTTAACAATAAGAGTATCTCCTCTTCAGATTCAGCCTATGGTAAATATTTTTCTTCTGTGCTATAGCACATTGATTCTCAATTTGTGAGCCACAGACTTGTGCAGACTTATTGTAGGGGATTTTTAAATACTGTGATTACTAAGCATTAGCTGTAGATTGAAATAATGGAAGTAAAATTATCTTGATGCTCACAGGTGTGTCTCTGGATTTTTCTGACATTTGAGGCATGCCAAACACTGCAGATCACTGCTCTAATAGCCATACTAAAATAACAGTACAAAATTCAATAAGGTATTAACTGTATGTAATAGGAAGAGCCCTGACAGATGTGCATTTTTCTTGTTCTCGCTCTCTCTCTTTTTTTTTTTTTCAATTTGAGATGGACTCACACTATCGCCCAGGCTGGAGTGCAATCTTGACTCATTGCAACCTCTGCCTCCCAGGTTCAAGCAAGTCTCCTGCCTCAACCTCCTGAGTAGCTGGGATTACAGGTGCCCACCAGCACGTCCAGCTAATTTTTGTATTTTTA
The DNA here is from genome assembly GCF_000001405.40 of Homo sapiens. Classification (NCBI taxonomy): domain Eukaryota; kingdom Metazoa; phylum Chordata; class Mammalia; order Primates; family Hominidae; genus Homo; species Homo sapiens. Next base: position 105,255,768 of record NC_000007.14, on the reverse strand, counting down.
GTAGAGAAAGGGTTTCACCATGTTGGCCAGGCTGGTCTTGAACTCCTGACCTCAGGTGATCTGCCCGCCTCAGCCTCCCAAAGTGCTGGGATTACAGGCAAGAGTCACTGTGCCTGGCCTAGATGTGCGTTTCTCAACTTGGATATCATTGATTTGTTCTGTAAATATTTATGTACCCACTATGGTAGAACTTAAGCTTTATAAATAATCTGAAAATGGTGGAGGTAGAAAAATGTTCTGTTTTCAAAACTGCCACCTCATTATTCCCCGCCTTTCCCTTTTCCTTCTTTTCCATCTGTCTTTTCCTCCCTTCACCTACCCTCCCCCCAGGAAATATATTGAGACTAGTTTGATAACTACCTATAATGCAGTAGAAAAAAGGGGGTCAGAGAAAATGCAGATCACAGTAGAAGGTTATGATGGAGGATAGTCAGATGCACACGCAGATACGGGTATTTGCTGTGCAACTAGTAAAGGTGACTAACAAAATTGGCTTTAAGCTTCTTGACAGCCATACTAAGGAAATAATTAACATTGCTCTTTTCATCTGTAAGGAGAAACAATATTAGTTTCCCCGGTAGAACCAAACCTTTTCCTCTAACTTAATTATCATTTTAGCATAACTTTTTTTCTACATATCTTAAATGCTTATTTATTTTAGAAATTTCAGATAAAATGATGATAAGGCACTGAGCTGTTAATCATTAAAGTTCAGTCACCATGATTAATTTTTTCTGGCCAATTTTTTGTTTTAGTCTAAGATCTATAAAAAGCAGATGGGCCAGATGCAGTGGCTCATGCCTGTAATCCCAGCACTTTGGGAGGCCGAGGCGGGTGGATCATCTGAGGTCAGGAGTTCAAGACCAGCCTGGCCAACATGGTGAAACCCCATCTCTACTAAAAATACAAAAATTAGCTGGGTGTGGTGGTGTACACCTGTAATCCCAGCTCCTCAGGAGGCTGAGGCAGGAGAATTGTTTGAACACAGTAGGCAAAGGCTACAGCGAGCCAAGACCACACCACTGCACTCCAGCCTGGGTGACGGGGCGAGACTCTGTCTCAAAACAACAACAACAATAACAACAACAACAACAAAAAAAAAACAAGCAGATGTACTTCAACGATAACATCATCACCAACCGTACAATCCAGTATCATACTGAGAAATGATTTTCAAACTGGCATTTTATACTTAACATATGCAAATTTTCTTATGTTATTAAATAATCATCTGTAGTATCATTTATAAAGGTTGCATAGAACTGAGTTCATGATATGGATGGATGTACATAATTTTATTGATTGAGTCTTAGAAATGGAATCACTTGTGAAGCCAATTTGTAAGGCTCTTTATAAAGGAGTGTTTGTTTTTCAGAAAGATACATCTTTACGTTGTCATTGGCAGTGTATAAGAGAACCTTTTAACTTACACCCTCACTTGAAATTCTCAAAACAGCCTCTTTCTGAATGTCGTATAGATGACATTGAAGAATATTCCAGATAGTGTTGACTTACTAGTCTCTGTTCTTTAGGTCTTTACTCTAGTAAAAGTTAAGTATTATTGTGGTACTTTCTGTGTTAATTGGGTGTGGGTAAGTCAAAGATCAGTACAATCAGCTGTAACGAGGTAAAAGATTCATCAATAGATTCTTATATTCAGTCAAGCATTTACGAAACAGCTAAATGAGCCATTGATGTTAGCAGTTAAGTGACATAGTCACTGAGAAAATTTGGGTATTCTATTTATGCTAATGAATCTAAATTTTGTAAGGATTTCAAGAAGTTATGTGATTCAAGCCTCTCACTCTAAACAGGTGACAAAACATTCAACACAGATGGCTGGCTTGTTTTTTTTTGTTTGTTTGTTTTTTTTTAAAATAAAGATGTACAGGAATTAAGATTCTCTAACCTTACCTTTTCAACCATGGCCTCATGATTGGTTGCTCAATATATTTTCAATGACTTAATTTTGTTGCACTACAATAAAATTACTACTTAATTTTGTTCCCCTTCTAAGACAGTTCTAAAATGTAATCACCTTTTTGGTCAAGACCTTTTCATTTTTCTTTCTGGAATTTGAATTACTTTTGTGGGGGACAGGGGCGTGCTCTCTGTGTAGTCTCAGGACGGCTTGGATCTAGTCTAAATAGTATTCCAGGAAACAGCATCTGAGAAATCAGGGTGAAATGAAACATTGTGGCACCATCTTGAAACTCTAAATACTTGCATAAGCGGGAAAAGAGATGGAGGAGAGGATGGGAAAATAGATGAGAGGGGTATATAGTGACCAGGTGGCAAAGAAAGGTCTTTGAATTTTATGCTGATGTTTACCAAGAGCCATTGAAAGGTTTTAGCAAGGATGTTTGTAGATAATACATGCACATTTTCCTGTGGGCATGAAGTAAGGTCTTTTAAAGAAAGTCTAAAGAAATATATTTTTCCCCCTAGCATGGAAGGCTATAAGATATGCTGTAGACTTTGCAGCAAGATATTATTCATCTGTTCTGGAAATTGGTGGGAATATTATGGCAGCATTTACAATGAGTGACAGAGAGTGGATGAATTCCTTGACACTGGGGGTATTAAACATCGAAATGGAGTACCATAGTTAGAGGTGCTTCTTTCTAAAGACAGGTGATTGACCTGTTAAGTCTTACGTATTTTTTTCCTAGGTTTTACGCAGTTAATTATGATTAAAGAAATCCTAACTTAAAGATACTAACTTGGGTCGGGCGCGGTGGCTCACGCCTGTAATCCCAGGACTTTGGGAGGCTGAGGCGGGCAGATCCCCTGAGGTCAGGAGTTTGAGACCAGCCTGGCCAACATGATGAAACCTTGTCTCTACTAAAAATGCAAGAATTAGCCAGACGTGGGGTGCGTGCCTATAGTCCCACTTTCTCGGGAGGCTGAGGCATGAGAATTTCTTGAACCTGGGAGACAGGAGGTTGCAGTGAGCTGAGATCACACTACTGGGCTCCAGCCTGGGCAACAGAGGGAGACTCTGTCTCAAAAAAAAAAAAAGAAAAAAAAAAGAAAAGAAAGATGATAATTGGAATGTTTCACTAATCATTTTGTTGCAGAAATTCTTACTCAATGGATATATAAAGTATCATTTCTATAAATTGTTTAAAATACTTAGGCCAGTGCTGCCTAAGTGGAATTTCTGGGCAGTCTGTCTTCCACTGATGGAAGATAGTATAATATCAGTAAAACCTATGAGCATTTTAAATGTGGCTAATATGATTGAAGGATTAAATTTTTAATTTTACCTAATTTTAAAATTCAAAAACCACTCAACTTTTTCTTTTCAGATGAGAACGCCAGTGAACTGTTATTTTAACCTTTCTTTTTAAATTTAGAAATGAAGATTGTTTCCTTTATTGTTCTTTAGTTCCTAAATGAATATTGCTTCCTTTTGCCCTTTGTTTCCTAAGCTCCACCCTACTCTGTTTTTGTTTTTTTAAAATTCTTTTGCCCTTTCTATCCTGACAGTATTATATTTTACAGGCAAGAGTTTATTTCCTTCATTGTAACTCAAATTAGTAATTTAAAGGAAACTGCACTCAGTTATTTGTCCTTGTATAAAGTTATTTTGAGCATTTTTTATTTTAAGGAGCTGCTTAATTTTCTGTCATCATTTAAGGAGAAAAATATTCAGTTATCTGCCATCATATTACTTGCCTGGTGTTATATCCTCTTTTTAATGTTCTACTAACATAAAACAGTTTTAAAGTAAAAGGAGTGTAGTTTCTTAAATGTTCAGTTTTAAAGGGAAAGATAAATTAATATAGACGAACTCTGTGTTGTCTGATAAAAGAGATAAAGGTCAGTAGAGAAATTATGGTTTATGATGGTAGTCAGCTCCTTCTTCCCCCTCAAGCCACGACACTGAATTTAGCCTCAGTTTGTTGTTGCCATTCAGTCTAGCTAGAGCTTACAAAAAATACAAAACCCCCAAATTTGGATTCAAATTTCAATTCTTGTACCCATCACCAGACACACCCCCACATGGTGATTACTAATGATTATTAAAATACTCTTTGGGCCCAGTATGCAAAAAGGACATCTTTTTCCTGAGACCAGCACAATCTTTAGCCTGTAGGAGAAGCCTCTGTTTAATGCAGAGCTGTGGAAGGTTTACAATTAAATGATGGTAGGTGTTATTATATTCATTTATTGAAAAGGAAGCCTTGTGGGATTAAGCTTAGAGGAAAGAATTTTTGTTGTTGCTGTTCAGCCCAGTCTTTTTCATAAAAAATGCTTGTGGCAGGGTACAGTGGCTCACACCAGTAATCCCAGCACTTTGGGAGGCCAAGGCAGGAGCATAGCTTGACCCCAGGAGTTCAAGACCAGCCTGGGTAACATAGTGAGACCCTGTCTCTAAAAAAAGAAAAGAAAAAAGCTTGCCTCCTTTCTTACTGAGTATTCATCAGTTATAATTTGACAGTCTGTGTTTGAATAAATGAAAGACTTCTCTAGAGGAACCCTTGGGTGCCTGTGATATAAGAAACACCAGATCTTTTACATGTGACCTTTGCCTCAGTTTAGGGCTGTCAGTTTTTTGGGGTGCCTTTTGTTGAAGGAAAAGGTGTATTGATGTATTTATTGCTATGGCGTTGTCCTGTTATAGTTACTTCATTTCAACATAGATGTAAGTATTTATTTCAAAGTACACAAATGAAGAAATTGTGTTTGGGTGTAATGAGTTGTGCAGTGTCCATTTCATCCTCATTTCATTCCTCCACTGCCACGTACCCCTGAGTAGCTTCTGTTGCTGTTGCTGCCCTAATATCAGCCATGTTCCTAGTGGCAGCTTAGGCTCTGCTTGGCAGTACCTCTAGCTCCTGAAGAAAAACAAAGTTATTATCCCTTGCCTCCCCAGAGTTGCTAGAAAAGATTTAACAGCTGGTGAAAAAAATGGAGCTGATTATCATAGTAGTTAAGCGGTTCATCTACTTGTTTAATGGAATTACAGGTTTTATGGGGACCACTAAAGGTTTTCCGATTCTTTGGACCAGATATTCATGATGAATTTGGAGAAGAGCTTTTAGATCAGTACAAGTCAAGCATTTTCCAAAAAATATTCTTCCAATTTAAATGTTTTTAAAGTAGATCTACTGAAGTTAACTTTTTCTAAGAACAAGGCTCCATTTAGTTCCTTGGTGTGATTTGGTACATTTTGTAATTTCGAACTTAAAAATCCCTATTAGGAGTCAGTGGCCTAGTGTTTTGCATGCATGTAAGGGAAAACCTGTATATCTCCAAATGTGAAATTACAGTGACTGATGACATACTTCTGTAAATCCAACACAGCCAACTTTTGTCCAGTGATGCAACACATCAGGTTTTTGTTTTTTTTTTCTTGCATTGTTTGCATGTAAGGGCATGTGGTACAAAGTATGTTTGTTTGTTTGTTTGTTTGTTTGTTTAGACAGAGTTTTGCTCCCGTTGCCCAGGCTGGAGTGTAATGGCACCATCTCGGCTCACTGCAACCTCCCCTCCGCCTCCTGGGTTCAAGTGATTCTCCTGCCTCAGCCTCCTGAGTAGCTGGGAGGGATTACAGGTGCCTGCCACCATGTCTGGCTAATTTTTTGTATTTTTAGTAGAGTCAGGGTTTCACCATGTTGGCCAGGCTGGTCTTGACTCCTGACCTTAGGTGATCCACCTCCCTCGGACTCCCATAGGGCTGAGATTATAGGCGTGAGCCACTGTGCCTGGCCAAAGTAGCCACGACTTTTTAACAGTAGAATAACGCTTAGCTCAGTGAAATGGTCATGCTTTGAGAGGCACATGGGCAACAAGAGCTCATATGAGAAAAATATTTACATATCATATGTCATCCTCATTCTAGGTCATATGCGTAAGAATAGATTATTAGGAGGAATCTCCACATTTGAGAATTACTATTTTTTTTAACTTTAGTATAGTTGAGGTTTTGGAAGTTAAAAGTTCATTTATGAATGATGTAGCATTTTAATATTTTTTATTTGCTATTCAAAAGCATTTAACTATTATTGCTTGATTTTGACCAGACATATATAGGATGATGAATGGAATGAAAAAGCATGATAGCAAGAAAAGAACATGGAAGTCTGGGTCATCTTACACCCTTGTTTTATACATTAGATAGAAAAACTGATGCCCAAAATGGTGAATTGATACAACTCAGGTTCTAGATGGGATTCTTATAAACTGATAACTTCCAGTATTTGAAATTCAGGCATTTAGAGTCTGGGAACTTAGTACAAAGGAATTTGACCAGTTTTTTTTTTTCTGTTCTTTAAGAAAACCAAGAATGATTATTTTAAATTATACTAGTACTGTTCTTCTAGCTGTGTCCTAGCCAGGGAAGAAATAACTTAAATGCCTTTCATTTTACAGAGCATTTTCCTGTTCACTATTTAGTTCTTTAAAAAAATCCTTGTTGATAAGTAATGTAGATGGCTTTATTCTCACTTTGTAGATTAAAAAAACCAGTAAGTGTATGACTTAAGAATGTCACATACCAGTTAATATTAGAGATGCTCTAAAAGCTATGTTTTGGAGCTCCAAACCCCTATGCCTCAGAGTATAATATCTGAACAACAAAGATGTCCATTGTTTATATGTACAAGGTGGCCCGCATCAGGCTGCAGATGTGTGAAACAGGATGTGCTCTTCATGTCTTTTCTCCAGTCACTTCCATTTATATGCCTCAAGAAGGCTGAGAGACGAGGTGTGATGTCCTTGGTCATCAAATAGAACAGACACAACTAGCACACGTGGACAGAATTGACAGTTTTGTTATTTTCCACCCTCTCCTAGACCAGCCTGGTTTAACCTTTGAATTTTTTTTTTTTTTTTGAGATGGAGCTTCGGTCTGTCACCCAGGCTGGAGTGCAGTGGCACGATCTCGGCTCATTGCAAGCTCTGCCTCCCGGGTTCACGCCGTTCTCCTGCCTCAGCCCAGGCGCCCAACACCACACCCGGCTAATTTTTTTTTGTATTTTTTAGTAGAGACGGGGTTTCACCGTGTTAGCTAGGATGGTCTCAATCTCCTGACCTCGTGATCTGCCTGCCTCGGGCCTCCTAAAGTGCTGGGATTACAGGCGTGAGCCATCGCGCCCGGACTAACCTTTGAATTTTTAGTTTCAAATCTTTTTTGTTTGTTTATTTGTTTTTTGTTAAGAGGTAGGGTCTTGCTCTGTTACCAGGCTGGAGTGTAGTGGTATGATCATAGCTCACTGCAGCCTCAACCCTGGAGCTCAAATGATTCTCCCACAACAGCCTCCCAAGTAGCTGAGACTATAGGTGCACACCACCATGCCTGACTTTTTTTTTTTTTTTTTTTTTAAATTTTTTGTAAAGATGGCATCTCGCTGTGTTGCTCAGTCTACTCTCAGATTCCTGGACTTAAACAATCTTGTTTCCTCATCCTCTGAAAGTATTGGAATTAAGTACTTGTGCCACCACCCCTAATCCAGTTCTTTTCTATCTGAAGAGAACTGTGTGATTTCTTAGGCTAGGATACTGGTGTTTAAATATAAATGTGATTCTGACTTTTTAGGACTATAAAATTTGCTTCCTTTAAGTAGTACCAACCTTTTCCGGAGATGATTTAAAAGATTGTTAAGGCCGACTGGGCGCAGTGGCTCACGCCTGTAATCCCAGCAGTTTGGGAGGCCGAGGCGGGCAGATCACCTGAGGTTGGTAGTTCGAGACCAGCCTGACCAGCATGGAGAAACCCCTCTCTACTAAAAATACAGAATTAATCGGGTGTGGTGGTGCATGCCTGTAATCCCAGCTACTCGAGAGGCTGAGGCAGGAGATTCGCTTGAACCCGGGAGGTGGAGGTTGCACCATTGCACTCCAGCCTGGGCACCAAGAGTGAAACTCTGTCTCAAAAAAAAAAAAAAAAGATTGTTAAGGCCAAGCATGACAGCTCATGCCCTATAATCCCAGTACTTTGGGAGTCACAAGGCAAGAGGATCACTTAAGCCCAGGAGTTCAAAACCAGCCTGGGCAACATAGTGAGGTACCATCTCTATAAAAATAAAAAACTTTTTTTTAAAAAAAATAGGTGGTTAATACAGTCAATTAAAATACCAAGAATTAAACTTCTTCTTTTTAGTGATGCATTTTGTTAGGTACCATTTAATTGTCATATTTTGTTCAGTTAATAGTTAAAAACTTTGAACAATTAAAAACCAAGAAAAGGTATAACTTCTGTGTGTGTGTGTGTGTGTGTGTGTGTGTGTTTATGTGTGTGTGTGTTTTTTGGTATGTATGGCACTCCGGTGTTATTTGTAGTTGTGTAGGCATTATTGGCACTTTGATCATCAGTGATGTACTTAAAGGACATCGTCATTTACTCACCTTCTCTTCCCCTCTTCCTCACCATTAACGACCTCACTTCAAGCACGCTTTCAGTTAGTCCTCATAACAATATTATTAATCATCTGTATTTTACAGACGAAAAAGTGAGGCTGTGAGATAACTTACCCAAGCCACAGAACCGATCATTTTTTGAATTGTCTCTTTTACAACACAGAGTTTATGAGGACTTAGTTAGTATATAGAGAAAAATGGTTAATAGCTGGAGAAAAGACCTTGGAGATGATAAATGTAAGAAAGTTTGTTACTATGTGGCCTTGTGCAGTCGTTAAAAAGCCCATGGAAGCATGGTTTGGATTTCTAGGTCACATGGTACCGCAAGTACCAGGGCCCTCAAGTTTTCTCTACAGAAGACTGAATGTGAATGCCCTTAGGAGGCACAGGCCCACTCCAGTAGAACTAGGACCCAGCATTTACTGTCTGAATCTTAGTGCTTCTCACTCACCTGCCTGGCTCTTGGAAGAATTTGAGCTATGAGCTGTTCACAAAAAGGGAAAAGCTTCCTTTATTGGGAAATGTCACTTAAGTGGAATCCATTTCTCTCTGACAGTTCAGGGAAAGTGAAAGATTGCTGTCACTAACTGCTGGCAACTTACTGAAATTGTTAAAATTTATAGTTGATTGTCTTCAGTACTCCAATACTTCAGTATTTGGCACTGAAAAAAAATATATATGCTTTAATAGAAAAGGTTTCTGTCTTTGATTAGTGAAGAAGTAGATAGAAGTTGAACCCAAAGCAGTACCTCTCAGTTTCTTTGTTGGTTTTATCTAAATGTTGGCCCTTCCTCAGTGTCACTGTCGTAGGTCTGTTGCTCTTCTCATCTGCATTCTCTTTGAAAATGATCGCATCTGTTTCCATGGTGTTAATACCATTTGTGGGCTGGTGACTACCACATTTATATCTGTAGCTCTGTATTCTGAGCCACAGATCTATATGTCCAGCTGTCTACTTTACATCACTACCTAAATGTCTGTCGACATCTCAAATATAACTGGCCCTAAACCAAACTCATTATCTTGTCTAATCTTTCCTGACCGTAATGAAAGATAGATCATATGGCCTGTGCTTCATTCAGTTTTCTTTCTTGTAAAATGTTGCAGGGTGAGGGGGAGGGAATAAATATTCCTTTTGGTTTATGGCTGTCCTTAGGGGCTCTGGGGTCGGTGACAGAAATTACTCTGTGTGTAACTTTCTGTCTGTGTTTAAATGAACATCATAAATATCTTTGAAAGAAAGTAGAAGGCAACAAGAAATTTTGTAAGGTCTATGTAAGAATAGAATTAAGTTCCCTAATCTTACTCTAGCAAATAGTAAGGATTTTTGCCGATGTAACCTTCCAGCTTTTCTTTTTGCAGCAGCTGCTAGAGCCATTATCCTCTCTCTGCCAGGCTTCCTACTCATGCTAGTTGTTAATTGCCAGGGTCTACAACAGTGGGGCCCACAGGCTTTATCCTGCCTCGCGGTGACCTAACATTTTGTCACTCTGCTATTTAATTTTTAAAAGTGTCTCCAGCTGGGTGCGATGATGTGTGCCTGTAGTTGTGGCTACTCTGGCAGCTGAGGTGGGAGGATCACTTGAGCCCAGGAGTTCAAGGCCATAGTGCATGAAGATTGTGCCTGTGAATAACCACCGCACTCTAGCCTGGGCAACAGAGAGAACTTGTCTCTTGAGGGGAAAAAAAGTGTTTTCTAAATGCAGAAGCCCGAGTTACTTTATCTCCTCATTTTCCCCCGTAGTCTGTATCTAGTTGGTCACTAGATCCTACCGGTTTCTTTGCAGGAGTCCTCTCCAAATGCTTCCGTCAAAACTCGCTGTACTGCTTTCATCTGTCATTCCTCATTTGCCCTCAAATATTGTTCACTAGCCTCTCTTCCTGTTCCTCCGCCCTTTGCATCATCCCCAGAATTATATTCCTAAAAGAGACTCATTAATATAGCTTAAAACAGGTCGTTCACAGTCTGGTGGTCCTCTTTATCTAAAGTCCTCACTGATCCTGCCATTTCTGGCTCTTTTACCCTTCTTATCTTCATAATGTGTACTTCCCTCTGCCTGGACCTCACTGAGAAGATGCCATGTCCCCTGCACGCTGCCCTTACCATCCCACTGCAGAGGGTCCTGCTGCCTCCTAGAGCACCATCTAGACCTTTGTACTGAGACTCAGTGCTTCTCACTCCACTAGCTCGAGACGCAAGGAGCTTTAACTGTCTCATGTTCACGTTTCTGGTGCCTAGCACGTTCTTTGGCCTATAGACACAAATTTTATTTGAATAAAGATTTTTATTTCTTTCCCACTTGGTTAGGAAATACTAAGAAAAAGAGGTGTGTGTGTGTGTGTGTGTGTGTGTGTGTGTGTGTGTGTTTGTTTTGTTTTGTTTTTCCTCTCAAGCTGTTCTTTATTTCAGGGAGAGGGCAGGGAAGGGGGCTCAGTCTTTCTTGGCAGCGGCTTTCCTCATGGCGGCCAGGACGTTGCTTTGCTCCTCCCGCTTCCTCTTGGCGCGGATGTGCGCCCACACCCTTTTCTTGATGAACTTGAGGACCCGTTTGTCTTTGGAGACCTTTCAGTAACTCCTTGGCGTGCTGCTTGTACGGGGCGAAGCCACATGCCTCCGGGATCATGTCCCGCACAAACTTGGTGTGTTTGGTCAGACGCCCGCGGCGGCGGCTGTGCCTGGGCTCGCTCACGTTCTTGGTCACCTTTTGGCCCTTGTTGAGGCCCACGGCCATAGGGTAGCGCAGAGCCAGGGCTGCTGCTCTCCAAAGGCGGCCCTGGCGCGCTGGGGCTGGCGCCGCGTGGAACTCTGGGATTTTTTTATTGTTGTTGAGACGGAGTCTCGTTCTGTCGCCCAGGCGGGAGTGCAGTGGCACGATCTTAGCTCACTGCAAGCTCCGCCTCCCGGGTTCAAGCGATTCTCCCGCCTCAGCTTCCCGAGTAGCTGGGATTACAGGCGCGCGCCTGGTACCATGTGCAGCTAATTTTTGTATTTTTAGTAGACACAGGGTTTCACCATGTTGGCCAGGCTGGTATTGAATTCCTGACCTCAGATGATCCACCAGCCTCGGCCTCCCAAAGTGCTGGGATTACAGGCGTGAGCCACCGCGCCCGGCCCTGTATTTTTTAATAGGAAATATTGGACAGTATCTTTTTGTTTTACTGCCTTCTGAACAGCCTTGCAAATGTTTCTTTTTATAGCGGTTTTACCCCAACTTCTCTGTGTTCTCATGGACTCAGTGGGGTCTCCACCTACTACAGTGGTTTTGGTTGGCCTGGAAAAGCCTCCTGACCAGCGGACGGGACTTGGGCCCTCTACCCCTGCCAGCTCTTCAGCCCTCGTGGGGCTTCTTTATGGCAGCTCTTTCCTTCTAGAAGTTCCCACTCAATGTTTGAAATACCCACAAGTTCTGAACCTTGGAGGCACACTCATCTTATTAATGGCAGAGTTGGGACTCCAACTCAGTTACCTTGGCTGTTTCTCTTCCATTTTATTGATGGCAGCAGCCAGAATTCCCGACAAAGGTCTCTGGATTGGACTGGTAAATTTTGTTCATTCCACTTCTCACGTGTGAATTTAGGTAATCTGCTGAGCTGCAGATTCTTATTGTGTTATGGTTTAGAGATAATAACATCTTTGTAACTGAAATTAAAATTTTTTTTTGTCTTGCTGCAAATTCAGTCTATTGTAATTCTCAAGTTTCTTCACAGCCCTAAATTTACCGTTCGTTATTTGAGATTGCTTGGCATGTGGTTTTTTTTTTTTTTTTTTTTGAGATGGAGTCTCTCTCTGTTACCCAGACTGGAGTGCAATGGTGCGGTCTTGGCTCACTGCAGCCTCCACCTCCTGGGTTCAAGGCATGCACTACCACGCCCGGCTAATTTGTGTATTTTTAGTAGAGAGAGGGTTTCACCATGTCGGCCAGACTAGTCTTGAACTCCTGACCTCAGGTGATCTGTCTGCATTGTCCTCCCAAAGTGTTGGGATTACAAATGACTTTAGGATTTTAATTGTAATCTTGCCACCTTTGATCCTATCTCAGGCTCCTCAACTGTGAAGTGTCATCATCTAGATTTAGAGAATTAAGATTAGAATGTAGGCGGGGTGCATTGGCTCACATGGAAGTAATCCCTGCACTTTGGGAGGCTGATGGGGAAGGATTGCTTGAAGCCAGGAGTTTAAGACAAGCCTGGGGAACATAGGGATTCCCCTTATCTACCCAGATAATAAAAGAAAAAGGAGCTGGGATGGTAGCGGGCCTGGAGTCCCAGCTACTCTGGAGGCTGAGGTGAGAGGATCACTTGAGGCCAGGAGTTGGAGTCTACGGTGAGTTAGTGTACCCCAGCCTGAGTGACAGAGTGAGACCGTGTCTCTAAAAAGGAAGAAGAAGAATAAAAAACGATTAGAATGTTAAGATATCCAGGCTTTTTGAGCCCTGGCCTCACCTTCTACCAGAATTAATAAAATACAGAAGTAGATTTATATTTGAAATGCTACTTCTGTGGTAAGCTTTAGGCTTTTGTAGCTTTCCATTCCTCATGTTCAGTTGATAGCTGCAGTCAAGCCAGAGGTCACTTTAAGGATTGGAGATCCGGCTTGCCTCGAGACTCAATGGTGAACATGGTTCATTGGCTCTTTTGGATCAGTCTGGGCCCCCTCTTGAATGCAGATGAGGTAAAAATAGGTGATTCATTTCAGGTTGGCAAGAATAAACTCTAGATTGTTTTTGTCACTTGTTTCAGATTAGACATGTGTGCATGCACACCTGCCTCTGAGTAGGTCCTTGTGTATATTGCAGAACCTAATAATGATCACTTGCTTTACTTACTGTCGAGTTTTATCTGCCTTTGCTTATACATTTCCAGCTGCTTTTTATTTATTTATTTATTTATTGAGATGGAACCTCGCCCTTTTGCCAGACTGGAGTGCAGTGGGGTGATCTTGGCTCACTGCAACCTCTGCCTCCCAGGTTCAAGCAATTCTCCTGCCTCAGCCTCCCGAGTAGCTGGGAATACAGGTGTGCACCACCACCCCCGGATAACTTTTGAATTTTTAGTAGAGATGGGGTTTCACCATGTTGGCGAGGCTGGCCTTGAGCTCTTGACCTCAAGCATTCCAGCCGCCTCAGCCTCCCAAAGTTCTGGGATTACTGGCATGAGCCACTGCACCCTGCCAAATTTTCAGCTGCTTTCTCACAAGCAGGCAAAGGAAGAGGGGATGTATGTTAGATTAACTTAGAGCTCTAAGGTTGAAGGGTCATTTGATATCATATTCATTTTATAGATGAAGTCACAGACTTAGAAATGTTGCCTGCCGTCAACCAGCTGATAATGACATAAGATCAAAATGACAATGGGAATATTTAAATTTTTATTTTAAATATGTATTGAATTTGACCTGATCCTTGGGCTTGTTGGAGTAAGATTATCAGGTAGAATATGGCAGACTGTAAAAGTGGCCCCAATGACCTTTTCTTGGTGGGAACATTTCCTCCTACTTTTCTTCATCGTTTATGGTCATCTATAGGTGTGGTAGGGGGAGTAGCTGATAGTAATGCCAATCTATGAGAAGATGTCTGGTCATTTTGCTGGGAGGAGAGGTGATATGGAACGTGTGAAGGGAGAAAGATGAGAGTTGGGCTGGTAATGAAATATCACGTCTGACTCGATCTTCCTGCACAGAATCATGGTTTCCTGTAAAGGAATAGATTGTTGCGTGATGATAGATTTGTAGATTGTTAGAGCTGAAAGCAGCAAAATATATTGGATAGAATATATGGGCTTTGGAGCCAGGGACCAGAAGCTAAATTCTGGAAAGTTGCCTAACCTCATTGTGCTAGTTTTCCTTATCCTTATAATAAAGATGATAATGCTCACCTCACATAGGGTTGTGAGGATTTAAGGGGACAGTCAATATAAAGTAGATGCTGAAGAGGGGTGGATGGTATGAGGGACAACTTGATTTAGAGGAATGATCACATGCTTTGGAGTCAGGCAGGATTTTCATATGAACTTGGTCACTGATGTTTACCTAGGGCAAATAGGTAACCTTCTCCGGAGTCCTTCTCCGGAGTCCAGTTTCTCTATAATGCATACACATTTTGAGCTTTAACTGAAATAATGTACATAACTGTTTAGCACAAGTTACCTATTCAATAAGTGGTCTAGGAGCTGGCGGATGCTTTAAAGAAGGAACATCTAAATTTAGCTTTACAGTCCTGTTATATACCTCAATATGTCACCATCTAATTTTGGCATCAAAATTAGAGTTCCTTAGAAACAACATTTAAAAAGTTTACATCCTTTTCTTACCATGCAGCCTCTTTTAAAGCTAATTTATTTTATTTTCTGACACCATTTCTGTGCTTTCACTTAAGAGTTCTTACATCTTTTTGCTTTCAATCCCTTCCCTCCAATTTTGTAAAAATGATACTGGAACATTCTTTAAAAAACAGGCAAATGAAGTCAGAATAATAACAATAAAACATTGCAGGCTGTGAACTGGCATAGTACTGACAAAGGTTACTTTATAAATATTTAGCAGATAGGTATTTCAGTACATACTGGACGAGTATTTTATTTGTGGAAATTGAAGGCCCATAATAAATTGAGCATATTTAATATGCAACATAACAGAAAAAAATTGATGGTAAAAGTTGCCATTTCAAAGTGCAATTCTTTCTCATCACCTGTAGATCTTCCCATTTTTAGAGTCAAGTGAGGTTCAAAGTTTGGTGTCACTTCTCCTTGTACTTTCTGAAACTACAATCTATGGTTAGGCTTTAAAATTAAAAAAACATTTTTTTTTTCCTTTTCTTCTCCTCCTCCACTGCCCCCTAATTTCTGTCCAGGAAGGGTTTATATGTAGAAAACATAATAAATCACATGATTTCTATACCTCTTCTATATTCTTAGGACTCAGTTTAAAGAATTGTTTTAATGTATGTTCATTCCATACTTCCTCCAGATAGAATGATTATTTCACCATTGCTCCATGAAAGGATAAAAATAAGTTTTACTTTTGACCATGCTATGGTCTGAATATGTTCCCCTAAAATTCATATATTGAATTCCTAACCCCCAATGTGATGGTATTAGGAGGTGAGGCTTTTGGGAGAGACAATTAGATCACCAACACATAGCTCTCATGAGTGGGATGAGTATCCTTATAAAGAGGACTGAGAAAGGCCCCTTGCATCTTCCACCATGAGGACACAGCTGGAAGGCCCCACCTGTGAGCTAGGAAACCAGCCCTCACCAGAATCAGTCTGTCGGCACATTGATCTTGGACTTCCAGCCACCAGAACTGTGAGAAATAAATTTCTCTTTTTTATAAGTCACTCGGTGGTATTTTGTTATAGCAACCTAAACAGAGTAAGACCTTTTATGTTGTGCCCAGTGTATTTGATCCAGAGGTTATTCTTCTGTAAGTAGAATTTGATCAGTGGAGATAGGGAATTTCATCAGGATTCATCTTTAAAATAGAGTATTTTGAGAAAAGAGGTAAGAAAATAGCCTGTAGGTAAGTAGTTTCTGAGAAAGGCAGGAAGCCAAATCTGACACTGCTGCGAAGATCCTAGTTTAACAGGATCAATGTTAAGCTCAGAGAATTGGCTTTCTTATTCTTATCAACCATGTATCACTGTATTTGAATCTAGACTTGGATTTTCCATACTTTAGTGGGGTTTCTGTTGTTGCTTTATATTGTGGAGTATTATTTTTAAGTCAGACTCCGTCTAACCAGATTTTGTTAATTATGGCTCCATTTTTTTGCTCTCATCCCAGAACATCTTGTCAGCTCCTAGGAGTATGTTTGAAACAATATATTTTGATGTTCAGGCTGTTTCCCTGCTTCCAGCATTTGTAAGGGCTCTGACCCACTTACAGGAGGAGAAAACAAAGATGTATTATTTTGGTTGAGAAGGACTAGATGTAACTGCCTCAGTGATACCTTGATAATTTAGGAAAAATGTCCTTTGTTCTCTCTATATTTTTATTTGAGTGACCTATGCAAAGATAAATTGTAATGACATTTTTTTCTGACTTAATAGGAAGGAAGGAATGCTATCTATACTTTGTGCTTTCTGATGTTAAATTGTAGCTTTTGTTTGAGAAGTTTTTCATAAAAATTTTAGGTCGCTTATAACATAGGAAGGTTTATTTTATTGTTGCCCTTTTTAACAACTGATTAAATTGTGCTATATAGGAAGAATTTATAATTCATTGCCTCTTCTGATGAATGGGACTATTTCTAGAGTAGGGTTTCCTAATCAGGAGGCTGGACTATTCAGATATGTAGTGCAATTGTACACTCTGGTTTGCCAGGGATGGCTGTGATTTATATGTTTTTTGGCTTGCTTATTAGGAGAAGTGGAATGAAGCCCCTTCGTTCTTAGAAGTGTATTGGATGATAACTTTACCTGGCTGCCCCGGCCTAATGACTCCGTAGACCACAAGTTTGCTTACTGCCTTCGTGCTTTGTTCTCTTGTCAAGTTGTCCATTTTGGAAGAAAGCTTAGAAGAGTGTGCTCCAAAGTGGTCGTGGGTATTTCGGTCTAGGTGGTGGGGTTATAAATGATGTTACTTTCTTCATTGTGTTCATTTCTAATTTCCTACTGAAAATGATTTTCTTATTAAAATCAAAACACAGAACAAATTTTCAGAAATTATTTAATTTTAATAAAAATGAAATAATGACTGTGTAATGGTGAAGCTTGTCATTCAGGCTTCTGGGTTCCAAATAATACAAACTGACTGGCTATTTTATTTCTAGTTACAGTGATTGAAGTAGGTTGTGTAATAAAAGAGTGGGCAATGGGAGAGGCAGCAGCTGTGGGCAAACCACTGGATCAGCCTTGAGGCCATGGTGCTAGATGTGTCTTGCCACTGAAGCTGAGTCCTTCCAGTGATTTTCCCCTGTAGTTTTGCCGCTTGTGACCTCGAGACTTCTTTGGAGAGTCACCACCAGTGGGCATGTTACAAACTGAGCCTAGGCCGTGGGCCTCTGCCTTGGCTGCCTGGGAGTAAGGACAGACTGTACCTCCTGAGGCTCCTGGAGTGGGAAGCAGTGCTTTATGCTGACTCCTGTCCAGACTTTTCTCAGCATCTTTTCTCACCCAAGGGATGATGATGATGAGGATGATGACGACGATGATGATTTTGTTACCTTGACTATTGATCAGTTAGGACTTTGAGGCAAGTATCACCTTTCAGGGGCCATCTGCCTTGAAGTGAAAATGATTGTTAATTTTGTTGCTAGTTGTTTATTCAAGTGATGCTGCTTTGCTGTTGTTTACCCTGCACGATTCAGCCTTTACTTAGAAGCTTTTGTCATTTGTCTGGTTGGGGGAGTATGGAATAGTTATTTTGACAGAGGAGCTGATTTAGATATATGCCTTGCCTTTAACTCTAGGTTATTTTGCTCATGAGTTGTGTCAAACTTAATAATAATGTGGCTTTTTTAGTGCTCTGTCAGACTCTACTGCTGCTTTTATTGCCTGTTTATAAACATTTAAATGTTTTCCCCTAAATCAGTCTTAAGACTTAAATGTTTATAATGCACCTATAACCAAGCAGGAAAAATAGAAATATCTTGAGTTAATTGCCCTGGATGGTGCTTCCTTACGTTCTTCATGTTTGGCTTGTAGCTTTACCACAGCACTCAGATGTCTCATGTCTGGTTGTAGACCCTATCCCCATTCGGTCTTTGTGATAACTCTGCTTATCTGTCAAGGTATTCAAGTTTTAAAGTATGTATCATGGTCACAGCAAAAGCTTTGTGCCCTCTTCTAAGTTTGTTTTTTCATTTTTCTAGTTAGAAGTTGAATTTGAGATTTAAGTAGTATTTAGAGTTCCTTTTAGAGATGAAAACTATCTGGGCTCCAGAATAATGATCAGTTTAGACTGTTCGCTCCTCTGAGCTTTGAGTTGTTTTAATGAGGAAAATTTGTTTGATGAACTAGAATATCTGCACATTCTTCTCCTAGGAATTAGAACATGTCATTGAGCCAAGTAAAGGTGTAATGTGCTTTTCAGAATGTACTGAGAAGATTGCATAATTTAGTGTATCTTTTATTAGTAGACTTGCAGTGGGGAGTAGGAATATGCAGGATGTTATGACAAATAATAATGGTTAGATTTTCTATTCTGATTTTTCCTTTAATTTTTCAAAATAAAAAATCATCTGGCAGCCTACAGAATGGTATTTAGAACATCACACCTTTCCAGACAGGGTTTGGTCAGAAGCTAAGTTTGTGGGCTTTTGAGAGGTGTTGCATTTGATGCTGCTGCAGTATCTTGGGTTTCTAGTCATCTTTCAGAAAGCTGGTCATGTATGGCATTCTGGCCTCTGGCCACTCTCCAGGCCCAGTGCCTGTCTTTACACAAACTTGACTTCCTAGTATCACCAACTATAATTTAAATCCTTAAGCTGATGTCTGTTGCTTTGGAGATGTTATGTCACATTCTGCATCTCTCAGCACTGCATGAAACAGTGTTCCCAAACTAGTCTTTTGATTCTATCTCTATATTTGTGGAGGTGGTTCATTGTGTCTTTTCATTTATTTAGTTTTTTAATGAAAATCTTGAGACACTTTTTCTTGATTACTTAAATTTGGCATTTCACACCTGGTACCCATGGACTCTTCTCTTTGCTCCTGTTGTTGGTTAGGGTACACTGGTATGCTCTTGTCTTGTCTTCTCTCTGGCAAGTGAACTACAGGTTGTTATAAGTGGTATCATTGAGGGGAATGGTGTTTGTTTTGTGTGTCAAAAATTTCTGAATTTCTCATCTTGGACCTGTCATTTACTAGGCATGTTATTTCCTGTATTGTCCTGAAACCTATTTCCTCATCTGTAAAACGGGAATAAAACCTATTTTCCCCCTTCACAGTGCCATTATATCAGAGGTGATAATACTGTATGTTAGTGAATCTGCTGCCTGTAAGTGATAATTTACACCATTATTTTATGCACCACCAAGAAAGAAAAATCACTGCTAATTAAACTATGATATACTGTTGATGGGAAGATGCACTCTGTTATCAGAAATTGTGAAAAAATACATATTAGAATAAATGAAATATGTTATGTGAAAACACTACTGTCCATAATGCTGTCAGTGATATTTTAAAAACCACAAATCCTATAATGTCATTTCCCTGTCCTAAACTCCTGAAAGATAAAATCAACCTTCGTATGATGAACAGCGTCTAGCATAATCTAGATCAGAGTGTGGCATCTGCAGCACCTGAGTACTTGTTAGGAAGGCACCTTCTCAGACCCTACCCCATTCCTATGGAATCAGAAACACAGGGATGGAACCCAGCAACTGTACTGTAACAAGGTCTTGAGGAGACTCTGACATATACCTAAGTTTGAGAACCACAGATCTTATTCAGGCCTATTTCAAGTTTCTTTCCTTTTGCTTTTCCTCTAATGTACCTATAGATGTTAGTATAGAAGTACTGCTAGAATATAAATGAATTCCCCTTTCCCCAAGAAATTATCCCCCGGAGAATAGTGCTGTGCAACATCTCTCATATTAGAGGGAACTATCTCAATGACTTTATTTTGAATAGCTAATAATTCTTTGTGATGACATAAATGGAAATGGTTTCAATCTTTTGTTAGTTTTAGGTAATTTAGAGTTCACTAGTAGAAATAGTTTTTTTTTTAAAGATATTTTAACACCTGTTTTGTTAATTATTTCTCATAGTTTCAAATGTTGAATGTTTCTCATGCCTTTTATAGATCATATGAAAAAGCAAAACAATAAGTGATTGTGATATAGAGAGGATATATTTGTTTGTGTATAAAACCAAATGGAAAAGCTAACTGACATGAACGAGAATGAGTAGTTATTTTTGACTTGGGGAACACTTCCTTTGGCAATACCATACATATTTAAAATGCATGCACATGCACACACACACACACACACACAATCCCAGACAACGTAGAAGTGAAAATGCTGCATTTCAGAAAACTGACTTTAGACTAAAGAGATGGCTTTACTGATGAGTACAATGATGGTAAAGGTGCATGTGATAAAGCATTTGAAATAAACTTGCTTTGTGACAATGGGAAATACAGTCTTTCCAAATAATCTATAACATGAATTTAAATACATATGTACTTGAATTAAACATTAAATATTATAAGCAAACATTTGACTATTTTATCTCTATTCCTACAAGTTTACAAAATTTTGGTGGGAGCCGTTGCCAAATAATACTTGTAGTTTCCAAAAAATTACATTACCCTGTCTGCCTCAGATGGTCTCCCACAGAGGTATCTAATCTTTTGGCTTCTCTGGGCCACATTGGAAGAAGAAGAATTGGCTTGGGCCACACATAAGATACGCTAACACTAACGATAGCTGATGAGCTTAAAAAATTGCAGAAATAACTCATGTTTTAGGAAAGTTTGTGAATTTGTGTTGGGCCTCATTCAAAGCCGTCCTGGGCTGCATGTGGCCTATTGGACAGGCTTGGTCTAACACCTCTTTCTTCTTGTGGAATTCATGTGTTCTTTGAAATTCTGTTACCATCTTCTCCATGTCTGTGATGCCCTCTTTTCTTACCCACACTGAACCTTTTTTTTTCCTGCTTCATATAGCATGTGGTGAATCTTATATCAGCACACCTATCTTCATTGCTTTGGTGCTTTTCTGCTTGCTGCTTTTCTTCTTCTAATGTGTAAGTTATTTTAAGGCTGCCTCTCCAACGCAATACATAGCTAAGTGCTTAAGATCCTGGGCTTTGTAGACAGTCTTTGTTTTGAAGGATGGTTTAGTTACTATTTAGTTATATACCATTGGGTAAGTTACTTAATGTTTCTCAGTCTCTGGACGTTGATAATAATTAGTTTGTTGGCTGCATTATTTTACGGGTTGAAGTGGCACATAGTAAGCATCAGTATAGCCTATTATTAAATTTTGTCTTCATGGTATTTAGCACATCGTAGAGATCCAGGAAATATTTCTTAAATGAGATAGTAGAAGTTTCTCTAATGATCTTTTGGTAGATTGAAAAGCAATAGCAATCCATTGATGAAATATTAGTTTACATTTCAAAAATCTTATTTACTGGTTAATATATTTGCATTGTTTTAAACAGTATTTAATTCTGTCCCTTTGTTTAAAACAAACAAAAAACACCCACAACCGCATTTTCCAGTGGCAACTACTAGTATAAATCTTTGTAGTCTTTTTCTTTTTACATAACTGAAATTACTAAAATAATCAGTCTCATTTACCTTATTATAACTGGTGCAGCAAAGGTGTTCTTAATGTGAATCTGTTTAAAACAGGGATCTAAATTTTATGTAAGTCATAAAAAAATTTAATTGGGCCTTATTTTAATAATAATAGATACTAATTATTAAAATGAAATTAGTTTTATTTTAATATTTAACAAAATTTATCACTCTTGGATCTGTTAGTTTATAGAATGAACAAAGAATTGACCCAAATATTGTTTCTCTTGTAATAGTTTCCAAAAAAATATGATTTTTTACTTATTTTATTTTTATTTTCATTTTTCATTTTTTTTGAGACGGAGTCTTGCTGTGTCGCCGAGGCTGCTGGAGTGCATTGGCTCACTGCAATCTCTGAGTCCCAGGTTCAAGCGATTCTCCTGCTTCAGTCTCCTGAGTAGCTAGGATTACAGGTGCACACCACCATGCCTGGCTAATTTTTTTTCTTTGCATTTTTAGTAGAGACGGGATTTCATCATTTGGCCAGGCTGGTTTTGAACTCCTGACCTTAAGTGATCCACCGGCTTTGGCCTACCAAAGTGCTGGGGATAACAGGTGTGAGCCACTGCGCCCAGCCCGTATTTTATTTTTACAGGAATTATAAAGGAACTATTTTGTAAAAGTAGTTGAGAGCTTCACCTCTTTTCCACTGATCTCTAATTCTCTCATATGCAAGTTCTCCATTAAAGAGCCTGTCAGTCCATTATCTTTGTTGATATTGTCTTCTACAGTTGTTAGTTGGTCTGCTGGGTTCTTGTTTGCCAGTACCCTTGGCTGTTACTAAGGTCAACAAGGCTTTTATTGCTACCATGAAGTCTTGCATATTTTGTAAGGTTTTCAGGTTTATTGAATTGTATCTGCATTCTCTTGTCAACTGCTTAGTTTCAGATGCGATTAGGTGTTTTCAGGGTGGCGTGACTATAGACAGCCACTCAGTTTCTATCAAAGACTATTAATTGACCTGTGCCTTCATTAAACTCCTTCCTTCCCTTTCCCCTTCCTTCCTTCCTTCCTTCCTTCCTTCCTTCCTTCCTTCCTTCCTTCCTTCCTTCCTTCTTTCCTTCCTTTCCTTCCTTCCTTCCTTGCTCCCTCCCTCTCTCCCTCTCTTCTCTCTTCTCTTTTCCTTTCTTTCCCTCCCTCCTTTCCTTTGCCTAGGCTGGAGTGCAGTGGCGTTATCTCAGCTCACCACAACCTCCGCCTCCCAAGTTCAGTGATCAAGTGATTCTCCTGCCTCAGGCTCCTGAATAGCTGGGATTACAGGCACCCGCCACCACACCCACCTAATTTTTGTATTTTTAGTAGAGACGAGGTTTCACCATGTTGGCCAGGATGGTCTCGATCTCTTGACCTCGTAATCCACCTGCCTCAGCCTCCCAAAGTGCTGGGATTACAGGCGTGAGCCGCTGAGCCTGGTTATCTTTTTTTTTTTTATTATTATTGTTGTTTTTTTTAATGGGGAGAGATATTTGAAAAGGGTCTGATTTTATTAATGGTTATTTCACATGTGAATATTTCTGTTACTGTTTTTTTTTGTTTTGTTTTGCAGCCTTTTCACTTTAGAGACTTAGATTACAAGTGTTTGAATAATGATAATATCCTAAGTACAAATTTTTATTGCCGTTTTTGTTTTACTTTTGTACTTAAAAACTCTTTGCAAACTTGATCTTTTTTTTTTTTTTTTTTTTTTTTAGATAAGGTTTCGCTCTTGTTGCCCAGGCTGGAGTGCAATGGCGCGATCTCGGCTCACCGCAACCTTTGCCTCCCGTGTTCAAGCGATTCTCCTGTCTCAGCCTCCCGAGTAGCTGAGATTACAGGCATGTGCCACCATGCCTGGCTAATTTTGTATTTTTAGTAGAGACGGATTTCTCCATGTTGGTGAGGCTGGTCTCGAACTCCTGACTTCAGGTGATCTGTCCGCCTCCCAAAGTGCCGGGCTTACAGACGTGAGCCACCGCGCCCGGCCTGCAAACTTGATCTTAAAAATAAATTTTAGTCTGGGTGTGGTGGCTCATGCCTTGAATTCTTAAAGCAGGCAGATTATATAGGCAAGAGGATTGCTTAAGCCCAGGAGTTCGAGACCAGTCTAGGCAACATAGCAAGACCCATCTCTACAAAAGGTAAAATTTCCTGGGTGTGTTGGCAAGTGCCTATGGTTCCAGCTACTCAAGAGGCTGAGGTGGGAGGATTGCTAGAGCCCAGGAGTTCAAGGTTACAGTGAGTTATGATCACACCACTAGACTCCAGACTAGGTGACAGAGTGAGACCCTGTTACCAAAAGAGTAAATGGACAATCTACAGAATGGGAGAAAATATTTGCAAATGATGTATCTGACCAAAGTTTAGTATCCAGCATCTATAAAGAACTTAAACAAATTTGTAAGAGAAAAACAATACCATTAAAAAGTGGGCAAAGGACATAGACACTTTTCAAAAGAAGACATACATGGGGCCAATAAGCATATGAAAAAAAGTTCAGTATCTCAGATCATTAGAGAAATGTAAATCAAAACCACAGTGAAGTATTATCTCACATCAATTATAATGACTATGGTTAAAAAGCCAAAAAATAACAGATGCTGGCGAGATTGCGGAGAAAAGGGAACATTTATACACTGTTGGTGGGAGCATAAATTTGTTCAACCACTGTGGAAAGCAGTATGGTGATCCCTCAAAGAGCTAAAAACAGAACTACCATTCGACTCCGCAATCTTATTACTGGGTGTGTACCTAGAGGAATATAAGTCATTCTACCATGAAGACGCATTCATGTGGATGTTCAGTGCAGCACTGTTCACAATAGCAAAGACATGGAATCAATGTAAATGCCGATCAGTGACCGACTGGATAAAGAAAATGTAACACTATGCAGCCATAAAAAAGAAGAGATAATGTATTTTGTGGGAACATGGATAGACCTGGAGGCTATTACCCTTAGGAAAAGAATGCAGGAGCAGAAAACCAAATACCACATGTTCTTATTTATAAGGGGGCGCTGAGTGATAAGAACTCATCAAATCAGCACAAAGAAGGAAACAGACACTGGGGTCTACTTGGCGAGGGAGGGTGAAAATAGGGAGAGGGGCAGACGAATTAACTATTGGTACTAGGCTTACTACAATAATCTGTACAACAAACCTTAGTGACACAAGCTTACCTATATGACAAACATGCACATGTACCCCTGAACCTAAAAGTTAAAATAAAAAACACATTTTGCTTGTAATAAATTCAAGAATATTGCATTTATAGTATTAACAATATGTTGGCTGTCATAAACAATGATTTTTGATAATAGTTGTATACTTTTTTTTAACTGAAAAATGGTTGGTTTATTTTCCAGAAATAAATTCCTAAGATAGAATCACAACATATGACAGAGATCATATTCATTCCTAAGACAAGAATCAACAAGATTTTTCATGCATATTGCCCAGCTATTTTAACAGTTGACGTTTGTCAACATGTGAGTGTCCATTTCAGCATTCCTTTATCTGTGTATATGATTGTCTTTAAAAACCGGGACAAATGTGAGTGGTGAAGCAAGGGCACCTCGTTGGTATACATGTCCTTTATAGGAAAAGAAATCTGGTCTCTGGGTAAATCTTTTTACCTTCCTGTCTTTCTTTCTTCATCATGCTTAAGTGTGCTGGAGTAATCTTTCTAAAGCACATGGATGGTTTTGCCATCTCCCTATTCTCTATCTACTGCTTACTTGCTTTTTTGCCAGTGTGAGAGCCTGGTGGTTATGGTCTCCAGTGTCGGTGTCCACCACCTTTGCAGCTACATTCATTATATTGGACGTATGCCCTGCTGCTGCCCAGCTGGTGGAATGCAGCTGTTTGTCCGCCCTTTGTTCTTGTTACTGCTCCCTCTACCTGAAATGTTCCAGCCTCCATCTCTGTCAAAGTCTTCCACACCTTCCATATCCATCTTAGGTATCATTCTCATTTGTACCTTTCTGTTTTATTAAAGGACTCTGTGGTTTTGGGCCCTCTTATCCTCAGGCATTCTTGCTTTGCTCAGGATGAGCATTACAGTGTTCAGCTGACAGACCTTGGTAATTCCTGCCTTAGCATTTTAAGGATAGAAGAGGCACTGATTCTCCTTTTACAAAATGTCTTCCCCACTGCTGGCTAAAATCTACCTATATGTCAGATCCAGTTCAGTCCCACGTCTTCTTGAAACCTTCCGGTGTGATTAAGTCCTCCTCATTTCCATCAAAACCACTTAGTACTTAAAATAAAAACTGTCGTGCAGTTTTTGCCTTGATTCCTGGACTAGATCCCTGGGACAGCGACTCAGCTTCGCTGTTGATTTTATCCCACCCCCATTCCCCCCCACCCACTGCCTCTGGCTGAACACAGCAGTGCAAGTTCTTACTTGAAAGAATATTGAGATCTTTTTGCTCTGTATATGATTGTTTGATATTTCTCAGCTCTTAACCTCAGTTCTCTGAGGAATAGTCTAACCAAGACTTATTCCTACTCTATGATAGTCCTGTAACCTGACTCTAGAATTTTATTCCTGCGCTCCCCCTTCATCTGTTGTGGGCACTGCGGAAGGAGAGGGAGAGATACCTCCTCCATAGCTAAGATCAAAGCTACGTATTTGATATAATAAAAATGACATATTTAGATGTCTGGATTTTTTATGTTAGCACAAAAAGGATGGCCTTTTTTTTTTTGAGACGGAGTCTTGCTCTGTCGCCCAGGCTGGAGTGCAGTGGCGCAATCTCGGCTCACTGCAAGCTCCGCCTCCCGGGTTCACGCCATTCTTCTGCCTCAGCCTCCTGAGTAGCTGGGACTACAGGCGCCCGCCGCTATGCCCGGCTAATTTTTTTGTATTTTTATTAGAGATGGGGTTTCACCGTGTTAGCAAGGATGGTCTCGATCTCCTGACCTCGTGATCTGCCCGCGACGGCCTCCCAAAGTGCTGGTATTACGGGCGTGAGCCACCTTGCTCGGCCAAAGGATGGTCGTTTTAAAGCAACAAGTGTACCTTCAAAATTTTGGGTGGTTTTATGTGCTTTGTCTGTTGAGTTGAACTCACTGCAGTTCCCTGAACTCGGTGCTGGCTCTCTTGGGCCAGCCTTTTTAAAACAGCTAGCTGTTGGTGTTTGTACCATTTTCATTCCAGCTTCAATTTCACAGTGAAAAAGTAGCAGAGAGACCACTACTATTGTGAGCAGTAGTTATGATGCAGGGCTTTTCTCGGCCTCTTCACTGGACTTGTAACAGGGGCGCCCTGTTTACTCAGCCTGCCATTCTCCAGCGCTTGCAGGAGGGAGCATGTGAGCGAGCGAGTGCGGGATCCGGCTGGCTGCTCCAGGCGCCAACACGGGAACAAGCTCTCGCAGCGCCCAGGTGAGGGTGCCTGGGACTCTGAAGCCCCAGAGTGAGTGTTACGGTATTCTCTTAGTTCTGCTGTCTGCAGACAGCAGTG
Organism: Homo sapiens; assembly: GCF_000001405.40. Lineage (NCBI taxonomy): Eukaryota > Metazoa > Chordata > Mammalia > Primates > Hominidae > Homo > Homo sapiens. The sequence goes on along the minus strand of NC_000007.14, from coordinate 105,228,705 downwards.
TGTTAGCAGCTCATCTTGCCGCTTGTGGCGCTGCCTAGGTGAGGGTGCCCGTGACCCCGAGGCCTGAGAGAGGGTGTTACACTGCTCTCTTAGTTCCGCTGTCTGCGGACGGTGGTGTGTTAGCAGCTCAGATGGCCCCTTGCAGGCGTGAGCCACTGCGCCCGTCTCCAAAAACTTTTTTTAAAGGTGTTGACATAATCTTTCTACATTCTTACATTAGGCCCATTAGGATACATCTAAAGAACTTTTTATTTCATCTTTCAAGTTTGTGTTAGTATCCAGAAATTGGAATTTCAGCAATTTCTCTTTAAAACAACATCTTTTATGAAATGTAATTTCAGAAAGTTGAGTTGATGTGCTTTCTTTATAAAGCTTCCAATGGAAATTTTCTAAACAGTATTTGAAGGATCTAAATTCAGCCACTGTACTATTCTAGTGACAGCCCATTAATTTCCCAGGTATACTGAGATTTTTCCAGTCTTTGTATAACTTTTTTTCATATGAAATTAGGAGATTGGGCTGGGTGCCATGGCCCACATCTCTAATCCCAGCACTTTGGGAGGCTGAGCCCAAGAGATGGAGGTTGCAGTGAGCCAAGATTGCATCACTGCAATCCAGTCTGGGCAACAGAGTGAGACCTCGTCTCAGAAAAAAAGAAATTAGGATATTGGTTTTCACCATTTATATTTGTTATTAAAATCTTCCTTTTCTAAATAGTAGGCTAGAAATAGTAAAGTAATAAAAATTGGATTACTGATCCATTATTTGGAGTCTTATCGTTGTTAGTTACTTTTTTTTTTTTTTTTTTTTTTGCTGAATGATACTCTGTTTTGTGGATACACTACATTTGGTTTATCTGTTCATCAGTTGATAAACATTTGGATTGTTTTTACTTTTTGGATGTTCTGAATATTGTGACTGAACATTCATGTACATGTTTTTGAGTGAATATATGTTTTTATATCTACTGGATAAATACCTAGAAGTGAGATTGCTGGGTCGTATGATAACTTATATGTTTGAAATTTTGTAGAACTGCCAGAATGTTTTACAAAACAGCAGAGTCGTTTTACATTCCTACCTGCAGTGTAAGAGATTTTTAATTTCCCAGGATCCTCACCAACACTTGTTAGCATCCTTTTACTTGTAGTTATCCTACTGGACATGAAGTGGTATTTCATTGTAGTTTGGATTTGCATTTCTCTGATGGCTAATGATGTTGAGCCATCTTGTCATGTGCTTTTTGGCTACTTGTATGTCTTTTTTGGAGGAACATCTATTCAGATCCTTTGCTTTTTTAAATTGTGTCTTTTCACAAAGACATAAGAATGATGCAACGGACTTTGGGGACTTAGGGGAAGAGTGGAAAGGGGGCAAGGGATAAAAGATAACATATATGGTGCAACATATACTGCTTGGGTGATGGATGCATTAGGATCTCACAGATCACCACTAACGAACTTACTCATGTAACCATATACTACCTGTACCCCAATAACTTATGGAAAAAGTTTTTTAAAAATTGTGTCTTTTGTCTTTTTTTATTACTGAGTTAAGAGTTCTTTGCTTTGTTACTTGGTTTGAGAATTAACTTTTAGGGAGAGAAGGACCAAGCAGTGTTTTATGGTCCCCATTCTCTCTGCTAAAATGTTTCCAGTAATCTGGTGACACACAAGCGCTAGAGGGTGCCAGCAATGAGAAACGATTTGCTGCTGAGCAGATGACAGAAATCACTGCTCGCTCTCTCTTTATTTGGAATTTTTGGAGACAGAGTCTTGCTCTGTCACCCAGGCTGGAGTGCAGTTGTGTGATCTCGGCTTACAGCAACCTCTGCCTCCGAGGTTCAAGCCTGGCTAATTTTTCTATTTTTAGTAGAGATGGGGTTTCTCCATATTGGCCATGGCTGGTCTTTAACCCTGGCCTCAAGTGATCCACCCACCTTGGCCTCCCAGGATTACAGGTATGAGCCATCGTGCCTGGCCAGAGATCTACACTGTCTTATCCTTAAGTCTGAAAGTATATTCTTTTGTTTTAATCCTGCACTTGAAAAAAGGCCTTCTTTTAAAGGGGAGGTCTTTGGTATGCGTGGCTTGGATATCTTCTTAAAACATGAATTTTGGCCCGGCATGGTGGCTCATACCTTTCCAGCACTTTGGGAAGCTGAGGTGGGCAGATCACCTGAGGTCAGGAGTTCTAAGACCAGCCTGGCCAACGTGGTGAAACCCCAACTCTACTAAAAATACTAAAGTTAGCCAGGTATGGTGGCGCGCACCTGTAATCCCAGCTACTCGAGAGGCTGAGGCAGGAGAATTCACTTGAACCCTGGAGGTGGAGGTTTTGGTGAGCTGAATTTGTGCCACTGCACTCCAACCTAGGTGATAGAGTGAGTGAGACTCTGTTAAAAAAAAAATTATTTCTTTCTTGAGCACATATATAGTGCGTTTTTTAAAAAAAAAAATCAAGCAAAATATATCTTCCATTTTGTTTATTGGGAAGAATATGATCACTAAATGTTTCATAGACAAATATTATTTTATGTTTCTTTTATTGAAAAAATAGATCTAATATTTTGACATGATTATTAATATATTTTGGAAGTCTTTAGGTTCCTAGACTTAACAGAACTTCTTACTTGGTAGTAACAAGCTACATTTTAAAGATAATTTTATTAGCACAGTTTACAGCTTTTAAACTCTAAGCAGCATTGTTCAGTAGAACTTTCTGTGATTTTTCTGTCCAGTCTGCTAACCCCCGCATGTGGCTGTTGAGCAGTTGAAATGTGGCTAGTAAGACTGATGTGCTGAATCTTTGTTTGCTTATTTTTACTTTAAATAGCCACATGTGTCTGGCTACCTTATAGGACAGCAGAAGTCTAGAACCCCAATAACCCACTTTTACTTTTTTTTTTAAGTGTAAGTTTAGTTGTAAGACATTTATAAGGAAAAGCACAAGATATTTTGGGAAAAAAATTACTGAATTTATTTACTATTTTCTCTACAGTCTTAAGAATGCTTGTTTTTTAGAAACAGCCTATTAAACTTTATAAATACAATTAAAATTGTATCTCTGTGTCTGTAATTGCAATGTGAAAAATGACTAGGTAGATTTTCACCAAATTTAGAAGGTTTTGGATGATCTGACTAAAAATATAGGATATGTGTCATACTTAAAAGTGGTTTTGTTGGGAGTATGGTGGCCATCCTCTGTTGGAGAGGCTGGCTAATGATTTGGGAGCTCTGCCATACTTCATTCAGGACATGGAGGGAGAAACTACTGGTTTCATGTATGAGTCATAAATAGGAAGTTACTAAGGCAGACGATCTGCTGGTTGGCAGCTCACTGCAGCTTGCTCTAGCGTTAAGAACCATAATGATTCTCCCAATACATATTGAAAGAGGATAGTTGCTAGCCTTAAATAAAATAGATCTTAAGAAGCTACAGCCTTTATAGGCAGAAAAGCAAGTCAGATTTTATTGACAGTGGTGTTTTGTTTTTTGTTTTTGTTTGTTTGTTTGTTTGTTTGTTTTAAAGAGAGAGATGGGGGTCTCTAAAAAAAGCCTAGGCTAGACTCAAGTGATCTAAACCTCCTGGGCTCAAGTGATCCTCCCACCTCAGCCTTCCAAGTAGCTGTGACTGCAGTCATGTGCCACTGCGCCTGGCTTACAGTTTTTTGATGGTGGCAGTCTTCTAGGTAAATTTAACTATTATTAACCTGATTAATGAAAGCTCAGTAAGGAAAGGGAAGTTTTCGATTTAATATTTTAACGTCTTTTTTATGTTTTAGCTCGTGTGTTTTAAGATTGGGGCTTTTTATCATGAGAAGTTTAACTTCAGCAAACAAATTCATTTTGGGGTCAAGGGGAATGTTTTGTTCACTTTGAATACTAACTGAATGTACTAAATTCATGAAAGAAAATAGGAATGAATTTCATGATGTATTTTAACTGACAGTTTGGAGTTTAATTTAGAATTCTAAGTGTTTTAAAATGGAAGATGAGGGGAAACTGAAACTTGAGCCAACATTAACCAAATGATAAATAAGAGATGTATTTACTGGATAATTAAAATATCTTAAAGTTATTATTATTATTATTTTTAGACAGAGTTTTGCTCTTGTTGCCCAGGCTGGAGTGCAGTCGTGGGATCTCAGCTCATTGCCACCTCCACCTCCTGAGTTCAAGTGATTCTCCTGCCTCAGCCTCCCAAGTAGCTGGGATTACTGGCGTGCACCACCATTCCTGGATAATTTTGTATTTTTAGTAGAGACGGAGTTTCACCATGTTAGCCAGGCTAGTCTTGAACTCCTGACCTCAGGTGATCTGCCCGCCTCAGAGTCCCAAAGTCCTAGGATGACAGGTGTGAGCCACTGCACCCACCTTAAAATTATTTTTGAGTAAAGGTTACAGATTCTGAATTCCTAACAGTAACTCTAACAAAAGTCTTATTGTATGACCTTTATGAAAAAAATTACAAAATATTATTAAAGGGCATAAAATCACTTTTGAATGAATATATAGACTCATAAAATATAAATATTTAAAAATATAGAATGGGGCTGCTTAATATGGTACAGATGTCGTTTAAAAATCTGTAAATTCAGCATATGTGTGTAACTCAATCTAAAATAAATAATTGCTGGAACAATTGGTTATCCATATGAAATAAACTAAAACTAGAGCTCTGTTTCAGAATTTAATCAAAAATTCCAGGTGGGGAATATATATCTAAATTTGCATATTTGAAGATATGCATAGCCTGCTCCTTAAGACCCTTGAGCAATATTTTTTATATGTTATTTTGTGTAACTCGAGGCATATACAGATCTGTTCACACACAACTGAAATATGTCTCAAGAAACAATACTTTTACCGCATGAAGCACACTTAGGTATTTTATACTTTTATTTCATTTTTTAAAAAAGCTGTGTATTGATTTCATTGCTTTCTGAGTATAGCTTGACAAAAATTAGCTTCAAGAAACTCTTGTATGTGTGTGCAAGGAGAGAGATGTATGTGGAAATTTTAGCTAAACCCTGCAAGTGCTTCATCTCTAGTGGCAGAGGAAAACATGTATGTGGTTAATTAAAATACAAGAGGAACCCCGGGAGGTGCTATAGTTGAGATCTGTGGGGGACATAGACAATTCACAGGGAGTCAATAAGGTTTGAGATGATTGTTGAAAGAAAAGTAGAATCTGGCTAAAATAAGGAAGAATGGCTTTTTATAGGGTAGAAGACACAAGGTTGAGCTGAGATGGGAGACATTTAATTTTTTGACACTTGGGCAGGGAGGTATGTATGTCAGGGACAAAGTGCAAAGAAACAGCCTTCAACTCCGTGTTCTGTCTGGGTTATTAAAATGTGGAAACAGATTCTGTGACTTTCTGGTCAGCCTATTAGGAGCCTCTTTGGAGGCCTTTTCAGGTTTGCTCACATTAGGAAAAGGATCTGGAAGGCAGTGACAAAGAATAGTTGCAGTTGAGCTTTTTTCAGCTGAAGAGATGACAGATGTTTTTTGGATTTATTGCGCTTGAGCCCGGTCTGGACAAATGGAGGTTGTGAGATCTTGTGGTCCCAACATGCCGTTCCTCGACTGGGGCCCTGGGCTGAGGCCCTGGACTGTATGCGCTCAGTGGTCAGCTGGGCCACTTCAGCCTACCTCTTATTTTTCACAAAGAGTAATTGTCTCAGTAGGAAAGTTTTTTCTGTGTCATTTGTGCCTTTAAGAAAATTAAAACTTAAAAGAATGTATTTGAATAAATGTGAAAGCAAATAGATAATGCCTGATTCTTACCACATACTAGAGTTTAGCTGTTTTTTTTTCATCAGTAAAATTATAAATTTCTCTGCTAATTCCACTGTCGTTCCACAGACGACTCCATGAGGTCAGAGGCCATATCATTCTTCTTCATGATGAAACAAACACAGAACTTTATAGTAAATGGCTGGTGTGGTTATATTTGCCATAAGTGTAAATCTTTCTGAATTATGTTTTAAAACTAATGTTATTATGGATTGAATTTCTATATTTATACCAGATTGATCTTTCTCAAAAATGTAACTAATGATGGAAAACTTTTAAGGAATGCTTTGGCATTATAGTATTTAAAGAGTTAGCACTGCTCAGAGTAGATACTAAAGTAGGCAAAAATAGAAGTTTCAAACTTACTAATGATTTTATGGTTAAAAAACTATTTTCTGCTTAAAATGCTTAAATTGTTAGACTATTGTCTTCAGTTATTGTTTGGTTAAATTTTACTTCAGATTTTAAGTTTTAAGCCTTTGATTTTAGTGCTTTTAATATTTTCCTAAAAAGGAATGTTACTTGTTAATATTAAGTTACAAGTTATTGTGAGGAACAATTCTTTTGTTGGTACGATGTCTCTCTATTAAAGTCTGTGCAAGGGCATCAGAAGCAGTTTAACTGCCAATAAAGATTCTTCCTGGTGTTTAGAGTGCTACACAGAATTTTGCAAAGCAGTTTGGCATTATGTTTGGTTTTAAAATGTGTATAATCTTTGATCTGGCAGTTTTACTTCTGGTACTGTGCCCTAACAATTTAATTGGTAAGGTATAGACAAAGATGCATGATTAAAGATGTTTTTCACAGTATATACAATCTTCCCAAGACTGGAAACAAAGGAATGGTTCAGTAGTTTTGGTAGACGTGTATGATGAAGTGCCTGCTAAAGTGATATTTTACAGTGTTTTTAATGATAGGAGAAGATGTTTATGAAAAGAGGGATCTCAAATTATATCTGGGTAAAAATTGAGAGGAAATAAATGGAGTTATTTTGGTTTATCTGTGGATACTAGGGCTGTAAAGAATTAGTTTGTTTATAGCCCTGTGATTTACAGATAATGAACAAATATTATTTTGGTAATCCGAAGAAAAATAAATACTACTTTTCAAGCAGAAAAATCACCAGTTGTATGTTAATTTTGGAAAGTTGGCTCTGTTAAAAAGGAAGATGGGTTGAGTGGGGAGAGGGATGTGGCGCCACAGATAGATGGCAAAGGATATGGTTAGGACTGTTGTGGACAGGGGGTTATATAAGGGAGACACCACAGAAAAAAGCAGCATCTTGTTTCAGGGATGGAAATTGAGGCAGTAGTGACAGAATGCTCCGTGATGCTGACCTTGGCAAATAGGTATGGTTGGGGCCAAAGTAGCATTTGGCGTTGGTGTGATATTGGTTTGAAATCCCAGAAAAAATGTACAGGCTTTCGTAAACCAGATCATCAGGCAGTGTAGATTCTTGTCTGGATTCAAGAAGGGCATGAGGACTGTTGTAGCTGGAGAAAGAATAAGATTGGTGAGAAAAGTGGGTATCACTCGCTCAAAGCCACAGGGTTTATAACTGATGGAGCTGGAACTTAAACCAAGCTCTCAACTTTTAAGACTATGCCTTTAACTACTACTCTGTACTTTTCAAATTCTAGTGACAGGAGTGAAATATTATTTAGTTAGTAAAGACAAGCGTATAATGGCAACAGCAGATACAAGTCCCTCATAATGACTTGACTTAGGATTTTTCAACTTTATGAAGGGTGTTTTGGATATTCCTCATCGTGAGTTGAGGAATATCCGTAATATGTTTTAGAGATTTTTGTCGAAAACTGGTGTGTGGGTTTAGTAAACCTTTTTATTAGACCAGTTAGCTCACATGAACTTTATTTTCTGATTCTGCCAAATAAATACTGCTAATATTTTTTGAAGTAATGATTTATAATTTATTTTTTCATTTTCTACTCTTATTTACCTCCAGTACCAAAAAATTATTGTATAGCTCTTCCTGCCCCTGACCCCACTTTTTGAAAGGATTAGACTATTGTAAAGGGAAACCTTTAAAACATTTTAAACAATTCAAGATGGCTTCTGAAACAAATGAGACACATCCTGGGATGACATCAAATCAGGGCTGGGGGTCTGGATGTCTTGATGGAAAAAAAAAATGGTTAAAGTGAGTCTTAGTGAAAACAATATAGTGACATTCAACTGGAGTGGTAAATGGTATGCTAGTTTTAGATTCTTTTGGTGGTTTGTTTCATATACTAATAAATGATTGAAAGACTTTGTTTTAGCTAAGTATGACAAGCTAGACTTTTTTTCTTAATGTTAGTTCTTTTACAATTTAAATTTGAGTTTTTGAACACTTGTATTAACTCTTTTTTTCTTTTTTGAGATGGAGTCTCGCTCTGTCGCCAGGCTGGAGTGCAGTGGTGCGATCTCAGCTCACTGCAACCTCTGCCTCCCAGGTTCAAGCGATTCTCCTGCCTCAGCTTCCTGAGTAACTGGGATACAGGTGTGCGCCACCACGCCCAGCTAATTTTTGTATTTTTAGTAGAGATGGGATTTTACCATGTTGGCCAGGCTGGTATCGATCTCTTGACCCTGTGATCTGCCCGCCTCCGCCTCCCGGTTACAGGTGTGAGCCACCACACCCGGCACAAGCTAGACTGTTAAAATCGTAAGTGGATCTAAGAATTAGGAAAAACAAAACTACTTATTCTGTATATAAAGTATTTATTTTATAGCCACATTTAAACTGCATTATTTTTCCCTATGTTTAGTTTTTTGCCTGCTTATTTTAAAAACATTAATCACTTGATTAAACCGTATTTCATTTTTTATGATTAAGTCAGATACTATTTGAGTTCTTAAACTTCTCCCTACTAAGTAGTGATGAATAGGCTATTTGGCTTACATGGCTCTAAGTCAGGTGTACACTGGTTAGGAATTTTTGCCTGTTCTTGCCACCAGTTTGTGGCTGAGTCATTAGCAAGATTCTTTACTCATGAACTCCTAATACATAGAAACATTATCTCCACTAAATAAACAGAATTTTGTGTGCTTTCACACGGTACCTACATATTTTGGGAAAATAAATGAGTAGGAAATATTACTCTTAAATACTGCAAATTTGAGTAACATTTTAAAAGTTTATGATCACTGTCAGATTATGAAATCAGAGTATTAGATTGTAGGCTTAAATAGTTTACCAAGCATTAGGCATATACTTTTTCACTTGTGATTTTTCATTCAACATCTGTTATTTAATGTCTAAGTAAGGAGCTCTACTAAGTACGTAGGGACTAAGGCTCAGTCTGTTCTTAGGCACATAGCTAACGTCATACTTAGTAAACAGGGAGTGGCTTCTAGCACTTAAAAGCCTGAAAGGATCTTGCATATAGGAGCAGAACCTAGTGAGTAAAACATAAGTCTTCTTGAAGATCATTAGTTTTAAAGGGAAGGGTGAAAAAAGTAATTCTGTTATAATGATACATAGGCCTGGCCTGAGTGGGGCTATTTAGTTTCTCCAGTGAAGAAGTCTCCGTATTCCTGTCCAGGGCGTAGACATGAGCCGGGGATATGTTCTGGGAGCAGAGTGGAGTAAGGAGACTAAGATCCTGGTCTGATTCTAACTGTTCATCATAAAGACTGTTTCTTAGCCCAGTACTATATATCCTTGTGCCTAGTGTCTCCAAAATGTTCCGTCTTCTGCCTTGGAAAAGATTGTGATCTGGTTACACTGGAGGTGTGGGAGTGTGGGAAGTATGCGCCGACCACTCCATCCAACGAAGCTATGTGTCTCCAGCATCATCCCCCAGAATGTCTCCCCCGCCCCTGGTTGTAGTGCTGAAGCTCTTGTGGTCCCAGGGTGGACTGTTTTCTGGTCAGTATCTATTTCTGCGGCCACTTTTGCTTATAGCTGCTTATGTTCTTTCTAGTTGTCATCTCTTCTCTATTCTCATTATTTTTTTAAAAAAAATTGTTGAATTTCTTGTTCCTTGATTTTTTTTCTTTTATTTGTTCTTTGGGGTTTTCTTCTTTTTCTTTTCAACTACGAAGGAGAAAAGAAAAATGAATAGGATTTATCAGTCATATTTAAGGTGTCACTCAGTCCCCAGTCATGCTTAAATTATAACTCCCTTAGGCATGCTTTTCTGAGTTGGAACTCTAAATACATTGTGGTATGATTATTTATATTTTAATAGAATTCACTAAAAATTAGTTTTACTTCACTTGTAGTAGGTGATTGAAAACTGATTCATGCAGTAACTTCTTAGGAAACATCATTTATTATAAGTGGAGGTCCTTTTCATTAAACCTTTTGGACCATTACAAATTCTTATTTCTATCTGCCTTTCTTTACCTACGTCTATTTGTATCTACTTTCCTTACTTGTGTTTGGACCATAAACTCACGTTAGTGCATTGCCAGTTGACACCCGTTAGAGATGGTAATGATTCCTTGGAGCATTGATTCTTAACCATGGGTGTGTATCAGTCACCTGGTGACATGCTCCCAGGCTACATTCCTGACCTACTGAGTCAGAAGAATCTCTTGATTCTCACTTTTGCATTTTGAAAAACTTCCACTTGTTTGTGCTGTATAGTTCTATTTGAGAACTATTGTGTTATAGCTTCCGAAAGAAATAGATTTAACTTTGTGTAGCATTTTATTTCCTAGCAAATTAACTTCAAATTCTTCACCCCAGGGTGTCAAAATCTGGTCTCAACCTTTCTCTAGCACTTCTGCCAATATTCTCCTTTGGGTACCTTGTGTGCCGGCAGAAGTGGATGAGCCCTTTCTTGCTGCCATACCTTCTCCTGCTCAGGCCATCATGTCCTCCTGCCTAGAACGCCCTTTCCTAGCTAGATCTATTGACACCTTTTTCTTCGTCATAGGCCTCTTCAATTTTCTCTCCTTTCTTTGAGAATTTTTAGGCACTCAGCCAGCTGGAGAGAACATGTATACCTTTCCACATGTTTTGTTTTTGCTATTGTATCCCCTGGGAATTATACAGGAGACTGGAAATTGGATACATTGAATATGCCTTGAGTTAATTAAAGAAGTAATGTTATCAAGCTACGTTCTGCCTTGTTTTATGCTCTAATTTTTATTTCTATCTGATCTATCTGTTAGATTCCTGGTACCATGAGAAAAGACTCATTTTTTTCTCATTTTAGCAGTAAAATAGTTTGAGCTTTGTAAGTATTTCTTGAACAAGTAAATAAGGAATATTCTCTATACTTGGGATAATCCTGCAGAATTTGGAACTGTGGGTTAGAATCACAAGATTCATGACACAAGGGAAGGAGAAAATCAGTTCTGAGAGTATCAGTCTGCATTGGTGGGATGCTTCCACTGGTGGGGCTTTAGTCCTGCTCTGTCAGGTATATGGATTTGATACATTTCAGGACAGTCTTCATTTGTCAGATACAGTTGTGCTGTATGGCACAGTGTCTTCTGTGTCTTCTGTGAATGCAAGAGAGAATAATTTATAGTATTTGGTTTCATGGGTGCTAGTCTCAGCACCACTGTATGTTTTGAATTTCTATTCCGCTTAATTAGGTAAGTCACTTTTTATGTTCAACTTTAAATCTTTTTTTTTCTCACCAAATACTGCCTTTGTCATATTGCCTTGTAGAAGTATGTGATAATTAACTGTTTGTAACCTTCTCAAGAAATCTCTTAACTAATCATGATTATAAAATACATAGATTTAGAAGCAGAGGGTTGTTAGGTGGTGGGATCGATGTTGACCTTTGCAGTTAGGATAGTCAGAGATGAACAGAGAGGAATGGGAGGAACTCCAGATATGCCAAAAGGCCTGTAGCAGTATCGTGCGTAATGTATCAAGGTGTATTTATTGGTCACAGCTGGAACCCTGAATAAACAGTTTTATTGTCACCACATACCAGAAGAGTGGGGAGGTGAGGATTAACCTTTATTGAATGCCTACCATGTACACAGTTACCATGGCAGGGGATTTATGTGTCATCTCTTTTAATATTTACAACACTCTAATGTGCATCAGAAGCCTAGAGAAATGGTCACTGGCTTGAGTTCTCATGGATTGGTAAGTGATGGAACAGGTATTCAGCCTAACCTAGAGCCTTGTTACCAGAAAGCTGTACATTTGGACTGTGGCTTGTATCTTGACTCTCCAGCCCTAGGATAATTAGTTGCAACTTTACCATGACTGTAACAGTTATTTTGTTGTTGTGGTGGTGTCTCTCTCTCTCTCTCTTTTTTTTTTTTTTTGGAGACAGGGTCTCATTCTGTTGCCCAGGCTGGAGTACAGTGGTGCGATCTCGGCTCACTGCCAACCTCTGCCTCCCGAGTTAAAGTGATTCTCCTGCTTCAGCCTCCTGAGTAGTTGGGACCACAGGCGCGTGCCACCATGCCCTGCTAATACTTGTATTTTTTTGATAGAGATGAGTTTTCACCATATTGGCCAGACTGGTCTTGAACTCCTGAAAGGAGTTTTTGGGGGGTGATAAGAATCTTGAAAAAATTACCTCCTTTCCTTCATCTCACCAGTCACTGAGTTCCTTTTCCTGGAGACAACCATTATTGGCTTGTTGCTCCATCCAGTGCTTAGGATGTCTGTGTAAAACAAATGATACATAGCATACACAGTGCTCTGCATCTTTTTATTCATCAGTGTGTATATCTTTCATATTAATACATGTAGAAGTGTTTCATTATTTTTGCATAACAACTTTATTAAAAGATTAATTGCACACCATGTAATTACCCATTTAAAGTATACCATTCAGTGGTTTTTCAGTATACTCAGAGTTGTGCAACCATCAACCACATAATTTAACTTTTTTTTTTTTTTTTTGTAGAGATGGGGTCATGCTCTATTGCCCAGGCTGGAGTGCAGTGGCTATTTACAGGTGTGATCGTGGCATATTATAGCCTTGAACTCCTGAGCTCAAGTGATTATCCCATCTCAGCCTGCACAGTAGCTGGGACAATCAGCTTGTGCAGCTGCACCCAGCCCTCTTAATTTTATAACTATTTTATCACCCCCCCAAAAAACTTCATACACTTGAGTAGTCACCCCTATTTTCTGTACCCCTCCAGCCTTACGCTGTTACTGATCTACCTTCTGTTTCTATAGATTTGTCTATTGTAATCATTTTATACAAATTGAATCATACATGTGGTCTTTGGTGGCTGGCTTTGATTTATAATACTTTAATGCTGTCAGGGGTCATCCATGTGGTAGCATCTATGAGTACTTCATTTCTTTTTATTGTTGAGTAATAGTCTGTTGTATTGGATATACCACATTTTAATTTATCCATTCATCAGTTAGTGGATGTTTGGGTGGTTTCTACTTTAGGCTATAAGAAAGTGTGGCTGTGAGTGTTCATGTACACGTTTTTGTGTGGACATGTTTTCATTTCTGCAGAGTATATGCCAGGAGTGGAATTGCTGCATCATAACTCTTTTTTACTTTCTGAGATACTGCTAGACTGTTGTCCAAACTGGCTGCACCATTTTCCATTTTCATCATCAATACTTGTGGGTTCTCTTGTTTTGTACGTCACTGACGTCTCGTTATCTGTCTTTTTGATTATTGCCATCCTAGTAGGTGTGAAGTGGTATCTCATTGTGGTTTTGATTTTTTCATGTTTCTGATGGCTAGTATTGTTGTGTCTCTTTCCTAGGAGTTTTATAATTTTAGCTCTTATATTTAGGACTTTGATCCATTATGAGTTAGTTTCTGTGTATGGTGGGAGGTAAGAATTTAGCTTTATTCTTTCACATGTGAATATTCGGTTGTTCCGTCCCCATTTGTTGAACAGACTATTCTTTCCCAATTGAATTGTCTTGGCAATCAGTTGGAAATCAGTTGACTATAAATGCAAGGCTTTATCTCTGGACCCTCAATTCTGTTCCATTGGTCTTCATCCTTATGCCAGTACGACATTGTCTTGATTACTATAGCTTTGTAGTAAGTTTTGAAATTGGAAAGTGCGAATCCCCCAGTTTTGTGTTTTTCTTTTTCATGATTGTTTGACTATTCTGGGACCTTGCATTTCCATATGAGTTTTAGGAATGGCTTGTCAAATTCAGCAAAGAAGCTGGCTGGGATTTTGATAGGGATTTTGTTGAATCTGTAGGGGGCATTTTCCCATATTGGCAAACAGTATTAAGTCTCCAATCCATGAATATGGGATGTCTTCTGTTTATTTAGGTCTTTAATTTCAACAAGATATTGCAGTTTTCATAGTACGTTTTAAACTTCTTTTGTTTAATTTATTTCTATGTACTTTATTATTGTGACTAGAATTGTTTCTTCTGCCTCATCCTTTTTGAGAGTTTTGTATGGTTGTGCCATAATTTTATCATAATGTTATTAACAAGTTTCCTATTGATAGACATTTAGATCCCAATATATTGCTGTTTGCAGACATTGCCACAGAGTGTGTGTATCACTAAGGTGAATTCTACTAAAGAGAACTACTGAGCTGCAGGGTATCAGATATTGGAATCATCTGTGAAATTTAAAATGGCTATATACTGACTGTTTATCATTTTACTGCTTATTTTAAAACTTACAGTAAGGTATTTAAAATAAGCTGTATAAAAAATGTTCTAAACTCTTTTTCAGCTAACCTTACTACTTATTAAAAATAGTGATATGCTGGAAGAGGCTCATGCTCCTTAAAAAAATGCCTAGAGCAGTGCTACAGCATCTAGAGCCTGCAGCATTACTGTCCAATATAACTTTCTGTGGTGATAGAAATGTTCTATATCTGCACTGCCCATACTGTGCCATAGCCACCAGCCATATGTGACTACTGAGTGCTTGAAGGAGGATGACTGAATTTTTAATTTTATTCCATTTTAATTAATTTGTCTTGTTGCTACCATATTGTGTAACACAGGTTTAGGATTTCCCTTATTTCCTGTGTTCTAAATTACTTTAGAAGGTAGAAAGTTGACTGCATTTGAATTTTGTTGATCCATTATATATTAGTAGTTGTGTATGCCTTTAGATCTAAAGCTTGTGGAAGTTTGCAGAAGGCTTGTGTAAAGTGGTACATCTTACATTATTTCCTGAATAGCATGAGGCAATCGTTAGTTGTTATAGCAACTTTCACCAATATAAGTCTTAGTAAACAGTTCCTTTTTTGTGACATTTTATTCACTCTGCACCTAGCTGGCTTCAGATTGTCTACAAACATAGCTTTTAGATAGAAGAGCGTATGGGTCTTTAGTTTGCTTGTTCTTCTTATATGTATATCTTATCCTAATGTAAAAGGTAGGCTTACTTTTGTATATGTATGTGCTCTAAAATCTGTATTTGACACTTAAAACTTATATTGGCAATTATAGTAGGGGTCCTTGACTATAGATTATAATGTTGGTGGCTTGTTTAACTTTGTTCTTCGGCTTTGAACTGGGCTCTTCCCTTGGCTCTTTTATTCCCCAGTTTCTCCCCAGCACTCTTACATGCTTGGAAAGGCTTTGGCTTCCAGCTGCATGGTCATGCTTCAGTATGCTTCAGTTTCAATCACCTTTGCTTCAATTTGCAGCTCAAACCTTTACTTTTCAGCTATAGATTTTATATATCAAGCAATCCCTACCGTATTCTATGCTGCTTGGTATCCCACTTGCCTGTGAAACTCAGAGGAGCTAGAGCCGGTTACTTTTCTCTAAAACCCCTTCCCTTCTTCATCCACCTGCTCTATTCTCTGTCGAAATGAATGGTACAGTATTTCAGACCAGAAATGAAGAGTCAAACATCCACTTCTAGCAAATGAATTAGAGTTGTCCTTAGGTATTTGTGGGAGATTGGTTCCAGGATCCCATTCGGATACCAAAATCCATGGATGCTCAAGTCCTTGATATAAAATGGTTTAGTATTTGCATGTCACCTGTGCACATGCTCCTATATACTTTCAGTTATGTCTAGATTCCATCACCTAGTATGGTGTATATACTATGTAAATAGTTGTAATACCTAATTGTTTATGGAATAATGACCAAAAAAAGAGTCTGTACATGTTCAGTACACATGTAGCCATCACCCCATGTTTAGGATCCATAGTTGTTTGAATCCATGGATGCGGAATGCATGGATACAGAGCAACAACTGTACTGAGTTCTGAGTTCCAGTTTTTAATCATCTCTGTCCTGGACTAACAATTGCAGCGTTTTCCCATGAATTTTCTTTCTTCTTGCTTTTATCCTTTCTACCTGTTCTACACTCTAATTTCATATGTTTTTTGCAGAAAGCTAATCCTTGTTTCTATGGTTGCATTTCAGTGGCTACTACTTGCCTCAGGGATAGAGCCCAAGCTTCTTAGCATTGTGGTTTATTCTTTTGAATTGTGGATTATTCCTATGCCTAACCTCTTTCCTCTCTCCAGTCATACCAGATTAGTTTGGGCCTCTGTGCTTTTGATGATGTGGTTCCCTGAGACATGGACCTCCTGCAGTCAGCCTCATTCTGGCCAGTCTGTAAGATCACCTCTAGATGTCTCTGACTTGGCCCACTACCATCTCTGTTTCCATAACGATACCAGGAGCAGTTGCTTACATTTGTGTGTTTACATGCACTTTCCCCTCCTCACTAGACTGTACACCCCTCAGTGCTGGGCATCTGTGTGCTTCTGGGTAGTTGTAGAATCAGTGGATGTCATTTTACATGCATTTGGACTCACTGGTTTAACTTTTCTGTCAGTCTTTCTCCATTTCAGTAGTAATATTTTCTGTCAGATCCCACAAGTGTTTTATAAAATATTAATAGTACTAGTGGCATAAGACATATGTAGTGCTGAAATGCAATTTTAGAACCAGAGGTTTGCTTTTTGCAAAGAATATATGGAATTAATGTGTAAAATGGGAAGGATAAAAGCAAGAAACAAGGAAATTAATGAGGAAAAGTTAGTCCAGGAAATAGATGATAAAAACCTGAACTCAGAACTCAGTGAGGTGATCAGGCAGCAATACCTTTAGAACACCAACTCCTTTCTTTTCTAAAATGTAGATTAGTTGGGAAGCAGGTCTGATTTACTTACATCCTTACTAACTTTGAGTTGGCTGTGTACTACGTTCTAGAAAACAGTATGGTCTTAGGAAATAAGTAAGTAGTATTTGGCTTGGAATTACAATTGTTTGCTATTAGGACTTGGGGAGTGATATAGTTTGGATCTATGTCCCTGCCCAAATCTAATGTTGAATTGTAATCCCGAATGTTGGAGGTGGTACCTGGTGGGAGGTGATTGGATCATGGGGGTAGATTTCCACTTTGATGCTGTTCTCATGGTAGTCAGTGAGTTCTCCTGAGATCTGGTTGTTCTAAAAGTGTGTAGCACCTCCCCCCTCACTCTCACTCCTGTTACTGCTCCCACACTGTGTTGCGCCTGCACCCCCTTTGCCTTCCACCATGATTGTAAGTTTCCTGAGGCCTTCCCGGAAGCTTAGCAGATGCCAGCATCATTCTTCCTGTATAGCCTGCAGGACTGTGAGCCAATTAAATCTCTTTTCTTTATAAATTACCCAGTCTCAGGTATTTCCTTATAGCAATGCACGAATGGACTCATTCAGGGAATAAGATACTCCTATTCCCAAAAGAGAACTGTTTCCCATTCTGGATTACCCAGCTTAAGTCCCCTGGCCATTTCAATTATTTAAAAAAAAAAAAATCAGATCTTTTTGAGGCCAAAGTCTGATAATTCTCCATGATCTACTCTAGTACAGTTTGAGGAACTTGGCAGTGTATTCACTTTCACTTGCTGTGTAACAAATTACTGCACCCTTAGCAGCTTAAAACAACACCTGTTTATTAACTCACAGTTTTGTAGGACAGAAATCAGGGCAGCACAGTGTGGCTGGATTCTTACTAGACTGAAACCAAGGTGTTGGCCAGATCTGCAGCTCTCATCTGAGCTTCAGAGTTCTTTTCCAGCTCACTGGTTGTTGGCAGAACTCATTTCCTTGAGTTCGTAGAACTGAGGTCTTTGTTATCTTACTATTCTTCTAGCTGTTGGCAGGGAGCACCGTCACTCCTAGAGGCCACTGGCAGTTCTTTGCTCTCTGTGGCCCTAGTTCACAAATGATGTCTGCTTTTTTTCCAGGCAGCTGGAGCCCGCCGCTCCGCTTCCACTTCTTTGACCAGCCAAAGAAAACCCTCTGCTTTTAGGGACTGGTGTGATTAGGTCAGGCCACCCAGTGTGATCTCCCTTTGGCATGTAGTGTAGATAATTGGATAACAGGTGTAATATCTCACACTCACAGATCTACCCATACTCAAGAGAAGCAGGAGATTTAACATGGATGAGGGTCATTGAGGGTCATTGCACATTTAGGTTTGATTTACACAAAGTTTTTGAACTTAACCTTTCATTAAAGAGGAATACATGAAATTATCTGAAGTTCGAAACATTATCTGGTCCCAAGTATTTTGAATGAGGGATACTCAACCTATATTGACCGATTCTACTATTAATTAGAAATTGGGTATTTCTCAAGCTGACAGTAATTACCAAGAGAGGAAGAAGGAGGGAGGGAGGAAGGGAGAGAGAAAAGTTATAGATATAGGGTGGACATAGGGAGGAAAGAAAATGAAATTTGACTTTATGTGAATGTCCCTCAAATACTAACTGAAGAAATTCATCTGGAGCTCCTTTTCTTTATGTTTGATTAAAAATTAACTGAACTGTATTTCTTAAATTGTGTCAGTTGCCATCTAAGCTGATAGCAAAGGAGAGGACATTTTTCCTACTAAATGTAGAGTTTATTTTTTCTTTTCTCTGCTGAAAAGAAATACGCAGTAGCAGCTGAGAGGAAATCGGAACTCTCATCTGGTTGCCATGGCAATTTAGAGCAGATGAGACTTGTAGTTTCCTCGGTTGTTGAGTTTTTCCTCCCTTTTCTGACAGAGCAAGTGTACATGCAGAATATAGTATGAAGTACATAGCATGATGATAATTTTAGTATTATAGTATGATATTGAAAGAAAAATATTTTTAAGTTTTTTTAAACCACATTTTAAATTTAGAGTAATGATTAGAATTTTCTTTGTAGTGTAAAAATAAATATAGTTCTTTGTGAAAAATATAAGTAGCTAGTGGAATTTTGCTTTCTAAATTAATTTCATTCCCATCACTGAAGTGCTGTGTTTTTCTTTTTTCTCTCCTCCCCTCTTTTTCTCTTTTGCTTTGCTTTGCTCTTTTGTTTTCCTTTCTCTTTCCTTTTTCTTTTTTCTTTCTCCTTTCCTTTTCCTTTGCTTTCCCCTTTCTCCATTGTCCTTTCCCCTTCCCCTTTTCTTTCCCCTTTCCTTTTTCCTTTCCCCTTCCCTTCCCTTTCCCCTTTCCTTTTTCCTTTTCTATTTTCTTCTTTCTTTTTTTCCTGAGACAGGGTCTCACTCTGTCATGCAGGCTGGAGTGCAGTGCTATGATCTTAGCTCATTGCAGACTCGCATGCTCAAGCAGTCCTCTCACATCAGCCTCCTTAGTAGCTGGGACTGTAGATGTGTGCCACCACGCCCAGCTAATTTTTGTAGTTTTTGTGGGTATTGCCAGGTTGCCCAGGCTGGTCTCAGACTCCTGGGCTCAACTGATATACCCACTGTGGCCTCCCCAAAGTGCTGGGATCACCTGTGGGGGCCACTGCACCCGGCCTGAAGTGGTATATTTCTTTATATTTCTTATAGTACATGAAAACATGTTCTTAAATTAGCACCTTGTTTAAACTTTGGACCCTTAGATAAAATTTCAGTCTCCTTTTTAAAGAATTACAGATTAATTTTCACTCTGAATGTAGCTGAGCTTATTGTAAAAGAGACTATGCATATTGATTGCTTAAATCTCTACATAGATATTTGTTTCTTGAAGTCATACATTTTATAACGGTGTAGTGTTGGATATTTAAAATATCTATAGCTGTATTGGGGTTTTCTTTTATTTTTTTAAAAATTTATTGTTGTTTTTGTAGAGATGAGGTCTTGCTGTGTTGCCCAGGCTGGCCTCAAACTCCTGGGCTCAAGCGATCCTCCTGCCTCAGTGTCCCAAATGGCTGGGACTACAGGTGTGCACCACCACACCTGGCTTCTTTTATTTTTTAACAATAGCTTTTTGAAGTATAATTCACATAGCATACAGTTTGCTCATGTAACATATATATTTTAGTGTTTTTTATTATGTTCACAGAATTGTACAACCATCACCACATTAGGACATTTTCATCCCTCCTAACAGATATCCCATATCTACTAGCAGTCAGTCCCCATTTTCCTCCTTTTTTCTCCATTTCCCCAACCCCCGATATGAGCATCCACTGATTTACCCCATCTCTATAAATTTATCTGTTCTAGACATTTGATGGAAAATGGAAGATCATACAACCTGCGGTCTTTTCTGACTGGCATCTGTCACCCAGCAT
The DNA here is from genome assembly GCF_000001405.40 of Homo sapiens. NCBI lineage: Eukaryota > Metazoa > Chordata > Mammalia > Primates > Hominidae > Homo > Homo sapiens. The sequence goes on along the minus strand of NC_000007.14, from coordinate 105,208,507 downwards.
AAGGTTTTGGAGGATCCATCCATGTTGTAGCATATATCAGTACTTCATTTCTCTTTGTTAGTGAATAACATTCCCTTGTAATGATATACCCCATTTTATTTATCAGTTAGGGGACGTTTGGGTTGTTTCTGCTTTTCGTTAAAAATAGTAGTACTTCTCTGAACACTGTGGATGAGATTTTGCTGGATATATGCTTTCATTTCTCTTGGGTATATACTTGGGAGTGGAATTGTTGGGTTATTTGGTAATTTTATGTTTAAACTTTTGAGGAACTGCCAGACCGTTTTCCAAGATGGCTATGCTATATTACCCTTCCCACCAACAATGTTTGAAGATCCTTATTTCTTCATCCTTCCTTAAACTTATTATCTGACTTCTTTTAATAGCCATTCTAGTGGGTATGAAGTGGTGTCAGACTGTAGTTTTGATTTCCATTTCTCTGATTACTAATGATGTTGAGCATCTTTTCATATATTTATTGGTCATGTGTATATCCTCTTTGTAGAAATGTCTTTCCAATCCTTTTTATCCATTGTTAAATTAGTGTGTCTTTTTATTGTTGAGTTGGAAGAGTTCTTTATATATTCTAGATACAAGTCACTTATCACTTATCACTTATGATTTACAAGTACTTCCCCCCATTCTGTGGCCTTTAAATTTTCTTGATGGTGCCCTTTGAAGTACAAAAGTTAAAAATTTTGAAGTCCAATTTAGTTTTTCTTGTATTGCTTATGCTTTTAATGTCACATTTAAGAAACATTGCCTAACCTAAGGTCGTGAAGATTTACTCCTATGTTTTTTTCCTGAGAGTTTTATAGTTTTAGCTCTTTCATGTAAAGCCTGTGTGTGAGAGAGAGGTCCAACTTTATTTATTTTGCATATGAGTATGTATTTGTTGTAGTACCACTGTTGAAAAGACTATTCTTTTACCATTTAATTATTTTGGTATTGTTGTTGAAAATATTTATGGGTCATTTCCACTGCCATTGCTGCTTATATACTTCTGATAATTTTTATATGAAATAGCTTCCTTACGGCTTTCATTAGGATTGATGAAAGTTGTTTTTTTTAATCTGTTGATAGACTTAATGAGTATGTATTTGGTGAGATAACCTGTCATGTCTTGGTCTTCTACAGTGTTGTAATTTAACCAGGCTTTGCAGTACTCTAGAAGCCATCAGAAACCACTTTAAAGAAGCCAGCCTTGGCCAGGCCCAGTGGCACACACCTGTAGTCCTAGCTACCCACCAGGCTGAGGCAGGAGGATTCTTTGAGCCCAGGAGTTCAAGATTGCAGTGAGCTGTGGATGCACCACTGCACTCCACCCTGGGCAACAGAGCGAGACCCTGTCTCAAAATGAAAATAAAATAATCCAGCCCTAAGACAGTATGGCTTGGCTTTCTCTTCTCTATTTCTGCCCTAGGAGAAATTTACCTTGATTTTCCTATGTGGTAGACAGTAACAAGGATGGAGGGATGAAAAAGAATTGGCGGTTACATTGAACTGAGACTTTCTGTGATGAACTGAGTGATTTGAGTATTGGTGATAATTAGTATGAAGTAGGTCATTAGAAGTCCTAGGAAAGATAATCATCACTTATGGCCAGGAATCTCTCAACGTGAGGCTGAAATGCCCCTCAGTACAGGTTGGATCTGAAAGGTCCAGAGTTCTACCATCCACTAGAAATACTCGTGTATAAAACATTTTAATATTGAGCAAGTAGAAAATTATTAATATAATATTTTTACTTTTTTGGGTACTGAGTCTTGGCAATCTAACATGTATTTTATACTTCTGGCACATCTCAGTTTGAACTAGCTACTTCATGTGCCCGATAACCCCACGTGGCTGGTGGCTACTGTATTGGGCAGCACAGTTCTAGATGTTTTGATATGACAGCCAGTTGAACTATTAATCAGCATTACTAAACCTCCTCTATACTTTGGGGTATCCTGACTTACCACTTTTCATTTGGTAGAGCTGGCTTTTAAGAAGCTTTCTGTCTGCCTGTTCAGTGTGGCCCTCACTGGAGGAATGAGAAGTGCCTACACACTTAGACTGCAGGGTCTGAGAATTTTGAGGGTCATCCATGTAGGCAGCTCAGCAGGTAGGTAAAGAGTAAGTGAGAGAGACATTATAATGAAGGTGCGGGAATCTCTCAAGTGAGAGAAAATGGTGGTGAAAATTAGAATCTCTTCTCCATACTGCAGTCTACTCCATTGAGGTAAAGCCATATATAGAAAATGCTACTAGTGCACTGGTTCTCAATGGGCATGACTCCCCTCCTCCCCCAGCACACACACATTTGTCAGTGTCTACACGCATTTTTGATGGCCACAGCTGGGTGGTGGGGTGGGGGTGGGGGGCTGTGTGCTACTGACATATAGTGGCTGGAGGGCAGCGATGGTGAAAAGCATCCCACAGTGCACACGACAGCCCCACAGCAATGAATTATCCAGTCCAAGAATCCATTGTGCTAAGTACAGTAGTGCCGTGCACTGGCAGCACAAGAGCCATCATTTCTTGTCTTTTCTTCAAGTAGTTTCTACAGCAAACTCAATGTGTGTGTGTGTGTGTGTTTTCAGAGAATGTACTCATTTTTTATATAAAGTTTCTGAGTTAGGAAGAAACAGCTAGCTTTCAAAGTATTTCTCATTGAGGAAATGTGTCAGACAAATTGATTCTGCCCACACCCCTGAAGAGTGGGTTGTGCTTCTTTTGGACGTCATCTCAAACCTTTTCCTCCCGCTGGGGAAGTGGCAAACTACTGAAGTTCCTTACTTGCCTCTCCTCCTTCAGAACTCTCTTTTGCCTGGGACCATTCCACTTTCAGTAAGGGCACATGTGTTAAAAAGAAGCGAGCATTTACATGGCTTCCAGAAAGATTCTTGTACTTCTGTAAGGCCTGTTGGAAGTTTTGAATGTATTCTGGAAGTGGTGTGTGTGTGTGTGTGTGTGTGTGTGTGTGTGTGTGTGTGTGTGTGTGTGTGAGAGAGAGAGAGAGAGAGAGAATGAATATTATTCTCTTTCAGGGCTCTGTGAAGAGAATGGTTAACTTGGAGTGTTATCATCACTACAATCCTGATGTCTGTTACCCAGGGAGCTGTAACTGTTGAGTCTTCATAAATTCCAGAAAGCAGCAATCAGTACATTTTCAGCTTATAAATATTCTTTAGTTGTCCTGCTAAAGATATTCATACCTTTGATTATTTGCCTTTAAGTTGACCTATTGTGTGTGATCCCCACCCCTTCCTCATGATGTCAGGTGTTTCTGCTGCCTTCTATTCCTACTCCTTCCTTCAGTTGTGGCCGTATGGGTTTTTTTGTTGGCAAGCCACATGCATTAGTGGTGGTGTTGGAGGCTCTCAGATTGGGCAAGGATTTAGAGGCCCAGTTTAGAAGAGGCAGTGGTTGAGGCAGCTCCTTTGGCCTGTCTCTTAGTGGCAGCTACAGATGAGCTTGCATTGCTAAGACCCTGACCTTCTCAAGATTCCAGGGCTGAAGAGTGAGCTTTGACTGTATGCCGCAGGCTGTGCTGCAGTGAGGAGAGAAAGGATCCAGAATCGGCCTTCCACTGGGCAGAGAGCAACAGTGTTCCAAAAGGAAATCTAGCAATAACACCAAGATTCCACCTGCTCTCAACAACTAGGGCTTAGGTCTTTGAACTCTTCATTGACAACGGCTATACCCTTAAAATAGGGCGCATGCTGGGTGACAGCAGGTGCATGGTGTGAGGAACTGGTGCTAAAGAATTTTGCTTGACCAGAACCAGACCACAATATGTTTGTCAAGCTTGTTCTTCTAGACGCAGCAGGCCTGAGGGCTGCCGTTGCAGAAATGCCCCAAGGAATGGCACTCACATGTCGGGCAACTGACCCTCAGAGCAACCTTTCCACAGCAGCCGTCATCTTCAGCGCACGCATTCAGTGGTAGTTTTATTAGTGGGATAGCTTAAGGGAGAGATGTGCTTCCGGCATCCAGATTGAGACTGTAGGGTCCTATTTCCCCGCACTGGGGCATGGTTAGGAATAGTAAGTGAATCCCATTATGAACCATTCTCCTCATAGAGCCCTGAAAGGGAATAATCTCAATCAATCAAACACACACACACACACCGCTTCCAGAATACATTCAAAACTTCGAACAGGCCTTATAGAAGTACAAGAATCTTTCTGGCAATCTTGTATATTTTAGCTACAGTGTATGTTAATCAGCTTTTATGAGTTATTGAAACCTAACCTCATTGCCACCTATTTCTATGGGAAAAGAATTCTCATTTTCAGATAACAGGAAATAAGTGCTTTCAAAAGTTGAGTGCTGCTTGCGCCTGTCTTTTTATAATCGTTGTGATGTTTTCTAACCAATAAGGCTATATACCATGGAATACGCTTTCATTTCACTTAAATTTCCCAGAATTGGTAGGAGTTGAGTGGAGCGCACTGAAATTTCCTAACATTGGTAGTTCTTGAAGCGCTAAGTGAAAAGATACCTACAGAAAAAAATTCCTTAGCTAATAAGGGCAGATTTTTTTTTTTTTTGGCCTGACTTATATGTTGAAACACTACTTGAATTCAACTAAAATGGGTGAAGTGACATTAAATGACATTTCTTCTTAGTATGTGACAAGTTTTATTTTTTCCCCCATATTAAGAAGTGCTCAAATGCATCCATAATGCAAGATGTACTTCTAAGTAAATAGCAATTTTCTCTCTGCTCTTTCAGGCCGGAGCCTCAACAGAAAGCTCCTTTAGTTCCTCCTCCTCCACCGCCACCACCACCACCACCGCCACCTTTGCCAGACCCCACACCCCCGGAGCCAGAGGAGGAGATCCTGGGATCAGATGATGAGGAGCAAGAGGACCCTGCGGACTACTGCAAAGGTGATGTGCCAAGCATGGTGGTGTGGGGCTTGCCTTCCCCATTGGGCTGTGTAGTAATTTGTTGGGGGAATGGACAAGGGGAGGAGGTAGTGATGCAAATTGCTTGGTCTTCATTAAATTAGCCTCCTTGTGTCATTATCATTTTAAATTCTTAGGTCATTGTATAGAGACTGATATCAGAAAATATTAAGTGATATGAGAGAGAATTGTAAGACAAAATACATGTATTTGTACATACATATTCTAGGTACTTTCAGAAGGACTTAAATCTGTTAGAATTAAAGGTAGTATACAGCAGGACAGTTAGAGGACATAATAAACCATCTAAAAGGAGCACTGGGCCAGTGCGGTGGCTGAAGCCTGTAATCCCAGCACTTTAGGAGGTCGAGGTGGGCAGATCGCTTGAGTTCAGGAATTCAAGACCAGCCTGGGCAATGTGGTGAGACACTGTCTCTACAAAAAGTGCAAAAAATTAGCTGGGCATGGTGGTAAGTGCCTGTAGTTCCAGGCACTTGGGGCGCTAAGGTGGGAGGAACACTTGAGCCCAGGAGGCAGAGGTTTCAGTGAGCTGAGATCGTGCTACTGCAGTCCAGCCTGGGCGGCAGAACCAGATCCTGCCTCCAAAAAATAAAGTACAATAAAAACATTAAAATAATAAAAGAACATAGAGAGGAGAAAGTGTACCAGGCTCCTGAGGGGAGCTAATTATAACTCTTGTGCACTGTATTTGACTTTCTGTTTTCTGACTGCTAAGGCTAAAAGAAAACCATTCCTTTCTTTGTGTAGCATTGAATTACATAGCGTTTATTGTCTGTGGGAAGCAAGCATGCACATTTGTTTACAGAGAAAGATTCTTTCCTGGCATTGTACTTAACGAAAAAGACATTCTGTGGGGTTCTGCCATTGTGTGACATAGTGGGTTATGTTTTCAGCTATGATTTCACGGAAGACACAGAAACTATTCAAGTGGAGTGTTCTTGTATTGATGCTTTGTAAAGACCAAGAGTTAAACTCCTAAAGGGCAAGCGTGTTGTGTGATGAATATTAAGAACAATATGATCTAGACACCATGCTTTGTGTGGACCCAACTGAGAATCTAGGAGAAAGAGAAATGACTATTCAGCTGCTTCTTTGTCACTTAACTTACTGATTTGGACATTAATTTTCTGGAATTTGGAGCTCCTGAGCCAAAGTTGGTGAGATGAATTTATTTGCTACAGATTTTAAAAATTGTAAATCAGATTCTATATAGCATTAGAATAAATGGCAGAAAATGCAGACATGTTCAGAACATAAAGCATTAATGAATTTTGGGTTCCATATGTCTTAATAATTCATCATTTATCTAGTAGATATAGATCATTTGTATGTTGGTTCAGAAACAGTGTACATTTAATTACCTGCTAAGAGGAAGAGAAAGTTACTGTACTACAAAAGTGTAGGAACTAATCTACTCTAACCTGATTCTTTCATAGGTGCACGTACTTCCACATAGAATCAGTGTGTTCCTTAGAAAAGAGTGTAGATCTTACTTAGCATTTGTCTGAATAGTGGTTACAACCCCAAAGATCTATGCAGTCTAGTAAAAGAAAAGATAGAGCCAGTTTGAAAGGTGACAAGAAGGTGTTTTCCATCCTCCCTCTTACTCTTCATTTCTTATACTGTCTTCGATTTTTCTGCTGAGGCCCAGCATTAGGTTCATCTGTAGGTGCCATTCTTTTTTCTTTTCTTGTTTTTTCTTTTTCTGAGACAGTCTTGTTCTGTTGCCCAGGCTGGAGTGCAATGGCGTGATCACAGCTCACTGCAGCCTCAACCTCCTGGGCCTGAGCAATCCTCCCATCTCAGCCTCCTGAGTCCTGGGCTTGAGCAATCCTCCCATCTCAGCCTCCTGAGTCTTGGGCTTGAGCAGTCCTCCCACCTCAGCCTCCTGAGCAGTTGGAACTGCAGGCATGTGTCACCACCCCTGGTTAATGAAAAGTTTTTTTTTTTTTTCTTCTGGTAGCGACAGGGTCTGGCTAGAACCATTCTTTAGGAGCTGTTTCCTTCAGCAAATAGGTTCTACCAAGCAGGAGTGAAAACTGTCTTGTTCATCTGGATCTTAAGTATGTGGGTCAGGAGATGTAACCAATACTCTCATCCCCTTACTATCTCTGGGAACCAGCACAGTGGACATCCAAACCCCAAATATAGGGCTAAGAATAAAGTATTCCACAGCCGGGGCTGTTTCTAGGTAACATTCACTGAACTCTAACCTTCACAGAGTATTAAAGTCAGCATCAGTAAGGTCATTAGAGATAGTAAGGTTCCCTCCTTATACCCGTGCCAGCCCCCCCCAAATTTGGTAAGTAACTTGTACCTTTAGTTAGCATTACATGTGACAGATGCCCTACTTTGAATTTTGTGGTATATTCCACAACAGTTTGTATAAGATTACTGACATATACATATTCAGGGAGTCCAAGGAATTGATTTGGAATGTCTGGAATAAGACCTGTGGCCTTCTCATTTTTTGTTCTTGGATAAAGAGATAAATCCCCTCACCCTCTGCCAGGACTGGTTGAGCTAAAATTACTAATATGGTGTTTTATCATCCCTGAATACTTTAGTACATTTTACCTACAATCAAGTACATTCTCCTATATATCAAAATACAACCATCAAGATCAGAAATTTAACACTGATACTTCACTACTATTCAGACCTCGGGCTTATCAGGTACTGCCAGTTGCCCAGTGTTGTCCATTATGTGTAATGAATCTGTGGCAGAAGCGCATATTCTGTTTTCTTGTTTTTGTAATTTCTTTTAATTTGGAACAGTTCTCAGTGTTTTCCTGGCTTTCATGTCCTTGACATTTTTGAAGATTGTAAACCGGTTATTTTATATAATGTTTCTCAATTTGGGATGCCACAGTAGTGATGTTGTCTTTTTGCATTAAATCCTTTCAGATGGTACACAGGTTTGATTTATTCCATTGGAGTTGATGCCTTCACTTGATCAAGATTGTGTCTGCCAGATATCCCTGACAGCTGTTCTTTTCCCCTAGTAATAAGTATTTTGTTGAGAGTTACTTTGAGACTACATATATAACCCATTCAAATATTTATCCCTACCCCCGCCGCCACCCCGGGCTGACTTTCTGTCTCGGGTGGACTGATAAATTCATGGATCTCTGTTTTATTCAGTGGGTTATGATCACTTACTCTCCTTATATGTTTTGATGCTTAGATTATCCCAAATTTTGTTCTTAGGAGCCCCTTCAGATTGGTTCTGTGTCCTTTTGAAATGCCTCAATCGTTCTTTGATCGTTTATTTTTTTGTTTTGTTTTGAGATGGAGTCTCGCTCTGTCACCCAGGCTGTAGTGCAGTGGTGTGATCTCTGTTTCACTGCAACCTCCACCTCCTGGGTTCAAGCAATTCTCGTGCCAGCCTCCTGAGTAGCTGAGACTACAGGCTCATGCCACCACGCCTGGTTAACCTTTGTATTTTTAGTAGAGATGGGGTTTCACCATGTTGGCCAGGCTGGTCTTGAACTCCTGACCTCAAGTAATTCTCCTGCCTCAGCCTCCCAAAGTATTGGGATTACCGGTGTGAACCACCATGCCCGGTCCTTTGATCATTTCTTTACCTTCAAGTACAGTAGGATATGCCAGGTTCATCTTGTGTTTTTCCTATCCCAGCCCTGGAGTCTACTCTTTTCACAGAGAATCCTGCTTTTTTTTTTTTTTTTTTTAAATTAAACAATAATATTTAGAAAGCTAGACCTGGGCATTAGGTGTGCTTATTACTTTTGGCTTGTCACTTTCAGATCTCAGTACAGAGCTAGGAACACAAACATATGCACCTGCTTCCTTTATGTTTATATTTATTTATATATTTACATATGTTTTGAAATCCATGAGTTTATTAATCTGATACCTCTAATACCAGAAGATTCAGCCTGGTGTTCTCCCTTTCCATCTTTGTGGTTTCTTTCTCTGATAGTAAGAGTCTGGGCTCTTCCCATCCTCATTGCGTTGACTTAGTTGATTGATTTCCCTGTATGGTATGAATCACCAGTCACCATCACTATGTCTCTCCCTTCCCTTCTCACCTAACTCATGCTCTGACATCCTTTGTTGATTGGCCCTGCCTCATGGCTTGGGATTTAATGGTCCAGGATGGGAAGGGGAGAGAGCTTTCCCAGGCTGGTAGTGTGTGTTATGTAATCTGAGGTATCATTTTTCTTCTGATACTTCACCTCTTTCTCTTGCTTTTATTGACTTCATTCCTGGAGAGTCTCTGCCCTCAATTACTTCTCAGTTTCCTCAAAATACAATTAAAAAAAAATTAACAACAAAAGACATCACATGTATTTCTTTTTAAAAATAAAATTTGTTCATCACAGGAAATGTAGACACTTGGGTTGGAGGGCAGAAGTCACCTGTGATCCCACTACTCAGCAAGAGCTGCAGCAAGCCTTCATCATTTATGATCAGCTAGATTACATCTTAACTTTTTACCTCATCTTTACAAGTTTCCCTTATTTAAAATGTATGAACCCTCAGCTGTTTTAATAAGAGGGTCCATATTTAAAGTTCTGATATTGCAAAAGCATTGTTCATTGCTCTTGTGTACTTACTTGCCTTGGTATTCTCTCTGGAGTAGGACTCTTCATTTCCTGACAGCCATGTTCCTACTCGCGTTATCTTAGATCTCCAAGAGGATTATGGCATTATTGACTGATTCCTGAGCCTTGGTTCAAAACCTGGCTGTGTTGCTTTGTAGCTCCGTCTTCTTGGACAAATTCCTTTCTCTTTAGGCTTTGGTTTTTCATCTATGATATGATAATTTATATTATATTAATGTTAATACCTAAGATTTTTATGAGGATTTAAATGAAATATATGAAGTTCATGACACAGTATCTGATACGAGGCTCATAAGAAATATGAGTTTCACTCTTCTTCTGTCTGTTCTATCATTCTTCTTTCATTGTGTTCTCATCTGTACTTCATGCTGTCTATACCCATCAGTGCTGGCTCCCTTAACTCCCTGACCGTGTCTCATGTTGGGTGTGTTTCCTTAACCTCTGGAGAGAGAGCTGTCAGCACTGCCTATCTTTTTTACATATCACCTCTGGTCTGTTGTCTGGGCACAAGCTGTAGCAGTAGGCTGTGCAGTTTATTCAGATTCTGCTTCCAAGCCCTGGGGATTACCAAGATCAGGGGCAGGGTCAGCCTGTAAACAAACACTGTCGGGAGGCCTTGTGTCATACATGCTTGTTTCATGAGTTTGAGCAAAAAAAACCTGTGTCACAGCCAAACCTCCTTTTGTGGGAAGATTTGTGTTTCATGTGGGGTTTTCAGAGGCAGTAGGGGGTGCCTGGTAAACATTCCTAGGCTGCACTGTAAACCCCTGAATTGGAATCCTTGAGAGTGGGACTTAGGAATCCAAATATTTAACAAATTCATCAGTGATTTTTCTGCACATTGAACACTAAAATCTGCTCCATTCTAAGGTCTGCATGTATCATCCTTCTAAAACTCCAAGGATATAACCACATGAAGGCACCCTTCATACTATACGTGCAATATAAGCGGAATCATTGCTTTGAACTACCTTATGTTCCTAACTTTTTCCAGAACCCTCGGTGTATACCTGCTACAAGGACATACTAAATGGTGACTGTAGGAACATTGCCTTGCAATATCAGGCTGCCTGTAGTAGCTGTCCTCAGACATGAGTTTTGTTGCTCTCTTAAATCATTCTTAGATAAGTTGGCACCTTTGTACAGTTTTCATCTCTTGAATTATTTCTGGAGACATCAACAGCTGTGGTCTGACTTGGTATGAAAACATGTCATTTCCTTAGAAATGCATTTATTCGACCTCTAATCAGACCCTTTCCTTTATTACCCACGGTATTGTCCCCCGCATCCCCAACTTATCATAGTGTGGAATTGTACATTTATTTCTGTGTTCATGTATCTCCCCCTCTCTAGTCTGAAAGGTTCCCTTTGGTCAAGGCCCTGTAGTTTGTTAACTCCACTGCATTTGAACCATCCATAATGCAGTACGTATTTTGTTTGGATAAAGGCATTTTCTCTAGTGTTGGGTTGCAAGTACGGGATAGGCAGAGTGCTGATGTTCAGGTGGATCTGGGGAAGGCATGTCGGCATGAGCAGGCTGGCATGCTGACTGGCAGATCAGAATATAGGGCCTTTGTTTCTGCCTCACGTTTTCTTAAAATCATCCATAGTTCTCCGGAATACTTAACCTGTCACACACATTTGAGTGACATATATTTCTTACCTGTAAAAACTTAGGGACATTATTTTCTTCAAAATAGAGCATAAAATATTATAAGTATACACACTAGAAGCATGTCAGATGAGTTTCTTCCTATACACAAATTGCCTTTACCCATGTGTGTCTATTTTCCATCTGTGAAAACGGTAGACTGGTTGAATTTTAATAACTCACAAAATTTACTGTTGGTGGCTATTTGCTGTCATTGGCATCCCTCCTCCCTTTCTCCTTCCCTCCCTGCCCCCCAACCCTCCGAGTCTATGACTTTGATTTATTTTATTTTATTTTTTATGAGATGGAGTTTCACTCTTGTCACCCAGGCTGGAGTGCAATGCTGCAATCTCCACTCACTGCCTCTACCTCCCGGGTACAAACAATTCTCCTGCCTCAGCCTCCCGAGTAGCTTGGATTACAGGCATGCACCACCATGCTCAGCTGATTTTTGTATTTTTAGTAGAGATGAGGTTTCACCATGTTGGCCATGCTGGTCTCGAACTCCTGACCTCAAGTGATCCGCCTGTCTCAGCCTCCCAAAGTGCAGGGATTACAGGTGTGAGCCACTGTGCCCAATCTGTGTTGTTTTTTAAGGAAAAAAAAGCAAAGAACCTTAAAGCTGCTTTAGAATTGATATTTGTACAGTAAAAAGAATAACAAACAAAAGAAATATTTGTACAGCCAAGTAATGTTGGCTGTGTTACATCAGAGGTTCTTCGCTGGGTGCGGTTTTGACCCCTGGGAGTCCATTTGTGAATGTTTGGAGACATTTGCTTGCCGTGACGGGCTGCTACTGGCATCTCTTGGGCAGAGCCAGGGATGCTGCTAAAGGTTCCACAGCGCACAGGACAGTTACCCATAACAGAAATTACTCAGCTCCTAATGTCAGCAGTGCCCAGATGGAAAATCTCTGCCATAGAAATGCCTGTTTTTGTCTATTAAAATGGTGTTGTGTGGCTGAAGTATTTTATAGACGTGTGGTCTTTACTTTCTGTTCCTTTTGATAGAAAGATAACCTTTCTTTATTCACAGTTCTTTTACTTAAAATCATTAATGCTGCACAGATACTTAATTCACTATGCTTTTCATTTATTAGTTGGCTTAATTTGGCTTAATTCAAGCCTTAAAAAGAAACCCTGCCTATCTATGTGAACAAAGCAATAGATGCTCTTGAACCTATTACATAAGGCCTCATTACATTTCTTTTATGGAGACCAAGGAGATTCTGACTCCTGATCTGTTGGTGCTTTAAATTGACAAGGATATTTATGATACAAGCTTTAAATAGCATGACAGGTGAGTTCATGGTTTATTCATTGAGGCTTGATGATGTGCAAAACGTTGTACTTTACTACAGGGCACATAGAGGTAAATGAGAAACAGCCCTACTTTCTAGATTATGGCCTCTTAGACTTTGCCACTAGAATGCCAGCTACTTAAGGGCAGAGCCTTGACCTGTCTAGCTTCCCTGGCACCCCAGTAGAACAATCTGTGGCCTGCTGAATAGTGACTGAATGAATAGACTGCTCAAATATCTTTTTTTTCATCTAAGTGTGGTTCGTTAATAATAAGTGAGAAAAGGGAAGATATGTGAGGGCTAAAAGGAAGAATGTTATATTTGAATAGAGGACTCAGAAAAGATGTTATAAAAAACTGAAAGGGACTTTGTCAGTAAAGAATATTTGGATGATGTTGAGAGTATGGGGCACTACTCAGACTAAATCCTGGAGGCAGAACAAGGTGTAAGAAGCCCTAACTGCTTGTGTTTTCCTAACAAATGGGGAAACTAAAAATTGATGGTAGAAGATTAGGTTTAAAAGCAGTTTGGGAGCATCATGTAGAGGATAGAGATGAGTGTGAGAAATTTGTGGTGAAGTAACTTTAAAGCATCACTTCAAAATATTACCAAAAATCCCCACAGAAAACCGAAAGAAAGCAGAGTAGAAACAGAATCCTGGTGTTATAATCTCTCCTCTTTTTACAAAACATATTTAGCAGGCCGGGCATGGTGGCCCACGCCTGTAATCCCAGCACTTTGGGAGGCCGAGGTGGGCAGATCACGAGGTCAGGAGATTGAGGCCATCCTGGCCAACATATCGAAGCCCTGTCTCTACTAAAGATACAAAAAATTAGCCGGGCACGGTGGCACGCGCCTGTAGTCCCAGCTCCTCGGGAGGCGGAGGCAGGAGAATCACTTCAACGTGGGAGGCGGAGGTTGCAATGAGTTGAGATTGCGCCACTGCACTCCAGCCTGGGCGATAGAACGAGACTCTGTCTCAAAAAAATAAAAACAAAAAATAAAAATATATTTAGCAAAAGAGCAGTGCCAAAATGTCAGCAGTATGTGGTAGGCCTGAGGTGTTTTTTTGAAATATACTTTTATCTTGTTGCTGCAGCACCATTTATCGAGAAGACTTGTTCCCCCACCTATTCAGTTGCTTGCCTTTGTCCATCAGTAGACAGAATGTATGGGGGTTTGTTTGTGGACTCCATCTGCTCCATCCCTCTTTTGGTCAATGCTTGCTCTAAAGGTCTGGTTACTATAGCTTTGTATAGCATGCCTTGAATGGGTAGTGTCAGTCTTCCAGCTTTGTGCTTCTCTTCCAGGATTGTTTTGACCTGTCTCGATCCTTTGCATTTTGTATAAATTCAGAGTCAGCTTATACATATAAATTTTAGATACGCCTTAATAATATTGAATCTTCCAACCCATTAACATGGTATTGTGTCTGTTTATTTAGGTCTTTATTGTTCTCAGAAATGTTTTGTAGTTTTTGGTGTGGTTTTGATGGGTTATAGAAATGTAACTGATTCTTATGCACCAACCACGTGGCCTGTAACTATGCTGTTTGCTTATTTATTAGTGTTTGTGCATGTGTAAATTTCTCTAGGTTTTCTCTACACACAATCATTTCATCATTTCAGGGCAAATGGAGGTTTTTCTTCTTCCTTATGATTCTTTATAAATTATTATTCTTTTTTGCCTCATTCTTTTATGCATGAGGTTGAATAGAAGTGGTAAGAATAGACATCTCCCTTGTCTTGTTTCTAATCTTACAGTGAATATGTAGTTTTTTTTTAGATACCTTTATCAGGTTGAGATGGATCATATATTTAAATATAAAGTTAAAACTGTAAAGTTTCTAGCAAAAAGTAAGAGAATATCTTCACAACCTTGGGAGTAGGGAAGGATTTATTAGAGAGCATATAAGAAACATTAACTATAAAATAAAAAATTAATTAGACTTAATCAAAATTAAAAACTGTTCCTGATTAAAAGACATTTTTAAAAATGAAAAGACCAGCTTCAGACTGGGAGAAGCTCTTTGCAATACATTTACCTGACAAAGAATGTGACTGGGAGGGAACTTCAAGAGTGAGATTTTGGAAAAATGTTCTGTATATTGATTAGAGTATATGTATTTGTCAAAAAGCAGGGAATCGTACACATAAAACCTTTGACTTTCATTGCATGTAAATATCTGAATTTTAAAAAACATTGATAGTAGCTAGTTACATCTGGATTGTAGGGTTTTGGTTTTTGTCTTCTTTACCTCTTTGTATTGGTTTTCTTTGTTTTCTGCATTGAGCATATATTTCTTTGTAAATACAGAAGAATATGTGCTTTTACTGCTGAAAGAAATCATAGACGACACAAACAAATGGAAACACATCCCATGCTCATAGGTGGGTAGAATCAGTATTGCGAAAATGACCATACTGCCGAAAGCAGTCTACAAATTCGGTGCAATTCCCATCAAAGTACTACCGTCATTCTTCACAGAACTAGAAAAAACCATCCTAAAATTCACATGGAACCGAAAAAGAGTCTGCATAGTCAAAGCAAGACTAAGCAAAAAGAGAAAATTTGAAGGCATCACATTACCTGATTTCAAACTGTACTGTAAGAGCACAGTCACCAAAACAGCATGGTACTGGTATAAAAATAGGCACATAGACCAGTGGAACAGAATAGAGAACTGAGAAATAAACCCAAATACTTACAGCCAACTGATCTTTGACAAAGCAAACAAAAAAGGGAACAGACACCCTATTCAACAAATGGTGCTGGGAAAACTGGCAAGCCATCTGTAAGAGAATGAAACTGGATCCTCATTTCATACCTTAAACAAAAATCAACTCAAGATGGATCAAGGACTTAAATCTAAGACCTGAAACTATAAACATTATTAGAAGGTAACATCGGAAAAATCCTTCTAGACATTGGCTTAGGCAAGGATTTCATGATCAAGAACCTAAATGCAAATGTGATCAAAACAAAGTTAAATACCTGGAACTTAATTAAACTAAAGAGCTTTTACACAGCAAAAGGAAGAGTCAGCAGAGTAAACAGACAACCGAAAGCGTAGGAGAAAATCTTCACAATCTATACATCCGACAAAGGACTAATATCCAGAAACTACAATGAACTCAAATTAGCAAGGAAAAAAAAATCCCATGAAAAAGTGGGCTAAGGACATGAATAGACAGTTCTCCAAAGAAGATATACAGATGGCCAATAGACTATGAAAAAATGCTCAACATCACTAATGATCAGGGAAATGCAAATCAAAATCACAATGCAATACCACTTTACTCCTGCAAGAATGTCCATAATCAAAAAATCAAAAAATAATAGATGTTAGCATGGATGCAGTGAAAAGGGAACACTTCTACACTGCTGGTGGGAATGTACAGTAGTACAGCCACTATGGAAACCAGTGTGGAGATTCCGTAAAGAACTAAAAGTAGAACTACCATTGATCCAGCAATCCCACTAACTGAGTATCTACCTAGAGGAAAATAAGTCGTTATATAAAAAAGTTACTTGCTCATGCATGTTTATAGCAGCACAATTCACAATTGCAAAAATGTGGAACCAACCCAAATGTCCCTCAATAAATGAGTGGATAAAGAAACTGTGGTGTGTGTGGAGTACTTCTCAACCATAAAAAGTAATGAATTTTGGAGCAACCTGGATAGGATTGGAGACTCTATTATTCTAATTGAAGTAACTCAGGAATGGAAGACCAGACATCCTATGTTCTCTCACTCATAAGTGGGAGCTAAGCTATGAGGATGCAAAGGCATAAGAATGACACTGTAGACTTTGGGGACTCAGGGGGAAAGGGTAGGAAAGGGATGAGGGACAAAAGACTACAGACTGGGTTCAGTGTATACTCTATCGGTGATGGGTGCACCAAAATCTCACAAATCACCACTAAAGAACTTACTCATGTAACCAAACACCACCTGTTCCCCCAAAACTTATGGAAATTAAAAAAAAAAAAAAAAGCAGAAGCAGAAGTGGAGCTTTTAAAAGGAATAAGTGGACCAGGCATGGTGGCTTACACCTGTAATCCTAGCACTCTGGGAGGCCAAGGCAGAAGATCATTTGAGCTCAGGAGTTCAAGACAGCCTGGGCAACATATTAAGACTTTGTCTCTATTTAAAAAAAAAAAAGTTTTTTTTGTTTTTTTTTACAAAAGGATAAAAAGAACCAGTGTAGGTTTTAAAGAGGGAAGTGCTATATTTAAGGAAGCTTAATTTGAAATCTTAGTTGATTGACATTAAAGAGAGAGAAGATACAAGGAGAAGACAAAAGCAAACAATGTTATGGAGGTACCGTCTTTATTATTCAACAATCTGTTGAGTATGGAGGGCAGTGACCAGAAAACCCCACACACTTCTAAGTCCTGGAATAATCAGAAGAATAGTACCTTCTGGGCATCATTTATTTTAGTGTACTCTGAATTATGAAACTGCTTTTCTTCCCCTTCCCCATAGAGATAGAGTGTCTCATTCTATTGCGTAGGCTGGAAGGCAGTGGTGTGATCACAGCTCACTACTACTACAACCTCCCAGGCTCAAGCTATCCTCCTGAGTAGCTGGGACTACAGGTCTGCATCACCATGCCTGGCTGATGTTTAAATTTTTTTGTAGAGACAGGATTCACTATGTTACCCAGGCTGTTCTTGAACTCCTGAGCTCAAGGAATCTCCTCCTGTTTCTGCCTCCCAAAGTGCTAGGATTGTGGGCATGAGTCACCATGCCTGGCGGATTTTAAAAATGTTGATAGAGACGGGGTCTCCCTATGTGTCTCAGGGTGGTTGTCATTTCTTTTTTGCATTGGATATCGTTTGGCTATGAAAAAGCTCTGAGCCAAATGTGCAGCCCACCTCTAACAAGTGAACAGTAATTTATAGCATGCATTCTGTATCCTAACTTCACTGTAGCATTATTCTGTTTTACTTTTTCTGGGCTATTTTTTCTGTGCCCCAATTTCTTTCTAATTTTGTATCTTATATTGTGGTTTTATAAGCTGCCTCAATTCCTTATAGAAAAAAATAGTGTAACATATATTAAAACATCACATCATACCCCATACATACAATTATGGCTTACTAATTAAAAATAGCTTTTTAAACAAGGTGAAATAATGTTGGCATTATTAGTAGAAACAGTGAAGTCGCAGTTGGATTGGGGAAGATGTTGATGAGTTTGACTGTTGATGGAAATATCAAGAAGGTGGTTAGAAATATGAATCGGAGAATCAGAAGTATCAGCAAGCAGGTGGTTTAGTAAAGAATTTAACCTTGCCTAAAGAGATATCTAGCCTTTGTCCTTGGAGCCTTCCAAGGGCATAGAGATCTGGGTGCCTTGGGCCACACCTGATAGTCTAACAGTGTGGCACATTATTGAACGTGAGGATGGTCTTTGGGACCCCCAAACTCTGTGATTCATGTCAGAAGGGAAGGCAGTTGGTGGACTGTTCCCAAACCTTACACAGATATTATAGATTTGATAGGTAAAACAGATCATATAATGGTAAGTGGTTTAAAAAAACAAACAAAAAAAGGATGCAGAGAGGCTGTTCAATGACAAGCCTTTGAGAAATTTAATGGAATGCAAGAGGAAAAGGAACACGTACAAGAAACAGACATAGCAGTCAAGGAGGTAGGAGAGCAACCAAGATATGTGTTCATTTTGACCTAGAGTGGACTGAGATGGCAGCCGTGGTGTTATTCTGAATGACACATTCCTGAACACATTCAGTTGTGTAACCCAAAGTTTATATTGTTTGAATATAGATGGGCAGTCATACTTGCAGTCATTCCAGATGTCAGTGGCTCTTGTCCTCACTTGTCAGCCCCTGCATAATCTGCCCTTTTGGATCTGGAAGTCGCCAGAGGGAGCGCAGGATCCAGACCGGAGTCCCCATGTGTGATCTGTTGTGATCCTCCTTCCTGCTCCTGGCCTGCTCCTGCTGGTGCTGCCATTACCCACTAAGAGAATGCTGTGGCGTTCTGCCACAAGGCTGTCCCCACTGTACTCAGTGCCAGAGCACAGTTGTGTGGCATGGCAGTGGTGAGAGACCAGTTCATATGTCTGCAACAGCCCCATGCCATCACGCCACAGCGTGCCCACCACCCCTATAGCCAGTGGCCTCACCCACTGGTCCCTGGAGTCCAGTTTAATTTTTTAAAAATTTGTAAAAAGAGTTATAAAAGAACTTCTAGTCAAAAAGACCAAAGCCCATGCCATCATCACACTCCTCAGATTCTTCTTTGTTTTTCCTTTTCTTTATCTTTTTCTTTTCGGAGACCGAGTCTGGCTCTGTCACCCAGTCACTGCAACCTCCGCCTCCCAGGTTCAAGTGATTCTTGTGCCTCAGCCTCCTGAGCAGCTGGGATTACAGGCATCCGCCAGCCCACCCATCTAATTTTTGTATTTTTGGTGGAGACTGTGCTTTGCCATTTTGGCCAGGCTGGTCTAGAACTCCTGGCTTCAAGTGATCTGCCCACCTCAGCCTCCCAAAGTGCTGGGATTACAGGTGTGAGCCACTGCATCCGGCCGAGATTCTTTTTTCTTTGCTTACACTTCCTTCTCCTCAGCTGGAGCAGCTGCTCTGGACAGGGCAGGACCTACTGTTGATGCAGCAGCAGCTGCTGGAGCAGGTCCACCAACCCCTACATTAGGATGAGTCTCTCGATGTCACCATAGGCCAGGGCCTTTGCCAACAAACCAGGCCGAAAAGGTTCAACATTTACACCACCTACTTTAATTAGGGCCTTGATTTATCCTCTGTGACGGTCACCTCGTTCATAGTGAAGAATGAGGGTGGAGTAGATGCAGGCGAATTCAGGGGCTGTGGTGCGGGCGAGTGGCGGGGCTGGTGCTGCTGTTGGATGCAGTGCAAGTTGCTGGATGAAGTGAGGGCCTCTCCCCAGTGTGACTGTAGCTTTCCCAGAAGTACTGAGCCCCTTGGCAGCAGCTGAGGAAAGGGCTGGAGTCTGGGTTTAGAAAGTGTCGACAATTAACATGGTGGCTTCTTCTTAGCTCATTCTCTGTCCCTTCCTCCCTCCACCCCCTTTAGGCTCACTGTAGCATAAGGGTTTTTTTCCTTTTATGCTCCCAGCTAAAAGCTGGAACACTCTTGCAAGTCTTTTTGTTAGTTGGGGCTATCCACCAATTCTCTTTAAGGGCCCAGGCATGTTTGATTCTTATTTGGGATCTAAGGTAGTATTCTAAAAACATTTACAAACAGAACCTGTTACGAGTAATATCTTTTCTCTTTTATTTCCCATTTGGTGCTAATTTAAAAATGGACTGTATTCTTAGAGTTCTTTATTCAGATTTCACTCCTTAACATTGATGTTCTGGATTCAGTAGAATTGTTAAAATTTTTTCCTCTTTGTTTTGGATCCTGTTTTAACCTGGAATTGAAAAGAGTGAAATGAAGTAATGGAGTTCCAGATTTTGTTGGGGATTTTTTGTCTGGTTTATGTTGACTAGGAAGCAGTAATTGAAAACATGCTATTTTTTCCCTCATACATTTTAAAAAATTGAGATATAATTTGCAAACATAACATTCTCTGCTTTAAAGGGTACAATTGTGTGGTTTTCAGTATATTCACATAATTTTGCAACTCACCACTTTAAAATTCCAGAACATTTTCATCATTCTCCAGAAGAAATGACTGTCCATTGACAGCCAGTCCCTATTCTCCTCCCCTCTACAACCCTTAGCAATCACTAAGCTACTTTTTGTCTCTATTCTGGACATTTTCATATAAACAAACACAATACATCACTTTTTGTGTTTGGCTTCTTTTACTTATAATGTTTTAAAGATTCATTCTTGTTATACCATGTATTTTATTCATTCATTTCATGATTAATATTTCATTTTCTGGATGTATCACAGCAGTTCATATACATTTGGGTTGTTATCACTTTTGGCTATTGAGAATATGCTGCTGTGAACATTTGTATATGAGTTAAAGTGTACATTTGTTTTCATTTCTTTGGTATGTATCTAGGAGTGGAAGTGCTGGGTCATATGGTAATCACTTAAGGAGCTGTCAGATTATTTCCCCAGATGGCTGTGTCACTGTATATTCCCACCAGCAATCCTATCTTGGTTATAATTTACTCACCTTTGTCCCTTTTATGTTTATTTTTCTTGTGACTTACTTGCTTCTGTAATTCTATTATAATGAATGAGTTTTACCTATTTTTTTAAAAAACCTTTGATTGATCCTGTCAATGGCCTCTTCAGCTCTGCTTACTACACCACGCATATTCACCATGAGACTTTAAACCTGAACGTCTGGTCAGACACCCACACCAAAATCCTTCCCTTGGACAATAGTAATTTTGCCTGTGTTGGTAACACACTGAGATGGTGGTGGTCTTTCCAAGGCTATATGGTCTGAGGTATAAAAAAAGAGTTTTCAAGACGGAAGGATTTAATAATAGCATTTAGTTTAAGCTAAATTTCAGTTTCAGGAAGGTAAAAGCTGACAGGAACAGTGAACTACCTGTGGGGAATTCTCTAGAGACTCATGTGTGGGGCCAGTGATGAGTCAGGCAGATGTCAAGGTGAGGATATATTAGCAAAGCATAGCAGATTATTCGGTGAAATTTAGCAATGAAATGATTGTAGCTTCTAGGGAGTGGGGTCAGATTTGTGCAAGAAAAAGCATTTATTTTAGTGTGACATATCTGGGCATATTTCTAGGCAGAAGAGATAAGGTTTGAGTAGAGTTGAAAGGCCAGCAACAAAGGAATTAAATGAGTGATTTTTGGAGCTAGTTGATCAGTCTTTTAAAGATTGAAGGCACATCTTACCTGCAGAACCGAGGAGGAGGTTTTGCATAGCTGTTGTGGTGAGCAGAATAAAGACCGTTGTGATTATTGTTGTATAATAAATTATCCTCAAACTTAGCCTTAAACCCCTTTTTAATTTTGTTCATGATTTTATGTATCAAGAATTTAGAAAAGACAAAGCTGGGATGGCTTGCCCATTGCTTCACGGTATCTGGGGCCTCAACTGAGACATCTCAAGGGCTTGATGTGGCTTCATGGCTGGGGACTAGAATTAACTGAAAGCTTACATCTGGCCCCTGGGCTAGAAAGATAAACAACTAGGACAGCCTTATGGAGCACCTATCCATGCCCTTTGCATATGGCTTGGCTTTCTCAGAGCATGGTGGCCTCAGAGCAGTCATACTTCCTACCTGGCAACTTAGAGTTCCCAAAGGTAACACACACCTTCCAGAGTGGAAGCTGTGTTCCTTTTATGACCTAGCCTCAAAAGTCACACAGTCTCATCCACTATATTCTTTTTGGTTAGAAGCACATCAGACGCTCATTCAGTTTCATGATTAGAGTCCATTTCTTGATAGTAGAACATCAGAGTAGAAGGGATAGTAGAAGAGCAGGTAGTTGGGGAGATACTGTTTCGGCCTTTGTTGAAGAACACAGTCCGTCAGAATACAGCAACAAGAAATCAATAAAGCAGCCATAGAGAATGAAATGATTTCCTTTGCAGCAACATGGATGAAGCTGGAGGCCATTATTTTAAGTGAAAAAACTTAGAAACTGAAAATCAGCTACTGCATGTTCTTTCTTGTAAGTGGGAACTAAACAATGGGCACACATGGACTTAAAGATGGAAACAATAGACACTGAGGACTCCAAAAGGGGCAAAGTTGGGAGGGTGGTGTGGCTTGATAATTACCTATTGGGTATAATGGTCACTATTTGGTTGATGGGTATACCGGAAGCCCAAACCCCACCATTGTGTAATATATACACATAACAAACCTGCACATGTACTCCCTGAATCTAAAATAAAATTTAAAAAGTAAAAACCTATAAGCAAGGGCATTCTTCCTACTGTCAAATGATACAACATTCATAGAAATAGAGATTTGTGTAGTTTGAAAATACCTTATATAAATCAAGATGAAACCTTTATTTTGCAGACATTAAACCTAAAGTTGACTGATAAAGACATATTCGTCCCATAGCCCAGAACATTCTAGGGGAATAAAATCTATAAAAAGATGCAGACTTCCAAATATATGTAGTTATAGTTATGTAGGTACAGTAAACTAACCCCCTTTTTTAGGACATGTATTTATCTAATTCTCTTTTTGTCTGGCATGGATTATAAGCCTTCTAAGCCTAGAGTCTACTAAGTATGTCTAAATTGCTATGTTGGGTGCCTAACAAAGGAGTATGTACAAGTTGGTGCATGAGTTAGACTTTTTGATGGTGATTAAACTGGAAAGCATGAATTATTCTTGGATTATAAAACTAGGTGGGGCTTTCGAGTGAGGCTCAAAAATCAGTTTTGTTTTCCACATAGAGACCTTTTACTTATTCTTTTTGTAGTCAGTTTGTCTCTAAGACCTTTTTTCTCTTTCTCATTTTTTAGAATAATTAAGAATTTCATTAGAGTAGTTTAGAATTTAGATTATTTACAGTGTATTATTATTATTATTTTTTGACAAGAGAACGTAACATACACCTGGGAACATGTCTTCAGTTATGAGTCAGACATGGATATGTGCTATAATATATACCCTTGCACTCCATGAACAGCAGGAGCCTGAAATAGGTCCTAACCTTTGGAAGGAACTTAATTTTTTAGTTATATTTTGAGGTTGGAATGTGGATAATTAGGGCTTTTAGTTTTAAACAGCCAGAGAGCTGTTTTCTGAGTTATTTTAATTGTTAAATTTTTTTAGTTACTAAGAATTTTTTCTTTTAGATATAAATCTTATTTCTTTTTCTCTTTTTTTAATTTTTTCTTTTAAAAGAAATCTCATGTCTTAAGTGGATTCTGATTTCTGAATTCTACTTTGACTCAGCTAAGACTTTCTCATTCTAAGATCAGTTATGTTTCTTCAGTTCATAATTCAATATATTATACATTTATTTATCTGAAACATAATTAAGAACCGAGAAATGAGCCCAAAGTTTTTGAACAGATACAAACAATGTCCAAGTTCACGTACTAAAGTTCATGTACTCAAGCTCATGTTCTTTATTCTGGAGGAAAGTCCTTTTAATGATCTCATAGAATGTCTACTCCTCCTTTGCCCATGAAACAAGGAGAAGGTTAAGAATAAGAAGGAATTAGAAATAATATATAAAAACTATCATAAAGTCCCAATAAACATTGCAGCCTAGATAAAGTGGTAAAATTCTTAGATGGAAAGACCACATGACTTATTAGGGGATAACCAGATTGTTATTAAGTATTTTTGCAGCAAAATGTTAGGCCAGAAGACACTAGAGAAGTACATTTAACATACTCAAGGAAAGAAAATGTCAGTCAAATATTTTACATCCAGCCAAACTGACCTTCATTATACAAATCTCATACAAACTGTTATATACATTTAAGCACTGAGGGAATATTGTTCTTTTGAACACTGAAGTTAAAAGCTTCTAGCAACCTAAATCAAGGAAGAGGCCTGTATAGACATACAGACTGCTTTCATTAAAATACAAAGTATACCTGAAAAATCAAATCTGTAGCATTCCTCTGGGACACTTAGCTTATAGAATACTATTAAGCGTCTTAACTAGACAGTTAAATGGACTTGAAAGATCGTGTATTTGGTTTCCATAGAAATTTAAGGGTAAATTTTATAACAACATATATTTTGTAACAGTGGTTTGGATTATTCTGTCAAGGTATCCTAAAGAGAGAAATAGCTGTGTCTGGCATTATGTATGTAAGAAATAAAGGAAAAATATTAGTAATAGACCAGGTGTGGTGGCTCACTCCTATAATCCCAGCACTTTGAGAGGCCAAGGTGGGCAGATCATTTGAGGTCAGGAGTTCGAGACCAGCCTGACCAACATAGTAAAACCCCGTCTCTACTAAAAATACAAAAAAAATTAGCCAGGTGTGGTGGCACATTCCTGTACTCCCAGCTACTCCGGAGGCTGAGGCAGGAGAATGGCTTGAACCTGGGAGGCGGAGGTTGCAGTGAGCTGGGATCATGCCACTACACTCCAGCCTGCACAACAGAGAGACTCCATCTCAAAAAAAAAAAAAAAAAAAAATTGGTAATAGTGTACGTTAACTCTTTTTAGTTATGGAATCTGAGATTTACAGGGTATCAGTATACTTAAAATACATTCAGCGAAGTTGAACACTTAGTTGTATTTGTGTGTATGAGAAAAAACAGCTTGTTTCCCAAATTACAGAGTCAAGTAAATCTCTAGACATGGCCTCTTAAAAACAGCCACGCAGGGCGTGGTGGCTCACACCTGTAACCCTAGCAGTTTGGGAGGCCAAGGTGGGCAGATCATTTGAGGTCAGGAATTGTAGACCAGCCTGACTAACATGGTGAAAACCCCATCTTTACTAAAAATACAAAAAAATTAGCCAGGTGTGGTGGCACATGCCTGTACTCCTAGCTACTCTGGAGGCTGAGGCAGGATAATGGCTTGAACCTAGGAGGTGGAGATTGCAGTGATCTGGGATCATGCCACTGCACTCCAGCCTGGGCAACAGAGTGAGACTCTGTCTCAAAAAAACAAAAATAGACAAACAAACAAACAAAAAAAACCCGCTAGCCATTTACGATCTGATATGTTAACCATTGTGCAGTTGTAGGATTCCTGCTGATCCCCAAGTGCATTTAAAATTGTGTTCTAAAGTACTCTTGGTATTGAGACATGGTTCTGGAGTGTTCTAGACTAGAATGTAGATTAGGATTTTAGTTATTGGCTTGTATAGTAATGTGACTTTGCATTGTGAGCTCTTATTCTCTAGGGTTTTTTCTGAAAAATCAGTATCAGTATATTGAAGAAAATTTTTTACACAGCTACAAACTTATAGCACTAAAATGACAAAAAAAGATGATTAGTCATAAAAACATAAGAGATCCTTATTTGTATTTAAATAATTTTCTTTGTCTAGAATTTGATTCCAGCTTTGTAAATGTATGGAGCTTTTAGTGAACTTTAACTTCATAAATGTTTGTGGATCCCGTGATAGCTTGGCTCAGGATCTTGTAAATACTATCACAGCTCAGTCTTTCTTACTAGTTTGCCTTGAGTACTACACATTTTAATTTTACATTGTAATAGAAATATGATTTTTTTTTCCCCTATACAGTTGTCTTCGTAGTGTTTTATATGATACTACTTGGGATATATTTAGATTAGTAGTTTACTTTCCCTCCTTCTGGTCATAAGAGATAAGGGGAAATCTTCTAATAAATACTTTGTTAATTTTTTCCTTACAAGTAACAAAGTCAAAACTTGCCAGGCACTGTGGCTCACGCCTGTAATCCCAGCACTTTGGGAGGCCAAGGCAGGTGGATTGCTTGAGGCTAGGAGTTTGAGACCAGCCTGGCCAACATGGCCAAATCCCATCTCTACTTAAAAATAAATAAATAAAAAACACAAAAATTAGCCGGGCATGTTGGTGCACATCTGTAATTCCAGCTACTTGGGAGACTGAGACACAAGAGTTGCTTGAACCCAGGAGGTGGAGGTTGCAGTGAGCTGAGATTGTGCCGCTGCACTTCAGTCTGGGCAGCAGGGTGAGACTCCATCTCAAAAAAAAAAAAAAAAGGCGGGGGGGGAAACAAAGTCACAAGTTTTGCACAAATCTCAAGGCTCTTCAAAGTCTGATTCAATGTACCATTCTTGTTTTCTTTCTCAGCCTCAAACATAGTTAATTTATTTCACCTTAAACTGCTGTGCTTGTCGTCATGCTATCCTTTTTTACGTCAGGGCTTTCCTCTTTTTTGCTGTTAGAGTATACGGTTGAATTTTTTTTTTTTTTTTTTTTTTGAGACAGAGTCTTGCACTTGTTGCCCAGGCTGGAGTGCAGTGGTGTGATCTTGGCTCACTGCAACCTCCACCTCCTGGGTTCAAGCGATTCTCCTGCCTCAGCCTCCTGAATAGCTGGGATTACAGGTGCCTGCCACCACGCTTGGCTAATTTTTTTGTATTTTTAGTAGAGTTGGGGTTTCATCATGCTGGCCAGGCTGGTCTTGAACTCCTGACCTCAAGTGATCCACCCGCCTTGGCCCCCGAAAGTGCTGGGATTACAGGCGTGAGCCCCCGCGCCTGGCCATCTCAGTTGAATTTTAGCCTACATTTGGTTTTTGTGTGTGTGTTTTCTGTTTTTTTTTTTTTTTACTTTTATCTTAGGTTCAGGGGTACATGTATGTGCACATGTGTTATGTAGGTAAACTGTGTGTCACGGGGATTTGGTGTATAGATTATTTCATCACCCAGGTAATAAGCATAGTGCCCTATAGATGTTTTTTCTAATTCTCTCTGTTCTTCCACCCTCCATCCTCAAGTATGCCCCAGTGTCTGTTGTTCCCCTCTTTGTGTCTTTGTGTTCTCATTGTTTACTTCCCACTTATACATGGGAACATGAGGTATTTGGTTTCTGCTCCTGTGTTAGTTTGCCAAGGGTAATGAATGGCCTCCAGCTCCATCCATGTTCCTGCAGCGGACATGATCTTGTTCTTTTTTTATAGCTACATAGTATTCCATGGTATATGTGTACCACGGTTTCTTTATCCAGTCTACTGTTGATGAGCATTGCTTCCATGCCTTTGTCATTGGGAATAGTGTCGCAGTGAACATACACGTGCGTGCGTGTGTCTTTACAGTAGAACAGTTTATATTCCTTTCGGTGTATACACAATAAGGAATTGCTGGGTCGAATGATAACTCTGTTTAAATTTCCTTGAGGAATTGCCATACTGATTTCCACAATGGCTGAACTAATTTACACTCCCACCTGCAGAGTATAAGCATTCCCTTTTCTCCACAACCTTGACAACATCTGTTAATTTTGTGACTTTTTAGTAGCCATTCTGACTGGTGTGAGATGGTGTTTCATCGTGGTTTCAATTTGCATTTCTCTAATGATTAGTGATGTTGAGCAGGTTTTTATATGCTTATTGGCCGCATGTACGTCTTCTTTTGAAAATGTCTATTCATGTCCTTTGCACACTCTTTAATGGGGTGGTTTTTTGCTTGTATATGTGTTTAAGTTCTGTGTAGATTCTGGATATTATACCTTTGTCAGATGCTTTGTTTGTAAATATTTCTGCCATCCTGTAGGTTGTTTACTCTGTTGATAGTTTATTTTGCTGTTCAGGAAGTTCTTAGGTTCCCTTTGTCAGTTTTTGGTTTTGTTGCAATTGCTTTTGACATTTTCATCATGAAATCTTTGCCAGGTCCTATGTCCAGAATGGTATTTCCTAGATTATCTTCCAGGCTTTTATTTTTTCTTGTTGTTGTTGAGACAAAGTCTTGCTGTGTCACCCAGGCTGGAGTGCAGTGGCACCATCTCGGCTCACTGCAACCTTCATCTCCCGGGTTAAAGTGATTCTCCTGCCTCAGCCTCCCCAGTAGCTGGGATTAAAGGCATGCGCCACCACACCTGGCTAATTTTTGTATTTTTTTAGTAGAGACAGGGTTTCACCATGTTGGCCAGACTGGTCTCGAACTCCCAACCTCAAGTGATCTGCCTGCCTTGGTCCCCCAAAGTGTTAGGATTAGAGACGTGAGCCACTGCACCCAGCCTTTCCAGGGTTTTTATAGTTTTAGGTTGTACATTTAACTCTTAATCCATCTTGATTTTTGTATATGGTGTAAGGAAGGGGTGCGGTTTCAGTCTTCTGCATATGGCTAGCAAGTAATTCTAGCACCACTTATGGACTAGGAAGTCCATTCCCCATTGCTTGTTTCTGTCAGCTTTGTCAAAGATCAGCTGGTTGTAGGTGTGTGGCATTATTTTTGGGCTCTCTACTCTGTTCCATTGGTCTTTGTGTTTGTTTTTGCATCAGTGCCATGCTGTTTTGGTTACTGTCACCTTTTAGTATACTTTGACATCAGGTAACGTGATTCTTCCTGCTTTGTTCTTTTTGCTTAGGATTGCCTTGGCTATTTGGGCTTTTTTGGTTCCTTATGGACTTTAAGATCTTTCTAATTCTGTGAAGAATGCCATTTATAGTTTGATAGGAATAGCATTGAATCTGTAAATTGTTTCAGGCAGTATAGCTGTTTTAACAATATTGATTTTTCCTGTCCATGGGCATGGACTGTTTTTCCATTTGTATCATCTCTGATTTCTTTGAGAGTGTTTTGTAATTCTTATTGTAGAGATCTTTCACTTCCCTGGTTAGCTGTACTCCAAGATATTTTATTCTTTTTTTTTTTTTTTTTTTTTTTTGAGATGGACTCTTACTGTGTTGCCCAGGCTGGAGTGCAATGGCGCAATCTCAGCTCACTGCAACCTCTGCCTCCTGGGTTCAAGTGATTCTCCTGCCTCAGCCTCCCCAGTAGCTAGGATTAAAGGCATGCGCCACCACACCCGGCTAATCTTTGTATTTTTAGTGGAGATGCGGTTTCACCATGATGGCCAGGCTGGTCTCAAACTCCTGACCTCAAGGGATCCGCCTGCCTCAGCCTCCCAAAGTGCTCGGATTACAGACATTAGCCACCATCCCTGGTCTTTTAATTTTTTAAGTGACATTTACCAGCTGTAAATTATCATACCTGAATTGCTATTTGGGCTACTGTAGTGAATCGGATTATGCTTTGGGCCAGTTAGTTTTACAGTTTTAAATAGCCATAGACAATACTCTTAACTCTGACCTGCTCATTTGTTAATCTGTCATTAGTCACAGTGGGTTAGAGTACTGGCAGAACAGTAAACACTAACGTGGCACATAATATATACCCAGGTATAGTTTTGAGTGAGGTAGCTGGGGCAAGTGCTGACACAGGTTAAGTAACTGGCTTAATGTTATAGTAGTAAATGCCAATGCTGATATTCAAATCGACATCCCTGAATTCAAGCATAAATATCTGTTAAGTAATTGGTAGTAGGCAGGGGTTTAGAATTATGTGTTGGCCTTGACATGAACATTTTAGGTATTCAGGGTTGCTCAATCAACGGACTGACCTTTAATCTGTGTGATTTCACTGCAAAAATGGTTTCTGAATCCATTTATATTTTTATATTTTATAAAAAGAAAACACTATTTTCCTTATTAGTAATTTAAAGCACAATTTACATTCACCACAGCATAATTTTTGATAGTATTATTATTATTAGTGTTTCTTCTGTGGTGAATGTAATTTAAATTGTGGTTTAAATTACTAATGAGGAAAATAGTGTTTTCATTTATATTTATCTTACCCTTAAGTAATTTTTGTTGTTACTTGTTTTTTTTGTTTTGTTTTGAGAGAGGGCCTTACTTTGTCTCCCAGGTTGGAGTGCAGTGGTGTCATCACTACTCATTGCAGCTTCGACCTCCTGGACCCAAGTGATCCTTCGGAGTAGCTGGGATCATACGCATGCGCCACCATGCCCAGCAAAATTTTTTAAATTTTGGAATGATGGGGGACTCTCACTCTTTTGCCCAGGCTAGTCTCGAACTCCTGGCTTCAAGTGATCCTCCTGCCTCATGTGTGATTATCAGCGGCGTGAGCCACCATGCCCAGCCTGTTGTTACTTTTTTAGGTTGTAGATAAGTAGGAATCCTCCCGTGTCTTTTGGAATATTAGCCTTTGCTCTGGTTTTTCCTCTAGAGCAGTCTCCCATTCATTACTGTTATAGGAAATATTTGACTGTAATAACAGAGATTGACTTGTATTCAAGAGTTCTTAAATAACAATGGCTTCTCTGATTGACTGCTTTTGAATTTCTTCCAGTTTCAAGGGAGTTTAATGGTTGTGCCAGAGGCTTCATTATTGTTTATATTTTTGGTTGCTACTAAGTGCTTTTAAAAACGTCCTTAGTCTTGATGCTTTTTTTATATTTAGTATTATTATTATTAGTGTTTTTGCTGTGGTGAATGTAATTTAAATTGTGCTTTAAATTACTGATGAGGAAAGTAGTGTTTTCTTAGATTGAAACATTTTTATTGATATCACCTACAGGCATTTTCTTCACAGCTCAGGGAATGTGACTGTCAAATCTTAGGAAGAATGTGTTGTGAATTTTTTTTTTTTTTTTTTTTTGAGACGGAGTCTCGCTCAGTCGCCCAGGCTGGAGTGCAGTGGTGCGATCTCAGCTCACTGCAAGCTCCACCTTCCGGGTTCACGCCGTTCTCCTGCCTCAGCCTCCCGAGTAGCTGGGACTACAGGCGCCCGCCACTATGCCCACCTGGCTAATTTTTTTTTGTATTTTTAGTAGAGATGAGGTTTCACCGTGTTAGCCAGGGTGGTCTCGATCTCCTGATCTTGTGATCCGCCCGTCTCGGCCTCCCAAAGTGCTAGGATTACAGGCGTGAGCCACCGTGCCTAGCCTGTTTTTTCTGTTTTTGTTTTTGTTTTTTTAAGAGCAGTTTTAGGTTCACTGCAAAATTGAAAGCACAGTGATAACCTATGAACTCCCTGCCCTGACGCATGCATAGCCGCCCCCAGGATGAGCATCCTCCTTCAGAGTAGTACATTTGTTAGAATTGGTAAACCTCCATTGACACATCATTTGTACTGTTTTTAAAAACTTACATTTTAACTCTTTTATGTTGAAAATCTTGGTTTTTAAATGACATTTACCTATTTGTTTTATCTTGTAAATGAGATATTTCAATAATATTCATAAGAACATCATTGACAACAAATATGCTAAGGTTTTAAGATTTTCTTGCAGTCCTTTGTGTCCTTACATTGTATCACACATCTTAATAATCTAAAGATATCCTTTCATTGAAGTAAAAAGATTGGTTGCATATGTTCTAAATAATTTTTTTTTCAGTGAAGAAAAGTGGTGGTTAGTGCATACATAATAGCAAGTCATGCCGTCTATTCTCAGTGCTTTTAAAAAAAGCAAGTCATCAAAAGGTTTCATTGATATCTCTGCATATCATGTTTTTATTTTCACTTTACCAGCTCTTTTTTATGTGTTTTTTTTTCCTGATTTAATCACTTTCCTGACAATTACCAGGTACTTTTTGGAAGTGGTTAATATTAGCGGAATTGCAGCATGTATAACCAAGAAGGTATTAACATGTATACGGAATATCTACAGTGATAAGAAAATGACAGTCCATTAGAAAAGTGATCAAAATCATTGAACAGATTCTTACTTCACTCAAGAAAATATATGACTAGGCAGGGCATGATGGCTTGCGCCTGTAATCCCAGCACTTTGGGAGGCCGGGGCAGGCGGATCACCTGAGGTCAAGAGTTCAAGAACAGCCTGGCCAACATGGTGAAACCCTGTCTCTACTAAAAATACAAAAATTAGCCAGGCGTGGTATATATATATATACACACACACACACACACACACACATATACACACATACATACATACATACACACACACACACACATACACATACATATATATGTACACACACACATGCATACATCTATATATATGTATGTAAAACCATATGCCACTGTGCATATATATATATACACACACGTATACACACACACACACACACACATATATACATACACACACACACACACACACACATATATGCAAAACCACATACATCTCTGTGGCTTGTCTGTGAATAAAGATAAATTTTATTTCTTTTTTTTCCAGCAGTGATGCCTTTTTATTTATTTTGCATGACTGTACTAGTTAGAGCTTCCAAAACAGCAGACTAGAAATGGGGAGAGCAGACATCCTTATCTTGTTTCTGATATTAGGGGGAAAGCATTTGGTCTTTAATAGTTAAATCTGATGTTATCTGTGGGCTTTTCATTGATGTTCCTCTATTCCTGCTTCATTGAGAATTGTGATCAAGAATGAATGTTTCATATTGTCAGATGATTTTCTGTGTCTGATGTGCTCATCATATAGATTTTCTTTTTTAGCATATTAATTATGATGAATTACATCAGTTGGATTTTGAATACTGACCCAAGTTTGTGTTCCTGGAATAAACCCCATTTGATCATGATGTTTTATCCTTTTGATATATTATTTGATTTGATTTGTTGAACGTTTGTCTGGAACGTTTGTATCCACATTATGAGGAAAATTGGTCTGCAGTTTTCTTATAATGTCTTTGCCTGGCTTTGGAATAAAAAATGCTGGCTTCATAGGATCAAAACTGGAAGTATTTCCTCTTTTTTTACTTTTTAGGAGGAATTTGTAGTATTTTTTTCATAATATCAAGATAAAATATACCAATGCATTTTTTATGGGAAGATTTTGAACAATAAATTCATTTTTTAAAATAGATACATGGTTTTTCAGATTTTTTTTTCTGTTTGGACCTTGAGTGGTTTGTGACTTTTCAGGTATTTGTCCATTTTATCTAAGTTTTCACATGTATAGGTATAACATGATAATATTCCCTTCTATCTTTTTAATACCTCAAAAATACATAGTGACATTACCTCACTCATTGCTCATGATGGTAATTTGTGTTTTCTCTCACTGCCCAATCTGCCTGGCCCGAAATTTGTTAATTGCTTTTATTTTCTTAAAGAACCAGCTTTTGTTTTCACTGATTTTCTCGACTGTTCTTATGCTTTTTTGTTTTACTTATTTATAGTTCATATTATTATTATATTTTCATTCTTCCGTTTGCTTTGGGTTAAGTTTGCTATTTTTTTAGTTTTCTAAGGTGGAAACTAAGATTACTTTTTTGAGATCTTTTCTGGTATAGGCATTTAGTGCTATAAATTTCCCTCTGAGTTTGCTTTAACAGCATTTCATAGATTCTGATATATTAAGTTTTCATTTTCACTTAATGTAAGAAATACTTGCTATTTTCTTTTTGATTTCTTCTTTATCCCATGGGTTATTTTTGAATTGTGTTACTTAGTTTCCAAATTTCTGAGTATTTTCTCTTCTTGGTTTGTAATTTAATTCTGTTATGGTCTGAGGACATACTTTGTGTGATTTGAATCCTCTTCTTTCTTTCTTTTTTTTTTTTTGAAACGGAGTTTAACTCTGTGGCCCAGGCTGCAGTGCAGTGGTGTGATCTCGACTCCGCAACCTCTGCCTCCTGGGTTCAAGAGATTCTGCCTCATCATCCCAAATAGCTGGGACTACAGGCGTGCACCACCACGCCCAGCTAATTTTTGTATTTTTAGTAAGAGAGGCGTTTTTGTCACATTAGCCAGGCTGGTCTTGAATTCCTGACTTCAGGTGATCCACCTGCCTCGGCCTCCCAAATTGTTGTGATTACAGGCATGAGCCACCATGCCCAGCCGAATCCTCTTATTTCTATTGAGACTTGTTTTATGGTCTAGTACATTATATATCTTGGTAAATGTTTTGTGTGCCCTTGAAAAGAGTATTTGTTGTTGAGTGTAGTGATCTATAAATGGTAATTAGGTCAAGCTGGTTGATAGTGTGTTCAAATCTTCCATATCCTTACTGATTTTATGTCTGCTTGCTTTTATCAGTTTTGGGGGAAGGAAATATTAAAATCTTCAGTGACACAGAATGTGTCTTTATGTTATGTTACTGTGAACAAATTTCTTTTTTCCACCCCTTCCTTTTTTTAATCATTGTGTGTGTTGGGGGTGATTCTCAGCTTTCCCTAGTCCTTTGAAAGTTTTCAGTGGTTATGTAGAGAAACCCCACAATCAGAGGGCTGAGAAAGCATTCTCAGCGGAACTCAGGTAATACTTAATATTATCTTTATTAAGAAAATAAAGAGACTTTGTTGAAAATACTTCCAGAACATTGTCATGGAGTTCTGAACTTCTGGTTAACTCCATAAATAGAATCTATTTTTGCTAGGCAAGGAAAAGGGAACCTTTATCTTTGGCCAGTAAGTCTCCCAAATAGGTAAAAAGGAGAGTTTTAAAATTTTCTTCTTTGGAGTCTTCTTATTAGCATAGGTAGAGTTTTAGTTACAGAAATCTTGGCTGTGCTAGAGGCATGGAAGTAGAAGAAACCAGAGCAATGAATTTAATGGTTACTTAACAGTTTGTTCTTGTTCTCTTTGTGTTTGTAATCCGATAAGAGTTTTTTTTTTTTTTTATTAGAGACAGGGTCTCACTGTACTGCCCAGGCTGGTGTCGAACTCTTGGGCTCAAACAATCCACCTGCCTCAGCCTTCCAAAGTGCTAGGATTACAGGTGTGAGCCACTGCACCCGGCTAAGATTTGTTTTTTTAAGCAGCCAAAAAAAAAAAAAAAAACACCAACACACAACTATTTGATAAATGCATGGTTTTTATATTAAATAGTACAAATAGTGAAGTGTACAGGTGTTATCAACCAAACTCTTAAGTCATGGTGATCTTCAAGTGCCTGAGGCTTTCTGGCACCCTGCCTAATGCTATTAGCAGGGTCCATAGCAGTGTTATTGTCCCATACTCCTTTTCTGTTCTCTGGTGAAGCAGCAAACTGAATAAAGTTTGAGTCTTTGTCTAGTGACTGTACTTGTTTTCTTGTGTGCTGGGCAATGTGGTAGACCATGGGGTTCCATTGCTAATAGCCATTATGGTGCACATAGTTAACTAAGCCCAGGGAATTGGGGTCATTTCTGGTGGAGTTACTGGAGTGTTCATTTTTTCAGATTCCCTGGGTATTAGGTTAGTGTGGTCTGGTGCACGGGGACAGAGACCACTCTTCTGGCAGCATGGGTGTTAGAGGAGATGCCCTGTGAGCAAGGCTGCCATTCTGTGAGAAGGGAATGAAAAATGAATGGTCAGAAGATACTTGATTGTGTAGGAAACCAGGAGTTACAATATGAGAATATACATAGACTTGAAATTGTGTATATCACGTTTTCAAAATAGAAGTAAGTTAAGTGCGTTATACTTTCAGTTGTTTTAAAAATACTATTACTAGCCAGGCATGGTGGCATGTACTTCTTGGAGGCTGAGTTGAGAAGATTGCTTGAACCCAGGAGTTCAAGGATGTAGTAAGCCCTGTTCGTGCTGCTCTACTGCACTCCAGCCTGGGTGACAGAGCTAGCCCGCATCTCTTTAAAAAAAAAATGCCCCTCTTGTGTAATTTGCCTTTTTATAGAGATAATATTTTTAGCTAGACTGAGGGCTTCAGGGATACTTTACTCCAGTAGTAATTTTGTTGTTGTTAGCTTTCAAAGCCCTTGAGAAAAGGAGCTGCTATGCTTACACTGTGATTACATTGGAAATAGTGCTCTTCTGTTTTTGCTCACATGTATACACTTCGGCTAATTGAGAATTTGAATCTGAAACATATACTAGTGATACAGGTTTCTTTTTATGCATAAATTATTTTTAAATTTAGTGACAAATATTAGCAATAATGTACGTTTAAGTAGTATATAGATTTTAATTAAGACATCCCATGTTTTCTGTGTACTAAGACCAGGAAGCAGTCCTCTAGTTATTAAAATTGGAGTGTATTTCTTACTAGTTGATAAAACATGGGTTTTGGAGTCATACCTAGTTTCCAGCCGTGAACCTAGTACTTCATAATCTATGATACTTGGTGTTCTCTGTAGCATTGTAGAAATAATACCATCTACTTTGTATGGTGGTTTCAAGAATTATGGTAGATCAGTCTTTCCTAAATACTTGTGTTATAAAATGTAACTAGGTCTCTGAAGAAATAATTCCATGAACACGTATGTCAGGAATATGCAGCATTTTCTGTTCTCTTAAAGGTTCTCACTCTGTATTAAAACATTAGGCCTATGGTCAAGAAATCTGCTTTTCTTTGTTCAACACTGCGTTTCTCAAACAGAACTTCTCCCTTCTTCCTTCCTACTCCCCTGCTCCTCTATTGAACACCTGCAGTATATTATAGTTTATTTTTGTTTCATGGAACATAGTTTTGAAAATAAAGTGCCTCGCACAGTGTTCCTAATTATACTGGATAAACTGTTTCATTTCCTGCTTTGAATGTTAATTTTAATGGTTTGAAAACTGTATTGTAGGCTGGGCGCAGTGGCTCATGCCTGTAATCCCAGCATTTTGGGAGGCCAAGGTGGGTGGATCACCTGAGGTCAAGAGTTAGAGACCAGCCTGACCAACATGGCAAAACCCTGTCTCTACTAAAAACGCAAAAATTAGCCAGGTGTGGTGGTGCAAGCCTGTAATCCCAGCTACATGGGAGGCTGAGGCAGGAGAATGGCTTGAACCCAGGAGGTGGAGGTTGCAGTGAGCCGAGATGGCCAGTGCACTCTAGCCTGGGTAACAGCGAAACTCGGTCTCAAAAAATATAAATAAATAAATAAATAAATAACTGTATTATAAACTCAGAGCTCATTTCTTTTAATTAATTTTAGTTTAATCTTCTAAGTAGTAAGCCATTTAATAATTTGCTACATTTTATTCCTAATTCACTATCATTTAGTTCATATATTTAGCCCAAAATGTTGTCATACACCTTGAGATTCAAATCCAGGACAAGCAAGTGCAGAGGCAGTAGAAGGGTAAGAATCTCACGAACTCAGTATCTGGTCAGATTCCTGCTTCACTAATCCAACACAATTTAAATGTTCAGAAATATATTCTTGAAGTATTATTGAGAGCCCTCTGGGAATATATTGAAGGATCTGGTTAGATACTTCCTATAACTGCTCTAGAGCTCTTAAGACTAGGCACAAGCCATCCACATCTTTATTGAGTAATTTGTAAGAATTCTGCAGATTAAAAAAGAAATAACATCTTTACAATAAAAAAGCAAATGTTAAAAGAATGAAAAATCTGTTTCCAAAGTAAAAAAGTAGTAAAATATTGTTTTAGAAAAATTGAAGAAATTGAAAAAGCATAGATAAAAAGAATAAAATGTAGATAAAGAGACTTAAGAGTAATTTTATACCCAGGAATGTCCATTCCTAACATCTTATCCTCCGTATTTCACAAAAAGTGTACCATATTATCCATGCTAGTTTGTAGCTTGCTTATTCTGCTTAAAAATGCGAAGTGAAGAACTTCTCATGCCAGATATCAGTGAGGCACCCTACTTGCCCTCAAGAATCTACCTTAATAGGGTGCCCTCTATAGCTGATTTCTTCCTCTCCCTTCCCGTCCCCTCCCCTCCCCTCCCCTTTCTTTCTTTTCTTTTTTCTTTTCCTTGCCTGCCTTTCCTTCCTTCCTTCCTTCCTTCCTCTCTTTCTTTCTTTCTTTCTCTTTCTTTCTTTCTTTCTCTTTCTTTCTCTTTCTTTCTTTCTTTCTTTCTTTCTTTCTTTCCTTTTTCTTTTTCTTTCTCCTTTCTTTCTTTCTTTCTTTCTTTCTTTCTTTCTTTCTTTCTTTCTTTCTTTCTTTCTTTCTTTCTTTCTTTCTTTCTTCCTTTCTTTCTCTTTCTCTCCCTCTCTCTCTCCCTCCCTCCCTCCCTCCCTCCCGTCCTTCCTTCCTTCCTTCCTTCCTTCCTTCCTTCCTCCCTTTCTTCCCTTTCTTTCCTTTTCTTTCTTTCTTGTCTTTCTTGTCTTTCTTGGTGGAGTCTCACTCTGTAACCCAGGCTGGAGTGCAGTGGCTTGATCTTGGCTCACTGTAACCTCTGCTTCCTGGGTTCAAGCAATTCTTCTTCATCAGCCTCCCGAGTAGCTGGGATTACAGGAGTTCGCCAGCACACCTGACTAATTTTTTGTATTTTTAGTAGAGATGGGGTTTCACCGTGTTGGCCAGGCTGGTCTTGAACTCCAGACCTCAGGTGATCTGCCCGCCTTGGCCTCCCAAAGTGCTGGGATTACAGGTGTGAGCCACCGTGCCCGGCCTCATTTCTTCATTTGTGAGGAATGTTTCCAGGCAGGAGTTAGGAGTTGGCAGAAGAGTGATGAGAGGAACAAGCCCTGTTAGAGGGTAAATTAAGACATCATTGTACAGTTTCTAGTTATTAATAAACCATTAATGTATGCAGAATTATACAGAGTAAACATTGTTTATTTTGGTCAGTTTTCTTGCACATATCCAAAAAGATTTGAATTTAACTTGTTTAGGAGAAAAAAAGTCTTTAAATACCAAGAGCTGGTATGTGCATAACGTACACACCTAGATTGAAATACAGAACCTTGGCCAGGTGTGGTGGCTCATGCCTATAATCCCAGCACTTTGGGAGGGGAGATGTGCGGATTGTTTGAGCCTAGGAGTTCAAGACCAACCTGGGTAATGTGGTGAAACCCTGTCCCTACAAAAAATACAAAAATTAGCTGGGCATGGTGGTGTGTGCCTGTAGTTCCAGCTACCTGGGAGGCTGAGGTGGGAGGACCTCTTCAGCCTGGGAATCAGAGGTTGCATTGAGCTGAGATCATGCCATTGCACTCCAGTCTAGACAACAGAGTGAGACCCTGTCTTAAAAATAAATAAGTAAATAGAGAACCTCAAGTTATCATTACGGTGTGCTAGATGGTTCATTGCCTCTTTAAATTAAATTAAAACAAGAAGTCTAATAGGAATTCATAGAACACTTTTTGGTCAGGCTGTCTGGATTGCAGTCGCACACTTTTCACTCAGGCTCATTGCAGCCTCCACCTCCCAGTTTCAAGTGATTCTCTCCCCTCAGCCTCCTAAGTAGCTGGGATTACAGGTGCTCGCCACCATGCCCTGCTGATTTTTGTATTTTTCGTAGAGACTGGATTTCACCATGTTGGCCAGGCTGGTCTCGTACTCCTGATCTGAAATGATCCACCTGCCTTGGCCTCCCAAAGTGCTGAGATTACAGGTGTAAGCCACCACATCCAGCCAACACTTTTTCTTGTTGAAAGATATTCCTGAAAAAAATGTTGTATTATTAAACATGTTTTAGTCTGCATGTATTATGTAGAGCTTTCTTTAATGACATCAAGAATGACAAAAGAGATGAAATGTTTATTACTACTTTTCGAATATTTTGAATTTTTTTCTTTCTTTCTTGTTTTTTAAGGTGGATATCATCCAGTGAAAATTGGAGACCTCTTCAATGGCCGGTATCATGTTATTAGAAAGCTTGGATGGGGGCACTTCTCTACTGTCTGGCTGTGCTGGGATATGCAGTAAGTGTTCTTTGTCATTTGTGCATTTGTTTCCTGGAGTAGTTCAACATCTGTGTTCTAAGAAGGTATGGCTGAGGGTCACCACTGCTTTGTTGAGGTATGTGAAGTGCTTAGCACAGGCCTGCCTCAGCTGGCTAGATTCCTTCCTGCCCCCTGCCTTAGTTTGAAGTTCATTTGAAATCTTAAAATATTACTTGCTTCCAGCTTTATTTCAAAGTTAATTCATTGAAATTGTTTTACACTGGGATTATATTATTTTTCTAGTAATTCATCCATATCAGACAAACATAATGTATAGTATAGGCGTTTCAAATCAGTCATTTTTAACTTTTCAAAGCCATGACCCATAGTAAGAAACTTCATTGCTACTCCATACACACACACACACACACACACACACACACACACACATTTGGTGCGTGTGTGTGTGTGTGTGTACTGAAACAAAAGTGTTAAAAGAGAATGGTTTTCACTATTAGGTTGGTGTGTAATATTCGTGATAACTCTGATGTTTATCTAGTCTTATTTTAATTAGGGAAAAAACAAAACAAAACATAAAAGAGATTGTCTTGACCCATACTACTATTTAATGTGGCCCCACCATTTGAAAAGTACTATTTTAAAGGAAAGCTTATGTTTCTGTGTATTGGATAGATCTCATTACAAGTTGAATATCCCTTATCTGAAATGCTTTGAGACCAGAAGTGTTTTGGATTTTGGAATATTTGTGTATATACACAATGACCTATCTTGGAGATGTGACCCAGATCTAAACACAAAATTCATTATATTTCATATACACCATATACACATACCCTGAAGGCAATTTTATACGATATTTTAAATAATCTTGTGCAACATGCAAATCTTTTACTGAGTTTTGATTGCAGTCAGAGGTGGAATTTTACACTGTGGCATCGTGTTGACACACTCATAATGTTTTAGGTTTTGGCGCATTTTGGATTTTACATTTTCCAATTAGGGATGCTCAACCTGGATACCAGTGATTCTTTCTACTGATAATATAGATAAATAGACTCTTTTTTTGTTTTTTCTTTTAGGGGGAAAAGATTTGTTGCAATGAAAGTTGTAAAAAGTGCCCAGCATTATACGGAGACAGCCTTGGATGAAATAAAATTGCTCAAATGTGTAAGTACTTTAAAAATGTGAATGATATAAGAAAACTTAATGACTTAAAATTTTACAGAAAGATTTTTCTGGGTAATACTAAATTAAAGTCAAGTTTGGCTGGGCACGGTGGCTCATGCCTATAATCTCAGCACTTTGGGAGGCCAAAGCGAGCAGATCACTTGAGGTCAAGAGTTCGAGACCAGCCTGGCAAACACGGTGAAACCCCATCTCTGCTAAAAATATAAAAAATAGCCAGGCATGGTGGTGGGCACCTGTAATCTCAGCTCCTTGGGAGGCTGAGGCATGAGTATCACTTGAACCTGGGAGGCAGAGGTTGCAGTGAGCCGAGATCGTACCACTGCACTCCAGACTGGGCGATAGAGCAAGACTCTGTCTCAAAAAATAAATAAATAAATAAATAAATAAAGTTTATTTTTTATAACTTTGTGATGAATTTTTTATTTTAAAATATACTTTTATTTAAACAGTATTGGTGTTATAATGGGAAAACATGCTTTGTCTCAAACTCCTGTGTTCTTGCATTCATTTTTCTTGGCATAGGTTCGAGAAAGTGATCCCAGTGACCCAAACAAAGACATGGTGGTCCAGCTCATTGACGACTTCAAGATTTCAGGCATGAATGGGATACGTATCCTTTACTTCCTGATTTATTTGTATTTTTACCTTTTAAAAAATGAAAATATTTCAAGCTCCTATAATCTCTGTTTACTGCTGTATCACCTTCAACATAAACACTCTAGGAACATTGTCAAGTATTATGAAGTGGTCCACCTAGAATAGTTTTCATGGCTTTTTGGGGTGTTTGGTAGAGTAGCATCTTAGAAACTTATTTTTAACACAACAACTTGACTTAATTTTGGTGTGGAATTAATTATTGATCTCTTCCCATTAATAGTGGTAAAGTTTTTTTTGTGGTGGTAGATAAAAGCATACATCAGCACCACTTCTTTGTGTTTTAAACTTTCTAAAACCAGTGCATAAGGACAATCTGTGTGTGCCCCAGTGGCTGCAAAGCACCATGTGAAAATGGAGCATTGGTTAAGATAAAAGGAAAAATGCTCTGTAAATGTCCACATCCCAAGGTGGCGCTTGACTGCTCTTAGTTCTGAATAGTACTAATAATTGCCAAATTCTTTTTCCAAAATGATACAACTGAGCCTTTCAAATAATTGTCCTGCAGAGGCTCATCTTTCTGTCAGGTGAGTATGGAAACATTTTGGTTTTCTTGATTTTATTCCTGGTTATCTATATTGCAAAAGTTAAGGAAAAGTAAAATGATGCATTTTCTATACTCTGCATTTTCTATACTCCTTGATAAATCTGACATAAGCCAGTGCTTGATCGAAAATACCTTTATTGTTTTTCTTTACAAACTTATTGGGAGAAATTTCAAACATATAAGAAAGAGATCATACTACAGTAAATTGTTGTAAATTCGTCACTCAAGTTTAATAATTGTCATGGTCTGGCCATAATTGATCCATCTATCTTTTCTTGCTGAATTATTATAGAGCAAATCCTAGAAGTCATGTCCTTTTACTTCTGTGTCATTGTGAATCTTTGAAAAAAATATGAACTTTTAAACATAACCTTAAAACTCACCAAAGACATTAACGGGTTCTTGATATCTCGTCAGATATCGTTGGTATTGGAGACTTCTTAATACAGATTTCCTTGGTATTGCAAAAATGAACTTTTAAAGACATATTTGAATCATTTTTAACAATATTGTTTACTCCTAAGTCTGTATTCACTTACTTTAGTTGTTCAGTTTCAGATTAATTTGCTCAATTTACATTTTTCTGTTTCTTGTTAGACTATGATCCACAGAGTATTTAAATTATCCTGACAGAAGTTAGTGATTCTTAACAGAGGAAAGTGTTTCTTGGTCAGCTATAAGTGTAGGTGTTTCTCATGTTTTTTAAAAGGATGGATGGCCTTAGTCGTAATGTGTCCGTTTCCTTCTGGTGGGTTCTTGGTCTCACTGACTTCAAGAATGAAGCTGCGGACCTTGCAGTGAGTGTTACAGCTCTTAAAGGTGGCGCATCCAGAGTTGTTTGTTCCTCCCGGTGGGTTCGTGGTCTCGCTGACTTCAGGAATGAAGCCACAGACCCTCATGGTGAGTGTTACAGCTCTTAAAGTTGGTGTGGACCCAAAAAGTGAGCAGCAACAAGATTTATTTTGAAGAGTGAAAGAACAAAGCTTCCACAGCATGGAAGGGGACCCAAGCAGGTTGCTGCTGCTGGTTCGGGTGGCCAGCTTTTATTCCCTCATTTGTCCGTGCCCACGTTGGAGAAATGGACCTGCCGATTGGTCCATTTTACAGAGTGCTGATTGGTGCATTTACAATCCTTTAGGTAGACACAGTGCTGATTAGTGTGTTTTTACAGATTGCTGATTGGTGCATTTACAATCCTTTAGACACAGACCACTGGTCAGTGCGTTTTTACAGAGTGCTGATTGGTGCATTTACAATCCTTTAGCTAGACACAGAGCACTGATTGGTGCATTTACAATCTTTAGATAGACACAGAGCACTGATTGGTGCATTTACAGTCCTCTAGCTAGACAGAAAAGTTTTCAAAGTCCCCACTCGACCCAGGAAGTCCAGCTGGCTTCACCTCTCACTAATACTAGTTATCTTTGGAAGTGTGTCTAGGAAGAAGACAAGCAAAGGTGTCCCTTGACTTTCCTTTCTTTTTTGAGAATATCAGTTTTGACCATGC
The DNA here is from genome assembly GCF_000001405.40 of Homo sapiens. NCBI lineage: Eukaryota > Metazoa > Chordata > Mammalia > Primates > Hominidae > Homo > Homo sapiens. The sequence goes on along the minus strand of NC_000007.14, from coordinate 105,165,278 downwards.
TACTAAGTTATGTGGATGCTTGTTGGTTTTGATGGGGACTCAGGAGGAAGTGAATTAGGATTGTAGAAAGGGTTGGCATGTTATCCTTATCCTTCCTCTACCTGAGGAGTTGGCAAAGGGTAGCTCCAGGGAGAAGTGACAGAGAGCAAAGTATCCCAAAACCTGTAGCTCAGAGAAGAAAGCAAAAATGAAGAGAAGAGATGATGCCTTCAGTGTCATGAGTACTTTTTCTTTATGTGGGTGTTGGATCCTCTGAGATAGCCCTTTGTGTGCCTGGAGTAGGCAGTACTTTCATTTTCCAAGGTTCAAGAAAATCGGACCACTTTACTCAGAGGCACATGACTGATGGGTGCTAGGTTGTGTCAGTAGCTGTGGTCTTCTGGCTTCTTTCAGATTTTTTGCTCTTTATATCATGTTTGGAACAGATCCACCATTTTGATATTTTACTTTCACAAATGTCAGAAGCCTAAGGATAAGGCTTTTTCCCAGATTTAAACTCCAAAATGACATCCAGTTTATGCATCTACTAAGTCATGATCAACTAGGGAAGCATTTCCTTCACTCTATATATTTGAGAAGGTTTTTATACAAGGGAATGTCACCATGTTCATAGAAAAACTAGATTAAAAGACAAAAATAAAGAATATAAACTTTATTTCTCACATAAGTTTCATCAAGTTCAAGACACTTTTGTAAACAATCATATCAGCCATTTAGTTGCTCCCCAAAGAACCAGGGGTCTTAGGAATTTAACCATGTCAGTGAAATCTTTTTTACATTATTAACTGAAGAAAAATGGGTGCCCTTTTTAAGATTAAGAAACAAAAATTAGGAGTAGCCAAATAAGGATAATAAGGTGGATGTCTAATGAGTTTCCACTGAAACTCTTCACAAAATTGCCCTCGTTTGATGAGAGGAATGAACAGGAACATTTACATGGTGGAGAAGGACTCCTTGGTGAAGTTTTCTGAGGTATTTTCCTGCTAAAGCATTCACTGACTTTCTCAAAATTAGCTCTCATAATAAGCAGGTGTTATCATTCTTTGGTTCTCCATAAAGTCAACAAGCAAAATGCCTCAGCATCCCAAAAAACGGTTGCAGTGACCTTTCCTCTTCACTAGTTCACTAGTGCTTTGACTGGACCACTGCCACCTCTTGGTAGTTATTGCTTTGATTGTGCTTTGTCTTCAGGATCATACTGTAGAACCATGTTTTATGTCCTGTTACAGTCCTTTGAAGAAATGCCTCAGGATCTCGATCGTACCTGTTTAAAATTTCCGTTGAAAGCTCTGCTCTTGTCTTGATCTGGGAACAATGGTTTTGGCACCCATTGAGTGGAAAGTTTGCTCAACTTCAGTTTTCAATTGGAATTGCATAAGTTGAACCAGTCGTGAAGTCTGTGGTGTTGGCTGTTGTTTGTGCTGTCATCTGTCCTCTTCAATTAGGGTGCAAACTTTTTTTTTCTTTGAGATGGAATTTTGCTCTTGTTGCGCAGGCTGGAGTGCAATGGTGCAGTCACGGCTCAGCACAACCTCCGCCTCCCGGGTTCAAGAGATTCTCCTGCCTCAGCCTCCTGAGTAGCTGGGATTACAGGCATGTGCCACCACGCCCAGCTAATTTTGTATTTATTTTTTATTTTTTATTTTTTTAGAGACGGGATTTCTCCATGTGGGTCAGGCTGGTCTCGAATTCCCGACCTCAGGTGATCTGCCCGCCTCAGCTTCCCAAAGTGCTGGGATTACAGGTGTGAGCCACCATGCCCGGCCGCAAACTTTTTTTCCACACAAATTGATGCAAATGGTCTGCCGCTGCAGGCTTCATCTTCAACATTATCTCATCCCTTCTTAAAACCGGTTATTCATTTGTAAACTGCCGATTTATTTGCGGTATTGTCCCCTTAAACTTACCATAAAGCATCAGTGATTTCACCATTTTTTCACCCAAGCTTCATCATAAATTTGATGTTTGTTATTGCTTTGATTTTAGAATTCATGTTGCTCTGTTAGAGGCTTTTTTCAAACTGATGTCTTATCTTGCGAGTGCCTCAAACTAGATCCTGTTCAGATACTTTAACAAACTAGTATGAGTTTATTTTGGTGCAAAAAAATTTTTGAAATCTATGCATAGTGTTTTCAAAATACACATTTTCCATAGACTTTTTGAAAATCCCTCATATTTCTTTTAGAAATTCATCTTGAGTATACTAGGAAGTACCAGTGGCTGCTAATGTTACCTCGTCCTTTTTCTCCAGTTAATTTCTGCTAACTGCTGAGTATATTTTTCCCTTTGGATAGATAAATCAGTAAGCAGATAGCGGCAGAGCACTCACTTCTTCTGTGTCCGACTTGCAAGGTCCTTCTTGGGACAGCTAATAGAACATTTCTTTGGAGAAACTACTTAATCCGTGGGTAAATAGAGGTTTTTGAAATATACGTTCTAGTGGGTATTTTTACTGTTAAGCAAAATGCGAAGTAATCATCATATCCAGATATGCCAGTGCTTTGAGAAGACTTAGGTTATGTTTGGGATATCCTGGGCCTCGCCCTATGCCTGCTGCTAAATGTAGTCCTTAAATAATCTGCCGTTTTTGTAATGAGCCTGGGAAATAGTAAGAAACTTCTGGCTTTAGATTATCTGCGCATAAATCTGTAGTGCTTACATTCTTAAACAGTATAGAAAGATTTTTCTTTTTTTCACTAAAAATATTTAAAATAATATTGTTTTAATATAGCATATTCAGTTATTATAGTTGATTAAATCAACTACTTTTTTTGATTCTAAAGTCAAATGTAAGCCTCCAGGGATGAATAAAATGTTCTCAAAGGGTTTCAGAGCCATTTGTAATCTTCCTGTATGAATGACATGAATATATAATGAAATTGGAGGTATCATAGTTGTGAAGGCTGAAATACCTATTTTAAAAAAAAATTAAGTTGGGGCCAGGTGTGGTGGCTCATGCCTGTAATCCCAGCACTTTGGGAGACCAAGGTGTGTGGATCACTTGAGATTAGGAGTTTGAGACCAGCCTGGCCAACATGGTGAAACCCTGTCTCTACTAAAACTGGAAAAATCAACTGGGCATAGTGGCACACGCCTGTAATCCCAGCTATTTGGGAGGCCGAGGTAGGAGAATCGCTTGAACCCAGGAGGTGGAGGTTGCAGTGAGCTGAGATCGTGCCACTGCACTCCAGCCTGGGTGACAGAACAAGACTGTGTCTCAAAAAAAAATTAAGCTGGGCATGGTGGTTTTCACCTGTAGTACTGACTACTTGGGAATCTAAGGCAAGAGAGTATCTTTAGCCCAGGAGTTCTAGTCCACCTGGCACAGCGTAGTGAGACCCTGTCTTTTTTAAGAAAAGAAAATCCAGATTCCTGAGATGTTGTTACTATAGATTAAGTCTTAATACCATGTCTTAAATGGTGATCATACATTCTTAACACCTGCCTATAGTATTAAAATTGATCTAGTTGTATAATGTAAGATATTATTCAAGGAAAAGATTAAATAGGTCTTAACTGTGTTTACTAAATTTTTATTTTATAATGTGTTTTATGTAGCTTATCAAGTAGAAATTTAGGCAGGCAGTTAGGACACTTGAGATACTGGAGCTCTGTATTTGTTTCATGTCAGTTCCTAGGAGGTTTCAGTCTTGCCTGTTTCATCAGGCTGATTTCCAGGGAGTGTGCTGAGATGGGTGAGAGTGCAGCTCAGTGTAGGCTTGAGTAGTGGCTCAGCCACCTGGCACTTTCTAAGTGCACTCTACACCTAGAAAGTGCCATGTCCTCATGCCTACAGTGGGGTTAATTACATTATTGCCTAAGGTTGTTTGGAGTACACGTGAAATAATATATGGCACAGAGTAAGTACACTTAGCCCTTTTTTATCTGCTGGTTCCCCATTCATAGATTTAATAAACGTTGGATGAAAAATATTTGGGAAACACCAGTAAAAAGTAGTAGAAATTAAGAAATAGAGTATAACAACTATTTACATAGCATATACATTGTATTAGGTATTATAAGTAATCTAGACATGATTTAAATAAAGTATATGGGCTGGGCACGGTGGCTCATGCCTGTAATCCCAGCACTTTGGGAGCCCAAGGCGGGTGGATCATGAGGTCAGGAGATCGAGACCATCCTGGCTAACATGGTGAAACCCTGTCTCTACTAAAATTACAAAAAATTAGCCGAGCGTGGTGGCGGGCACCTGTAGTTTCAGCTGCTCGGGAGGCTGAGGCAGGAGAATGGTGTGAACCCAGAAAGCAGAGCTTGCAGTGAGCCAAGATCACACCACTGCACTCCTGGGCGACAGAGCAAGACTCCGTCTCAAAAAAAAATAAAAATAAAGTATATGGAAGGATGTGAATAGGTTATGTATATACTACACCAGTTTACTGAAGAGGCGAGCATATGTACATTTTGGTATCTGAGAGCGGTCCTGGAACCAATCTCCTGAGATACTGGGAAACACCTGTATTTAGTAATGTCAGTTCTTGTTATTTAAGTGAGATACAACATTTTCTCACTTTTGGTATTACTGATAGGGTTGATGTTGTATTTTATAAAGTAATAAGTGCTTTGCAAGTGACACAATGGTGCTGCTTTCAATAACTGCCTCACTCCAGGCAGTGCATCCACAAACGATCCTTAACTGTGTCCCAGATGTCTGCATGGTCTTCGAAGTACTTGGCCACCATCTCCTCAAGTGGATCATCAAATCCAACTATCAAGGCCTCCCAGTACGTTGTGTGAAGAGTATCATTCGACAGGTGAGACTTTTGACGGCAGCCCCTAGGCCCTAGTACCTAATTGGTTAGGCTTTCAACATGAATGCTGTTTACAAATATGTATATGTATTACATATGTATCAGTGCATAATGTATATATGTTATGTATGTTACATATGTATCAGTGCATAACATTTTGAACTCTTATTAAGTCAGTATTTAATGATATTTTGTGTTGTGAAGGGAACAACATGTAATTGTCAGGCATACGTTTTTTGCCTGTCGTTTTTTTTTTTAAGGTATGTGACATGGTACAATTACATTGTTTTTGTTCAGTATCTACTATAAAACATCCACTTAGTTCATTAGGAAGTAATTTAGAAGAAATAACTTACTGGGTTTATTTACTAAGTATCCTTGGATGGAGATTAAATAATAGATAATTGAAGAGTTGTGTACAAAGTTTCAGTTATAACGTGGTTAAATTCTGCAGATCTAATAGACAGTATGATGACTATAGTTAACATTATTGTGTACTTGGAATTTGTTAACAGAGTAGACTTGAATGTTCTCATCATGTACACACACACAGAGTCTATATGTCATACTGGGTTAGGTTAATTAGCTGTTTTGTGCTAATCATTTCACAGTGTACACATATTTCAAGACATGTACACTACTAATATATTCAGTTTTTATTGTCAGTTGTACCTCAGTAAAGCTGGGGAAAAAAATGGAAATGTTTAACTCATATAGAAATTACTGTATTAGATGTGTGTTTTGTTCAGTTGCCCTGCCAGAAGAAAACCCTCAGCTAGGGTCAGGCTTAGAGATGATGCTCTAGTAAACATCTGTAGAATGAAAGTATGCGTAGATGGAAGAACTCCTCCTAATTAGCAGTGTTTGCCCATTCCAGTGTTCTGCATGGAATCAGTATGTATTCTACTCATTGCCTGTAAAAAGTTTGAAGTTTAAATTTGTGTAGTAAAAGCATCTTTGATATTTCTGTTGAATTTGTGTGCAGATAACTTTGTTTAGCCTGCCTGTGTGTTCATCTCTTCTTCCTTTTGTACGGTTTTTTTTTTTTTTTTTTTTTTTTTGGAGACGGAGTCTCGCTCTGTCACCCAGGCTGGAGTGAAGTGGTGCAATCTCAGCTCATTGCAGCCTCCTGAGCAGCTGGGACTATAGGTGCTTGGTACCACACCCAGCTAATTTTTGTATTTTTAGTAGAGACAGGGTTTCACCGTGTTGCCCAGGGTGGTCTCAAACTCCTAAGCTCAGGCAGTCTGCCTGCCTCTGCCTTCCAAAGTGCTGGGATTACAGGTGTGAACCACTGCACCCAGCCTTGTATGGAAAATTGGCAGCTTATTCTGTAACATGACAGATGTTACTTGAGAAGAGGGGCTGGAGAGGGAAAAGTTCACTACATTGTCTTCTATATCAGTTGAATTGAGGTGTTTCTATGTAGTATTATGCTAGGTATACATGTGGGCCTAGATTTATGGCTAACTTTTGTTCAGTACTGTATCTGTTTGCCCTTAGCTTTCAAATAGTAGCATTTTTATTCATTATTTCGACAGGCTGATATCTCAAATGAACAACTTTAATGTAGAAGAGGTTATGTGGTGAGGGCAGAAATTAGTATGTTAAGTGGAATTATTTGATCCCCAAATAAGACTAGTGTATTATTTGTAACATTTAGCAGCAACTCTAAAGTCTTTAAAAAAAAAAAAAAACACAAAAAAACACAAAAAAATAAAACCATATTGTTAAAACTTGGGAAGAATCTCCTAATTATTTTTGATAAATCTTGAAAATATTAAAGGAATTACACATTCTAACAAATACTGAATAATTTCAGAAATAGCTGCCTGCATGTATTTCCCGCAGGCTCCATCATTTCCCAGAACCTCATGCTTTCAGAGGGGCTTGCTGTTGCCTTAAGTGACTGACCACACCACCACCCTTTAGGCTTAGTGTGTAAGAAGGTGAATTTGGCCAGGCGCAGTGGCTCACGCTTGTAATCCCAGCACTTTGGGCGGCCAAGGCGGGTGGATCACGAGGTCAGGAGATTGAGACCAGCCTGGCCAGCATGGTGAAACCCCATCTCTACTAAAAACACAAAAATTAGCCAGGCGTGGTGGCACACGCCTGTAATCCCAGCTACTCTGCCAGCTGAGGCAGGAGAATTACTTGAACCCGGGAGGTGGAGGTTGCAGTGAGCTGAGATCATGCCACTGCACTCCAGCCTGGGCAACAGAACAAGACTCCATCTCAGGGAAAAAAAAAAAAAGGTGAATTCACAGATGAGCCATTGACATTTATTTTATCTTCTAGAGAAGAAAATATAGCCTTAGCAAGTTGAAGGAGTCTGTAAGTTGAAAGATGAAAATCTGAGGTTCAGTGGAACCTCAGTGCATCCTTGTTGAATGAACCGAAGATTAAATAAGTTAACCTGTGTTCTTCATTTTGTTTTTGTTTTTTGAGACAGGGTCTTCCTCTGTTACCCAGGCTGGAGTGCACTGGTCAGTCACAGCTCACTGCAGCCTTGGCCTCCTGGGCTCTAGTGATCCTCCCACCTCAGCCTCCCTAGTAGCTGGGACTGCAGGCATGCACCACCGTGCTAGCTAATTTTTATTTTTTTGTAGAGACGGGGTCTCACTGTGTTGCTCAGGCTGGTCTCTTTGTCTCCTGGACTCAAGCAGTCTTCCCATCTCAGCCTCCCAAAGTTGCTAGGATTATACCACACCTGGCCAATGCGTGTGTTATCCTCACTGTAATTCATGTACCCTGTTTTTGGTGGAAACTTAGAAAGAGCTCTTATATTATTTCTTTAGTTCAGAGAAATTCAAGCTGAAAATTTGATTGTGTCATGTGGTCTGCACTTTGTTCTTATATGCAGTGTTAATGGAATTTTGGTTTGGTTTTGGTTTTGTGTGTGTGAACCCATCTTTCTTTAAGAAAAATATTATCATGGAATCTGGATTTTTTCCCCCTAAGCTTACGCAGAACTTTCAGTGTAGTAAGTTGTTCAAGAAATTACATACTCCAGTTAATAATCTACTTACCTGAGGTTTCCCTTCAACCCCTTTGATTCAGCCTATGTTTTCAGTATTTCTTTCTCCCGGGTAGTACTAGGAAGATTTTTTATTGCAGACTGACACAGTTATATCATTTCCCAGAACAAGCCAGAGCAGACCAATTTTCTTAGTATTTTCTTAGTATCCTTTCACTGTAGACCTTCTTCTTAAGAGTCATGGATAACCGACCATGTTCCAGTCATTCTCCTTACTCTATCACTTGCTGTGCTTCCCCAGGAACCCGCCTGTTGAACTCTCCTTTGCCATGTCTTTTACTCTTGATGTTCTTTGTATTTCTGTTGCTGTCCTCTTTAGTTCAGGCCCTTATCACCTCCAGCTAGTACCTTTTCACAGGCTTTTCTTGGCTCTCTGTGCATACAGCCCATCCAATTCCCGGTCCCTTTTCCAGTTTATTCTCCTTTCTATTGCAAGTAAAACCTTGCTTTAATGACTCATATTCCCATTTAGAATTCTTTAGTGGCTTCCCATTGCCTGTTTGCTGAAGCTTTATGTTCTTGGCCTTCATGAAGCAATATATGGAGTTGTTAAGAGCTTGGGTTTGGCATCAAATATACCCTACATTCACCAAAGGGCTTTGGCCAAGTTACCTAACTTCTGCAAACCACAATTTCATCATCAATAAAAGTGGGGAAAATAATGATACCAGCCAGGCGTGGTGGCTCATGCCTGTAATCCCAGCACTTTGGAAGGTTGAGGTGGGAGGATTTCTTGAGACCAGGAGTTCAAGACCAACCTGGGCAACATCGCAAGACCGTGTCTCTACCAAACAAAATTTAAAAATTAGCCAGGTATGATGGCATGCACCTGTGGTCCCAGCTACCTGGGAGGCTGAGGTCGGAGGATCACTTGAGCCCAAGGGGTCAAGGCTGCAGTGAGCCATGATGGTGCCACTGCACTCTAGCCTGTGTGACAGAACAAGACTGTCTCTTTAAAAACAAAAAACAAACAAAAATGATACCTTCCTCATTAGTTTATTGTAAAGATGTAATGAGAGATAGTAATGCTAATAGTAGCAAATAGTTAATTCAGTGCTTACTATGTGCCAGGTATAATTTGAGTACTTTGCATAGTTGAGTTCCTCACAATAACCCTGTGAAATGGGTATTATTACTTTCCTGATTTCATCAAGAGGAAACAGAAGCCCAGAGAGGTTAAGTAACTTGCCCCTAGTTAGGAAGTCGCTTAAAAAGTGCTAAGTGGTGAAGCAGGAATTCAAACCCAGATAGTCTGGCTTCAGAGCTCATGGGTTTACCATTTTGGCCGTTATATAATGGGTTTTATATAATAAACTTATTATGAGCCTGTAATAAGTTTGGAATTGTACTGGGCCTATGTCCAGTAGAAGTTAAGTCACTTTCTGGGAACCTGTTTAAGATTTTCTATCATCTGGTGTCAGCCTGTATTTCCCCTTGCAGACAAAAAGTGATGTCCCTCAGGTACCCTATTTCCCTCTGGAATCTACCAGCTTACGTTTTTTATGAATGTTCAAAGATGTCCCAAACATTTATAATGTGCAGATTTACCAGAATTTTCATTCATGAATGTTTACTGGTTTTATTTTGTAGGTAGTTTAGAGAAAGTACTCACTGGTAATCATCTTGACCCCTAAGGGCACCTTTCCGTTTTTTATCTCCACATCTTTGATCATCTCTTTTGTTCTAGGCTGCCAGAAATGCCATCCTTGTCTACCCACATTTTTAAGACTCAACGAAAATCCCACCATTGTGACAAAGGCTTCTCACAGTACCCAATTAAGAGGATGCCTTCCCTTCTTGAAATGCCTTCAGCTCACATTTGGTCCCATAACTACGTGTAGGCCCCATCTCAACCCTAGGGCTGCTGGCACTTCAGACCAGATAGGATGTTTAGCAGCGTCCCTGGCATCTACCCCTCAGAGCCAGTATCAGCTGTCACCATCCCTGATTGTGGCAATTAGAAATATCTCTGAACTTTGCCAGTTTTCCTCTCACTGAGAACCACTGGGATAAGAGAAAGTGTAAGGTGTATTGTGCTTTGGTGACAGACTTGATTTAACATCATAGCTTTGGCACTTCTATCTTGTACTCCTGATCAGTTACTTAGCCTCTGTGAGTCTGTTTCCTCATTTGTAAACTCGAAATAGTAATGCATAATTTGTAGTTTGATTGTGGAGATTAAGAATAAGGGGGCTGGGTGCAGTGGCTCACGCCTGTAATCCCTGCACTTTGGGAGGTTGAGGTGGGTGTATCACCTGAAGTCAGGAGTTCAAGACCAGCCTGGCCAACATAGTGAAACCTTGTCTCTACTAAAAATATAAAAAATTAGCTGGGAGTGGTGGCACATACATATAGTTCCAGCTACTTGGGAGGCTGCGGCAAGAGAATCACTTGGACTTGGGAGGCGGAGGCTGCAGTGAGCCGAGATCGTGCCATTGCACTCCAGCCTGGGTGACAATAGCGAAATTCTGACTCAAACAGACAAACAAGAATAAGGGTGGGCCAGGTGCGGTGGCTCACACCTGTAATCCCAGCACTTTGGGAGGCCAAGGCGGGCAGATCATGAGGTCAGGAGTTCTAGACCAGCCTGACCAATATGGTGAAACCCCATCTCTACTAAAAATACAAAAATTAGCTGGGTGTGGTGGCACGTGCTTGTAGTCCCAGCTACTCGGGAGGCTGAGGCAGGAATTGCTTGAACCCAGGATACGGAGGTTGCAGTGAGCCGAGATTGTGTCACTGCTGCTCTTCAGCCTGGGTGACAGACTCTGTCTCCAAACAAACAAAAAAAGTATAGCCATTAGATTTTATGAAGTAGATATTATAATATGTAACCAGATGAGACCTTTAAAACCCAATGTTTTTCCAGACTTCTCCCTTTGGGGTGCAACCCTCTAGTATGCCGAGAGCCACGGTGGTGCCCCGCAGGTCCTCTCACCTGTATCATTGGCTGATTTTGTCTCTCTACACTTAGTATTTATTTACCATTGTAATTCTTTCAGTGGCCCTGTTTATCAGTAAATTTTGTTATGACTGAACCAGTATTGTTCAAGTTCAGACCAGAAGCTTTCATGTCAATTTGGTAAACATTTTGATATTACTGGGTTTGTTCAGCATGGTAGTGCACACGATGCTGTATTGACTTGGAATTCTCCTCAGGATGTTGAGCCCTTGACTCAGGAAATGTGGTGAGGTGGCTCTGTTTCAAGGGACTAAGCTGCTTTCCTGAGCCATTGCTTTGTGCAGTCCCAGTGCTGGGCACAGCAGCTTTAACTTTCTTCCTGATGACATTCAGAAGTACAGCTGCTGGCTTTTCTCATTAATTCTCACCAGTTAGAGATGAAAGAAAAAGGAGCAGAGGCTATTTCAGGACAATGTGGGTAAGGACGCCGTCCCCTGGATTTTTGGTTTGAGCGTGTCTCTGGCTCTTGTCCTCTTTTATTGTTAACAGGTATTTCCAAGCTCCTCCATTGAGTTTAACATCTTGGTTTTCACAGGCAGTTGGTGGGACCTGCCTTGTGTGTTTCACTGTGGAAGGGAAATCTAGTGGAACCCTCAGTGTTTCCAGCAGGAAACTTCTAGGCTTGCGGAGAACCCCTCTGGTGTCCCGCACGCCCACAAGTAATTAATATTCTCAATGAAGAACTCCTGCTTGGGGTCGCCTCCTTCCTCTGCCAGCCCATCTGGCTGCCCACGTGGGTTTCTCTGGGTGCTTCATTAGGTTCTGTTACCCACAGAGTAGGAGGAGACAGAGTCTCCCTGCTCTGTGTCCTTTGTTCAGGTGTGGGAGGAAGAAAGTCCACCGCTTATCACCAGTAGCAGAGCATAATTTGGAAAGTTGCTCTCATTCTATTTCTTTTTACAGTTCAGAATTTTGGGGGAAGCTTTGCACTCTGGGCTGTGAGCAAGGCCAGGGAGACAGTCTTTAGAGGAGTCTCCACATTATGCTTGACTGTTCCCCGACTTATCTACAAGATTACAGGACCTATTTCAATCAAGTTGTGGTGGAGAGGAGCAGATTTGTGTTGCGAAGACCAGTAATAGATGGTATCTGACACAAATGTTGATGTACAGAAAGCAAGCTTTGAGACCATTTTAACCAAGCCCCTTATTTTGAAGATGAATTTGAGGTTCAAGGAAAAGAAGGAACTTTCTCTGAACCTGTAGCTAGTTAATTTGGAATGGGACTCGGGGCTTCTAGCTCCCAGCCCTAGACTTAGCCTTCTTTTCCGCACTGCTGCTGAACTCAAAGTCTGACTTTACCCAGAGAAACCTGGCACTTGTTCCTCATGTGTGTGAAATGGCTCCCTGAGTGGGATGATTGAGAGTCACGTCCCTGGCTCGTCTGGGCTTAGGTTGATCTCAGCTTCCCTGGCAGCCAAAGGATCTCTGCTGCCTCCTGCTGCTAGCACCAAGTATTAAGGTTTTTTGTTTGTTTTTGAGACGGAATCTTGCTCTGTCACCAGGCTGGAGTGCAGTGGCGCGATCTCGGCTCACTGCAACCTCCGCCTCCTGAGTTCAAGCAATTCTTGTGCCTCAGACTCCTGAATAGCTGGGATTACAGGCATGCACCACCACACCCAGCTAATTTTTGTATTTTTAGTAGAGATGGGGTTTCACCATGTTGGCCAGGATGGTCTGGATCTCCTGACCTTGTGATCCGCCCATTTCGGCCTCCCAAAGTGCTGGGATTACAGGCGTGAGTCACCGCGCCCAGCCGTATTAAGGTTTTTAGGCAAGAAAGATGAACATACTGTGATTTGACAAGTAAAAGCAACAGAGGAAAGAATTAGTAAAGACTTAACTCTGTCAGATTTTGCAAGGGGAGATCTATCCATGGGGATGAAACATGATTCCTTTTGGTTTGTGTTTTTGTTTTTCCCATTGTCACAGTTATCCTGTATAAATAATTGTAGGAGTTCTCGTCAATGTTGGTTGATTCTGGGGTGCATTATTACTTAAAACTTCACTGGAAAGACAAATGTTATTTTTGAAAATAAAACCATTTAAAAATAGTAGTTCTGGCCAGGCATGGTGGCTCACGCCTGTAATCCTAGCACTTTGGGAGGCCGAAATGTGTAGATCACCTGAGGTCAGGAGTTTGAGACCAGCCTGGCCAACATGGCGAAAACCCCGTCTCTACTAAAATACAAAAAGTAGCTGGGCATGGTGACATGTGCCTGTAATCCCAGCTACTAGGGAGGCTGAGGCAGGAGAATTGCTTGAACCCAGTAGGTGGAGGTTGCAGTGAGCCAAGATCGTGCCACTGCACTCCAGCCTGGGTGATAGAGTGAGACTCCATCTCAAAAAAAGAAAAAAGTAGTTCAAAATTAAATTATGGAATCAAAGTTTTGTTGCTGGGATGTACCATACGGGTTATCAAGTATAGTCCTTTTATATTAGAAATGGAAACAACTGAGACCCAGATAATTTTTTTTTTTTTTTTTTTGAGACAGAACCTCACTCTGTTGCCCATACTGGAGTGTGGTGACACGATCTCAGCTCACTGCAACCACCGCTTTCTGGGTTCAAGTGATTCTCCTGCCTCAACCTCCTGAGTAGCAGCGATTACAGGCATGCACCACCATGCCTGGCTTATTTTTGTATTTTTAGTAGAGAGGGGGTTTCACCGTGTTGGCCAGGCTGGTCTTGAACTCCAGACCTCAGGTGATCCACCTGCCTTGACCTCCCAAAGTGCTGGGATTACAGGTGTGAGCCATCGTGCCAGCCAACCCAGAGAACTTTAATAAGTGACTTAGGAAGCTGGATGTGGTGGCTCACACCTGTAATCCCAGCCACTTGGGAGGCTGAAGCAAGAGGATCACTTGAGGCCAGAAGCTTGAGGCTTCAGTGTGCTTTACTTACACCTCTGAATAGCCACTGCACTCCAGCCTGGGAACATAGCGGGATCCCATCTCTAAAAAGAAATTAATTTTTAAAAAGTGATGAAAAATCATAATTCAATAAGTCAATATCAGTACAAGTCTTCTGACTTAGATACGTTTTACCATTTAAGTTTCTTGTGTGCTAGACTTTGTTTTTGTGAGTTTTCCGTAGATTATTTCTAAAGCTTATTGCTACATTTGTGTGTAACAGGTGTTTCCCCCTCCCATAGATGAGAATGAAAGCTCAAACAGCTTAAACAGCTTGCCCAGGGGTAACACAATGAGTAAATGGTTGAGCAGTAATTTAAGAGCAGTCTGAATCCAAGGTCATGTTTTTAACGCTGCCCTGTTGCCATTTCCTTTAATGGTTTCAATTATCTTAACTAACTTTATTTGTCCCAGTGGCAAAGTATTTTTCTTGTGTTTATTGCCCATTGCTGTTTTAGGAAAGTTAGCCTAGTTGAGTGCAATAGCCAATTTTTTTTAAAAAAAATCTGGAACTTTAAGTTTTTACTGAGATCACTTCTTGCTTGTCATGAGGTGCATCATTGTCATTGGGACCTCATGTGAACACATTTGCACACTGAGGCACATTAACTCTTAACTGTGCAGCCTCCCGCACAGTGAATCAACCTTTGAACTGTGAAAGAAGCCAAGGTGGAAAGATAGGACAACTCTCGTGCATGAGAAAATGGTCAAATATATTTTAGGAAAGAAAGATACTGACATTTTTACCTTGAGATAGTATTTGATACCGAAATACAATTTTAGTTGGAAAACGATTTTTCAAAAATCGTATTCCTTTGACCTCTATGGGCTGGACATCATCAATGTGCCTATCCATTAATTTCTTGTACTTTTCAGAATCTCTTTTGTTGTTCAGATATAGAACTCCACATATTATTCAGTTTGCACCAGGAAGATGCATGAATGTCGTTGAATAACATGAGCCCATTGGATTGTGTTTCCTTCAAAAGTATAACCATGTTCTCCATGGAAATATTTTACATCATGTTATCTTTCTTACTATTGGTCCTTTGACATTTTATTTGCTTTTTTTCTTTTTTCCTTTTAGACAGAGTTTTATTCTGTCGCCTAGGTTGGAGTGCAGTGCCATGATCTCAGCTCACTGTGACCTCCGCCTTGTGCCTCAGCCTCTTGAGTAGCTGGGATTACAGGCGTGTGCTACCTTGCCTGTGCCACTATGCCTGTGCAGTTTTTTTGTGTTTTTAGTAGAGACAGGGTTTCGCCATGTTGGCCAGGCTGGTCTCGCACTCCTGGCCTCAAGTGATCTGCCTGCCTCGGCTTCCCGAAGGGCTGGGATTACAAGGCAAGGCTGAGCCCGGCCTTGACATTTTAAATGTAATTTAAACATATCCTAATTGCAGTATTATCCAAAACAGTAAATATTCTAAGGCAAAAAATGTCTTAAAATCTTATCCTAGTTTTATCTACTTCACTGGTACTTACTAGGAACTTGTCAGTATCTTATTAAATCATATTTGCCATGCCCATGATTCATCTTGGTTTTTTTTTTGGCCAATTACCCCACCCGTCATACTCATTTCCTGTCCTGAATTGGTAACCTCTGTGAGGATATGAGGACTGTAAGCAACATGAAGCCTGGGAGCTTTTATATATCAAACACCTGGAATAATGGCATGTGATAGGAGCTCAGGCGATGCACATTCAGTGAATTTATGTAAAAATACTCTGTAAGGTAAAGTTGTTTTAAATGTTTGTAGGGATTTTGATCGTTTTTAAGAGGTATTCCTGTTTTCATTTTCCTTGTAAAATCTTTGTTCCCTCTCACTTCATAATGCTACTTTAACTTCTACTAACAGTAGGCTAACTACTAATAGCTTACTGTTGATCAGATGCCTTCCACTGTCGATTAAACTGGGAATATTTCAGTGTTGGATTGAAGGAGTGGCCTGCCCCTCCACACCTGTGGGTATTTCTAGTCGGGTGGGACGAGAGACTGAGAAAAGAAATAAGACACAGAGACAAAGTATAGAGAAACAACAGTGGGCCCAGGGGACTGGCGCCCAGCATACCAAGGACCTGCACCGGCACCGGTCTCTGAGTTCCCTCAGTTTTTATTGATTATTATCTTCATTATTTCAGCAAAAAGGAATGTAGTAGGAGGGCAGGGTGATAATAAGGAGAAGGTCAGCAACAAACACGTGAGCAATAGAATCTATGTCATAATTAAGTTCAAGGGAAGGTACTATGACTGGACGTGCACGTACACCAGATTTATGTTTCTCTCCACCCAAACATCTTAGTGGAGTAAAGAATAACAAGGCAGCATTACTGCAAACATGTCTCACCTCCCACCATAGGGCGGTTTTTCTCTCATCTGAGAATTGAACAAATGTATAATCGGGTTTTATACCGAGACATTCAGTTCCCAGGGGCAGGCAGGAGACAGTGGCCTTCCTCTATCTCAACTGCAAGAGGCTTTCCTCTTTTACTAATCCATCTCAGCACAGACCCTTTATGGGTGTTGGGCTGGGGGACGGTCAGGTCTTTCTCATCCCACGAGGCCATATTTCAGACTATCACATGGGGAGAAACCTTGGACAATACCCAGCTTTCAAGGGCAGAGGTCCCTGCAGCTTTCCACAGTGCATTGTGCCCCTGGTTTATTGAGACTAGAGAATGGCGATGACTTTTACCAAGTATACTGCTTGTAAACATTTTGTTAACAAGGCATGTCCTGCAGAGCCCTGGATCCCTTAAACCTTGATTTCATATAACACATGTTTTTGTGAGCTCCAGGTTGGGTCAAAGTGGCTGGAGCAAAGTGGCTGGGGCAAAGCTACAAATTAACAACATCTCAGCAAAGCAGTTGTTTAAAGTACAGGTCTTTTTCAAAATGGAGTCTCTTATGTCTTTCCTTTCTACATAGACACAGTAACAGTCGGATCTCTCTTTTCCCTACATTGGATGATGTGAAACATATAACACTTCCTGTCTCTTGTGAACAAAATGCCTATTCAATTCATTGTTTGAATGGTCATTGATGTAATATTTGCTTAACATTTGGAATTTCTAATGCTTATATGAGAACATGATCTGTTTTGTAAAAATAAATTTTGTTTATGGAAATAATTGAAAAAATTATTCTCCAGTGGAAATAATTATAGAAAAACACTGACCTTGTATTTAGGTCACTGACACTGTAAGTTTTTGATTGTTTTAATATGAGAAATATGAATATCTTGGTTCATCACTTTCTTTTAGTATAATGCTGTAGGGTTGTCTAGATACCAAGGCTATTTTCTATTTAAATCAAGCCCCCCTTCTCTTGCAGTGTTAAAAATGTATGGACATCATTAGCCATCAGGGAAATGTAGATCAAAACTACAACAAGATACTTCATATCCACTTGGGTGGATAAAGTAAAAAACGATAGTAAGTGTTGTTCAGGGCGAAGAATTGGAACCCTCATACATTGGTGATAGGAATGTAAAATGGTGCAGCCACTGTGGAAGACACTTTGGCAGTTCATCAAAAAGCTAAATATAGAGGCACCATATGACCTAAGTACGGTAACTCCTAGGTATATACCTCCCCTCAAAAAAAGTATGTTCACACAAAAATGTATACACGAGTGTGAATAGCAGTATTATTTTTATAGCCCCTAAAGTGAAAATAACCCAAATGTTCATGAGGTGAAGGGATAAACACAATGTTGTATCTCCATACAGTGGAATACTGTTTGCCAATAAGAATAAGCGAAGTACTAATACATGCTGCACAAGAGTCAAACTTGAAAACATTATGCCAGTTACAAAAAAATACTTTATATGATTCCATTTATAGGAAATGTCCAGAATCAGCAAGTAGATTAGTGGTTGCTAAGGGTTAGAAGGGGTAGGAGAGAGATGGGAAGTGAATGCTGATGAATATGTTGTTTCTTTTTGGAGCAATGAAAATGTTGTCATTTAAATAGTGGTGGTAGTTGCCGTGTGTGGTGGCTCACGCCTGTAATCCCAGTACTTTGGGAGGTCGAGACAGGTGGATCACAAGGTCAGGAGTTCGAGACCACTGGCCAATATGGTAAAACCCCGTCTCTACTAAAAATACAAAAAAAATTAGCCAGGCGTGGTGGCATACGCCTGTAATCCCAGCTGCTTGGGAGGCTGAGGCAGGAGAATTGCTTGAACCTGGGAGGCGGAGGTTGCAGTGAGCCAAGATTGTGCCACTGCACTCCAGCCTGGGTGACAGAGCGAGACTCTGTCTCAAAAAATAAATACATAAAAAATTTAAAAAATAAATAGTAATGATAGTCGCACATCTAAAATCCATTGAATTGTATACCTAAAGGGGTCAATTGTATGATACATGAATTACTAGCCTACTGTTGATCAGAATCCTTAATGATCACATGACCAATTAACATGTATTTTGTATGTGTGTTATATAGCATATTTTTACAACAAAGTAAGCTAGAGAAAAGAATGTTAAGACAATCATAAAGAAGAGAAAATATACTTACTATTCATTAAGTGGATAGATCATATGAAGTAGATGATCATAAAGGTCTTCATCCTCATTATCTTCGCGTTGAGTAGGCTGAGGGGTTGGTCTTGCTGTCTCAGGAGTGGCAGAGGTGGAAGACAATCTGTGTATAAGGGAACCCATGCAGTTCAAACCTGTGTTGTTCAAGGTTCAACTGTATGTAGATGCATTTGCTTCCACGAGCATAAATAATCTCTGAAATTATACACACTGGTTGCTTATGGAAAGGAGAGCTGGATTCCAATGTGGGTAGGCATGGGAGGGAGATTTTTACTAAATATCCTTTTGTGTTTATCAAACTTTGTACCCTGGCATTGTATTACATGTTTTTCAAATAAATAAAAGTTATATAATGAGATATTAATAGCTTATCTTCTCTCTTGATTTTACTATATCCAGGTCCTTCAAGGGTTAGATTACTTACACAGTAAGTGCAAGATCATTCATACTGACATAAAGCCGGAAAATATCTTGATGTGTGTGGATGATGCATATGTGAGAAGAATGGCAGCTGAGGCCACTGAGTGGCAGAAAGCAGGTGCTCCTCCTCCTTCAGGGTCTGCAGGTGAGGGAGCTGAGCCAGCTTCATTTCAGTGTGGGGGCATTGGGAGCTTGCAAAGTTGCAGTTGTTGAAGGTATCTGAATCAAACGTTACACATAAGGAAGATTTTGGAAAAGTTTAATTGCTGGAAATAACTGCACCCTTGAAATGGAAAATGCCCCAGCTACATTATATTTTAATATTGGAAGTATTTACTTTTGTCCCCCTTTAAAAGGCCATTTAAATTTGTAGTTGCTGCTTCATCTATATTTGAACAGTTTTTTCTGTTGCCAGCTTCTCTGCAGAGGAGAACATAGTAACAGCTTTCCTGTAGCTGACCTTTAGTCATCAGAATATTTTTCTGGCTTCAATTTTGTGTACATAAATTCTTGTTGTCCATTTAGCATAGCTATGTCAACCTGAGTTGTATCAACAGATTTGGAGTTAGTTAGAAAAGGCCTGATGGTGGGGGAAGAAGATCAAGTGACCTGAGTATTGGGATATCTTTATTTCTGGGGCGGGGTCGGGGAGGTGGTGCAGTGAAGTGTGGACTGTGCTTCTCACTCTTCGACACCATGATCTGTGCCTTTGTGTGTTGTCAGGCAAGCATGGATACTAAAGGGCTGAGGCTCCTGGGACTGCCTGGGGCTCTCTTCACATCTCCTTTACTGCCATCAGGGTGTTGTTTAGATCATGGACCCAGCCTGTTAAGCTTTTGACCCTGGTGTAGGGGTTTAATCATGTGATTCCTAGACTATTTGCTGCATACCAACTGCAGTATTTGATTTAAATTATAGAAAGCTTGCAAAATAGATTCCAAATATCGATGTACATCTACATTGTTCATTTCATTATATTTTAAACAAATTTGGTTTAATGACTGTGATATGTATTCTTTTCCATTTTCTTAAGTGATCTGTTGGTGCTTGAGCTTGACTGTGTTTGAGATGTATTAGTATTTCATTTTAGATAAATAAGAGAAATGGCTCAGTATGAGTAACTTCTGCTGTGACTTCAGGAGTCACTCATTTGTTTCAGTGGCATAAACTTACTCTAGATCCTTGTGATTAAGAAGCTCTGATTAATAGTTTTTGAAGTTGGATAGCCATTAAAAGACAATAATTATTTCACTTTGCAATTCGAATGACCTACATGAAGGCATGTGTCTGTTTTCTGCTAAATACAGATTTTGTTTGATTTTATTTTAGTGAGTACGGCTCCACAGCAGAAACCTGTAAGTACTTACGCATATTACTTTATATGCACCATGTTAAAAGAGACCGTTTATTATTGAGTTGTTCAAATTATAAAAAAGTTGTGTATTTAAAGGGTAGACACATTTATAAAAGCTGTGTATCCTCAAATAGGTAAGACTTAATGTCTTGTTAATTTTTTTTTTTTTTTTTTTTGAAAACTGAGTTTCACTCTGTTGCTCAGGCTGGAGTGCAAGTGGTGCGATCTCGGCTCACTGCAACCTCCCCCTCCCTGGTTCAAACGATTCTTGTGCCTCAGCCTCCCGAGTAGCTGGGATTACAGGCACCTGCCACCGCACCCAACTAATTTTTGTATTTTTAGTAGAGAGGGGTTTCACCATGTTGGCCAGACTGGTCTCGAACTCTTAACCTCAAGTTATCTGCCTGCCTCGGCCTCCCAAATTTCTGGGATTACAGGTTTGAACCACCACGCCCAGCCTGTCTTGTTAAGTTTTAATGATCTGTGCAGAGTTGGGATAGTTAGAGCCTTTCAAAAATTGTCTTCTTTATGCATTTTCTGGACTATGGTGGCCAAGTTTAGTGAAATGTGAGGTGATGGAGTTGAAGTATTTTTATTTCAAAACCACTTTACATTATTTCTGATTGGCTGCTAAGTTACCTGTTTTTCTGAAGCTGTTGTTCTAATTTTTTCCATGCGGATGTTAAATAAGAAAGAGACTGATCTATTTTGTGGTCCTGTCAAAACACTATGTCCTTATTAGATACTGGGTGTGGTGACTCACGCCTGTAATCCCTGCACTTTGGGAGGCTGAGGCCACTAGATCACTTGAAGTCAGGAATTCAAGACCAGCCTGGCCAACATGGTGAAATCCTGTCTCTACCAAAAATGCAAAAACTAGCTGAGTGTGCTGGTGGACGTCTGTAATCCCGGCTACTCAGGAGGCTAAGGCAGTAGAATCACTTGAGCCCAGGAGGTAACGGTTGCAGTGAGCTGAGATCACGCCACTGCACTCCAGCCTGGGCGACAGAGTGAGACTCCATCTCAAAAAAAAAAAAAAAAATTAGCCGGGTGTGATGGTGTGCACCTGTAGTCCTAGCTACATGGGAGGCTGAGGCATGAGAATCACTTGAACTCAAGAAGTGGAGGTTGCAGTCAGCTGAGATCACGCCACTGCACTCCAGCCTGGGCAACAGAGACTCTGTCTCAAAGAAAACAACAACAACAACAACAAAACACTATTTTTACTGAGACAGCTCTTGATTTGGAATGTAAGTTCTGGAACAAGAGGGAGCTTTAATAATTAAGCTTCCTGGCCTGCTGAGAAGCTCAAGTTGTTTCCCATAGTTCTTCCCTGGCTTGAGCTGCTTGAATTTACTGATTGATTGAAAGGTTGGAGGCTGTCATTGCCAGTGCTTTGCAAGTCAGGTAACCATGACGGGAGGCAGACAAAAGCTGTAGCTTTTTCTTTTTTCCCTTTGCAGCATAGGCTTATCTCTTACAGTTCATGTTGTCTTGGCTGCTAAGAGCTTCATATGTGAGACCCAAACACACAGTGACATACACCTGCTCGGGCACCTGTTTCATTTTTGGCATTGAGGAGCTGGGATGTTGTTACTTTGTATATAGACAGCAGCAAATAAAACTTGCAAGAGGAGCTTCTCCTTTAAGGCCAAGAGAATTTCGAACTTCAGTTCTCTTAGAGTTTGAATGGTGAAGACTTACTGGATTTAAGCTATATCCCTCTGAGGGCAGGACCTGGTAGTAGACCTAGTACGTGATATCAGTCAGCACTGCTTTCCCTTTGATTTTATCGTAAGCCTTACCACAAAGTGGATCTGTCTGGGTTTGGGATTTTAATAGAATATGGCATGAGAAAGCAGAGTTTATTGCTATTTGCCATGCTGCTAGTCGTTATACTATCGTGGTGCTTTAAAAAGAAGAATACTGACCTGTGGTCTTTCCTTAACATAGATAGGAAAAATATCTAAAAACAAAAAGAAAAAACTGAAAAAGAAACAGAAGAGGCAGGCTGAGTTATTGGAGAAGCGCCTGCAGGAGATAGAAGAATTGGAGCGAGAAGCTGAAAGGAAAATAATAGAAGAAAACATCACCTCAGCTGCACCTTCCAATGACCAGGATGGCGAATACTGCCCAGAGGTGAAACTAAAAACAACAGGATTAGAGGAGGCGGCTGAGGCAGAGACTGCAAAGGACAATGGTCAGTGGGGCCTGGAACCTGGGCTGCATGGGGTTCTCAGAGCTCCATTAGTAGGGTTCTGCCAGGTCAACATGGGGGCTGATTTGTGCTGCTGCTGCAGATGACAAGGATGATTCTCTCCAACTCCCTATTGGGAAATATGGGAAATAGCCTCGTACTTCATTTGTGAACTGTATGCCAGAAATATGTTAACATTTCAAAATAGTTTTTAAAAATGTAAAATAATTGAGAAATTCCATGTTTCTATCATGCTAATGATGGTGCTTTATTTTGTCATTAACTTTTTACCTAACTGTAATGCACCACAAGTCTGTTTCTGAAGATTATAGAGGGTAGAAATGGAAGTGCAACTTTATTTAGAAAGAGTTATTTTCCCTTAAAGCTAACTTTTTCTTATAAGAGCAGGCCAATTACTAAATGAATGAAAAATGAGATTTAGAAAACCTGAAGGTTTTACCCCAAAAGCCAAGAGGTGTTTACCAGGTGGTACATAAGCATATTCAAAATGTATTTTATTGATGGAGATAAGTACTTAATGAGGCTGTATTAAGGAGAGTAACAAGTTCTAATTCTTGACCCATCAAATTCTTAAGGTGAAGCTGAGGACCAGGAAGAGAAAGAAGATGCTGAGAAAGAAAACATTGAAAAAGATGAAGATGATGTAGATCAGGAACTTGCGAACATAGACCCTACGTGGATAGAATCACCTAAAACCAATGGCCATATTGAGAATGGCCCATTCTCACTGGAGCAGCAACTGGACGATGAAGATGATGATGAAGAAGACTGCCCAAATCCTGAGGAATATAATCTTGATGAGCCAAATGCAGAAAGTGATTACACATATAGCAGCTCCTATGAACAATTCAATGGTGAATTGCCAAATGGACGACATAAAATTCCCGAGTCACAGTTCCCAGAGTTTTCCACCTCGTTGTTCTCTGGATCCTTAGAACCTGTGGCCTGCGGCTCTGTGCTTTCTGAGGGATCACCACTTACTGAGCAAGAGGAGAGCAGTCCATCCCATGACAGAAGCAGAACGGTTTCAGCCTCCAGTACTGGGGATTTGCCAAAAGGTAAGTGTTTCTTCCCATCAACTGTCTGCCATCGCTGACTCCAGGGACGTGCCTTTAACAAATGCTGTGAAGGAATTGGCTGGAAGTGGCCAAGCCCTGTGTGTGTGTACTGATCAGTTTTATTACTTTTATACTCCTGAAGAAGTAATGTGATTTAAATAAATTTTCTATGCCATTAGGCTATTTCTTGCTCTCTGCATACCAAATCTTATTTCTGACCAGTTTTCATTTTTAATATATTTAGTCAGCAGCATCATTTGCAAAAACCTTCCAGTTTTAGCAACTTACACCTTTCTAGAATGTGTAGTTTAGTTTAAAATTCGTATCTTCTTCCATCTAATGTCATTATATTTAGTTTAGTTTAGTTTTGTTTTGTTTCTATTCAAGAAAATTATGCCTCCTCTTTGACTCTATTGAGAAAGAAGTGTCATATTGTCTTTTGATAGTTGTTCCTGATTATAGGACCCTACTATTGGTAACTGGCCCAGGATTGTAATTTTCAAGGAATTGGCATGGATTTAAATGTGATGACAGATTATAGATTGGCTCTTGTGTTCTTGTCTACCTAAGAAGGCTTGACTTATTCAAAGCCTTATTTTGGGAGTGAATGCCAAGTGACTCTAGTAAGTGAAAACTGGGTAACACAGCTGGTTTCCATACTGGCTTATGGGGGAAAAGCTCTGAAACCTCCCTCTGCTCCCTCTACTGACAAGACTGTTTAACACACAGCGAGTAAAATTGATGAGCCAGCCCTGCAAACAGCCCGACATTCTGCAGCCCCTTTGGTTCCAGCAGTCTGGAATTGCACGCCGAGTAAGCTGGCTTTGTTACGCACTGGCTATGATGAATCCTCCTAAGGATTTGCTTTCTTTACTTGGCTGGACGTGGTCAGCTCCTGTTCCCCTTTCCAGGGAGTGTTTGAAGGTGCTTACATAGAATGTAGGTTAATTTCTGGGAAAGGGCAGTAGTGAGAGGTACCTTATCCAGACTTATTGTTGCTGTTGCAGTTCAATTTTTCTCTTACTTGAAGTTTCTTTTTTTTTTTATGAGATTGAGTCTTGCTCTGTCACCCAGGCTGTAGTGCAGTGGCGCGATCTCGGCTCACTGCAACCTCTGCCTCCCGGGTTCAAGCGATTCTCCCGCCCCAGCCTCCTGAGTAGCTGGGATTATAGGCGCGTGCCACCATGCCCGGCTAATTTTTGTATTTTTAGTAGAGACAGGGTTTCACCATGTTGGTCAGGCTGGTCTCAAATTCCTGACCTCGTGATCCACCCGCCTCAGCTTCCCAAAGTGCTGGGATTACAGGCGTGAGCCACCGCGCCCGGCTGAAGTTTCATATAGAAAGTAATTTACAAAGTACCTTTTTAATTATTTCTATTTTATTCATTCATTTATTTATTTATTTTTTGAGACAGTCTCACTCTAGTTGCCCAGGCTGGAGTGCAGTGGTGCAATCTCAGCTCACTGCAACCTCCGCCTCCTGAACTCAAGCAATTCTCCTGCCTCAGTCTCCCGAGCAGCTGGGATTACAGGCGCCCGTCACCATGCCCGGCTAATTTTTATATTTTTAGTATAGACAGAGCTTCACCATGTTGGCCAGGCTGGTCTCCAGTGCCTGACCTCAGGTGATCTGCCCTCCCCAGCCTCCCAAAGTGCTGGGATTACGAGCCTGAGCCACCATGACCAGCTCAAAGTACCTTTTTTATTCATACTTATTTTGCAAGTATTAGCTTGGGCTGCAGTGGCTTCAAGTACAGTCAGCCCTCCATATCCATGGGTTTTACATCTTTGGATTTCCCATCCATGTGTTCAGCTAACTTCAGGTGGGAAATAGTTGGAGGGGAAAAAAAACTGTGTCTTTATTGAACATGTACAGATTTTTCCCCCCTTGTCATTACTCCCTAAACAATACAGTATAACAACTATTTACATACCATTTACATTGTAGCAGGTATTATAAATAACTAGAGATCAACTAAAGTGTATAGGAAGATATATGTAGGTTATATGCAAACACTACACCGTTTTATATCAGAGACTTGAGCATCTGTGGATTTTGGTATCCTCAGGATGTCCTGGAACCAGTTCCCCTGCAGACACCGAGAGGCACCTGCATATCAGATTAAACCCCAGCTCAAAACTTAATAACTGTGGAACTTTGGTTTCTTACCCTGTCTGAGCCTTGGTTCATTCCTCTATCAAAAGAAAGAAATGGCTACCTCTAAGGTTGTTAGTAGCACTGAATTAAATAAAACAGGTCAATGGCAAAGGTACATAAATAACATATAATAATAATATATTGAAAAATTTCCCATTGAATGTAAGTTGCCTTGGTCATCACAATCCATGTAAAGGAGCAGAATTGCTGCTTGTTACCACATGGTCATCATTGGAGGCCCAGGCAAGTCATAAGACTTATCCTATTGTTTACATGACAGCTCCATCTCTGTGTCACAGGAAACTTCAAACCTTACATGTCCAAAACCAGAATACAACTTTCCCTGCCAACCTGCTACACATACTGTATTTCCTACACTTGTTGCCACCATTTCTTGTTGCTCCAGTGAGAAACTTGATCATCAGGATGTCTTCTTTTTTTCTCTCATGTCCAGTAAATCATCTCATTTTGCCAGTCATACCTCCTAAGTAGGGGTCCCCCTTGCCTTGTCCCTAAAGTGGGCAGTGTCATTGCTTGCCTCTCCTATTATGGAGGTTCCTTACTGGTGTCTTGGCTTTGTGTTCTCTCCAGCTTTTCTCCCCACCTGCCTTTCAGCATGCCCTTCCATGGTGCTGCTAGAGTGTCTTTGCAGTATGCTCACCCGATCAGTGTATTCCCCTGCTCACAGTTTCCACAGCTCCCCATCATCTACAGCAGTGGTCTCCACAGTGGAGAGTGTACATCCCTGCATAACCAGCACCATCCAGGAAGGTGCAGGAAGGAATTATTAGAGCATCTGTGTATTTTTTTATTTTGAAAGAATAGTACAATAAACAACTGTATATCCTCCACATAGATTGAGCAATTCACATTTTGCCGCATTGCATATACTTTGTGTACACAGACACTGCATGCTACACATATTAGGATACTTCACTCCTAAATACTTAAGCATTCATCTTCTGAGAGATGAATTAGAACGTCCTCCATTGTAACAATAATACTATTACAACGTGTAAGAATAGCACTAATTTTATATTATTATTATTTTGAGACAGGATCTTGCTCTATCGCCCAGGCTGGAGTGCAGTGGCGTGATCTCGGTTCACTGCAACCTCTGCTTTCTGGCTCAAGTGATCCTCCCACCTCAGCCCCCAAGTAGCTGGGACTACAGTTGGCACTACCATGTCTGGTCAACTTTTATATTTTTGGTAGAGAAAGTAGGGTTTTACCATGTTGCCCATGCCAGTCCTGAACTCATGGGCTCGAGTGATCTGCCTACCTTGGCTTCCCAAAATGCTGGGATTAAAGGCGTGAGCCATCACACCTGGCCTAATATCATCTATTATTTATTCCATATTCAAATTTCCTCAATAATTCTAAAATTTTCTTTTTAAATTTTCCTGATCTAGGATATGATCCAACACAGTAGCCTGCCTCCTGGGTGAGGGCTTCCTGTATCCCCAGCAGGCTTACTTCTCTTTCCCCTCTGCTCCTGCTGGCCATGCTTGTCTTAGTTGTATGGGCAGTGCTCATTGTCACTGTCTGTCTTCTCATTAGAATGTGAACTCTTGGAGAGTGCAGTGTGTTTTTATCTTTGCATCCTCAGCATCTGATTCAGTGCTAAGATAAATATTTATTGAATAACGAACAAACAAATGAGTGATACCTTTTTACATTCTTCTTCTCTTTCCTTTCTCCCGCTTTTTTCCATTTATAGTCACAATTTTACTGTGTCCAACACACATACCATCCCCAATACCTGTTGCATCAGGTAGAAACTGGAGGTCTTGAAGAGCATTTTAATATTGGCAAATTCTAGGGATGTACCAGGGACAGGATCTCCTTTGTTTGGAAGCACTCAGTTTTCGCCCGCAGCTTGGCCATTTGATAAGCAAGAGCAGCCTCCCCCATGGGAGGTGTGTTTTGTTTTCTGCATGGGAAGGGGTATAAGCCTAGAGTCTTGCACTTGACCACACGGTACTTCGTGAATTTGAGGCAAGAGAAACAATGAAGAGTTTGTGTAGATCCTGACTTTAGGGCAGAATGTACATGTTAGGGCATAGTAGAAGAAAGACTGGGGCCAGTTTGAGGAACTTGAAGAAACCTAAATGCCAGGCTAAAGAAGGTACACTTTTTTCCTAGAGTAATTTGGCAGCCATTGAAGGTTGAGAAGAGGATGGTCCCTCTTAGATGATCAGCTGCCAGAGCCTTAGTGTGTATCTTGGCTCAACACATCTGAAGGACAAAGGCCCTGGAACAGGGTGGTTTTGTTGGTCTTACCTGTGGGCTATTTCTGGAATCCTTTCTGTGTCACTCGATGGGGACCCACACCACTGTCAGTCCTTGCTAGGCTACTGTTAACACAGCCTCCGTGCTCCTATCACTTGAGCTTTTGCTCCCCAGTCTGTCTCTGTCTGGCAGTCCAGAGAGAACTGTTTAAGGCTTAACTTCTTCCCCCTTACCCACCCTCGCCTCACCAACATGATCTCCATTGTGTTTCCCATGTAGAGTAGTGATGCCCTGAGTTGTCCTTCACTGAAGCTGACAAACTCTCCAGTGTGTTCCCTGGCAGGTCTCTGTTGGTGCCTGCTCCAGACCCATTCTCTGTTTCCCTAATTCATTCTACACCGTTCACACTGGCTTCTTTCTAAAGTTTCTCAAAGTTGCAAGCCTGTTTCTGCCTTAGGATTTTTGTACTTCCCGTGTCCTTTGCCTCAAACTTCTCTTACTTTCATGCCTGCCTTTGTTCAGACCTCTCCTGAATGTCACCTTCTCAGAAAAGATCTCCCCTGAACAGCCTTGGCATTATCCATCTCCTTTCTCTGCTTTGTTTTTCTTCATAGCCTGTTTAGCTACCTGACAGGATGTGTGGATTCCTCGTTTATTTGCCTTATTGCCCATATTTTCAACCAGTACACGAGTTTCCTAATTTAGCTTGTGTTTTTTTCTTACAGTGTTCCCAGTACCAAGACCATGCTTAGCACACAGAAGGTACTCAGTAAATATTTGTTGCACGAATGGTTGAGGTGGCAACATTAAATCTCTTAGTTCCACTACTTCCTTGGGCCTCATAGTGAACCTCCTCCATATAGAGGGGATATTCTTGTCGTCCTTGTAAGGACCCCTTATGATGTAAAGAGTCAGTGTGTGCCTAGCTCCATGTGTTATGTGCGTGTGACAGCAGCTGTCTCATTATGCTGAGGCACTGTTGGCTACCATCTAATAGTTCCTAGGATAGCTTCTTGTGGAATGAGTGACCACAGTGTCACCCAAAGACTAGCGTATCAGAAGGTGACTTAAGGGGCCCAGTTCTTCCCGAAGTGAAAGCTTTCCACTCATTCCCCTCTTAGTGGAAGCAGAGTGCAATTGCAAGCTTTTCATTTTGGAAGGAAGACAGCTCCAGTTTGTCCTTTGTGTCACCATTATCTGTAAGAAGGAAACCGTGTGACAGGTCACTACTGTGGTGACTCAGTCAGAGGAGGTGTGACAAAAGCATTCCAGTTGGGTTTCAGTGGACTTCTTGGGAATGTAGCAGTCTGGTACCTTAGTTCAGGAACTATCATACTGAGAAAAGAAAGAAAAGCAAAATCTCTTTTACCTCCTGTTGTGTTTTTATACAATTAAGTTATTGAGATACATTACCTAGCATCATTTGGAACGCATCAGAAGCTAAGTAACTGTTTACAAACCCGAACCAGGAGGATAACAGCATGTCACCAAAGAGATTCTGTTCAGTGAACCTTAATGAGGGATATTAAGTACAAGAAACACCCCTGAATTTAGGCCAGGTGCGGTGGCTTATGCCTGTAATCCCGGCACTTTGGGAGGCCAAGGTGGGCAGATCACTTGATGTCAGGAGTTCGAGACCAGCCTGGCCAACATGGTGAAACCCCGTCTCTACTAAAAATACAAAAATTAATCGGGCATGGTTTCAGGCGCCTGTAATCCCAGCTACTCGGGAGGCTGAGGCAGGAGAATTGCTTGAATCTAGGAGGTGGAGGCTGCAGTGAGCCGAGATCGCGCCACTGCACTCCAGCCTAGGCGACAGAGTGAGACTCTGTCTCAAAAAAAAAAAAAAAAATTCCCTGCATTTAAATGTGAGGTGATGGGTCTTTGAAAGTATATTTCTTCTAGCGTGATTGAATTAAGCAGCTCCTGAGAAATGTTTTTAAAAACAACATCTCAGAGTGGTGGCAGATTACAGATCATCTCCTTCCACTTGAGTGCCCTCAGATAACAGCCAACTCGGCTACTGTTCTCATGGAGAAAAAGAAATCACATCGTTCTGTGGCTCAGGAGGACCACAATATGTCTAACCGGGCTTCGCCCTCTTCTCATTAGACCTATGATTTGAGTTGTTTGTGGGGGCGGAACTTGCTCTTGGGCCTCCCCTTCCCTCTGCTGCTGCTCTCTGGTCCCTCACTGACCAGTTGGGAGCCTCTGCCCCAGACGATGGTTCAGCTGGTCACAGCAGAGGGAAGCCCCTGCGTCTGGCCAGGCGCCCAGATGCTGTCCTGACTCTCCTGTGTTTGGGTTTTTAGTGTCTTCGGTGGGGAAGGGGTGGTCCCTTCCGATTCTTCTTTTCCTGAACACCAAGCCTCATAGAGTTTAAGTCATTTGCCAGTCTTACAACTTGTAGATATTGAAACTTAGATTTGAATCCAATTTTTCAAACCTCAAATTCCATTTTCCTTCTTGCTGATTCTTCTTGATTAAATGACATACGGGGCATTCATCTAGTCATGTCTAGTGTTGTTCATCTACCCATTGGGTCAGCATTTTTATATTTATCCTGGACCTCTGTTCTCAGCCCCAGGTGAATCAGTGTATATTCATTTTGCCTTCTTTTTTGGTCTTTGTGCTGCTTTCTTTCTGAATTTTTGCTGAGTTCTGGTGTTTCTTTTCCTGAGCTCATACCTGGCCTTTGGTGAGGCTGTGCAGAATCCTTATAAAGAAGGAAACAGGCATATGGAAGGTAGCAAGCAGGGAATATCTGTACCTGGCTGGCTCATTTGATTAACATGCTAGAGGAACAGGTCTTGAGGGTTAAGATACTGGTCAGAATTCTCTTGGCGTCCTCTGGAGCCCCCCTAGGGAGCTGTGTGGGCACCCTAGGTCCTGAGGCCCTTGCCTGTTCACTGCCTTACGGCAAGTTGCAAGGCTGGCCCTCCTTCCTCTTATGGGGCTTGCTGAAGAATCAGAGCCTCCCCAAGCACCCTGGTTTCACAGCTCGTATGTACCCCAACAGAGGTTTAGTTCATTTCAGCAGTGCCCAGCTTCAAGGAAACAAAGGGGCTCTCCTAGGTAGGTGTTTATATTAGTCTGTTCTCACATTGCTGTAAAAAATACCGGAAACCCGGTAGTTTATAAAGAAAACAGGTTTAATTGGCTCACAGTTCCACAGGCTGTACAGGAAGCATGGCTGGGGAGGCCTTAGGAAACTTTCAAATATGGTAGAAGGGGAAGCAGGCATCTTACATGGCTGGAGCAGGAGGAGGAGAGAAGGGGGACGTGCTACACACTTTTAAACAACCAGATCTCGTGAGAACTCACTCAGTATCACGAGAACAGCAACGTGGAAATCTGCCCCCATGATCCAGTCACCTCTCACCAGGCCCCTCTTCTAACACTAGGGATTACAATTCGACATGAGTTATGGGCAGGGACACAAACCCGAATCATATCAGTGTTTAATGTTCTACATTGAACAGGCTTTTCTGCTTGGTTTTTAAATACCATTTCAAAATTACTTATACAGTAAATAAAAGTCCTGGTTTTATTTCATCTTTACCAGAAATCTGATCTTGTAGGTCAGTCTGAGGTTTGGTGATGAAGATGCTGACTTTAAGGACTATTTTTCTGGGCCTCACCAGATTATTTTTGTTTGTCACTTGCCCCTTGGTTAACTCTGCTTGATACAGGCATGATCTGAACTTGTTTGAGAAGATCTGGCCCCAGAATCTCTGGGAAGCTGGCCCTATACCTGCCTTTGAGATTCCCTGGAGTCATCCTGGAATTTAGAATGACTGCTCATGTACATGACAAGTTCATGACTGACCTCAGAGGTTGCCTTTATGGCCCAGGCCATCTCAGGAGACCTCTGTCTGGGACCTTCCTTGTCTAAAACAAAACCAGAATAGTTTAGTCCCTGCCTTTAATCTGTGTTTGTTAATCAACAGTCATCTACCCCTTGAGATCTGTGTGTGCTCAGCCCAAGCAGTGGGAACTGTAGGGGATGATGTGGGTGTGAGGTGTCGGTGCCAGGGACCCTGATGTCTTGTGGCGTCCAAGGAACTGTGTGTCACTGAGAGTGATCGGCCCCCACAGCAGTGTTCTTTCTACCTTCATGTTCCTTGTAATAATGCATCAGCAAGCTCGATCTGGGCCGTGAAGGGATGGATTGACACCATGAAGAGCCGCCACAAAGCTGCAGACAGGGGGACAGCAAGGCTGGCTTGTTCTAGGGCTGACCTGGACCCGAAGAAACTGGGGATAAAAAGAGAAAGGTCAAGGCAGTGCCCTTGGCGTCCTGTGGGCAGCCCAGTTTGCTCTTTTCTGGAGTATTTTCCAGAGGTGGAGAACAAGCAATTTTAGTTCTGTCAAGTTTAATTTACAGTATTCCAGGCCTAAGTGATCATTCCACTACTCTTGAGGAAAGGAGACTGACCCTGGCAAACACTGTGCTCACACATGCAAACCACCTATCCCGATCACTAACTGTCCTGCTGTTTGCTCATGCCAGCAAAAACCCGGGCAGCTGACTTGTTGGTGAATCCCCTGGATCCGCGGAATGCAGATAAAATTAGAGTAAAAATTGCTGACCTGGGAAATGCTTGTTGGGTGGTAAGTAGAGTTTTCTTTCTAAAACCTTTGGTCTTGATTCTGTGTGCGAAGACACTTTTTGAATGTCTGTGTTGCTCCGTGGTAATGCAGCCTGTTCCCTTCCAGCATAAACACTTCACGGAAGACATCCAGACGCGTCAGTACCGCTCCATAGAGGTTTTAATAGGAGCGGGGTACAGCACCCCTGCGGACATCTGGAGCACGGCGTGTATGGTAAGGACGGCTGTGCCCTTTGCTGCCATGGGAATTGGCTCGTTCCTTTCACACTCTGGATGGGGCTGAGTCTCTCTGAGGCATGCGACCTCAGTTTTTCTGACTGTAAGGGTCATCCACCGTGGGCTGGGTGAGGGGAAGGTTGCTGCCGCAGGCATCTTAAGAAGTGGAAGGATCCTCCTCAGGCGGGCCCTGGGTGTTTGGTGTGGTTGTGGGCTTGTGAGAGAGACATGGTCTCTTCTTAAGGCCCTGCACAGCCCACAGCCCCATGAATCAGACTCAGTTGTTGTGACACAGTGACTTCACTTGTGGTCCCTGAAAATGTGCAGGGTATAGGGAGCTTTTCCCTTCACTCACACTGTGGAGGAAGATGAGGTAGCATCTCCAGGGGAAGACTGCCTAAGGCGGGCAGGTGGGAGCCCCTCCAGGTAAGCCTCTGCCTGGTCAACCAGACATGCAGGGTTCCTCACCTTTCCAGACTGGAAGGGATTTCCCCAGATGCCAATGCATAATCTCTCTTCCCTTATAAAGCAAGAGCTAGCAGATATTCTGGCTTATTCTAGGATGTCTAGCCTCTTCTGAAACAGTGGCAGCAACGCCCACTCCCTCTGACAGAGTCTGTTCCCAGAGTGGTTGAGATGACGGCTTCCACAGGGCGGCAGAAGCCTCTTCTTCTATCTGTCAGGCCTGTTTTGCTGCTGGTTTTGTGCTGCACAGTTGCATTGTCTGTAAACTCCCCTGGCCCTGCCTGGCATCGTTTGGTCATTGACCCTGAACCTGTGAGTTGGTGAACACAAAGGGCCCTGCATTTGCGAGCCAGTTCCTGGTTCTCTTCCTCTGCCCTGTTTCCTGGCCCATTCAGCAGCTTTTTCTCAGTGGTATTTACTTAGGCGTTCCGTGTTGGGAAAGGTGGGTTGCTTGCTGTTGGGTTTCATGCTTTTCCTATTCCATACTGCTTTTTATCCATATTCTTCCAATATTTAAAAGAAAAGATTGTGTGCAAGGCTTAGCATTTTTCTTCTCACTGAAAAAAGGAATGCAGAATAAATATATTAATTTTCTGTTATTCAGAGGTTAATTTAACAATTTTCTTGAATTTACTGTGTTTTACCTCCTCTAATGCTCAAGTAAAAGCATTGTTGAGCAGATAGTGCCAGCTGATAGGAGAAAAAGAGGGTGCTTTCTGTCTTTCAGCTTTGACTCAGCATGATCTGAGTCAGCACATGGCCAGATAGGTCCTGAAACACCAGGCCTTTCTATTCCCTCGTTGCTCTTAAGGATAATACCAGACAATAACGTTTAAATTATTAAAGGTATTAAAGTTCTTCCATATCAAAAACCAAGTCCCTGCCTTAGCTAGGTATAGAAAAGAACGGTTAAAAGAACCGGTGGCCAATGATGGTCACTTTGAATTTAGAGAGTGCTGTGTGGAGAGGCATTTGACCCTCTCTGTGTGACCCCAGCAGGCAGACTGAGACGTGGGAGTTAGTGTAACGGGAGCTGCGGAGACACTGAGTGGGAGTCGGGGAGCAGGGGCCATTTCAGGATGTGGGGAGGTTAGACCACAATGGCCACTAGCAGCAGGGCTGCCCCGAATTAGGCGCTAAGTACTCTTTGAACTCTGAAATGCTGTGCTTCTAATTTGGGGTATTAAGTTTGGTGATATAACCAGAAAAATAGGACGCAGTCACGGATGTAGTGGGTTAATGGAGCTTTCAGCACAATTTTATACCAGGTTATCTGACCTGCCTTCCATTAGATGAACGTTTGTCCCTCCATACAATTTCCCTGTCCTGCTTACTTCTTGAAATGCTATTGCTGTGAACAGTGGCATAAATATCAATAACAGATTCCCAAGGAAAAGCCTTTCTGTCTTCTCACCTGCCCCCTTCCCAAGAATTAAGCATAAGCTCCCTCAGTGCTGTCAGGACGGCTTATGAGGTTTGCTTTTTCAGTTGGTTGTCATAAGGGAGGTTTTTTTTTTTTTGGAAAGGGGCAGGCCCTCATTCACTGCTTGCCCCACCCCCCAAAAGTCATGGCTTTAGAGGTTTCTTTTGTTCCTCCTAGAGAACCTAGGAGCAATGAGGCAGTTTTTCTTACCTCATCGTTCTGTTGTAGTGTAAAAATAGGACATTTAATATATTAAATTTGACCTCATAATACCAAGCTGTCATAAGGCCACAGATGGTTCTTGGTGGTAAAGCCTATATATAGTCTTTGAGGGTTTTGTTTGTTTGTTTGGAGACAAGGTCTTGCTCTGTTCCCCAAGCTGAAGTGCAGTGGCAGGACTATAGTTCACTGCAGACTCCACTTCCCAAGCTCAAGTGATCCTCCCACCTCAGCCTCTGGTGTAGCTGGGACTACAGGCACATGCCACCACGCCTGGCTAATTTTTGTATTTTTTGTAGAGATGGAGTTTGTCACGTTGTCTAGGCTGGTCTTGATCTCCTGAGCTCAAGTGATCCACCCGCCCTGGTCTCCCATAGTGCTGGGATTACAGGGATGTGACACTGTGCCCGGCTGTCTTTGAGATTTATAAATAGCATCAAATCTCACAGAGACTCTGTTGGGAATGAGAGCTGACGGGTGGTAGCCATTGGCTATTGTCAGGGAGGACAGCTTTAGGCTCTGCAGCTGGAGAAGCACAACAGAATGAGGGACCACAGCAAGGGTATGTTGGGTTTGGATCTGTTTTACTTTTCTTGAGTTTTACTTTTTTTTTGAGCTTTACACCTTCCAGTGTAAGTACATATAATCTGAAACTTCTTTGTGGCTGAAGCATTGGTTTCTCTGCATTTATGTATTAGAGTCTCTGATAGGACTTTTTATGAACTCCATGGTGAGTCCTGGTCAGTGCCATAGAAACAAGAAAAGCCATTCCAACAAACTTCACCAGACTTCTTCGGCACTGGTCACATTACAGAACAAATACGTGATCTTATTTGTTCAGAATCGGGATACTTCAGCATAGGAGAATGTTTTAGGAGAGAGGTAGTTGGTCTCCCAAGAATCTGGAAACAAGTAGGTCCAGGGAAGAGCCCTTTGAGGGGATTGAGCCAAGTAGAGAAGAATCCGGAGTTCCCAGGTATTAAAAATAATAATAAAGATTATACTTAGGCCCAGCGAGGTGATGCACACCTGTAATCCCAGCACTTTGGGAGGCCAAGGCAGGCAGATCACTTGAGGCCAGGAGTTTGAGACCAGCCTGGCCAACATGGCAAAACCCCATCTCTACTGAAAATACAAAAATTAGCTGGGCATGGTGGCACGTGCCTATAGTCCTAGCTACTCAGGTGGCTGAGGCAGGAGAATCGCTTGAACCCAGGAGGCAGAGGTTGTAGTGAGCCAAAATTGTGCCGCTGCACTCAGCCTGGGCAATAGAAGGTTATACTGGGAGTAACTGAGTTGAAGGCAGAGTTTTTTTCATTGTAATGTGCATTTGCCCTGTTGTACATGTTGTATTGTTAAGAGAATCTTGCCACTCTCCAAAGAATCAAAAATGGGTAGCATTACAGCCTTCATCTTCCTTGTTCCTTTAAAAAAAAAGAAAATTATTTGGCCGGGCTTGGTGGCTCACGCCTGTAATCCCAGCACTTTGGGAGGCCGAGGCAGGCGGGTCACGAGGTCAGGCTAACATGGTGAAATCCCGTCTCTACAAAAAATTAGCCGGGCGTGGTGGCGGGCGCCTGTAGTCCCAGCTACTCAGGAGGCTGAGGCAAGGAGAATGGTGTGAGCTTGCAGTGAGCTGAGATTGATTGTGCCACTGCACTCCAGCCTGGGTGACAGAGCGAGACTCCGTCTCAAAAAAAAATTATTTCATTGATTGGCTTCTATACATGTTTTCTTGGGAATATGTGGGTGCTAATCAAAATGATGATTTTTTTCAAAGAATACATACCTGACATATTTTGGCAGTAAGAAATATGTACAAAGCTGGGTGCAGTGTAGTGCGCCTGTAGTCCCAGCTTCTCTGGAGGCTGAGAGAGGATCACTGGAGCCCAAGAGGTTGAGTCCAGCCTGGACAACATAGCGAGGTCCCTTCTCTAAAAAATATGAAAGAAAAAGAAATATATGCAACCAGATTGAAGTCATTTTGAAAATTAATTAAAAGAGTTAGTTAGCATAGGGCTCAAGGCAGGGGTTGAAAAGCAGCTTGGAACTTGATCCAGGCTTTTCAAGTCCTCGTTGTCCCATTAGAGTTTTCAGATTTTTCTCTTAGCTTGTAAGATACTGAATTGATTGTTTCCCAGGCTAGAAGGACTCTCCTGGCCATTGAGTGTGTAATCTAGTTGTTCCACTTGGATTTGGGGCCAGTTATGAGGTTTTCCTGCCCTCATCTGGGATTGGCCCAACTGTCTTCTTTGTTTATTGGGTGGAAAGGAGAGGCCCTACATAAGGGCTTTCCTGGGTTTTCTGCTGGTGCCTTCGTGCATCCACAGTGCTGGGACCACCAGCTCACCATGCTGAGATGTGACATGTCCGTGTCTTGCTCAGACCTATGCCAGGTTCAGGGCAGGGATCCTGAGTTCATAAATTAATGCTTATCGCTCGGTCAGCTGGAAGCCATCTTGTCACCATCCTTCCTTCCTTCAAGTGATTGACAGGCAGTCTTTTTTTTTAAAAAAGGTGAAAAGATGTGGTCCTGGGCTGACTGCACTCACTCTTGGTTTGTTAAAGACAGTGCCAGGAGAGGTGGCCCCTCACCCAGGCAGGTGAGCCTTCCCTTAAAGGTGCCTTTCCAGCACTGTGTGGTCATTGAAAGAAAAAGAAGGTAGGTTGATGCAGTGAAGTTTCCCCAGTATTGGCTCCTTGGGGCGGGAATGGGGAGGGCAGTCACAGATCCACAGGCATCAGTGATTGGGCCTCTGAGCACCTTTTGGGACAGCAAGATCCGTTCAGAATAGAAGCAGCTATGAGAAAAACCAGAAATGGGATTTAGCTTATTCTTTTTTTCTCTTTTAAAACATTCTCTTTGATCAGCAGAGCAGTAGCAGTTGCCATTTTTGTATATTGTTACTAGCTTAAACTCATGTTTTTGAGGGTTTTTTTGTGAGCAAGGGAAATGTGTTCCCTACATGCTGGCATGCTGAGGGACAGCCAGTGGCCACCCAGGAAGCCAGTGCTCCGTGACATCCACAAAAGGGTCTGCAAGACCATCTGCTTCCTCTGGCCCTGGGGACAAAGAGGGTCTTTTTTGTTTCCAGGTTTTCCTTTGGTTGAATCAGAAATGAATGAAATGATGATGAAAATGGTTGATGAGATACTGAAAATAGTCCTTGGTTACTAAAACATGAAGGTCTTCGCCTAAAAGACGCAGCAGTGTCTGCTATACAGAGGCCAAGGCTATTATAGTGGTTGAGGCAGGTGCTGGAGTCAGACGGGCCTTGTTGAGTCCTGGGTTGAACTCTCGTTCTACCATTTATAGAGTGCATACCGCGCTCTGGCCAGGCCTGCATGCAGGTGC
The DNA here is from genome assembly GCF_000001405.40 of Homo sapiens. Lineage (NCBI taxonomy): Eukaryota > Metazoa > Chordata > Mammalia > Primates > Hominidae > Homo > Homo sapiens. The sequence goes on along the minus strand of NC_000007.14, from coordinate 105,127,326 downwards.
GGCTGACTCACTGACGTTTTGGTTTTGCTTCCTGCAAAATGAAGAGAATACATAGCTCTTATATCTTTCCTTAGAAATGTAAAAATACTTCTGAAACTTCTTTGAATGTGGAAGAAAGAAAAAAATTAGTATTGAGCACTTTCAGGAGGCTATTTTGTTTGATTCAGATCTTCATAAAGTGGCGGTCTCTTCTATAAGGAGAAAAAGCTGTTGACTTGGGGGCCAGTCTCTGAAGTGCTTAGCATGTCGTCTGTTGTATCCTAGGCATTTGAGCTGGCAACGGGAGATTATTTGTTTGAACCACATTCTGGGGAAGACTATTCCAGAGACGAAGGTGAGTATTGGTGCCTGCTGAATACCTCGGTCTAGGTCTTCTGCCAGCCCTGAACTTCTGTAGAGTACTGTATTTTTGTACTGAAATAGAGCCATGTGTTTGGTTTTCAAACACCAAATTCAGATGCTTTTCCTTTGAGTTTGATGCCCCCTCAGTCTCAGTGAATGGGCAGAGCCTGCCTAGCACAGGCAGCACTCCAGCGAGCCCTCAGGGGCCCTACACCAGCGGCTCTTCCTGGCCTTGCACAGGGCAGGAACCCAGCTGGCTGAGAGAAGACAGATGATACAGACCTGAAGCCTCTATGTGGTCCTTTTGACCATTGATGTGCTGCCCATTTCTCTGTCCTGTTTGGGAGCTGAGTTGAAAACCCAGGAATTCTGGCTTGAATGCCATCTGTAAACCTGACCATCTCCATGCTTATTTGCTTGCGATGCTGGGGTGGCCTGGGGTGAGCTGGCCTCAGTCACTGTTACTGCTCCAGGTGGTGCCTGAGGCCTGCCATTCCCACAAGCCTCTGCATGGATGTGCTGCAGACACTGTTGATTTGAATCTATTTCTGATTTTTTACTAATTTCAATTTTTCCCTCTTCTTTTATCCCATCCTTCCCTTTGCCCCTCCCATTCCCATATCCTTTTTTTCTCTCCTCCATAGACCACATAGCCCACATCATAGAGCTGCTAGGCAGTATTCCAAGGCACTTTGCTCTATCTGGAAAATATTCTCGGGAATTCTTCAATCGCAGAGGTAGTACCTCTTCTTTTTGAAAAGCGCCACGATGCAGACAGAAACTGAAGAGCAGCTGCTGATTTTAGCATTAATGGTGACAAAGGCATTTCTCCTAAATTCGAAACGCAACCCAGCAGAATTCCTATGCTGATAGAAAAATTGTCAGGGAAGACCACATTTAGCCCTGTGCTGCGGTCACCCTGTTCACCAGCCCCTCTCCTGTGCCCTCCAGCTCTGGATCCTGAATCCAGCAACGCGAGGAAGGCCTGTACTTTTGGTCATTCAAGTTGCGCTCTGTTTCTGTCTGCGCGGGCGGTGGTAGTGTCTGCATGCAGTGTACTGATTAAACTGTCGTGTGTTTCTGTTTTGCTGGCAATGTTTCCCAATGCAGATCACATAGCATTGATCATTGAACTGCTGGGGAAAGTCCCTCGAAAATACGCTATGTTGGGGAAATACTCCAAGGAGTTTTTCACCAGAAAAGGTAACGGTATTTATGCAACACTAATTTTCAGCATAGTCTTCTCCCAAAAGGAGAAATTGTGCATTCGTGATTGGGCAGTGGAGAAAGATCTGGAGTTTCACAACTGGGGAATTCTTCCGAAGAAAGCTCTCAAGAAATAAACCTGACCCATCTGATACCTGGAGTAAGAATTTTGTAAGAGAACAGCCTTCCTAACAGCATTTTTTCCTCCTCCGCTTCTCTCTTTTACTCCAAGTTACCAATCTGTATATTATTTATAAAAAGGAGTTTAGGTGATTGTTAAAAGCCAGCTAGACTTATCTTTCCATTTCATGGACTCTCTGTAGTAGAACAGAGGTGGCCTAGAGACTGGACTTAGGGAACGTCCAGGGACATTGCTTTTGGTCTGCCTGGGTTATTTCTGTAGTGGGTGTAGGCCTGTGAAATGCTGCGTACCTCACATTCTTAAAAATGACATCCTACATTCCCATTGTGTTATGCCACACTGTATTAAGGTGATTATTTTCATGTTGTAGTTCTTACTGATCTTCCAACTGTTTATTTGCCCAGTATAGTCCCCAGTTAGTAATTTATAAAAACACCCAAGAGCCCTAGGAGTATTTTTAAAAGAACTCCTTCTAAGTGCTATATTCTTTTTTTTTTTTTTTTTTTTGAGATGGAGTCTTGCTCTGTTGCCCAGGCTGGAGTGGAGTGGCGCAATCTTAGCTCACTGCAACCTGTGCCTCCCAGGTTCAAGCAATTCTCCTGCCGCAGCCTCCCATGTAGCTGGGATTACAGGCACACCACCACGCCCAGCTAATTTTTGTATTTTTAGTAGAGACAGGGTTTCACTGTGTTGGCCAGGCTGGTCTCAAACTCCTGACCTCAAGTGATCCACCCGCCTTAGCCTTCCAAAGTGCTGGGATTACAGGCATGAGCCACTGCGCCCAGCCTGCTGTACTTTTTTGTGATGAGTGTAGTTGGTCCTTCATATTTTTCAGGTTAGATTTTTTTTTTGGATGTGACAGCCCTTAATAAAGAACTTTTAAAGTTGATGTGAGTAGGACATGGACTTTTAGAAATTTCTGAAAGTCCCAGATGCTCTGTCTACCTTACTTAGCTAAATTTGGAGAACCACATTGATTTTTTTTTTTTTTTTTTTAGATGGAGTTTTGCTCTTGTTGTCCAGGCTGGAGTGCAGTGGCGCAATCTTGGCTCACTGCAACTTCCGCCTCCAGGCTTCAAGTGATTCTCCTGCCTCAACTTCACAAGAAGCCGGGATTACAGGCACCTGCCACCACGCCCGGCTAATTTTTGTATTTTTAGTAGAGAGAGGTTTTCACCATGTTGGCCAGGCTGGTCTCGAACTCCTGACCTAAGGTGATCCACCCACCTCGGCCTCCCAATTGCTGGGATTACAGGTGTGAGCCACTGCGCCTGGCTGTGCATTTATTTGTCTTTGTTAATCGTCTGTCTGTTGAGGGGATCGAGGACTCCATACTGTGCACAGCGGGAAGGAAGGAAAGAGGGACAGAAAGAGAGGCCTTGAATGATCAAGTGAAGTCACTGAGTTGTTGGAAGGCAGGGCCTGTCAGCGGCCTGCAGGCATGGAGCTGGTTGCAGGCATCTGCTCTTGGGCTGTCACTCCTGTGATGGTTCCTTTCAGTGAGAGCGGCCTGCGTGTGGCCATAAATGGCTGGAAGGCAGCTTCCACGTGGGCCTGTCAGCAACCTTGCTCCCTGAGACAGCTTGTGGATGTGTATCTCCAGGTTACTGCCATCATCACCACGTATACTTAGGACTTACGTGATCGAGTTCTTTTTGAGCAGCTTATTTGAAGGTAACCTGCAGAGTTAAAATGCATTTGGCATCCTTCCTAATGAGAGACCAAAAATATTTTCACTTGGTGTTCCTGTGGTACCTCGAGTTCTTTTTTCCTGTTTTTGGATATAAGAGACCGTTTGTGACTAGGTGAGAAATCCCCTGAAATGACTGGGAATTGGGACTTCAGTTCTTTCCTGATTATTATTTCTAATGGCAGTAGAGATCAGAAGGGATTTAGGGTTTTTACAGAAGTCACAGGATAACATTATGAGGAATGAGGGCCGGTCATGGAAATAGATTTCACCGTTGTCTCTTAGGATGAGGGGAATGGCTTGCTGCGTGAAACATGTGTTTTGGCATGTTCCCATAAGTAATATAGGGGAAATTCCATAATTTCCATAATTTTGGAAATAATGGAATCTTAAAAATATCCATTTAAATTTTTTTTCCTAAAATAGCTAAAATACTTTGTGCTAGAACTGATAACAAAATTTAAAACAGCTGTTGATATGCCGTATCACTTTTGAAAGCAGTTACTGATGGAGAGTGCCTTCCCAGGAGGTTTTCCCGCTCTTTCTCCTCTGGGTCAGAGGCAGATTTTCATCCTTGCCACGCAGCCAGAGAAGAGTGGGGTCTGTGTGTTAAGGTTGAACATCAAATGCAGCTCATTTGTCTCCTCTCCTTGCGTATAATTTAAGAAGTCATGATCATTACTAGTTTGAATCATTCCTTGGCCAGAAAGTTAAAAATTGAGCTGTATTTTTGGTCAGGGAATGTAATTACAGCTCTCACCCTCTTAAGGTTAATTTGCTGGACATGAGCCACCAAAAAGCATTAAGAAACTACTGTGTTGATAGGTGGTCCAATAGAAATCAGCACGTCCATGAATTTTTTCCCTGTCCTGTCTTCAAGAAGTGGGTGGTCCCCAGAAGCTTTCCAGCCCTCAGATCATGGTAGGAAAAACGGTGCAGCCAGGAGCAGACCTCACTGGGCTGGTCACCAGGAATTTTTCTGACCATTCAGCAGGCATATTTTAGTAAAAATTGCTGCGTGGATAATGGGATTATCAAATGAGACAGTTTACTTAAAAAAAAAAAACTGGTCTCTAGATGACAGCATCGAGTGTGTTGGGATAAAAGAGAGTGATTGTGTGCATGTGTGCGCGCGCGTGTGTGTATGTGTGTGTGTCAGACTACAGACCTTAAATACAATTGAAAATTTCAAAAGCAAGAAGCTTCTGTGCAGCAGCATAAAATCCACGTTTCCCTGAGTCAGGGACAACATCAAGAGAAATGTGAGAACTGAGGGCTAAAACCCAGGAGCTGAGTTTTAAAAAGAGATACTGTATTCTGTATTTTTAATATTTAGTGTCTGAGCTGAACTTGTCACAGTGTTTTAAAATTATCTCCTGAATACCTAAAAAGCAACAGATTCTTTTGATGCTGTAAAGAGCAAAGAAAGCTCTTTCGTGGGCATTTGACAGCTACACAGGCTGGGCGTTGTCACTGCCACTCCTCTTGTTTATCCCTCCATCAGATGATGGGCGTTTGGTTTTCCCCCACTTTTTGGCTATTATGAATGATGCTACTATGATCATTAATGTACAAGTTTGTGTGGGCAGATGTTTCCGTTTCTCTTGAATACACATGTGAAAGTTTAAGTATAAATTTTTAAATTTTGATGAAGTCCAATTTATATACATTTTACAATTTGTGCTTTTGATGTCACATCTAATAAATCATTGCCTACTTCAAGGTCATGAAGATTTACTTTTCTAGGAATTGTTTAGTTTTAGCTCTGAGGCATATGACCTATTTTGAGTTGATTTTTGTATGGGATGTGAGGTAGGGTTTATACACATTTTAAACTCCAATATTTACCTACATTTGGTTGTCTACTTGTGTAAGAATTCATTCAGATCTCTTCATTGTCTCTTGCTTTGTATTGGTATTTCTTGGTAGGTTTACTTTCTACGTGTACACAATTGATGCTCATCAGTTTTATATCATGGTTTGCTTTGTAATTACCAGTGTTCATGTAAATATAGTCCAGGATTTGCCTTTAGAGTCCTCCCACATGTAGTGTGGAACCTCATGGGCTTCTTTATTTAATTCTGGAATATGACAATTTCATGGATAAAATAATGTATTTTCCTTCACAAACCACTTTAAGATTCAAGAGAAGTATAATAGAACTTCCCTGTTTCCTTAGAAGGACTCTGCAAGTCCAGGACTGGCCAGTACAGTTGCTGTCACAAAGCCTTTACTCTGCAGGAGGAACCCTTCCTCAGAGCCTGCTTCCTGTTGGTTTTCCTTGGCTCTTTCAAGCTGTTTCTCAGAGCAAATTCAGAAGCCTAAGGGGCTCTTGGGGACCACACAATTGGCTGCCAGGCTCATGTTTGCTTGTGTGTGTGTGAGTTGATACTGAGATTGACAGCTGATAGTCACAGGAAGGGTGAAGTGATATTCCACATTCTTTAAGGAGGACAGGCTAGAAATGGAACTTTAAGAAACTAAAATTGTCACAGTTGTCTAGTTATTTGCAAAACTTGTTTCAGTGAAACACATCTTCATATATTTTCTTTTCTCTCTTTTTTTTTTTACGTCTTCATATATTTTCTTTTTTCCTTTTTTTGAGACAGAGTCTCACTCTGTTGCCTAGGCTGGAGTGTAGTGATGCTATCTTGGCTCATTGCAACCTCTGCCTCCTGGGTTCAAACGATTTTTGTGCCTCAGCCTCCCAAGTAGCTGGGATTACAGGTGTGCACCACCACGCCTGGCCAATTTTGTATTTATTAGAGATCGGGTTTCACCATGTTGGCCAGGTTGGTCTCGAACTCCTGACCTCAGGTGATCTTCCTGCCTTGGCCTCCCAGAGTGCTGGAATTACAGTCATGAGCCACCGTGCCCGGCCGATGACATTTCTTTAACTTGTTAGGGTGCTACTTTTATAGTAAGAGCAAATGGTGAAAATGTGTTTTTAAAATATGCTTTCCCCTCTTATTCTTAATTATCATTCTAAGTGATGGAGGTGGCTACATTTCTTGGGCATCATCTGCAGGGCTGGAGCTGGCTCATGGACTCGAGACCCTCACTCATTCAGTGAGCCCACTCTTGTTGTGTCTCCTAGCAATAGATACAGAGTTGGGGGCTTGGGCTTTGTGTTTAAGTAACCTTATCAACTATTTCCAGGGCAAGGTTACTTCTTATACTGAGCTTAAGGGTTTGCACACATAATCATTATAGCATCTGGGTGAGTTGATTTTCCTTTGCATTATATTATAAACTTTTTCCACAAAAAAAGTCCACACATTTTTTTTTTTTTTAGAGGCGGTTCAGTGTTTTGTTATATTGCAGTGCTGCTCTGTGCTCAGGACCATAGGTGTTTAGGACTCTCCTGCATATACTGTTGTTTATAGACTGCTTCTTTGCACAGTCTTTACCTTGTTAAAAGTAGTTAGATATTTTACTGCTCCTTGCGAATATTTTTACCAGTTTATAGTATGCCTAGTTATGGATGAATAGTTTCTCATGGCCTTTCACTATTATATTGTTTTGCTCACTGTTACTATGCAGCTGTTAAGCATTTATAGTGGTAAAACTTCTCTTTTCATGGAAGATTGTACTTAAAAGATGCCTTGTTGATGGATCTTAGTTTAACACCTGGCGCCTCAGAAATAGGTTCCTTTACTATTCTCAGCACACAGTGCTTCTCTGTAGTTACCTATATTTGCAAACCTGGAGAGTATTTTTTCTGAGATAGAATAGATTCATGTCATAAAAGTTCGCTCCCTTTCCCAGAGAACTTGGTTTAGTCACATGTGAGCTTTCTTAGTTTGCTTTAACTGTTGCTGTGGTGAGATCAACAGTCTAAATCAATATAGTCATATTACAGAAAATGTGGAAATTGAAATAACCTACTAACAAAAGCTGATGTTTTGATTCAGTTGATTTCCATCTTAATGAGCATTTTAATAATCTTGTGATTATCTGTAGGACATAGTTTGACTGTTCTTTTACTGCCTAATGTTGTACCATGATCTTCTCCCATGTTGTTAAGTAATATTAAATACTATTAAGTGAATCTACCTTGGTTTTCTTTTAACCACCATTTTACTATTACTGGCTCTTCGTAATTTTGCGAGTACATATAATTTTGTGCCAGCATATATTAGGCATGAATTTGGGGTGGTGCAACCAGGGTTTATCTCCTTGGGCTGGATTCCTAGAGCCGGAATTTCAGGCTTAGAGGGATAAACCTGCAGTCTCTGTTCAGACTTTGTTTTTATGGAGACTGTGTTTCCTTCAACAGGAGATCCTTTCCCGCCTCTAATATTACAGGTTCATTTCTTCATCAACACAGACCTGATGTCTAGTCTGGATGCGATGCTTTACTCTAGCTCCAGTCCTCATATTGGAAACAGAAGCTTATTTTACATCTCAGCCCCTTTAGCAAGCAGCCCTCTTAAAAGATTCTTTATACGGAACCCTGTGCACAGCATGATTGCAACTTTGTAGACATACTAGTGTGTAAGAACACTCTTCACAATAGACACAAAAGAAGAGCAGTTGTGGGTAGGATTGTAGGCTACTTCCCCTTTTGTTCTTATACTTTTCTGTAATGCTCTTTCCTTTTCATTGTGTTTTTAAACGGGAGGGCTTTTCCAAGTTGACTCGAATAAATGGGTGAAACAGAACAAGCCTCCTGAGAACACCTTTGTGAGCAGAGCACTGATTATCTATTGATGCATCTCATGAAAAAAATGTACCTTGTTTAAATTAAAGCAGTTGAAAGGGGAGAGAAGTCAGTCCTTGCATGAAGTGTGCCCTGCAGGTGCTTGAATGCCTCTCTCCCCCCACCGAGACCTGGCTGCTCTGAGGTGTGGGCACAGGGGGGTGTTTCCTCTGCAGAAGCTGCTCAGGATGCACTGAGGGGCACCTAAGGAGGTCTGTGGGCAGGGGTGGGATGTCCTATGAAAACTTCAAACAGGCAGAGAAAACGAGTTATTCACAGTGAAATTATCTGGAGCTTTTGACAGTTTATTGCCTTTTTGAAAAGGTTATGGGGAGACAGGGTTTCGCTTGCTCTGTCCCAGGATGGAGTGCAGTGGCATGACCTTGACTCACTGCAGCCTTGACCTCCTGGACTCAAGCAATGCTCCTGCCTCAGCCTCCTGAGTAGCTGGGATGTACCACCGTGCCCAGCTACTTTTTTTCTTTTTAAGTAGAGACAGGGTCTGGTCTATGTTACCCAGGCTGGTCTGAAACTCATGGGCTCAAGGGATCCTCCTGCCTCAGCCTCCCAAACGGCTAGGATTGCAGGAGTGAGCCACTGCCCTCAGCCCTTTATTGCAGTTTTGACTTAAAAATAACCTTTTTTTTCTCTTATGAAATGACCATTACAGCTCGTAGGCCATTTACTAGCTTGTTAGTCATTCTGTTATGTCAACCAAAGCTGCCTGTAACCGACACTTTTCATACTGCAGCTAGCACAGTTTGTGAAGTATAACTTCAAGGTTTACAAATTAATGTCCTAGGATCTTAGATCTTACAACAAATGCGTAGACATGAATGGTGTTTGATTTGGGTTGGCCTCAAGTTTGCAAATTTTACGGAAGATCCCAGGTTGAAATGAGAGTGGCTTGCTTCAACCTTTGGAAAAGAAAACACTCTGGGCAAACTGAGCCCACTCCACTTACTTAAAGAAGCTTAGAACTAATGTGAATGAACTATTAATTAACCTCTATTTAGATCCACCAGGCTTACTTGAAATATGCCTTGGTCATATGTACATGTAATGATTATTGCTTAGTGGGGAAAAGCTGGTGTTCTTTGTTGTTGCTGTACAAGTGTTGAGCAGGTGGTTGTCCGCTTCACTGAAAAGAACCTGACTGGACCAACAATGGGGAATGCAGATTTGGAGCTTTCTTGACATTGGCCTGTTTTTTCCCCTGTAGGAGAACTGCGACACATCACCAAGCTGAAGCCCTGGAGCCTCTTTGATGTACTTGTGGAAAAGTATGGCTGGCCCCATGAAGATGCTGCACAGTTTACAGATTTCCTGATCCCGATGTTAGAAATGGTTCCAGAAAAACGAGCCTCAGCTGGCGAATGCCTTCGGCATCCTTGGTTGAATTCTTAGCAAATTCTACCAATATTGCATTCTGAGCTAGCAAATGTTCCCAGTACATTGGACCTAAACGGTGACTCTCATTCTTTAACAGGATTACAAGTGAGCTGGCTTCATCCTCAGACCTTTATTTTGCTTTGAGGTACTGTTGTTTGACATTTTGCTTTTTGTGCACTGTGATCCTGGGGAAGGGTAGTCTTTTGTCTTCAGCTAAGTAGTTTACTGACCATTTTCTTCTGGAAACAATAACATGTCTCTAAGCATTGTTTCTTGTGTTGTGTGACATTCAAATGTCATTTTTTTGAATGAAAAATACTTTCCCCTTTGTGTTTTGGCAGGTTTTGTAACTATTTATGAAGAAATATTTTAGCTGAGTACTATATAATTTACAATCTTAAGAAATTATCAAGTTGGAACCAAGAAATAGCAAGGAAATGTACAATTTTATCTTCTGGCAAAGGGACATCATTCCTGTATTATAGTGTATGTAAATGCACCCTGTAAATGTTACTTTCCATTAAATATGGGAGGGGGACTCAAATTTCAGAAAAGCTACCAAGTCTTGAGTGCTTTGTAGCCTATGTTGCATGTAGCGGACTTTAACTGCTCCAAGGAGTTGTGCAAACTTTTCATTCCATAACAGTCTTTTCACATTGGATTTTAAACAAAGTGGCTCTGGGTTATAAGATGTCATTCTCTATATGGCACTTTAAAGGAAGAAAAGATATGTTTCTCATTCTAAAATATGCATTATAATTTAGCAGTCCCATTTGTGATTTTGCATATTTTTAAAAGTACTTTTAAAGAAGAGCAATTTCCCTTTAAAAATGTGATGGCTCAGTACCATGTCATGTTGCCTCCTCTGGGCGCTGTAAGTTAAGCTCTACATAGATTAAATTGGAGAAACGTGTTAATTGTGTGGAATGAAAAAATACATATATTTTTGGAAAAGCATGATCATGCTTGTCTAGAACACAAGGTATGGTATATACAATTTGCAGTGCAGTGGGCAGAATACTTCTCACAGCTCAAAGATAACAGTGATCACATTCATTCCATAGGTAGCTTTACGTGTGGCTACAACAAATTTTACTAGCTTTTTCATTGTCTTTCCATGAAACGAAGTTGAGAAAATGATTTTCCCTTTGCAGGTTGCACACAGTTTTGTTTATGCATTTCCTTAAAATTAATTGTAGACTCCAGGATACAAACCATAGTAGGCAATACAATTTTAGAATGTAATATATAGAGGTATATTTAGCCTCTTTTAGAAGTCAGTGGATTGAATGTCTTTTTATTTTAAATTTTACATTCATTAAGGTGCCTCGTTTTTGACTTTGTCCATTAACATTTATCCATATGCCTTTGCAATAACTAGATTGTGAAAAGCTAACAAGTGTTGTAACAATAATCCATTGTTTGAGGTGCTTGCAGTTGTCTTAAAAATTAAAGTGTTTTGGTTTTTTTTTTTCCAGACATTGCCTTGGTCATTGCCCTATAAATGATAGAATCAATGAACATTTGCTATCAGAGTAGTGTCACTAAAACTAAATACCAGCATTCCTGTTGCAGCAGATGTAGTTGTAGAACATGCATTGAGGCGTATTATAAGGAAATCATTTATTGTTTTTTAAGGGCAGAAGGGATTTAGGAGAAAAGCTACAGTATAGATTGATTCTCTAGAATATCAATGATCCCTTTTCATCCATGGTTCATCAAAAACATACTAACTGCATTTGTTTGATCATTGCAAATTTAAAACAAAACAGCATTTGCTGTTAGGAAACAAGACACATAATCCTCTTAGGAATTACCATTATATCACATTACCACTGTGAGGTAGAATGGATCATTCATTAATTTCTTTATGAAATTTGCATGCTAAGTTTTTCTAATGAGGCTGTAGGTTTCCATGTAAATTCTGTGATAGATAGTGGCTGTAGACTGGTGATGCTATCCGTGATTTCTATGAGAAACATCCTTACAAGAACCATAGGGCATAATTTATATCTTCCCTAAGTGTAAAAGGATTTTTATCAGGGTGATAGTATACTTGAATGAAATTTGTCTAATGCAGTTTTTGCTTATGTTGGAAAATAAACTAGATTATGAATTTTTACAGGTGTGTCCCTTATGATAAAACAGCCTAACTAGTTTATAATACAGAAACGGTTGTTCTAGAAGGAATATACATTTGTATTAGGCATAATATGGCTTTATCAGATTCTTGGCGGCTTGTTGATAAAGAATGCACAAAAACTAAATGAGAACCACTGGTTATGCTAAACATTATAACTAGCTCTCTGACTTCAATTGAATGTCCTATCTATCTTTTCCTTTCTGTAGTCCATGTGAAATCTTCATGGAAAATGACAAGCAGTGGATCACATATGTGTTTATAGCAGATACAGGAGCTGGCTATCTAGAAGTTGGCAGACAGAACTGCCCAAAGGCAGAGAAAAGGTGGATATAAGATCTTCCGAGTCATAAACTTCTTAGGTGAAAACCGATTTACTAACTTGCTTCTTCCCATACCTGGACCATACATAACTAGTTACCACGATAAAGTAAGGAAACTTTCCATTGGAGTAGAGAACTTCTTCAGTTTCTATCCATAGTTCAGGTTATTTCCTAAATTCTCCTTTTTTCTCCCCCTTTTAAATAACTTGAATGAAATTTTGGTAGAAGACTGTATTTTAGAGTATATACTTCATCAAGGAATCAAAATGTATAAGATTCTGCAGTTCACACAAAAGCTTCTGTATGCATATTTCTGTAGTAGGCACATTTCAAGCCAGTGAAGAATTTAAAATGCTTAGAAGGACAAACCTTTTAAGAAGAATATTTTTATTTCACATGCTAGTTACCTTTATTCTGTTTGAAACTATCAGGATAGATGATGTAAAACCATTTCTTCTCAGACAAATGTTTCTTTACTAAATACCATAAATAGAATTTTGTTGGACAAATTGAGGATGGCAAACTTGGCCTATATGTTCTTCTAAAATTTGAAGCTGTGATTAGGATTGAGCCCTAAGTGAGCTGCGTTAATGTACCATCATTAGCTAATTTTCAAAAGGAAATAAATAGAGGTTCAAAGTGTAAAAACATGACTGAATGAGGTCACGCAGTCATTTTAGTGTTTACTTTCTCTGATGCACAGAATTTGTATCCTGTGCCAAATTATGTCAGGTAATTGGATGATGAAAAATATGTTGATTGATAAAACAGTATCATTATTATTGGATGTACTTACTGAATCCTCAGAGGTAGAAGACAAAGGCTGGGAAATTTTTAATTTTTTGAAGATTAATAATTAATAACTAACTAGCATTTTATATTTTAGCAATAAAAACGTTCACTTAAGAGGCCATTTTCATTTCACTGAGAGATCTAGGAATAATGCCTTTTTTCTTTAGTTTTTACACCCAAGACAAATTTTCCTGTTTTGGGCAAACTACCCATATTTTCAAACAGTTGTTGTACCTTGTATTCAAGAACTACTGTAATGCATTAGTGGTCTGGCTTCATTTTGTATGATGCCAGATCCTTAATTTACCCAGCACAATCATTTCAGTAGTTTCCTATGGCTCCTGCAAAAATGCAAACAGAAACCACCACAGGAACAGCCCCTTGCTGCCTCCTGTTGCTGAGGTAGTAGTCGCTAAAGAAAATTGAAGGCTCCTTACAATCTATATTTGAAAACTAGAACTTCTGTAGAAACACACAGATCCCGATCTTAGAAGTTGTACAGGACAATCTGGTAAAACTGACATAATTGTGATTTATTAACATGAATTAAAATGCCCAACCAGTGCTTCAGTGTGACAGTATATTTAAAATAAAAAAGAAATTAAAGGTCATATACTGTACTACTTTCACAAAGATCACACAGTTTTGCAAAAGACTTGTCATATGTACAATGCTATATATCAAATGAGAAAAGCTGTAAGCAATTATATACGCAAAAGAAATGCAGTATTTACAGTTTGTCAGGAGACATTAGAAATCATCTATACATTAAATTACATTTTGCTTGCAAATAACTGGTAAAACAAAATGAGCCATGTCCACACCAAAATATAAAAATCTGTATTGCATTTTTATACCTAAGATGCATTCACAGAACTGCTGCTGACAGGAAAGAAAAAAAAAATCCTCATAGTGCCATTACTTAGCTGAGTACTTAATGTGTATGTATAAAATAATAGAACATTCACTAAATGAATTTAACTAAAAAAAAAAAAAAGATCATACAGCATCAAATCAGCATCAGATCTGCCAGAAAAAAACAGCTGGAATGTTCACTTACAAAATAAAGATACCTAATACTGGCTTAACAGCACATTTTTTAAAGGAATTTTAAAAAGCAAAAATGAGAAAAATACAACGAAAGAGCACTGGTGTTTTTTATACAAAGGTTCATGTACAAGCTTTAAAAAGTACCTTAACAGGTACATATGAAATATACAGTTTATCTTACAGAACATTTAAAAAAATGTTTTTGGAGTCCATTTTAATGCCACCCTGACCCATGGTAATTGTTTTGAAATGTTGGTGGCACCTGTGCTCTGTGAATTGGAATCTGTCCAGGCACTGGAGATGCCTGCTGAGGTCCTTGAACCCCATGTGGCAGGGCCACAGAGCCAGGATGAGGACAGAACCCTGAAGCAGTAGGTGTTGGAATACTGTTTGGTCCTTGGGGCTGGAGATGAGGACCTGTGACAGGTAATGGACAATGTGGCCCTGTTCCAGAAGGCTGGTGCTGGGGTCCCGGTCCCAAAGTGGTATGATGTGTAGCTTGTGAGGGATACGGTGGTACAGTTGGATGAGCACTCGAAGGAAAAAGTGGAGGTCCTTGATGAGGTGGGTGGTGTAAGGCTTGAGCTGATGTGGTATGATGCCCAGAAGCCAAAACACTGGAAGGTGGCGGCGGAGGGGGTGGTGGGGGTGCTGAATTTACAACATGCTGGTGTTGTGCTTGTAGACCTTGGAGTCCTGTGGATGGATGGGGTGGTGGATGGTGATGAGGGGCAGGACCAGGAGGGGGTGGGGGTGGGGGTAAGTGGTGTCCAGCAGTTTGAGAATGAATATGCGACCCAGGGGTGACCGCATGAACAGGCCCTACTACATGTGCTACAGAGTGTTGCTGATGGGAATTCGGCTGTTGTACAAGGTGCGGTCCTGGAGCAGGTGGTGGTGGAGGAGGAGGGGGGACTACGGCAGCAGCAGTTTGATGGTGAATGGTAGGGTTCTGAGAGGGCAAAAAATGCCCTGGAGTCACGTGGTGTCCTGGAACTGTTTGCTGGCTTGTGGTGCCAGGAAGTGCTTGATTTGGTCCTGATGTAAACACAGTTTGTTGAGAAAGACTACCTTTGAGCTGATTATAATTCTGAAAGTTTGCAGAGGGCTGCTGGTTTTGATAGTAAGACGAAGAAGGAGGTGGAGGAGGTGGAGGGGGTGGTGCCGTGCTGTTCAGACTTTGTTGGTTAAACTGACTGTATGTTGCTGAAGATTGTCCTGAGGGTGTCTGTGTAAATAATGTTCCAGAAGTTGCCTGCTGAGTATTGGCTGGAAGGTTCTGTGCTGCTGGATAAAAGTTTCTTTGAGGCTCTCGCTGAGGTGTTCCAACTTGAGGTGACTGTGAATGATGAGGCCTGTAGGGAGATCCTAACTGCTGTGAAGGAGGCTTTGGTGAAAGATAACCATGCTGTACAGGTGTGTGAGGCGTGGATGACTTTGGAGGATTTTCTAGGTGAGGTGATGGAGGACAGTGCAACTTTGTTGGCACAGAAGGCAGCTTTTGTGAAAGTTGCTCAGATGAATTACGAACGTGTGTCTGAGGAGGATGATTCTTTGAAAGTGCTTGGTTGTTATTTGATAGCTGTTTTTGTTGGAGCTCTGTTTTTAGGTGAACACCATTTTCAGCTTCGGATGCACTAACTGTGGAGTCCCATTGGGGATCTGGTTTTGTGAATATTTTCCCGTGTGCTTGAGCAGGAATTACAGATCCAGGTGAACCAGGCTATGAAGAGAAAACAAATTATATACATTCAAGGAACATTTTGTGTACCTTGAGGTTTATTCTTGTTGGTATTTAATACTACCTAAATATTAATTTTAATGGGGGGCAGGAAATAACATCCTGGATACGTCAATTATGGAGGCTTGGGATGTTAAAAGGCCAATATTTTTCAGTTGTTCCAAAAAGTTATGAGCGTGAGCTTAAAGTGAATTCTCTGGGTTAATTTTTATTGAAGACAAGTTGAGGAAATAATTTTCTTTCACTTTACTCTGCCTTTTTACCCCTAAGCAATGAAACCTGTTTTTGAGCCTCACTCTGAAGAACTCCAATAGCAAGTTTCAATTTTATAATTGAAATTTCTATACCCAACCTAAGGATAAATTGATTTGGGTAAATGAACTTGCTCCCTCAAACCATTTTGATTTTTAATACCTTTTCATTTTCCTTGTACACTGTTCAGATATAAATAAACCAAGTATAAGACTGTTTAAATGTCAATCATCAAAAAAAGATAAATCTCACATTCCTTGTCTTTAGTTTCCAATGATTTACATGCCATACTAGATTATTACATCTTCATGAACCAGGATGAAGATGTCATTCCTTTTAAATGATAAAATGACCTTTTGTTTTTAGATAATTGGATGGTTAAGAATTTCATGACAAGGCTATGAATTTCCTGGACACCACTAGAATAGAGGTGGAACATTTGAAGAAAATGTAAGCTGTTGAAGTGTGCTTAGAAAACTTGAATGTTTGGTCAGAGTTATCCATCACATGTTCAGTAAGAAGAACAAACAGTAGTAAACACAATTGAGTATTTCTGACAGGAAAAGTGTCCAGAAGTCACAAGTTGATACTTGATACAGCAGAAAAACACTGCATATTATAACCATCAGCTTTTCTGCACTCAACCTAAAGTCCTTTGGAACCCATCGAAAGGTCAATGTTATTACCTTGCTCATTTTTGGAGGACTTTTACAAGTATTTTGAGAAGTATCTGGGGATGGACATTCATTCGTAGTTGTGGGTTCTGGATTTTCAGGATCAGGGTCTATAAAGCAGAAGAAACCTATAGTAAGTATAAAATTACACAATAAACACTGTTTTAACACCACAAAGCAACATACATTCTACTATCCAAACCAACTTTTTATAAAGGCTCTCTTGTCTGATTTTAAAATTTGTTAAGAATAACATTATCGGTCATCTGCTTACTGACCTTCCATAAGTTCACTGAAAGAAGGGACTGGGCCCTTAGCTTGCAACTGGGGTATGTGATTTGAATGAGATGAAGGTGAAGACTGAACATGACTCGGTGAACATGAGACACATGGTGATTCTCCCCCTAGAGATGAAGCAGAGCAGACCCAAAGAGAACATTAGAGCTGCAAAGAACGAGGATGCAGAGTGATTAACTGATTCCACTTTCTGGTGAAGGAACAAGCTCACTTACCACTATCTTTATCTTTTCGGTGATCACTGAGAAGTAAAGCTCTCTGATAACTCCTTTCTCTGACTTGTTCCACTGAAGTTGAGGCAGTCCTTTCAAAGAAAAATCACATTATCCTCTATTGAAAGAAACTACTGCTAGTTACATTGTTGCTTCATAGTCAACATGTACTGTCAGACCAAGGCTTTTGATCTACTGGGAAAATACTTTGGTGTTAACCTTTGAAAATAGTTAATCTTGGCAGGGCACAGTGGCTCACGCCTGTAATCCCAGCACTTTGGGAGGCCAAGGTGGGCAGATTACAAGGTCAGGAGTCTGAGACCAGCCTGGCCAGCATGGTGAAACCCCGTCTCTACTAAAAATACAAAAAAAAATTAGCCAGGCATGGTGGCGGGCGCTACTCGGGAAGCTGAGGCAGGAGAATCGCTTGAACTTGGGAAGTGGAGCTTGCAGTGAGCCGAGATTGCGCCACTGCACTCCAGACTGGGCGACAGAGCAAGACTCCAGCTCAAAAAAAAAAAAAAAAAAGTTAATCTTATTTTGCTGACTGCTCCCAGAACTGAGATTATTATCCTTATTTGAAGGACTCAATTCCTTTGTCTCCAGCAATTTATTGGTGAAAAGAAGGCAAGGAGTTGAAGATAATATATTGACATTGAGAATGTCACTTCAGGTTACCAAAGGTACCAAAACATGCCCCTAACAAACTGCTATCAGGATTGCATGCTTTCAGGTGGAAAGGGGACCAAGGAGCAAAGTGAGTGTGGCTGCCTGCCATTTGCCAAGATCCATCCTATATGCAGCTGCTCCTATTCCTTCTGAAGAAGCACTAACCCTGGTTGTTCTTTCAAGGTAACTGGTAGGGGTTATAAAGGAAGTCTGCAGAATTGTTGAATCTGATAAAAATTCTTTGGAGAGGATATGTGTGTGTAAAGTATGAATAAATTACCAAGGAATAAATACAATCGACATTTAAGAACACAGGCCATACACAGCTGGCTTAAAATCCTATTAGCAGAGAGAATCTTTTAAAATTGTGACCACGAAGCACTATCAGCTTAGCCTTGGGAGAACAACAAATAGGAAGAATACTTGAACAAAAGCTTGTTTTTTCCAGAGTAGCATACTTCACAATGGGCTTACCATTGAACTTCTGGTTCATTCTTCTCACTAGCAGTAGCATCCTTAACAGGGCAGTTATTGCTAGTTTCTTCAGAAGTGGCATTATAAACTGTAGCTGGTGTTGGTAAAGGTAGGCTAGCAGTGTGGTCCACCTGCTCCCCATTGTCATTACTGCTGGCACAGCCATCACCATTGTTGCTCAAGCTTCCACTTGCATGGGGTGATACACTAATGAGTGGAAAGTTCTCTGTCTTAGAGCCACTTTTCCTAGCTTCACGTTGTCTCTTACGGTATTCTAATAGAGAAACCTTAAGCAAGAAAGATGAGAAAAAGCAAATCTTTTATTCTTGTTTTTTATGTCAGAACCAATGCATTCTTTTTTGTCTAAAGAGAATTACTATATTTACATTAGGAAAATTATTTTAATTGATTCTGAACAAATAATTAACAATTACCAAATGCCTACTATATTCCAGGCATTGTACTTAGATGATTTACATACATTATCTCATTTATCCTCACAACAACCCTATGAAATAGGTATATTATCATCCCCATTTTATAGATGAGGAAATTGAGTAACTCACTCACTCAAGGTCACACAGCTGGTGAGTGTTGGAGCCGGGATTCGAACCTAGGTCTTACTTGAAAGCCCGTGCTCTTTCCACTATACTACATTGCTTCCCACAAAGTTGCCAACTGGACTCTGTTATAAAAATTAAAAGCACACATCACGAAAATTCTTGGACTTGCAAAGCAATAAGCCTACTAACAAAATAAGTGCTATAGTTTCTTTTGAAATAAGGCATTCTAATTATCTCAGTATGTCTGCCAACCAAATAATGGGAAATCAGGGAACTAACTTAATATTTAATACATTAACTATTAGTAAAATAAAAACACTCTTACATCCATGGCCTAAATACTATAGATATTATAGATGAGGAAAGAGGCATTTCCTCTATACAAGGGTGCTTGCTCAATGTACAATAAAGGTAATAACACAAATATTATTCAAGTCTGTGTTTTTGGTTGGGGAGTTCCTAGTTTTAAAAAATACTCATTTGGTGAAATAAATCATCTTGAGATTTTTCTGAAACCATGCTGCTTACAAGGATTTCCCATATTACTAGAATTTTTTTACTTTTCTGTAAACATTTTCTAATTAAGCCAGCATTTACAAAAGGTTTAAAAATATTAAAAATGTAACTTTAATAACTAAATTAAGAATGCCTTACATAATACATCTAACAATTCCCCTCAGTAGTATTATGAAAAAAAAAAAAAAACTATTAAAAGGACTATAAATTGTTAAATTTGTAACCTTTTTCTTTTGTGGTGGATTCTGGGGTGTGCAATTCCCGTCGATCAAATTGTCATTAACAGTCCGTCCGAAACCAGATACAAGCCCATCTTCGGAAGTACAAAACACAGTTGTTTCCATAAACATGCCTCTAGTATCATCCTGCATCAGGCACTTTGACTCACTTATTCGGAAGCCTCCTCCAACCTCCAACTGATGCGAGGGTGTCAGGTCCCTCAAGTTGGAGTTCACTGAGAAGTTAACTCCTGTTCTGTCAGGGCTCTTTACCCAGGAAGAATACATTGTGCCCCGTCCAGAGTGAGTCGAGTCCAGTTGGCTGTTGGGCTCAGCCCTGTCATGTGCAGGCGTTTCCAGGGTTTTATGTAGGGCAGTTGGCTCAACTGCATCGAGTCCTAGCTGAAGGTCTGACACAGGTTCCTTTTCTCCAGGACACTGCCTGTTGACTTCAGTCCTACTCCTAGGGCTCGTATAACCAATAGTCTTTATTTCTTGCAGACCCAGTTCAGTTAAATTAGAATTTCTAAAAGGCCCCAATGTTAACATGGTTGAAGATCTGTCATATCCCTGTTTACAAATTAAAAAAAAAAATTACACAAATAATCACATCTTGGGACTGTTTATTTCAAAATTTACCAGTAATTTAAGGAAAACAATGTAATAGGAAAAAAACTACCAATTCACCCTTTTTAAGTTAACTTCTTACCTCTTGACTATAAGTGCGTCTCTTTATTTCTGGAGAACTTTCTGGGGAAGAAATATTCTGTATATAAAGAAAGAATTAGAATTGAAAATTTAAAAATACGTAAGTATATCCATAATAATTATAGAAATGAAAACAAAATGAAAAATATACAGACTTTAGTTTTAGATCTTGTTTCCTGTTTATTTCCATTCCCCAAATAAGACTGCTTTAAGATCAATTAGATACACACATTTAGTCTACTGTGTATATCAACAAGATGAAAGTTATGCTCATTTTAGTAAAAATAAAAACATCTAAATTCATATAAATGAATTTTTCTGATTTTTAGTTTCTTACAACCTTTTTTTTGTATTCTCAGCACACTAGTTGTTAAAGGAGGGGAAAGAGCTCTTAAAAGAAATTCCATCCCCCCAAGTGTTGAATTTTTTTTTCTCCATTAAAATTTCTCACCTCAAAGTGCATGGTATTTCCTGGTGTACCAGGAGTTACTGGGGTAACTGGTGAATATATGGGTTTATAACCATTTCTACAAGTTTCATCATCTGATTTTATCCGTGGAGGCGTGGCAAAAGATGGGTCCATAGGAGTAATATCGGTGTGAGTTGGTGTAGCATACGGGGAAGGAGTAGGTGTGGAGGTTTCTGAGTAAACCGAATCTAGCAACTGATAAAATCTTCGTTTTTTTAGTGGTGTAGTTAAATCTGTTGGTGAAATAATAATCTGTAAGAAATTACACTGTTGCTATTTGTTAAAATCTGTTTGTGTCACATTCTGGGAAAGATAAAATATAAACAATGGCAGTTATGACTTTTACCCCAAAACTGAATTTCACGGTTTTAAAAAAATGGTACTAACATGAAGCAGTGCCCCCTTTCCCTCCCCAATTAGCAAGCATTACCTTGCCTGGAGGGATTATAGGCCTAGGGGTCTCAAAGTATCTTACAAGTACCGATGTTACTTTAACTGATTTGTAAGAGTCCTTGTCTGTCTGAAAAGCAGCCAGTCCAGAAGCCTTTAAATATTCATAAACCCCAGCATACGTGGTATTGTGAACTGGTATCTTCAGCCAAAAAATACAGAGGACAGAAAAGAGAAAATCTATACACCAATGTGCTTCTCTTCTAAAGTGCATACCAGTAACTAGAAATATGCCTGTTATAAAGCTGTATGTATGCCCTGCCACATTTCTCAAACCAAAACTCTGAAAAAAAAATTCTACCTGGAAGGGAACAGCTGTCATTTAATAGTAGTGGACTTTTATTTTCACCATTGACTGCAGGACTTCTGGATCTTTCTTGACAGGGTGAATTAAATCTATGTAAAATTGCTGAATTTTCTTCTTCCAGAGCTTGTTTCAACCATCGCTGAATAAAACAGAATACATGAATGAACAGGAATCACTTTGTAGCTGTTTATATAGCCTGTAAATACAGAGCCGATTCCAAAAGCATTTCACTACCATGGATGGTAGTAAGGAATGAGTTGGCATTTGGCTCATTCTACATTTTTACTTCCAAAGAAAAGTTTACCTTCTTGCATGAACCAGAAATGTTTTCAGTAGGTTCTTTTCTTCTCCTTTTTTCTGAAAGGAATGGTGAAGTAAATCTAATATAATGCTTAGGAGTGGAGTATACATGGGGGCTGTAAGTGAGACCTGGTAAAGAATTGAGTTGTGTAGCTAACACTTCAGGATCTGTAGTTATGCGTAGAGGCCTTTCTGAAAGGCCATCTGAAGGTTTTCCTGTCTTCTCATTCTTCTCACTTAACCATTCATTAACCAAGTGCTAGAGAAAAGAAAAAAATTGGATCATTATATATGTAATTCCAAATTCTCCCTTGAATATTCTAATACCAGATTTGAAATTGGTGTATTATCTAAAATGATAAATTGGGTAATTTAAATCATTCATATGTGATCAAAATATCAGTATGTCCTTTTACATTTCTTAGTTATCTACTGTTATTCTGAAACTTTTTACCCAATTATTTTGTAGAACAAAACATATGGTTGCTTTTTAAATATTTATATTACATGAAATTTGTATTACTTTTTTTTTTGAGACAAGATATCTCTGTCATCAGGCTGGAGTGCAGTGGTGCAGTCTCGGCTTACTGAAGCCTCCGCCCCCTGGGCTCAGGTGTGATCCCTCCACTTCAGCCTCCCGAGTAGCTGGGACAAGGCGCTCACCACCACGCCTGGCTAATTTTTAAAGTATTTTGCAGAGACAAGGTCCGCTATATTGCCCAGGCTGGTCTCAACCCCTGGGCTCAAGCAGTCCTCCCGCCTCAGCCTTGCAAAGTGCTGAGTTTACAGGTGTGAGCCACCGTGCCCAGCCAAGCTTTTTAATATAGTTACAACTAGAGACACGTCAGTACCATTTTATTAAACACACTAAATTTAGGTTTACTACCGCTTCTATTATAGGTATAAGATGTTCCATCTGTTAGAAAAATCTGATTTTAGGCAGTGTTTTCCTACAATAGCTGCCCATCAGAATCTCCTGGAGATGAGGACAGTGCACAGTACTTTTTTTGAGAAAGGGTGAGTTGCCCAGCCTGGAGTGCAGTGGCGTGATCATGGCTCACTGTAGCCTCGACCTCCTGGGCTCAAGTCATCCTACCACCTTAGCCTCCCAACTAGCTGGGACTACAGGTGTGCACCACCATGCCCAGCTAATTTTTTTGTTTTTAATTTTCTGTAGAGACAGGGTCTCGTTATGCTGCCCAGGCTGGTTTTGAACTCCTGGGCTCAAGTGATCCTCCCACCTTAACCTCCCCAAATGTTGGGATTGCAGGCATAAGCCACCACACCTGGCTCACGATACATATATATTTAAAAGTCACCATTGACAATCCCTGATATAAGGGGTTTGGAATATCTCTTAAGGTTCTTGTGCTTTGAAATTTTTCATAGTCATTAATTCTGCTGATTCTCTGATCTACAACATACATAATACAGTCTCTATTGGCTATATGAATATACCTGACCCTGAAGTATAAATTACTACTTTAAAAAAAACGAGTAACCATTCATATTGTTACCTAGTTAGCAAATGATATTTTAATTTCCAAGCGTAAATGTAACTTATAGAAAATATGGCCGGGTGTGGTGGCTCACGCCTGTAATCACAGCACTTTGGGAGGCTGAGGCAGGTGGATCACAAGGTCAGGAGATGGAGACCATCCTGGCCAACATGGTGAAACCTGTTTCTACTAAAATACAAAAAAATTAGCTGGTTTTGGTAGTGCGCGCTTGTAGTCCAGCTACTCAGGAGGCTGAGGCAGGAGAAGCACTTGAACCCGGGAGGCGGAGCTTGCAGTGAGCCGAGATCACACCACTGCACTCCAGCGTGGGCAACAGAGCGAAACTCCATCTCAAAAAAAAAAAAAAAAAAGAAAAAGAAAATGTACAGAACTTAGTATATATAAATGTGCATATGTATATATATATACACACACACACACACACAGAAACACACACATTTTAAAAATCTACCCATCCTTTTTTCCAAAGGTAACCACTGTAAACATTTTAGCATCTTTTCTGTCCCTCTCTGTATATAGAACTCCATTCCTAGGACTGCAGTAGTGAAACACATGGAGTCTGGAGCCAGACTGCCAGGAGGGTGAATCCTGGCTTTGCCATTTACACTATGACCATGAGCAAGTTAAGTAACTTTTTTATATCTCAATCTTTATCTGTAAAAGAAGGGTTGTGATAGAACCTAGTTCTATAAATAGGATTGTTATGAAGATTAAAAGTTCAATAACATACATAAAGCTCTTAGAACAGTATCTGGCACAGAAAAAGTGACATGTATTATTAAACTGAATGAGGCCTTTAGGGGAAATCATGATAATTTGGTACTCTGTCAAACAGTATGTTGTTTAAAATAACAAAATCTGCAGGCAAAAGAGGCTTTTTAAGAGAATCAGATAGGATGTAGAAGCCTACATCTCAGACCAGGGATTTAAATAAATTTATCGTACCACAACTTTGTTAAAAGTTTAATAAAAGGTAGGGATTATGTCATATTTGTAATTGAGAAAGTAGTTTCACTTCTTTTAAGCCTGAGGTTTTTTCTTTTCACTTTACAAAGTTAGAATTTTTTTGTCCATTGTTACAGGCAAATATTGGGTTGCTTAAGCTATGGCGGTGCAGTAAGGAGAGTACAGACTTTTAATTAGAAACAACTGTGTTTAGATTGTCTCTAATGAAACCTGCGACTTTGGCAAGTAAATTATTTAACTTGTGCTATTAAAATATAATCCTGGGTTCATACTAGAATTTTACTAAATGTACATGTCATGGTTTAGCAGCATGCCTACAAACTGTACTGAATTAGGTAAGAACAAAGACAGAATAAATGAAATTTCAAAGTAAAGTGTGTGAGAAGTATACATTCATGATCTACCCCTAAACAGCATAAGGATTACCACACTTTAGTATCTCTGCCCCAATCTGCTGTACTCCAGTCAGAGTGGGAGACAAAGAGCAGCTTCATTAGGATGTTCTGTTATTTCTGATCTGAAAAAGCTCAGGCTGTTTACCGTAATTGCTTAAGTCTGACAGTAGTGTTTCAGAGATTTTTATTAATAATTACACCTAAAACTACTCTTTCTTACAAATTTTCATAGTACATTCTGTGGAAATCAATTTCTTCACATTTAATTCTTATAATCTACCTATACAATGAAATTTATAAAAATATAAAGGATAACACATCTAAAACCAGTTTCAGAGAAGTATATATTTTGTACATAAAGTAGACAAACTTATTTAAAGAAATCATGAATTGCAATACCATAAAAGTCCTGATAAACTGAATGTAACTTTATCTTCACAGTAATGCAAACATTTATATTAATTTTACAGTTTTGGAATTCTCATTCTTAGTTTTAAAATCTGCAAGTATAAAAACTGCCTCTTATTATTATGAGGTCTTAAAAATCCAATTTTTAAAACAACAATATAATTAATATAAGAAACTGTTAGAAAAACAGTTCTTACATTCATTAGAATCATACCTTCTTTGTTTTGGGGTACTTGGTAGGACATTTATTAAGTGCTGGAACTTCAGTTTCAGTAATTATTTCTGCTAGTGCAGTTTCAGTTTCTGGTTCTATTGTAAGTACAGTATTTTCAATATCATTTTGTTGTGAAGTAACTTCTATATCAGGAGAAGATGGCTGGATATCTGAACACATGCTGACAGTTCTGTGTCTCCGACGCTGCTGTCCAATGTGAGTCCTACTCCGAGAAAAACTTTTTCTCTGTTTAGTTCTATTTACTTTGGCAGGGGTTGGCTTGCTAGCATTTTCTTCTTTTGCTTGTTCCTAATTCAAAATACAAGCGAATGGAAGTTTTTATACTACATATATATAAAGTTTAAATATAATAGCATTATTCTACTTCAGAAGCCAACTTTCTGGAATTTTTGAATTCTGATATATAATAAAGAACAGAGATAATATATAGTCTTTTATCTCAAGCTGAAACTCCCATAGGATCTGAAAAATGCTATTAAAAAGCTAATAGACATTATTTTAAATTCCTTATAAGTAATTAATGCAAGTATAGACATTTTATTTTAAAGTGTTTAAGAAAATAAAACGACCTGAATAAATAATACCTGAATAACTTCAGCATCACTGACAATCTGTGTATCTTTACATTCAGTTTTAACTTCAGTTTTGGCTGTGCTGATCCTTTCCAAAGCTTGTTCTCTTCTTTTCTCTCTCTTTTCAAGTCTGGCAAAAGCTTGCAAAATTGCTTCCATTTTTCTTTCTTCTCTTGTCTATGAAATTTAAATTTTAAGTGACATCATAAATATCAATGCTCAAAAGTAAAATTAAGTCCAAATGTTTGTGATAAATGTAAAAAATAATTGCTATGATACTATCAGCAAACTACTTCTATTATTGGTGGATATGGGGAGAAAAAACATTTCTGTTCATTGAAGACCTTTCAGAATTCCCATCATCTTGGTAAGCCCTGTTATTGCAAATATTTCATGAAGGAAACACTTGGATGACTGAGTGTTAATGATAAGGGTAAAACAAAACAAAAAAGCCTCAAAAATTACCTTGTTTTACCAAACCGAAAATCTTTTCTCTTAATAATACAGAAATCAGCCTTTTAAAAAAAGATCCAAAATCCCTAAGGTAATGATATGTTGAAAAGGTAAAATTCATATGCACTTGAGTGAGTATATTATTGGCATACTGCAGCAGGATGTTGTGAGGTAAAGTCTTGCATTTAAAAATTATGATTCTCATTTGGTAAGTATCTCTGTGACTCCAGGCAAGTTAACCTTTCTGAGACAGTAAGATGTGGGTAATAAAATCCTTTCCAAAGCTTGTTCTCTTCTCTCTTTTCAAGTCTGGCAAGAAGTTCATTTATGATGAACTTCTCTGAGTTGTTATTTGGTTCCAACAGAAAATACGAGGTTTTCAAACAGTAGTTGGAAAATGGTGGGCGTTCTGTATGTTAATTATTATTTCTACTTTAGTCCTCTTGCCCTCCATTGTAATTCTTATAAAGTATTCCTCTACCTTCTGCTCTTCCTGTCTTCACTGACAATTCAAGACAGGGACTGAGAAACAGCCAAGTGTTCCTTTGAGCATCAGTTCTCTATCCAAAGAGAACATTAAGAGTAAGACCCAGAGCCTTGACAGATGCTTCAGCTCTAAACCAGAACCAGGAACCACATCCATCAACTGTCCAGTTCTT
Source organism: Homo sapiens (assembly GCF_000001405.40). NCBI lineage: Eukaryota > Metazoa > Chordata > Mammalia > Primates > Hominidae > Homo > Homo sapiens. Next base: position 105,100,489 of record NC_000007.14, on the reverse strand, counting down.
AAAATGAAAAGAACCACAGGTCCTGAGGCTCAGATCCATTTGTCTTTCCTCCTTTATTACACATCGATGTGAGGAAGAAAGATCAGAAACTCAAGGTCTGGATGCCACAGTCTTCTCAATATTGGAGCTTTAGTTCCAGTAATTACCAGCAGAGATTCAAGCCTCAAGATACCTACACTTTGGAAACTACTGTTTACCTGTTCCTGTATTTTTGTTGTTGTTGTTACACTCAGCAAGGGAACAAAATACTATGTCAACAAAAGTACTCTAATAATACTTCTAAGTTTCTAATTTGTTACAGCAAATTTCCATATTGCAAACATGACTCTGAGGAAACTGAGGTCCAAAGAGGTAAGGTTCTTTGTTCATGGATTACGTATCTGTATCTCACTTCTCCTAGTCTGGGACGGGCAAACACTACAATAGCACATGCAAAAGATGGTTCTACTTGTTCACTGGCACTGAAAGTTTTACAGCTGAGTTCTTTCCTTACAAAATTCCTTATTTTTGGGCTTTTAAATTACCTTTACCCCTTTTTGTCTTGTGGTTCTCTGTAAAACTGTTTTTATCAGGGCTTCTCTAAAACCCTGAATGTAGAAGAGGAGAAATTTGGAGTAACTAAAAAGATCATTTTCCCAAACTGCGCTTTACCTGATGAACCTGGTTGGAGAGGAGGGATTAATTACTATGGTTATTTCTTTTCAAAAAATTTAAAATAAAAAATTTGGGGAAAGTACATTTTTCCAGAAGAAACAAACTTGTCTTGGCAAAAATCATTGTATGTGTAAAATAAAAAACTACCCACAGGTGGGCACCCAAGGAAGATATTTTTTGTAGTATGATTATCCTGGGTGTTGTAAGGTAAATATGAATTTATGCCAACAGAGTCTGACATAGTCCAATATTTTCTTGTTTGGGATACAAGAAATATTTTCTTGTTTTGGTCAGAGATAAAACTATATGATATAAACATTCAATTAAAAAATCAAACTCCCCTGTAAACACTACAGCTAATTTATAGTCAGAGCAAAATCCTGTATTTAGAGATGGTTCATAATCTTCTAGAGTTGATCAGGATCTTAAAAAATAATGTGGTCCAATACTGCTGAAGAAACCAAAGCCCATGTGTATTAAGTGACTCATTCAAAAGCAGAGCCATAATTACTATGCAGGTTATGCAGGTTTCCTGGTTTCTGTATTACTCTTCTTTCCAATTACTGCCGCTACATAAAGCAAAACTCTTCCTACATTACTACAGCTGGGTAAGAATAAAGCTTAAGCACTAAACATTTCCTAACAGCTTTAGACCTAGCTTTATCTTAAAATACACAAATATTTTGGAACATAAACGTGCCTGATTTTCTACATTTATTTTTAATTTCTTAAAGGTCATACATCATTCAGCTTTTCTAGTCACCATTACATACAGTACATTCTTTGACACAGCCATGTATATGGTACCTATTTAAAGACAAAATTTGCCTCCCATTTTATAGCTCTAACTGAAAAATAAGTTTTATTCTTTGAGGTAGTTAGAGCTGACTCTGGAGATAGAGAAATTAGGATTCCTAATTAACCCCTGCAGACTTTCCATAGCCCCTAACACCTGTGCTATATAATCTAAACTCGATAGATTTCCCATGAAATCTATACATTGTTTTTATGACATATGTCTTAGTTTATGGTTTTCCAAGAGTAAATACCAAGCATTGTAATTTCCTATAAGCAGTCTGCTTAATAATATCCCCATCACAAAGCAAGACTCCCATCTCCACAAAAAAATTTAGGCTGGGCGCAGTGGTTTATTATGCCTGTAATCCCAGCACTTTGGGAGGCCGAGGAGGGTGGATCATGAGGTCAAGAGATCAAGACCATCCTGGCCAACATGGTGAAACCCTGTCTTTACTAAAAAAACAAAAATTAGCCAGGTGTGGCACGCGCCTGTAGTCCCAGCTACTCAGGAGGTTGAGGCAGGAGAATCACTTAAACCAGGGAGGTGGAGGTTGCAGTAAGCTGAGATTGCGCCACTGCACTCCAGCCAGGTGACAAAGCAAGACTCTGTCTCAGGAAACAAACAAAAAAATTAGTGGAACATGGTAGCATGCACCTGTAGTTCTGGCTACTCCAGACACTGAGGCAGGAGGATTGCTTGAGTCCAGGAGTTGGAGGCTGCAGTAAGCTATTGGTCATACCACTGCACTCCAGTTTGGGCAACAGAGCGAGGCCCTGTCTTTATCTAAAAAAAAAAAAAAAAATAGGAAAAGGAAAGCCAGAGCCCACCTACAAAATCACCCTATTCTTCTTTGGTCTTGAAATAGAGAAATTAAATGATTCCTTGCTCAAAAAAACTTGTTACCCTTTTATATAACAAAGATAAACTTATAAATCTAAAAAGATGGGTAAGATTATTTGTTACTAATAAAAATCATTCCAAAATAACACGTATGGCTTGTGTGGTGTCTCCATTTCCTCTATCATGTGATGATGGAATTTATACTCATGGCACTCTTTATTATTTTGATACTCGTTTGTTATTTCCTCTACCCCATTCTCTACGAAAGCTTTTCCAGAGCAGTGACCTTTCCTTCTTTGCTCATCCGATATCTCAAATGGCAAGCACTCACATTGTTTTTAAATGAGTAAGAACCATGTGTACATTATGTCAAGCACGTATCACGTTACTTAAAGACATGTAACTAACTGGAAGCATTTCAACAATTTTGGAAATCTTGAATTTATTAGAAGGCAGTTAAAGCTGATTAACCTCATTTTGTTTGAACTGAGTACCTAATAAAAATAGGTGGCTGGGCACAGTGGCTCACGCGTGTAATCCCAGCACTTTGGGAGGCAGAGGTGGGTGGATCATCACAAGGTCAGGAGTTCAAGACCAGCCTGGCCAACATGGTGAAACCCCATCTCTACTAAAGATACAAAAAATTAGCCAGGCGTGGTGGTGGGCACCTGTAATCCCAGCTACTTGGGAGGCTGAGGCAGGAGAATCACTTGAACCCGGGAGGCAGAGGTTGCGGTGAGCCAAGATTGTGCCACTGCACTCCAGGCCTGGCAACGGAGTGTGACTCCGTCTCAAAAAAAATGAAAAAAATAATAAACAGGTTCCCTTTCACTAACACCACAATGTCATTAATTACTTATCTTTAGAAATAAAATTCCCAGTCTCTACAATTAGAGAAAACAGGACCTTACAAAAAAAATCAGCATCAACGGAGGACAGAACAGGGAGTTGGATAACATCTCAAATCCTGTCACCAGATGACTTTTCTGGCAACAAACTTATCCTATTTTATTATTAAAGCATTGCATATTCTAAAGTGATTTTCTAAATGAAGTCAGTCAAGTTTTCCTAGAGACATTTAGTAACAGCATGGATTCTGCAGTGTTTTCCCACAGAGTCTGTTCCACTGAATAACACTCTGTGGGGGTCAAAGGTGTTATCCACAAGAAACTGCAAGGGTATACAAGTTTAGGAAAATCTGACAATTGTGTCAAGTTTTTAAACACATGTACACTGGTAATCTGAAAAGGAAGAATATAGTATAGTGCTCATCACAGTAAACTGGTCACGGCTCTTTTTCACAAAGCATCTCAAATTATACTTGCGTGGAATACTTGATGTGAAGGATGAAAGCCGAGAAAATTGTGGGGAATCCTGCACAATTCAGGGCAAGGCCTCCAGATCATCCATTACCTGAACTACAGGGAAGCTTCATTCAGTTCACATTCATGGGCCTGTATCTGTCTGTCTATCTTTCCTCAAGTGGTTGTTATAAACATTCAGTTAGCTCATTTATTGATGGTCTACTTTTTTGCCCACCATTTTTTATTCCCCTAGGAGCTAGGGCTACAACAATGAATAAAACTGAAAGTTTTTTCCCTCATGAAGTTTATGTTGTGGTGGTATAAAAATTCCAGACTAGACTATAATACCTGCTTGACAAGTCCAGGAATCTCTTGCCTACGTGACTTCCTTGTCATACCCTTTCACCGTTTCTCAAATGTCCGTCCTTTTAAATATGAAGACCACACTGAATCATCTTCTGTGGACTCAATTTTAAGCAATCTGATAATATAGGCCATCAAATATTACCAAGATTGTATTCCCAAAGTACATTATGAGGGTTATGAAAAATTATTTTGGAAATATTTTAAAACTACAAAGGAGACAGTTTTCATGCCATTATAAATGGGGGAGGAAGTGTCTTTTTTTTTTTTTTTTTTTTTTTTGAGCCTTTCACTGTCACCCAGGCTGGAGTGCAGTGATGCCATCTTGGCTCACTGCAGCCTCCTCTTCTGGGTTCAAGTGGTTCTCATGCCTCAGCCTCCCAAGTAGCTGGGATTATAGGCATGTGCCACCATGCCTGGCTAATTTTTGTATTTTTAGTAGAGATGGAGTTTTGCCATGTCACCCAGTCTGGTCTCGAACTCGTGGACTCAAGTGATCCACCCACCTTGGCCTCCCAAAGTGCTGGGGTTGCAGGCGTGAGCCACCAAGCCCAGCAACAAGTCTCTTTTAGTATTTAAATCTTTCAGAAGTTTGCTGCTTTTAAAATGATCACTTTAAGCTACAGGTATACCCCCCAGTATCTAATCCCCTTCCACATGTACTGTTTATATGAGAAGATTACAGCCATCTAGCCCCACCTCCACAAATATACTAGGAGGACACTCAGTAGTGCCCTGGTTTTTGGAATCTAGTGAGTATAAACAGTCTACTGTATTTCAGTCTACTGGGCTTATGGTAAGATTTTCCTAACGTACAATAACCATGCAGTTCCACATAACTTAGCCACAAATTTGCTTTTGTAAAAGCAGGTAACGACTTCTTAAGGATAAAAAAGACAAAATATCATGGATGGAAAAAGAAAATGTTCATAAAAGAAAAATCCAAAAGGCCAAAAGGGGTAGAGGTAATGGAACTGGAAATGAAAAGGCCTTCCATCTTGGCCACATAAATATTCTTTCATGAAATCTTCATCCCTGAGTATTTTGTGTGACCTATAGCCAACTTTATCTCCCTAGTAGCCCTCTCCTCCTCCAAAAACAGCCTATAATCCCAACCAAATATATTTACAGCTCTCTCCAAGATTTCCCCCTGGAAAAATACATTCCATGAAACTTTGTCATAAGCTAACCTGTATTTGGTTAAACCCTACTCAAAAGGTCCATCATAAATATAAATACAAAAATATATTAAATATACATAAATATAAACATGTATTACCTAGAGTTCATGAGACAATCTGATCTCTCTCCAGCTATAAGCTATGTATCATATTTATATTTCCTTCACTTATTGCTGAGTTGTATTTATTTTTGTGAATACTTCTAAAAGCAGAGATACTGCCTTATCTTCCATTCTCATTTAAAAAAATGAAGCCAACAACCAAAATACATAAATACCCTGGTGCACTTTTTGGAAATTCAGCATGATTTTAATCAGTGGTATATGAAATTATGTATACAGGTTAAAATTGCCAATTTTGTATTTTTCAAGCTGTACTACAAAAGGATAGGGTGAAGTACAGTAGATCCCACTTATTCACAAGGGATACATTTCAAGACCACCAAAGCATGCCTGAAACTGCAGATAGTACTGAACCCTATATATACAGTGCTGTTTTTTGCTATACATATGTAACTATAACAAAATGGAACAATTATAACCATATACTGTAATGACAGTTATGTGAATGTGATATCTCTCTCAAAATATCTTAATATTGTGAACCTCAGTGGGTAACTGAAACCTGGGAAAGCAAACTTGCAGGTAAGGAGGGACTACTGTACATTTAAATTTGGTGATTACATGGAGTTTATCTGGGAGGATGTTATTACTGACTCGTCGTATTCCAATCTGATAAATACATGATACCGAGTCTAGGTGAACATCTTAAATCTGAAATGCTCTGAAATCCAGAACTTTTTGATGGCCAACATGGTGCTCAAAGGAAACGCTTATTGGAGCATTTCAGATTTTTGGATTTGGGATGTTCAACTGGTAAGTGCAATGCAAATATTCCAAAATATTAATCCTGGAAAATTTCTGGTCCTGGAAAAGTAATACTCAACCTGTATCTCCATAATGGTTTGGAAGTCTATCTTGTCACAGGTGGAAATTTAAATCAGTTTGACGTAAGTTTCTCAAGAGTAGTATGCTACCATCTTTATTCTACCTAGTATTAGTTGTCCCTCTTTGTCACTTTTTGACTTGACGTTATCTTTCTGACTACTGATGTTAATCTAACCAATATAAAAATCAAGACTAGGAAAATAAAAGGTGATTCATTTTAAACTTTTCAAAACCAAATATAATACTAATACTTGGGGGTGGGGAACTCTACTAATTGCTTAGGAATCCTAGGATGCATGATTTTTCATTCTGCTTATTTGACTACATCAAAAAATTCTGTAATGCAAACATCAAAGCAAATGAACTAATTAGAAGTAACAATTGTGATAACTTGGAGAGCTATGGGTCAGCAGCCAAGGATTTTTAGATTTTAATTTCATATCCTTTCGAAATACCAAATTAAAGACATTTATACTTTGCAAGTTTTCCACATTTTATTCCCATGAAAAATACTCAGTTTCATATCCACCTTAGTGGCAGATGACAGAATATATTAAAATGGATATAAAAACTTTGAAGTATTCTTCATCTTACTATAGCATACTAATAAGCAAAATCAGGACCAAAAATGGATTCCAAGTAAGTAAGCCAATATACATATATATTTTCTAAGTTCCACCAAGTTTAACATTGAGTATACAATTCTCTTTTTTTTTGGAGATGGAGTTTCGCTCTTGTTGCCCAGGCTGGAGTGCAATGGCGTGATCTCAGTTCACTGCAACCTCCGCCTCCCAGGTTCAAGTGATTCTCCTGCCTCAGCCTCCCAAGTGGCTGCGATTACAGTCACATGCCACCATGCCCGGCTAACTTTTTTGTATTTTTAGTAGAGATGGGGTTTCATCATATTGGTCAGGCTGGTCTCGAACTCCTGACCTCAGATGATCCACCCGTCTCGGCCTCCCAAAGTGCTGGGATTACAGGCGTGAGCCACCGCGCCCAGCAAATATCCAATTTTCTTCTGGCATCTGGAAATGAGGATGTTCTAAGATCCACTAACATTGTCAGCATTTACAGAAGAATATATATTTAAAGTAGCCCCATACAAATGTTTTTAAAGAGAATTCAATCTGAATAAAATTACTGTATTTACGGGCAAAGAACAAACCCCCACTGGTTTTCTGTTTTTGTTTGTTTGTTTGTTTTGTGACAAGGATCTCACTCTGTCATCACCTAGGCTGGAGTGCAGTGGTAGGATCACAGCTCAGTGCAGCCTTGACCTCCTAGACTCAAGTGATCCTCCCGCTTCAGCACCCTGAATAGCTGGGACTACAGGCATGCACTGTCACACCTGGCTAATTTTTAAATTTTTTGTACAGATGAGGTCTCGCTATATTGCCCATGGTGGGTCTCTAACTCCTGGGCTGAAGTGATCTTCCCACCTAAGCCTCCCAAAGTGCTGGGATTACAGGTGTGAGCTACCACGCCTGGCCTATGATTTTTTTTTATTTCATTTTTTCTCCAAAGTGGTCACTACAGCCCTTAAAGCCAGTTACAGAAGAGGTTCCTCCCACCAGACACATGCCACACACAGAAATAAGTAATACTCTAAATTGGTTTCCTAAAAATTCCCAGCACAAGGCTGTGTCAGTTGAAGAATAAACAGAACAATACTAAAAATCAATACTCAATAAAGAGCCATAGGTAACTTGAAAAGGCACACATAACTTATATATAATTGAATCTCAAAAAAGGTTCAAGATAATCCCTTTAGGTACAAGAATTCTTCCTTTATAAACTCCTCTAATATTTTCTGTTTGCTTTTCTTCTAATACTACCTTGTCTCAACAGACCAGTGTTCCTAAAATCCTAAGGCTCTGAAACAGTTCTTTATAGTTTTCAGAATTTTGAGTATCAATAATTCATCAATATTAGAAAACTATCAAGGTGATACAAACAGGCACATATTAAGTAGGTCAACAATGACCAAACTTTTTTTTTTGGAGATGGAGTCTTGCTCTGTCACCCAGGTTGGAGTGCAGTGGCATGATCTCAGCTCACTGCAACCTCCACCTCCCAGGTTCAAGCAATTCTTCCACCTCAGCCTCTTGAATAGCTGGGAATATAAGCCTGGCTAATTTTTGTATTTTTAGTAGAGACGTGGTTTTGCCATGTTGACCAGGCTGGTCTTGAACTTCTGGCCTCAGGTAATCCACCCACCTTGGCCTCCCAAAGTGAGTGGTGTGAGCCACCGCTCCCAGCCAACAATGACCAACCTTTCAAACATCCCACCCTTAAATATGTGACGTGAGAGTCCATGGAATACAACATAGAAACCCTGAAAACAGGACACAAAGGACCATACAAAGTAAAGGGGAATGGGGAGCACCTATCATAAGGCCATCAGTCAGTTTGTAAAGTCATTTTCAAATTTTAGGGCATGGAAAGTATACCATATTTTCTTAACTGGCTGATATATCAAATGCTAAATTACCTTCACTGACAGATCAAATGCTAAATTACCATAATTTGTAAGAAAATATCCTGTCCTAATTTTTATACAGATAAAAGATTTGTAAATAGTACAAGGAATATATATCCTAAATTTATTTTAATGAGAACCTTATTGTACGATAGCAGTGTGAGACTGTAGAAATAGCTACCAGTGGTAGGTTTTTTTTTTTTTTTGCATAAGCAATTTATTTGGTGCTATAGTAAGGTTTAAATTTGTACTTTTATTATATTTCAAATCATGAGAGGATACATTTAGCTAATAAAAGACATTCTGAACAGTAATTGTGGCATTAAAATTTATTAATAGTTCAGTGTGGCATTATTAAAATATTATTACTTCCAAAATGTTCATATTTCTTAAATGTCATACATTCTTAAATCTCTAATGAACAACCAATAAAAATACAAGATTAATGGAATTTATTTAAATGGCAATGACCAAACCAAATAAAAATGCTCAATGGCACATCATTCGCTAACTTCAAAGAATAATGTAAAAGCCCATGTAAAGGCAGCAACAATTACCATATGCAGAGCAGCTGTCACTAAGCCCAAACTACTGGCTTCCCAACTTACCATCTTCCTTTTCCTTTCTGCAATCTGCTCCTCTGATTCCATTTCTACTTCATTACTAATAGGAGTTTTTTCTTCTATATCATCAATAAAATCTGGTTCCTGAAAAATGGAAATGACTTCTTTATACAAACTATTATTCCATCTATACAACTAGTGACATTAAACTATTTTAATGTCTTTCAACCACAACAAATTCAACATGTACACAGCCTATTTAAATTATTTAAGAAATTTAAAACTGGTTTCCTAATTCAAGATACTTTTCAAAATTATGCAATCAAATACTTTCGCTTTTTAAATTTTAGCCAATCAAGTTTTTATCAATATAGGTCAAATATGGTAGCATGGCCTTACATTTATAAAGTTCCCAAAACATAAACATATAAATTATTTCAGAAAAACCCACAAATACCCAGTGCTCAAAAAGTGTTTGTTCAGTTGAAAGTTTAAGGGAAATCATTTCTAGAAGATAGGCCCCTGGAAATGAGCAAAACCTTACTTAATTTTCACATTTTAATGATCCCTCCTGTTTTTTGTTTATAGAGGACATATAACAATATATTTACTGGTGGGGCAGGTAGACTTTGGCCAGACTTTACCCCCAAAATTACCTTATATGTTCTTAGTGAATTTTCTCTCAAAAATTTTATTTGCTGTTATTGTGACATGCTTATAGAATTTATAAGATTACCAGCATCCACATGTTTAAAGAAAGAAAATTTTGCAGCTTAAGACTTTAAATAAGAACATTTATTATGAACATAAAGTGCCATCTAGAAGATTTTTAAAAGTTATCTAGTCTTAGGAAAATCTTGTCTGCAATTCTGCAAGGATTTGCTTGCTGAGCTGTTTCTTAATAATTCAACAAATACTGTACAAATTCTAGCAGAACTTGTATTTTACACTTATGAATACTTCATTAAATGACAGAATGGACTTAAAAATACTTTAAACAATTATACATAGAACAAAGAAGAGGATAAAATATGACAGATTATTTTCCTTTGTTTATTCAATTTCATTGAGAGCAGAGTTCAGTACCTGATTATTTGATACTGATAGTCTCAGTGGAGAAAGCTTTCTTTGTTTAGTTTCTGGGCTCTTCATTTTGTTGGTCGTTCCTTCACAATCCAAAGTAATATTCTGATTTTGTGTATCTTTTTCTTTTGAAATATCTTTGTCTTTTTTTCCTTTTTTCCGTCTGGTCTCATAACCACTATTGATATTTTCCATGGATTCAGAACTACGTTTTAGAACAGGGCACTCTGGGTTTTCTTTGAGGCATGCACAGTCCACCTTGTACTTACTGGAAAGATAACCAGTTAAATATTTATTTCAAAATATAAAACAAAACTGGAAATTTTCTAATCCATTTTAAGCTGCAACTCCACAAAATTGTATGCAATTACTATTAATTATAAGCAATCCTTTTTAGTAATTTACATTCCTAGTTAACTACCACAAAAAATTTTTTTCATTAAAATAATATAATAATTAGATGTTGATTTCTGACCAGATATTAGGCCTTCAATCATAAGTATAACTGGTACAGGTTAAGCATGCCTTACCTGAAATGCTTAGGACCAGAAGGGTTGTGGATTTTGGAATGTTTGCATATATATAATGAGATATCTTGGGGAATGGGATTCAGGTCTAAACACAAAATTCACTCATGTTTCATATAGGCTAAAAGTAATTTTATATAATATATTTACTAATTCTGTGCCTGAAACAAAGTTCTGACTGCACTTTGACTGTGACCTATCATATGAGGTCAGGTGTAGAATTTTCTACTTGTGGCATCATGTCAGTGCTCAAAAAGTTTAGGATGGCCAGGCACAGTGGCTCTTGCCTGTAATCCCAGAACTTTGGGAGGCCAAGGCGGGCAGATCACTTGAGACCAGCCTGGCCAACATGGTGAAACCCCGTCTCTACTAAAAATACAAAAATTACCTGGCCATGGTGGCAGGCACCTGTAATCCTGGCTACGCGATAGGCTAAGGCAGGAGAATTGCCTGAACCCAGGAGGCAGAAGTTGCAGTGAGCCAAGATTGTGCCACTGCATTCCAGCCTGGGTGACAGAGTGAGACTGCATCCAGAAAAAAAACAAAAAAAGTTTAGGATTTTGGATTTCAGATTTTTGCATGAGGGATGCTCAACATGTAATATATTACAGAAGAAGAAAAAAACAAACACATTAAAACTTTGAGTCTTTTAAAGCAAAATGATACTGTGGTTTACACAAAACATTAAGGCAGAAACCATAATTACTTCAGTATCCCAGAGTGCTTTATAAAATACTGAACTGAAATGTGACCTACATAAGAAACATTAAGTATAACAAATACTGAACCTCAACTAGTTTGTCTTACCCTTTAAAGAATGATAGCAACAACCGGGTTTCTTTAAAAAGCTACCTTGATAAAATTTAATGTTTCCTTTTCACCATACTAAGTGTTCCCTCTTTCAAATGGAAGCCTGAGAAATAACTGCACTCTGTCTCATCTTCACAGTAAGGATATTGCCCCCATTTTACAAGTGAGATTAAAACTCACTGAGGATTAGCATCTTGTCCAATGTTACACAGTTAGTAAGTGGAAAGGACGGCATTTAGATCCAGGTCTGTATGACTCTCAGGCGCATGTACTTTTCATTTCAATATTTCTCAACTCTGACCACTTTATCTTTACCACAGCTGCTAAGATGTAGTTCATCTCTATGATACAGGCCAAATGCCCAAACCTCAGTTAAAACAATAATACAAATCTCCCACTTTGCATGTTTTAAGTAGTTGAATGTTTGTTCACAATAAGAACAATTTACTTATTAAGTGTCTAATATTCCTAACTCATTTACTTTTAAAACTGCTAGAAAGATTCAAATCCAACTTCCTAATTCTGTGAACCAGGGAGAGAATTCAAACATTTATGGTCCTACCTCCCGCCTCCCAAATCAGGTATTAACAGATACTAGCTTGAAACTCGTTCTAGATGTTTGATTTTAGGACAAGAGAACTACAAACAATAATGATGGCAACAGCTTTTGTTTATTAAGCACTTTAGGTGAGTATTATTCTTCTTCTCATATACGTGAGGTAATGCAGCACAAAGTGATGAAGAAATTGGTCCAAGGTTACGTAGTCAGTGACCAAGCCGGGATTTGAAACCAGACAGATTACATTCTTAACCTCTATGGGATATGTAATCCCACAAAGCACTGAGCAAAGAACTATGCTAAATCTCCTACCTTCGAGAGGAGAAAGGACTAAAATGATATGATAAATCTGACTGCAATAATCAGTAGAAAGGGATACTAAAGGAAAAGGGATTTCACCAAGAGAAAACATAATGAACATTTTAAAAACTTCATTTAAAAAGAGTATCACACAAAGTTTAAAAATATATAGAATAAGAGGAACTGAATCGAATTGCTTATAACCCAAAAGACTACAGAATATATAAAGAACTTCTGGGAAAAAAAAAAAAAAAAAAGCAAGAAAACAGCTACCCAAAAGAAAGATGGACAGATGATATGATCAGGCAATTCACAAGAGAGAAATCCAAATGACAACACAGAAAAAGACCTCTGGGAGGCTGGGCGTGGTAATTCACGCTTGTAATCCCAGCACTTTGGGAGGCCGAGGCAGGTGGATTGCCTGAGCTCGGGAGTTGGAGACCAGCCTGGGCAACACGGTGAAACCCCGTCTCTACTAAAACACAAAAAATTAGCTAGGCGTGGCAGTGTGCGCCTGCAGTCCCAGCTACTCAGGAGGCTGAAGCAGGAGAATTGCTTGAACACAGGAGGCGGAGGTTGCAGTGAGCCGAGATCGCGCCACTGCACTCCAGCCTGGGTGACAGAGCAAGACTCCATCTCAAAAAAAAAACAAAAAAAAAGAAAAAGACCTCTGCATTCATGAATAATCAAGGAAAATGGTAAATAAAAATATTAATATAAAGAGATGCCATTCAACATGAGCTAGCATATATGTAATATATGCTATATTTATATTTATATATTATATATATTATATCATATTTATATATTATATATATGCTCATGTTGAATGGTATCTCTTTATATATATGCTTATATAATATATATTATATAAGCATATATATAGCATGTATATGCTAATATATATTTTATTATATACCAGTCCGCATGACCTAGCATATATAATATACATTAGCACATACATAGCACATATGCTATAATGTATATTACATACGCTATATATTATGTATTATATATTATATATGCTATATATATTATACATGCCATATATTATATTATATGCTATATATTTGCCAACAAATAGCATATACAGCGTATAATATATAGTATATATGCTAATATTACATATAGCATACTATATATACTTATATGTAGCATATATATGCTATATAATATATAATATATATGCTATAATATATAGCATATATATGCTAATATATATTATATATACTATATATGCTAGCTCATGTGGAGTGGTATATATATTTTATATATAATCATATTTTTATATATTATATTTATTTTATATATATTTATATTTTTAATTTATTTTATTTATATATTTTTTTATTTTTTGAGATGGAGTCTCGCTCTGTCACCCAGGCTGGAGTGCAGTGGCGCAATATTGGCTCACTGCAACCTCCACCTCCCAGGTTCAAGTGATTCTCCTGTCTCAGCCTCCTGAGTAGCTGGGATTACAGATGTGCGCCACCACACCTGGCTAATTTTTGTATTTTTAGTAGAGATGGAGTTTCATCATGTTGGCCAGGCTGGTCTCGATCTCCTGACCTCAAGTGATCCGCCCACCATGGCCTCCCACAGTGCTGGGATTACAGCCGTGAGTCATAGCAACCACCATATATTTTTAAAGTCTTAGGAGTAAAGAAGTACAGCAAGGCAATAAATTACTTAGGAAACTGGTACAAGCTTCTTAGACATTCACTCACATCTGGCAAAAACTCATGCTGTGCGCATTCTACAACCCAGCAATTCCACTCCTATGTCCCTACCATGGAGAGAACATGTACATACTATGTTCCTACCATGGAGAGGACATGTACACACATGCAGACATGTTCAGAAAGCCCTAGGAGCATTCTTTTGTCAATATAAAGGTCAATAGTGAAATGGATAAATACCATAGGCAGTGAAAATAAATGAAGTATAGGTACACACAATGCAGGTTAATCTCACGTAATAAATGTGAAAAAAATGCTAAAGAATACAGCAAGTCACAATTTACATAAAAGTTTAAAAATATACAAAATTCTAGATAATATTTGCCAACAAATACAGACATAGTAAAATGTTAAAGAAATCAAATTAAAGGGCCGGTGGTGGTGGCTCATGCCTGTAATCTCAACACTTTGGGAGGCCGAGGCGGGCGGACCATGAGGTCAGGGGATGGAGACCATCCTGGCTAACACGGTGAAACCCCATCTCTACTAAAAATACAAAAACAAAATTAGTCAGGCATGGTGGCGGGTGCCTATACTCTCCGAGGCGGGAGAATGGCATGAACCTGGGAAGCGGAGCCTGCAGTGAGCTGAAATTGTGCCACCACACTCCATCCTAGGCGACAGAGCGAGACTCCGTCTCCAAAAAAAAAAAATCAAATTAAAGATAGCAGTTAGTGAAGGAAGGAAGACAGATGCAATGTGGCTGCTAAACGTTAAGGGGCTTCAATGGATAATGTTTTAATTTCTTAATTTGAGAAGTACATGGGTGTTTGTATTATTATTTTATTTTATTTTTGAGATGTTTTGCTATTGTTGCCCAGGCTGGAGTGTAGTGGCACAATCTCAGCTCACTGCAACCTCCATCTCCCAGGTTCAAGCGATTCTCCTGACTCAGCCTCCCAAGTAGCTGGGATTACAGGCATGTGCCACCATGCCCGGCTAATTTTGTATTTTTAGTAGAGACGGGGTTTCGCCATGTTGGCCAAGCTGGTTTTGAACCCCTGACCTCAGGTGATCCACCCGCCTCAGCCTCCCAGTGTGCCTGGATTACAGGCATGAGCCACTGCACCTGGCTGGGTGTTTGTATTATTGTTTACATTTTTCTATTAAATTTTTAAAAACTGAAACAAGTTTCCATACTGCTGACCCTTGAACAACACAAGTTTGAACTGTGCACATTATAGTTATACATGGATTTTTTTCAATACATATATTGGAAACATGTTTGAAAATTTGCAACAATTGCAACAATTTGAAAAAACAGACGAACTATATAGCCTAGAAATATTAAAAAAAAAAGAAAAAGTTATGTCAAGAATGCATATGCATGTAGATAGTAGTCTATTCTATCATTTATTACCATAAAATATACACAAATTATAAAAAGTTAAAATTTATCAAAACCTATGCACACACATACAGACCTTACATGGTGCCATTCACACTCCAGTCATGTAAAGACATATTATTAAATCATAACTATTTAAAACTAACTGTAGTACATTCTGTACTACTATAATAACTTTGTAGCCACCTCCTGTTGCTATTGTGGTGCCTCAAGTGTTGGGAGTGTCTATGTAAAATGCCATGTGACACATGCCCAGGAGCAGTTCATCTCTCAGTAAATTGTGTATGGCAATAAAAAGTGATCTCTTGTGGTTCTCATGAATTCTTCATAGTCTTCAGTGCAATACAGTAATTTTTTTTTTTTTCTTGAGACAGAGTCTTGCTCTGTCACTCAGGCTGGAGTGCAGTGGTCCGATCTTGGCTCACTGCAACCTCCACTTCCCAGGTTCAAGCAATTCTTCTGCCTCAGCCTCCCGAGTAGCTGGGATTACAGGGGCCCGCCACCACGCCCGGATAATTTTTTTTATTTTTAGTAGAGATGGGGTTTCACCATGTTTGCCAGGCTGGTCTTGAACTCCTGGCCTCAAGTAATCCGCCCGCCTTGGCCTCCCAAGTGCTGGGATTACAGGTGTGAGCCACCGCACCTGGTCAATACAGTAAATTTTGAGTAACACCTATGTGACCTATACAAAGTGCCACTAGTGATGCTGGAAGTGCTCCAGAGAAGCAAAGAAGTTATCACATTGCAAGAAGAAGTTGAATTGCTAAAGATGTATGGTAGATTGAGGTGTGCAGTTGTAGTTCTCCACCATCTCAAGATAAATGAATCCAGCATAAGTACCATTGTAAAAAATAATAATAAAAGGAAATTTGTGGAGCCATCACCGCAGCTGGGCCGCAGAATGTGAAAACCATGCACTTTTTGCAATATACCTTTTTATCTTGTATTGCAAATGAAGCTTTTATGTGGGTGCATGCGTGCTATATAAGAAAGACATAGCTATAGATCCTAATATGTTTCTAGAAAAAGTGAAGTCATTAAATGATAACATAAAACAAAAGGAATATGAAAGACCTAAAATTGGAGCATTTAATGCCAGTAATGTATGGTTTGATGATTTTAAAAAGAGGTCTAGCTTAACAGGTAAAGCCACTTCTGCTGAATAAGAGGCAGCAGATGAGTTCTCAGACACCATTAAGAAAATCACTGAGGAGAAAGAGTATCTGCCTGAAAAGTCTTTTAATGCAGACACAAATGTCCTATTCTGGGGGGGGAAAGTCATAAAAAGACATTTATTAGTAAGGAAGAGAAGGAAGCACCAGGATTTAAGGCAGGAAGGGACAGATTAACTCTACTGTTTTGTGCAAATGCATTTGGGTTTATGATCAGGACTGCCCTTATCTATAAAGCTGCTAAACCCAAGCCTTGAAGGGAAAACAAACGGAAGCTGCCAGTCTTTTGGTTGTATAACAAGAAAACCTGGAGGAGAACCCTTTTTCTGGATTGGTACCATTGATGCTTTGTCCCTCAAGTCAGACAACAGGTAGCTAGGAAGGGATTGCCTTTTAAATGTCTTTTGATACTGGGCAATGCCCCTGGCCACCCAGAACCCTATGAGTTCAACACTGAGGGCATCAAAGTGTCTCTAATTCAGCCTCTAAATCAAGGAGTGATAATGGCCTTTAAGGCTCATTACACACAGTACTCTATGGAAAAGAATGTCAACACTATGGAACAGAACCCTGAAAGAGAAGATCATGAAAGTCTGGAAGGATTATACCATCGAAGATGCCATCATTATAGAAAAAGCTGTGAAAGCCATCATGCCCAAAACAATAAATTCCTGCTGGAGTGAACTGTGTCCAGATGTTGTGCATGACTTCACAGGATTTACATCAGAGCCAATCAGAAAAATCATGAAAGAGATCATGGATATAACAAAAAAAGGTGGGGATGAAGGAAGAATACAGATATGGATCTCAGAGAAATTCAAGAGCTAATAGACACCACACCAGAGAAATTAACAGAAGATGCCTAATGGAGATGATTGCTTCCAAACCAGTGCCAGATGATGAGAAAGAAGATGTAGAAAAAGCAGTGCCAAAAAACAAATTTACATTAGACAATCTGGCAGAAGGGCTCCATTGTTTTCAAGACTGATTTTTTACTTTTTTATGATATGGACTCTTCTATGATATGGGCACTGAAGCTAAAGCAAATGACGGAAGACTGGCACCATATAGAAACATTTTTAGAGAAATGAGAAAGCAAAAAAGCCAGGCAGAAATTACTAATATGTTTTCATAAAGTTACACCATATGTGCTTCCCTCTCCTGCCTCCCCTTCTACTACCCCTTCTCCCTCTGTCACCCCTGAGACAGCAAGAGCAACCCCCACCCTTCCTCCTCAGCCTACTCAACATGAAGATGAGGATGAAGACCTTTACGATAATCCACTTCCACTTAATGAACAGTAAATATATTGTATCTTCCTTATGATTTTCTTAAAAACATTTTCTTTTCTCCAGCTTACTTTATTGTAAGAATACAGTATAAGACATACAGAATATGTGTTAATTGTCATTGGTAACACTTCCAGTCAACCGTAGGCTATTAGTAAAGTTTCTGGGGAGTCAAAATGTATACGCAGATTGTGGACTGTGCAGGCAGTTGGTGCTCCAACCCCGCATTGTGCAAGGGCCAACTGTACTGAGATTTATCATTAGTTTTTTACTAGTATTTCAGAAAAATAGTTCTTAGAGTTTCTTTGTAGGATCTCCAACAAACCCTTTTAATTTATACTGCAAAGAAAATTTTCTTTTGTTTTGAGGGGCAAAAGACAAATTATTCATTCATACTGATTAACCAAATAAACTGTATGACTAAAATTATATCCCCTAGAAGAAGAAAAAAATTCTCACATAAACAAGGTCAGTGTTGTATGGCTGAATTAGGGTTACTTGTTATAATTACTGTGAACATTTACATTACAATAATAATTAAGGAAAATGTAGAAATGAAAAGTAGCAATGCTGTAATAGAGGCTGATACTAAACTTCTGGTTTTCAAGTACTTTTAACTGATTCATGATAGATAAAAATAAAAAGCTATAAAAGTAATGACAATACCTAAATTATTACAGGGACATTATGGAACTATTTTCAAACAACAGATTACATTTATAGACTTGAACTCACCAATTTCCATAGTCAAAATCAAAGGCAATAGTAATTTCAGTTCCCTTTGGAATACTGTGTATAGAATAAATATAAAGATGTATGGTTCCATCTTGAATTTCATGCCTCACCTAAAAGTTAAAATAATTGTACATTACCATAAATTACTTTCTGCCTTCAGAAGCATCAGCTTACAATTTTGAAAATTATTCTTTTCAAATTATTTCACAAACACAACCTGGAAAATATGTCATTAATGACAAGGCTTATAACTATCTATTGGTGGTTATCAACTGGGAAGGTTTTTCAATCATATACTGCTATCCACTGCCACCCCAACCCCTAGAGCCCACAATGTGGCATCAAAATAATAATAATAATAATAATAATAATAAAAATACTATATTTCATCAATTCTTCTTATTTTTATTTTTTTGAGACGAGTCTCACACTTTCGCCCAGGCTGGAGTGCAGTGGTGCGATCTCGGCTCACTGCAAGCTCCGCCTCCCAGGTTCACGCCATTCTCCTGCCTCAGCCTCCCGAGTAGCTGGAACTACAGGCACCTGCCACCATGCCCGGCTTATTTTTTTTTGTATTTTTAGTAGAGACGAGTTTTCACAGTGTTAGCCAGGATGGTCTCAATCTCCTGACCTCATGATGTGCCGGCCTCGGCCTCCCCAAGTGCTGGGATTACAGGCGTGAGCCACCGCACCCAGCCTCATCAATTCTTTTTTTTCACCTTTTAGCATCTCTGAAATCAGGAGTCTTATAACTGGTGGCATCTTAGGGTTTTTTGTTGTTGCTGTTGTTGTTTTGAGACAGAGTCTCACTCTGCCATCCAGGCTGGAGTGCAATGATGCAATCTTGGCTCACTGCAACCCCAACCTCTCAGATTCAAGTGATTCTCCTGTCTCAGCCTCCCAAGTAGCTGGGACTACAGGTGCGTGCCACCACACCTGGCTAATTTTTAGTAGGGATGGGGTTTCACCATGTTGGTCAGGCTGGTCTTGAACTCCTGACCTCAGGTGATCCACCCACTTTGGCCTCCCAAAGTGCTGGGATTACAGGTGTGAGCCACTGTGCCTGGCCTTCTTAGGTTTGATGAGTGCAATAATGGTTGAGCAAACGCTACTTTTCTATGACAAGACACTATTCTATATACTTTATATGTATTAACTCCTTCAGTCTTCATATCACCTTTTTACAGATAAAACTGAGGTTAAAAAGCTAGTAAGTCACAGAGAAGAAATAAATTTAAGTCTGGTTCCAAAATCTGTACTCTTAGCTGGGTGCAGCAGCGCATGCCTATAATCCCAGCTACTCTGGCGGCTGAAGCAGAACAAACACTTGAGCCCAGGAGTTCCAGGCCAGCCTGGGCAACATGGCAAGATCCTGTCTTTTAAAAAAAGAAAAGAGAGGAAAAAAAAAAAACACCTACATTCTTGGCTGCAACATTATATAATTACAAAACTAAAAAGCTTCATTTTGACATGTAAAAAACAAAACCAACACGATTTTCTACTCCACACTAAAATATAACATTATTAAAAATTTTACAGTAGAACATACAAAATCTACTTTAGATTTTAGCTTTGTCATCTAACTTAAATCATCGCATGTATTGAGCCATAAATAGAGCTTCCAAGATAGAAGGAAAGTCGTCCAGTATTAGGCTGGACCTGGTGGCTCATGCCTGTAATCCTAGCATTTAGGGAGGCCGAGGCAGGAGGATTGCTTGAACACAGGAGCTCCAGACCAGTCTGGACAACATAGGGAGAACCCAACTCTACAAAAAATTAAAGAATCATTAGTTGGGCATGGTGGCACGCACCTGTGGTCCCAGCTACTCAGAAGTCTGAGGTGAGAAGATAACTTTACCTCCTAAAGGCCCAGGAAGTTGAGGCTCCAGTGAGCCATGATTGCACCTCTGCACTCCAGCCTAGGCAAGACCCTGCCTCAAAAATAATAATAATAATAATAATAATAATGATTTAAAAAGTCCGGGCAGGCTCATGCCTGTAATCCCAGCCCTTTGGGAGGCTAAGGCAGAAGGATCACTTGGCCCAGGAGTTGGAGACCAGCCTGGGCAGCAAAATGAGACTCCATCTCTGCAAAAATTTAAAAAATTAGCTGGGCATGGTTGCACACGCCTGCAGTCCCACCTACTCAGAAAGCTGAGACAGGAGGATCACTTGAGCATGAGAGGTCACGGAGGCTGTAGTGAGCTGTGCTCATGACACCACACTCCAGCCTGGGAGACAGTGAGACACTGCCTCAAAAAAAAAAAAAAAAAAAAAAAAAAAAAAGGAAGTCCAATATTTCCTCTTATAAGGAGCATCATCATTTCTTCAAGGTGCAAAGTAATTTTTAAGACTTCATAGCGGCCAGGCATGGTGGCTTACACTCGTAATCCCAGCATTTTGGGAGGCTGAGATGGGCAAATCACCTGAGGTCCGGAGTTCGAGACCAGCCTGGTCAAAATGGTGAAACCCCGTCCCTACTAAAAATGCAAAAAAATAGCCGGGCATGGTGGTGCGTGCCTGTAATCCCACCTATTCGGGAGGCTGAGGCATGAGAATCACTTGAGCCCGGAAGACGGAGGTTACATGAGCTGAGATCGTGCCATTGTATTCCAGCCTGGGCAACAAGAGTGAAACTCCGTCTCAAAAAAAAAAAAAAAAGACTTCATAGCCAGTTATCACATAAATTTTCACAAAAAAACAGGCTGGGCAGTATAAAATGCACCAACAGGTGGAAAGTGTCTTAGGTCAGTGACCTGAGTTTTGTGCTTATTGCTCAGATTCCAACACACCCCCAGCACCCACATCTCCCCAAAAAATTTCTATAAGCTTACCTCTGCATTGGGTGTACAAGACCGCCTGATGAATCGAGCCTCATTCCCAAAAGTCCTTGCATCAACACACATTTCTAGCCCATGAAATTTAGAGTAGAATAACACAAAAGGGTATGGTCTACAAAGAAAGAAACATTATAAGCTATTAACATTTTAGGCCGGGCATGCTGGTTCACACCTGTAATTCCAGCACTTTGGGAGGCCGAGGCAGGTGGATTGCTTGAGTCCAGGAGATCAAGACCAACCTGGGCAACATGGCGACACTCCGTATTTACAAAAAAAAAAAAAAAAAAAAAAAAAAAAAAAGGCCAGGCATGGTAGCATGTGCCTGTAGTCCCAGCTACCTGGGAAGCTGAGGTGGGAGGATCACCTGAGCCCAGGACATCAAGGCTGCAGTGAGCCATGATCATGCCTCACTGATAGAGCGAGACTGTCTCAAAAACAAACAAACAAACAAAAGTCAACATTTTAGGACAATAATCTGTTACTCTTCAGAGGCAAAGTGATGAAGAAACTTAAGAACACAGAGTCTAAGAAACTTCTAAAAGACATAGTGAAGCCAAGATTTGAATATAGGCAGTCTGACTCCACAATTCACTCTTATCTTATGCTAGTTTATGCTAATGAGATTTTTACCTGCCCCATAACCTCACCTAAATCAAAGGCAATTAATGGAAGGTAGAAATTCCAATTTACAAAGAAAGATAAAAAGAGAGTGACTACTGCATTCACAAGATTAATTTGATGTCTTTAGAGTTCACATTTCCTGGTGCATTTAAAAGTATCTGTCTTATACCGTTTCAGATCAAATCTGCTACATAATAGGGAGAAATTGCTGTGTATCTTTCATATCTTAAGTAAATATTCAAGTTATAAACAATAAATGTTTTTGATAATTGTAGGACACAGACTAGGAATGTTCTCCTACAGATATGAACATACTTCTAGACTACAGGGAAGCAACGCCTATCAAAGGGTCATATTAATTCTGCATACAAATCTCAAACCAAAGAAGAGACCTCCAATACCATTCCAATACCAACAAAGTGGGTGTTGAAAGTGGTGGCAATAATGTAGGACCCAATCTAACACTGTCTAATAAAGAGGAAGGGGTTTCTCCTATGGTTACCATGGTCTTTCTCCATTCCGGCTATTACGTTATGAGGAATTATCATGAGTCCCAGATGGAAAGGGTTCCTTGTAATCTCAATCAATCAGAATTCCTGACTGATATCCTTCTATATCCAACCTATATTGCTGTTGGTTAATCTTTGAAGTAGATTGTTTTAGGATTTTCAGCAAGACAGACATGAGCAAGAGACCGGAATATATCTTTGCATTTTTTTATGTTGTTTTAGTTTATCGTAGTTCAAAAATTATCATCAGTCACTGTTCAACCACACTACAGCTTTAAATACTGAAATGATCATGTAGGAAAAAAAGTACATATAATCACAACATCTAGGTAAAACAGCCAAAAGTTCAATATTTACCTACAGAAAATGAACATGGGAAAATAAATGAATATACCTTTTAAAGAAATACCCATTTGCTTCAAACTGTTCTCTCAGCATAAACTTCCCTCTGTATTCAATGATAAGTGCATCAGGAGGCAAATCTTTTGCAGATTTAAGAATTTTCTTATTCTTTTGTATATGGCTCTAAAATCAGAGTAAATGTTGAGATTAAATAAACTTGCTTGTTTTCAGTTTAACTAAAAATTCACAATATAAAACTGCTTTACAATTTTTGGACAAATGATGTATTTACCTCTACAGGAGGTTTGAAGAGCAAATTGTTGGTATTCAAATCGGATTTATTCATCTCTTTTTTGTCATTTCCATTGCCTAATCTCAGAGCTATTCTTTGTGCCTCCCTCTGAACACCCTCACTGTACTGGTTGTTATTTGCTTCTTCATATCGATCCATCCATGCTTTGATCTTTGTCTCCCATCCAAAATTTGAACCATCAGATGAAGGATCAATCTCTGGAGCTGAACCCTAAAATCATAAACTGAGCTTTAGTATCTGGACTTACGGACTTACACACACACACACACACACACACACACACACACACACACACACACAAAATTAACGGCAATCTATACAAAAGAACATAATATAAACTAGAAACTGCTGTTTAACGGTTTCTTTTCCAGAAATGTGGAATAATAAATACCACAGGGACAAAAGATACACTGTAACATGCTCCCCACATCCTATTTAATGTGACAATTTTAGAAATTTGTTATCCTTTTCTACCTAAGCCAGAAAACTATAGTAACAGCATACAGCTGACCTCTGTGACCCCAGACAAACTTATGTTTTGGGGTCAGACAGAGGCGAGGAGCCTCGCTTCTCTCAGCAATTTTAGCATCTAAAAAAGTGAGGACATACATTAATTAATTCAAGATACTTTTTAGCTACCATCGATCATTCTGACTGGTTTGTATTGATATGGTTGTTCTATGGTGAATTTATAGTATGACAACTGACTTGACTAACTCTCTAGAATCCCAACTATGCAAAAGTGCAAATTTTCAAGTTCCAAATGTGATTCTGCATTCCTAAGTACAGTATAGTAATACTAACTGGCATCAGAGACATGGATTATAGTAATAAAGGAAATTCAAATTGCCCAAAATTATAAAATTAGAAATTGCTTATATACCTCCCCCTTTTGATTAATATTTTAACAGTGTTAACTACAAGAGTAGTATATTACTCCAATTAGAACTAAGGTCCCACTCCTGGTAAAGATAATAGGCAAAGACATGACACACAATAAACAGAGCATTAAGTAAAGATATGGTCAAGCAAGCATGTAGCTCCTGAATAAATGACAGTTGATAACAACACCTTAAAATTAATGTATTTACCTTAACTCTTGATGACTTCCTAGATCCTTCACGAAATGCCTAAAATAAACATGGAATTCTAGTTAGTTTCCTAAAAAACTGGACATAATTAATATTTAAGAATTAATTGGTTCATTGAAACTTTTAACTGAAGTGTCATAACAAAAAATTTGGTAACCAAGAAAGCTGACACTAGGAGAATGTTTAATAAAGGCATCTATTAAAATACTTTTCTAATAAAAACAGAATGTGGTTGAGAGTGGTGGCGGGCACCTGTCGTCCCAGCTACTCAGGAGACTGAGGCAGGAGGATCAACTGGAGCCCAGGAGTTGGAGGCCATAGTGCACCATGCCAGTCTATGAATACCCACTGCACTCCAGCCTGGGCAACATAGCAAGATCCTGTCTTTAAAAAAAAAAAAGTATATAGACTATATAGAATATAAAAATCTGTATATAATATAATACAAAGACAAAAATTTCCAAATATTCTCTGTGTTCAATATTACAACAGTGGAAAAATATTTCTGATAAAAATTGGGAGGGTGTTAGACATATAATTTTGTTGAAGTGATAAGACATGTTTTGGGAGGGAGTAAAATAATGATATTACTTTAATTCTCTAAGCAACTAGCAAGTAATATTTGAGCCCATAATGGGCCTTAAGTAATATGCACTGTGGTAAACAGAGCTGTATTTACTCAATAAACATGTATCGAGAGCCCACTCATCTGCCAGATCTGAAGGATGTATTTAAGACTTAATTCCTATCCCCCTCAACCCCCTAAAAAGTGTGAACTCCATTTAGAGTGACTAACAAATACAAACCTACAGCTAGCAATATAGATCCAAATAAATAAATTTGTGTGTAGACAATACGTTACAAGAGAGCAAGGTTTAAAAAAAAAAAAAAAAGGAGGCAAAGAACCGTTATGTAAAACATGGGGAAGAAAAGCTAAGTGGATTATGTCAGACAGACAAGTGAAAGGAATACAATCCTGGTAGTACAGAAAACTATGAAGGCTTTCTATTTTATTTTTGCTTCTGCATTATAGTGACTAATCTCATTAAATGATTTCAAAGCAGTTTGCAAAGTTTCTTCTCTAATCTGCTTCAATCTTTAAAACACGTTAAAATGTTCAAGTAAGTTTAATTGTTTAAAAATAAAAAACTTCTGCTAGATCCTTTTTAGCTATCATCGATTATTCTCACTCTCCTGCCTCTCCTATAAAATTCAGTTCCCTATCCGCTATCCTATCCACTCACCTAAAAACAAGCAAAAACGTACCTTTTTACATTTTGAAATGTGTTGTTCTTTCTCCCCGCTTTTTTTCCTTCTTTTATCATTAACTTTGGAAACTCTTGAAGCAGTTAAAGTAATTGATGTTGGAGTATGCTGAAATGCAGTATATAATTCCACAGGAACCTCATCACCACTCTCAGTTGCACTGGTATCACCATCTTCAGACAAAATAAAAATTATTGCACATTTAATACTTCTATTTTAAACAATGAAATAAAACAGCATTCCATATGACAAAGTATTGTCGTCTCCATCTTTCTAAATAAGCACATTTTTTAACTTGTTCACTCACCTCACTTACACATTTACATGCAAAGCACAAATATGATTTCTCACACATTAAACTAGAAAGGATCCAAAAGCCTGATAACACACTCTGGTGGTGTGCCTGTGGGAAACAGCACTCTCATACACTACGAGTGGAAATTTGAAATTCCCTACAAAGGACAATTCAGCCATATCTAGCAAAATTATATATGTACATACCTTCTGACCCAGCCATCTCATTATTAGAGATCTAGCCAAAGATAAAACAGCAAAAGTACAAAAAGACTTATGCAAGAGGGTCTTGCTGAGGATACTGTTTTTAATAACAAAAATAAAACAAAGCAGAAATAATGAAAACAATCCAAATCTCCATCAAAGAGGAATAGTTGAATAAATTATGATTATTTAAAACCAGGAGTACTGGTATCAACATGATTAAGATAAAATAAAAATTGTGGCATATGTTACACAGAAGTTAGAAAATTCTGTTCCTATAAATAAAAGATGTACTATTCTACATGATAAACTAATGGATCATATCTTTCTGAAGAACAAACATATTTTACTTTTTTAAACCAACAGGTTAGCTATGTGTAGGAAAATTATGGCTGATTTAAATTATTTATTTTCCTCTCATTTCCATTTTATTTCCCAAAGTACATATTTATTCTATAATACGTGAAAAAAAAAATACTTGAAATCTATACCAGAGATTGCATACTCTCTGTACAATCAACATTCATCAACAAGGTATTTACATTTAACTAAAAATATTTACATTTAACTAAAAGTTGAGAGAACCGTTTATTCTCTCAATCACACGAATTTTAATTTAGTGTAGGTCCTTTTTACCTACCTGACATATTTTCCCTTTTCCGGCGTTGTAGTAGCACTGCCCTCTCTTTATCCAAATTCCTACATTAAAAAATTAGCATAATTATTTATCAAATACATGAAGCAGATCTGTCTTAAATGTGATAAACTTTTTAATTTATTTAATGTTCTCAGTGAAAAACCAACAGTATAAAATATATACAAAATCCCTTGCAATACAGTTTACATACAATCTAATAGTAGCAGTAGATGCCAGATAGATGACTCCATTTCACTCTGATTTTTTTTTTTTTTTTTTTTCCCCAGACAGGGTCTCACCCTATCACCCAGGCTGGAGTGCAGTGATGCAATCACAGTTTGCTGCAGCCTCAACCTTCCAGGTTCAAGGGATCCTCCTGCCTCAGCCTCCTGAGTAGCTGAGACTACAGGCCTGCACCATCATGCCGGGCTAATTTTTTAATTTTTTGTAGAGATGGGTTACCCAGGCTGGTCTTGAACTCCTGGATCAAGTGATCCTCCCACCCCTGCCTCCCAAAGAGCTGGGATCACAGATGTGAGCCACAGTGAATGGCCAAGAAAATAATTTACTTAGGAAACCAGTATTTTTTTCAAACAGAATATTTAAAGCAAAAAGTCTGAAAAAAAAAAACCCATAATGTTAACATGTAATTAAAATCATAAATTAAATTTCTTAAAGCAAATGTATGACACTGAATTGAATCTATTCCATTATTACCATTGCCTTTAATTATTTTCACTTTTGAAATAAATACTGCTTTTTTTTTGAGATGGAGTTTCGCTCTTATTGCCCAGGCTGGAGTGCAATGGCGCAATCTTGGCTCACTGCAACCTCTGCCTCCTGGGTTCAAGCGATTCCCTGCCTCAGCCTCCCAAGTAGCTGGGGTTCCGGGCATGTGCTACCACACCTGGCTAATTTTGTATTTATAGTAGAGACGGGGTTTCTCCATGTTGGTCAGGCTGGTCTCAAACTCCTGGCCTAAGGTGATCTGCCCACCTCGGCCTCCCAAAGTGCTGGGATTATAGGCATGAGCATTTAACAGTTAAGTGAAATACTTCATTACCCACTCCCTACCTCTACCCATGAACTACATCATCCATAGTAATTCTTTTACATTCCCCCCCAACTTTTTCACTGTATATAGTTTAGAGGTCAGATAACATATTATTCTCAGGTGGGAAAATAAGAGCTCTAGATTATTAGAATTTCTACAGACTTGCCTTAATGTCTACCAGGAAATATATTTATTCTAGCATCACAGATAATTATCCTAGCTATCACAGAATAATAAACATATCTCTCTCAACTAACTGCCCTCCTAATGGTAAGTTTTTTTGTTTTTTGTTTTGTTTTTTGAGACGGAGTCTCGCTCTGTTGCCCAGGCTGCCAAGCTGGAGTTCCGTGGTGCGACCTTGGCTCACTGCAAGCTCCAACTCCCAGGTTCATGCCATTCTGCCGCCTAAGCCTCCCAAGTAGCTGGGACGACAGGCGCCCGCCACCACACCTGGCTAACTCTTGTTTTTGTATTTTTAGTAGAGACAGGGTTTCACCATGTTAGCCAGGATGGTCTCAATCTTCTGACCTCATGATCCACCCGCCTGGGCCTCCCCCAAAGTGCTGGGATTACAGGTGTGAGCCACCGCGCCCGGCCTCCTAATGGTAACTTTTTAACCAACTTTTACTGAATTCATCATCAGATATTTACCCCATCAAAAATTATCTGGCAAAAGACTACTATCAAAGGGAAACAAAACCACATAGAGACACCTCACTCAAAGTAAGAGAAATGCACACCATAACTATGCTGAGATTACCATTTCTCACCTAATTAAACTGGCAAAAATGCAAGTCTGTCAAACACTCTGTTGTGAGGCTTGGGAAAGTGGGCATGCTTATCCATTACTGTTTGGAATTCAAAACTGCAGGCCGGGCGTGGTGGCCCACGCCTGTAATCTCAGCACTCTGGGAGGCCGAGGCAGGCAGATCACGAGGTCAGGAGATTGAGACCATCCTGGCCAAGATGGTGAAACCCTGTTCTCTACTTAAAAAAAAAAAAAAAAAAAAAAAAAAAATATATATATATATATATATATATATACACACACACATACATACATACATACATACACACACACATACACACACAAATTAGCAGGGTGTGGTGGCTCATGCCTGTGGTCCAGCTACTCGGCAGGCTGAGGCATGACAATGGCTTGAACCCAGGAGGCGGAGGTTGCAGTGAGCCGAGATCGTACCACTGCACTGCAGCCTGGTGACACAGCAACACTCCATTTCAAAAAAAACAAAAACAAAAAACAACAACAAAAAAACAGCACAGCTCCTGCTGGAAGGAAATTTGACAATCTAACAAAATTTTATATATACATTTATCACTATACTGAACAATCTCACTTCTATCTATAATAACAAAAGAACCAAAACAACTCTAGTGTCCATACAAAGGCAACTAGTTGAATAGAGTACAAAAAAAGATACAGTACATTGAAGCTCTATCAGTCAATGTCTACATACTACTGTGATCTTCAGCATATATTTTTAAGAGAAAAGAAATGTGAAGACTCTATAATATGCTACTGCTTACCTAAATAAGGAAGGAAATACAAATATATAGATACATATCTACATATAATAAGCAAGCAGGGATGAGTTAGACTTAACTTGCTTTATATATTTGTCTACCTTGCTTTACATATTTGACTTTAGAGTGACAGAATACTTTCCTTTATATATTTGACTTCAAGTCTAACTTGCTTTATATTTGAGTTTAGAATGATAGAATACTTCTTACATAATTATAAAGTATATAATTATAAAGGTAAATAAAATACAAAAAACAATTCTGTTTTTGAGACAGGGTCTCCCTCTGTTGCCCAGGCTGGAGTGCAGTGGCACAATCATAACTCACTGCAGCCTCAACCTCCCGGGCTCAAGCAATCCTCCTGCCTCAGCCCCCCAAAGAGCTGGGACCACAGACACATACCATCTTATCCAGCTAATCTTTGCTTTTTTTTTTTTTTTTTTTTTTTTGAGACACAGTCCCGCTCTCTCACACAGGCGGAGTGCAGCTGTGTGATCTCAGCTCACTGCAACCTCTGCCTCCCAGGTTCAAGCAATTCTCATGCCTCAGCCTCCTGAGTAGCTGGGATTACAAGCACCTGCCACCATGCCCGGCTAATTTTTGTATTTTTTTTGGTAGCAATGGTGCCTTGCCATGTTGCCTAGGCTGGTCTCAAACTCCTGACCTCAAGTGATCCACCCGCCTCAGCCTCCAAAAGTGCTAGGATTATAGCTGTGAGCCACTGCGCCCAACCAACAATTCTTAAAAAACAAAAATTACTGATTACTTCTACATTTCTGGTAGGAATATAAAATCGAATAGCCATTCCGGAAAATAGTCTGACAATATCATAAATATCTAAACATGCAACTACCATATAATCAAGCTGCTGTTCTCTTGGGCATTTAACCCAGAGAGGGGGAAAAACAACTTAGGTTCACACAAAAACCTGTAAACAAATGTTCACAGAAACTTTATTTGTAATAGCCAAAAAAGTAGAAACAACCCAAATGGTCTTCAATGGGTGAATAGGTTAAAGAAACTATGGTACATATATACCATGAAATACTATCAGCAATAAGAAACAAAATCATGATACATCCAACAAATTGGAGGGCTCTCTAGGGAATCACGCTGGATAAAAAAGTCAATGCCAAAAGGTCACATACTGGGTCAAATGAAGTCATAAATGTATGACTTCATTTATGGAACATTCTTGAAATGACAAAATTATAGAAATCGATTACAGAATAACAGTTGGCCAAGTTCAGGGGTAGAAGGTGGGTATGACTATAAAGGGTAGCATGACTCCTGGCAGTGACAGGAATGTTCTATAGAGTGACTGTGTTAATGCCAATATCCTAGTTGTGATATTGTATTAATAGTTATGCAAGATGTTAACACTGGGGCAAAACAGGTAAAAGATATCTAGGCTCACTCTACATTATTTCACAACTGCATGTGAATCTACAACTCAGAACATTTAATTTTTTAAAAATCAATAAAATTAATGACCTAAACAACATAAGTGTGTATCCAGTTGGTGTTATAAACACACAATTATTTCAAGAGACTTAAAACACAATATTGACCATAAAACCCTCGTACACTATGCCCTATGGGGGGAAAGTTCTAAACTGTTTTACACAATCATATTGTTGGTGCTAGTGTTGCTGGTGTTGTTACTCCAAGACTATTATATTCTTGTGTAGGATTAAACAGTTAACCAATTGTGAGATATTCTAATTACATTATTCTCTGTATTGTTGACAACTAGAATAAAAGGAGATAAACATGAAACAGCTACATAAAAACTTGTATTCCTAAATTTCAATTGCAATTATCGGTATAAACTCATGTATTTTATCTTAAAGAAACAGATGAAACATACTTCCTAGCTTTGTCTACTAAAAAGACTAGGAACAGTGACCAATCTAGTAGGAAAGGGCATGACTAGCTCTCCAATTCTGGTCTTGAAAGCCAACTCTGAATTTGGGGCACAGAAGTGCAGGATAAGCCTGAGACATCTTGTCACACCAGATATCTTCTTTGCCATGAAGTACCACTAGGGTGTTGTTTAAAGGACTTGATAACCAGCTTGAAGAGGTTCCTACTGACCAGAAATGGAATGAAATTTAAGCATCAATAAGGGTAATAACTGCAAGAGACTGACATCCACTATGGTTTAAATCCATGAGGTCACAATGATACTTAATTTTTCATTATTCTGAAAACCAGTAAATAAAGGCTAAGATTCAACAAGCATTTATCCAGCCTTTCCTCAATGAAATATATCTTAAGAGAACCGAATAGTTAACATAGAGACATGGCCGGGCAAGGTGGCTCTCGCCTGTAATCCCAACACTTTGGGAGGCCGAGGTGGGAAGATTGCTTGAGCCCAAGAGTTCTAGACCAGCCTGGACAACATGGTGAAACCCTGTGCCTACAAAAAAAAAAAAAAAACAAAAAAAAAAAAAACCACAACTAGTCAGGCATGGTGGCGATGCCTGTAGTCCCAGCTACTTGGCAAGCTGAGGTGGAAGGATGGGAGAATCACCTGAACCCAGGAGGCTGAGGCTGCAGTGAGCTGTGGTCACACGTAGCCTGTTCGACAATGTGAGATCCTGTCTTAAAAAAAAAAAAGAGAAGTTTGTTCCAATAAAAATATTCCAGCTGATAAGTAATGAACAACAGAATTAACATATCACTAATTTGCAACCCCTAATAAATTAGTGGATCTAAGGACTATCACTGGCTTCCATCATAAGACAACCAGAAATCATGTGCCACCTGATAAGACAAAACAGTCTAACTATGAAAATAGTCTTATTAAAAAAAAAAAGAAATTGAACCTAAATCTGATCAAGCCTATAGACATAAACACCTTCTTACAGAAATAGAACAGGGAAACTTGTGAAATCATGGGAATACAACTGGCAAAACTCATCAGGACAAACAGCTGAGTTCCCTAAACATGCACACTGTAATGGTAACCAGGGATGGTAGGGAGGGAGGAGTAGGTTTAGGAACTTGAGAGATGAATATCAACCAATCAATATCATAACAATGGCTGGGTGAGCCAGAGATTTTGTTCCATGTACAATAATGGCTTTGCGGTTTTTTGTTTTTTTGAAACAGGCTCTCACTCTGTCATCTAAGCTGGGGCACAGTGGCATGACCATGCCTCACTGCAGCCTCGAACTCACAGGCTCAGGCTATCCTCCCACCTCAGCCTCCCAAGCAGCTAGGACTACAGATGTGTGACACCACGCCTGGCTCATCTTCTGTATTTTTAGGAGAGACAGGGTTTCACCATGTTTCCCAAGCTGGTCTCGAACTCCTGGGCTCTCATGATCTACCTACCTCGGCCTCCCAAAGTGCTGGGATTACAGGCCTGAGCCACCTTGCCCAGACGGTTTGTAATTATTTTTGTAAAAAGAATTGACAGACATATTCTGAAATATATATACACACAAATACATATATACTGAAATATACATGGATGAAATAATACGATATCTGGGATTTGCCTTAAAACAACATGTAAAGGGAGAAGAAACACATGGCAGTATAGATGGGACAAGAATGTCGATAATTACTGAGGTAGGGTGGTGGAAATGTGAGTTTATTATGTATTATTTTATTTTTACGTAAGTTTGAAATGTCCATAATAAAAAGATTTTAAAAAACAAAAAAGAAATGTGGAAAAAAAAATTACAAACAAGAAGAATGATAGATCTACTAAATTCTTTAACTAAGGGAGTATTCATCTAGTAACTCTTTAATATAGCGCATTCCAGTTAAAAAAGATGCCATCAGGTAGAAGATGCACTATTATTTTATGCATCATTAATAAAGTAAAAACCCTATAAACTATGACACACTATTGATAGATATTTTCCTGATTTTAGAGTTGTCAGAATACAAAAATAATAGTAAGAATACACATAAAAATGGAAAAGCGTATGTTAGAATCGATGAAACACAGTGATCCATTAATTCTCCTTTTTTCTTTTTCTTTTTTTTTTTTTTTTTTAAAAAAAAAAGAGACTGGGTTTTGCTCTGTCACCCAGGCTGGAGTGCAGTGGCACAATCAAAGCTCACTGCAGCCTCAAACTCCTGTGCTCAAGCAATCTTCCTGCCTCAGCCTCCCAAGTAGTTGGCACTACAGGCATGAGCCACCATGCCCGGCTGTGATTCATTAATTTTTTAACTCGAATTCATAAAGGAATTTCTGTTAACTAGTATTACCTCAGTAAAATTACTGGCAATGTTATCAGATATGTGCAACTTACCTAGGCTGACAACGTTCACATAGATATGTATCAGGAATATGCTGCCTATCAATCCCCATGCAGTCAATATGTTGCCAAACGCTTAAAAAAAAAAAAGCAGAACATATGTAATATTATTTAAGTCATCCTTAAATTAAGATTTGATATTCCATTTAACTATCATTTAATAAGCACCTACTTTGAGCTTAGTACTCCTAAAAGGTACTCTGAGAAATTCATAGAAACGTGTCTTCAAGGCGATAAAATTTTGAGATGCAAAAGCAAGAGGATAAATATAGGATACATAAATTTTTAAAGCAGATACAATTTTAAAATATAAAATGTATAATTTATTCTACAAATATTATTAGAAATCACAATGTAGAGACGGCCACACTATTTGTAATTAATGAGAAAAGCACCTTGGAGAATAATGAACTTGACTCGAACCTCGTTTGGGAAATAGTAAGCTATCAGTGTAGCAACATTTATCAAATATCATTTATCAGATATGAAGAGAAAGTGGCCACAAGGCGCTCAACATATATGAAGAGAAATATTCATTTTGAGAAATAGAAGGAGGTTAAAATTGGATTAATGAAGTACAGTCAGATTACTTAGGACTTGGAATGTGCAGACATGTGTAAATTTCCTCTGTCAACAGGTAACAATTTTTTACAGGTGCTTTGGTGGCATGTAGTATTAATTCAAAGAAGAAACTGCAAGCAGAAAGACCAACTAAAGAGGCATTTCCAACATTCCACACTTGAGTTAAAGGAGGGCAGAACCAGAATTAACGCCAGAGAAAAATAAGTTAAAGAATGTAAGAGGCATTCTATGAGGACAGAGATTAAACCTAATTACTTTTAATAGAATACATGGACCAGTTTGAGGCAAATTTCTCAATTTGTTACTATTGTATTTTATTGCCAAGACTAATTTGTCTGAAGTTGATATATATGCCTGACTCCAAAAAGTCTTAGTTATTCCTTACATAAGAATAAACTACTTCTAATATATAACTACAGTAGCTTCCCCCTTATCCATGGTTTGCTTTTCGTGGTTTCATTTACCTGTGTTCAACCACAGTCTGAAAATATTAAGATATTTTCAGGAAGAGGGAGAGAGGGGGGCAGAAGGAAAGAGAGAGGAGACAAAGACCACATTTACTTCTATTACAGTATGCTGTTACAATTGTTGTTAAGCTCTTACTGCATCTACTTTATAAATTAAACTTTATCATAGGTATTTATGTATAGGAAAAAACAAAGTACTGTAGGGTTCAGTACTCTCTGCAGTTTCAGGCATCTACTGGGCGTCTTGGAACATATACCCCAGGGAAAGGAGGGACTACTGTACCAAACTAACTGCTACTGTGTTGTTCTTTACTTTTCAACTGAGAATGTTGGGGCAAGAACTGACAGAATGTGAAATATATATCAAAGTGGAAAAAAGATGTGAAAAAGAAAAGTAGCACAAATGACAAGGGTTAGAATAACAAATTAAACTAAATTTGTGGGGCAAGTAATGATGTCATGCAGACAACAGAAGAAACAAAGCTAGAATATGAATAAATAATCAGAGCTGTGGATGTCAGACTTCAAAGAGATGAGTATAAGTAGTAGGAACATGTAAAAATAATGAGCCAACGTAAAGTTAGAATAGAGCCTTCCAGGAGACTACAGGCTGAGCAACAGAAAAACAGAGTAACAAATATTAGAGTCATAACAAAAAGTACTCTCTGAGAAGCAAATAACTTGAATAATCCAAAAACTGTGAACTGGTCCTTCAATAATTTGTAGATGGATATAAAAACTCCTAAGGACAATTTTACTATTCTCTAATAGAGATAACTGTATCTTATATATAGACCATCGCCGTTATATCAAAAGAAGAACACTGCTAAGATTATGTATTAAAATAAAAATTACATACCAAAGTATGTAATTTATCACATTAGACAAAATCAGCCAAGAGAAAGCTTTTCTATATGACTGGCTACAATATGATTTGACATTTTCTACTATGAGGAAAGCAAAGTGTCACTGTATTTTTAGTTTTTTAATTTACCTCCTAAATAAATTTACTGAAGTCATTATTCATGGTAGAATGTATTACAGGTTATGAAAGTTTATTTTTACATTTGGAAAGGTACTACAATATGTTTTTATTATTAAGATAAACTCAGTGTTAATATTACAACTTTCCATAAAAATATCAAATTTTACATTCCACTTAATATTTGAATTTCTCATTTTTTGGCAAGAGTAAACAAACTTTTTGAAACATAATGCTAACTGCATGTTTGTATCAATAATATTCAACTCCTAATCACCTAATCTAATAGATGGGGATAATATTACAAGTAATTCAAAGTAATACTTGGCTTTAGGGTCCATTTTTATACTTACATTCAAATATGGGTATATGCCATACTGCATCACATCAAATAATTAAGCAACACCATAATGACCAGACCCAGGAAATTCTGTAAAGCTCCCCAACTTTCTTGCTCTCTACAATGCACTGCGTAAGTACTCTGCGCTTCCCACCCTATGCAGGGGATAAACTCAGTAACTTTCAGGCTGAAATCCTACTGTTCCCTCTTCATCCTCCCCAAATCCTTCCCCCCAGTCAAAAAAAAAAAAAAAAAAAAAAAAAAAACCAAGAAAAAAAAATGATACAAAACCCCACTTTCTGTCCCAATCACACCTTCTCTAGGGGAGGAGGCCTTTCTTGGTGGCTGAACCAGGGTTGGGGGAGGGGAGACTGTGGTTCTGGTTCAAGGAGACTCCAGAGTGCTGCAAGGTTCAAGTCAAAAGGAGGTGAGAGAGTCAGGTCAAACAAACATCAATGAAAATGTTTAATTTCCGCAAACTGGAAAATCACAGTTGACTAAGCACAAATTATTCCAAAGGAAATACAAAAGACTAAATTCTCTCATTTCTATCTTGTCTACTGCTATGTTTATGTACTTGTACTACTATTGAACTAAGTGAACAGAAAAATGTGATCCTACATGAAAAAAAGTTCAGAACTGACTGTCTATTACTCAGTTAACAACAGGGATTTCTAGTAAACTCTTTTTTCACATAGGAGGCTTTTTCTAGGACTGCATCAATAGTAGAAGTCCCACTTAAAATATGTATCCATTAATTCCCTTGAAAGTGACTTTAGTTATCTTTTCCAACATTACCAAAGGTTATCAGCATTCAAGAAAAATAAAATAATGGTGTAAAATATTTTACCTGCATTTGTCACAACAGATCATGTATCCATCATCATGTGTAAAACCACATATGCACCTGGTTACATCAGTACCATAACTTCCATCCTCAGATGTGCTGATTGTAGTAGCACTGGAAGTTTCATCAAAATTAGGAGTGGTAAATATGCCTACTTCATTTTTGCTAATAAGGACTGATGGAGGAGGGGAAGCCGGAGGTGTCGGAGGAGGACGAGCACCATAATTATGGTCCTGAATAATTAAACACAAATATAGCACAATATTATTTAATTTCAACAATGATATAAACCAAGCAACTTAAATAAAATTCAACCCTTAATTTCAATACTCAAGAGATATGAGACTGGCTCATTCCTTCCTTAATACCATTAAAAAAATGACTTGGTGAAGCCAGTTATTAAACCACAGCAGTAAGTGAATATATCTATCTACAAAGTGGGAGTGGTCACATTCACATCCAAATTTCATTCCCTCCCTACCAAATCATATCTTCACGTTCCTATGGTCACATACATAGCTCCACCTCCAAGATGAAAGAAGGTATTAAGATGTGAGAATAGAAGTGTTAAAAAAAAAAAAAAGAAAAAGAAAAACACACATCTCAGAAATATGGAGCCTAAAGAATAATAAAACAAGACATATTTATCACTATAAAACATATAATATAGTTTTTTAAATTTAGTAATTTTTATTCTGGTCCAAGTAGTAAGTATCTCATAATTCTACCTCCATAGTATCATAAATGTGTTGTTATGTAATTACGTTTGAATCTAAATGCTGCCTCTTACTAGATATGCAATATTTAATAAGTTAGATAGGCTTTTATTTTCTCACCTATGAAATAAAAGATGAAAACTACATCTCATGAAGTTGTTTTTAATGATTAAATAATATATGTCTGACACATAACAAGGGCTCAATAAATGGTAACTATAAAATTTACTATATAAATTACTATATAATTCAAAAACTAAAAATCAAAAAATTAAAACAAAATTAATTACTATATAATTCAAAATTAATAGTAGGTAGTACAATACAACCTTATCTGCATTCTTTTAGGAAGTAAAGAAATATAATATCAAACTATTAACAGCATAAATTGCAAAATAATAAGAGAAACAGTTCACTTTTATAGAACTTTAATCGCTTAATGGTTAATGAAAAATTAAACGCCTAATTATTTTGATAGTATGAAACAACCATGCTTTTCAAACATGCCGTTTCAAGCACAGTATCACATGCATCTACTTTCAATCTCTAAATTTAAAAATGTTTTTTCAAAGAAGTGTTTAACACTTACCGCATAGGGCAAACCAATGTAACTGTGTGAATGATGTGAGCTGCTGGTATATAACTGGTGGGGATAACTGTTGGATTTCTCAACTACCACAGGGCTAGCTTCTACGGATTCTGGTCTGGGGGGAAAAAGTTGCATCAAAGAGAATTCCATTCTTTTTTTTTCCTCTTAATCAATTTAATTAAAATGATAAAGTACTTACAGCAAAATAATGGCTATACAAATACAGTATCTACTTACAGCAGGTGGATACACTATAGATAAGATATATCCCATCTAGATTATGTGTCATAAGCAAACTTCTGTTTAAGTAAAATAAATGTCCCAATCCAATTTCAAATATAGTTTCCCTCTCTCTCATTAAAAAAAATTACTAGAGTCCAATTATTATTTAATAAACCCTACGGCACTGAGAAAACTAGCAAAGGGGTGCAAAGAAGTAGTAGAAATAATTTAAGCAAGACTAAAACACACAGAATCTATATGGACCTCAAATGGAACTGAAGTATGCATTTCAGTGTTCAAAAATATATGCATGTGTTGAGTGTGACCAGATATTAATATAATAAAGCCTTGGAAATGTCAGTAAACTTAAGTAATAGGAAGTTTCAAAATAAACCAGGATTTATACCTGAAAAAAAACATAAACAGCTATCTGTAAGATGAGCAATTCTGGTCTTAGATGATGGAGACTGATCAACTACTGATACAATTTGCCCACTGTTGTTGACTTACAAGCTCCCTGGCCTAGCATTTTACATACATCACTTTCCCAACTTCTTTACTCTTACCAATCCTCCTGAGCTCTACTTGGTTAATTCCTATTGATCAACAAGGTTGTGAACCTACATCTGAGGTCAGTTCACACTAAAATTAATCTCTCCCTTGCAAATACTCAATAACATGATTTGTTTCTGTGCCTTTATTTTACAAAACTATAACATCACTTGAAAAATTTTTCATGACAATCTTTATCCTACCTCCTATTAAAACTTTACATTAGAACTTAGTACTATTTGCACTATTATTTAGTTTAAGGATATTTAGTGGTTATATTCTGATTAGTCATGAGACTAGCAGCATAAAAAACATTTTTTACAGTCAACTGCTTCTTAATATACTGTCATCCCTTCACGAAGTCTCAATTTAGCTCTCAGTGGCTGCTGTTGTAAGCGCTGTGTGCCAGAATCAGCAAAAAGAGGAGATACAAACTGAGGTTATCTAATGGTTCTAAAGGAGATTGTGAAGAGTCTCCATTATGTTCTGAATATAGTCATGCTTTGCTTAACATTGGAGATACATTCTGAGAAATACATCATTAGGTGATTTCACCGTTGTGTGAACATGATAGAGTGTACTTTACACAAACCTAGATGGTATAGCCTACTATACACCTAGGCTAAATGGCATAACTATTGCTCCTAGGCTACAAATCTATACAGCATGTTATGCGCTGAATATCGTAGGTAACACAATGCACTGAATATTGTAGGTAACACAATGCTAAGTATTCTGTATCTAAACACATCTAAACATAGAAAATAAGGGCTGGGTGTGGTGGCTCATGCCTATGATCTCAACACTTTGGGAGTCTGAGACAGGAGGGTCACTTGAAGCCTGGAGTTCAGGAGTAGCTTGGGTAAGATAGCAAGACTTTCTCTACAGACATTAAAAATAAAAAAAAAAAACTAGCCAAGCGTGTTGGCACACGTCTGTAGTCCTAGCTACTTGGGAGGTTGAGGTGGGAGAGCTGTTTGGGCCTAGAAGTTTGAGGTTACAGTGAGCTATGATCATGTCACTGCACTCTAGCCTGGGCAACAGAATGAGACTCTGTCTCTAAAAAGAGAAAAAAACATGTACAGTAAAAAAACAATAAAAAAGATAAAAAATGGTACACGTGTAGACGGCACCTCCAATATAATCTTATGGGACCACCATTGTATTATGTGGTCTGGTGTTGACTGAAACGTTGTTATGTGTGCATGACTGTACTTTGAAAACCAATATTCACCTGTAATCCCAGCACTTTGGGAGGCAGAGGCGGGTGGATCACAAGGTCAGGAGTTCAAGACCAGCCTGGCCAAGATGGTGAAAACCCATCTCTACTAAAAATACAATAAGTAGGCAGGGGTGATGGCAGGCACCTGTAATCCCAGCTACTTGGGGGCTGAGGCAGGAGAATCACTTGAACCCAGGTGGCAGAGGTTGCAGTGAGCCGAGACTGCGCTACTGCACTCCAGCCTGGGCGACAGAGTTAAGACTCTGTCTCCAAAAAAAAAAAAAAAAAAAAAAAAAAAAAAAAACAACAACAAGAAAATCAATATTCAGCTAATGTCTATGCTGTTACATTAAGAATTATTCATTATTTTAAAAGAAATGTTTCTTAATTTCAAAATTAATACATGCTGATTGTAGAAAATCTAAATATAGCAGTAATAAGAAAATGTAAGACTATGTCTCCACCCAACTCCCAAACATTCTCATGTTAATATTGCCATGTATCTTTCTCTAAACTTTTCTATGCATCATTATATCTACACAATTTTTGCTTTTTAAAATCCGAAAATATATGTATTCATGATTTACTTTTTCCATCTTTAAATGTCAACATATATACTTTATTCTTGGTAATAATTGCTTATTTCATTATATGAATATAAATTTATTTAACAATTTCCCCTACGGGTAAATATTGACATTATTTCTATTTGTCACTATTAAAAGTACTACTGCAAATGTACATCCATTTATCTTTTCTGCATAAATGGTAGTATTTCTATAACATGAGTTCCTGTAGCTACTATTGCTGAACAAAAGGGTAAATGTACATAAAACTGATACTACCAAACTGCCTTTGATTACAACAGTGACACTTTTTAAATTCTTTAAAAATTACACAGAAGGAAGAAGTGAAGTTTTAGCAACGATTTACAGTACTATTATTAAAGCAACATGCAGGAACTGTGGCCAGAGCACAAAGATTCACTCTTAAAAATTTAGATCAAACTCTGCAAAACATGTTACTAAAAGGTGTGGGCAAAACTTGGATATTTTGGAGTAGCAGCCATAACTTTTGCAGTCTGAGGTCCAACAGCAAAACTAGCATGAATTTCTTTTTCCTTCTTCCCAAATGTAAGGACAGAAGTGTTACATTTCTAAGTGTTATACTTCATAATTATTTACAGAAGTGTTTATATAATTATGTATCAAAACATAATCCATGATGCAGTGTTCATTCTATAGAAAAATGAGATTTCACATACATAATTTTGATATCTTACTCTTCAGTTAGAGAGTGAAGAGCTTATATAGTGGTTTATACTCATTCATATACTGCTTTGTATGTTCTTTTTTTCTTTTAGCCTGTCAGCAGGAAGTATGTATATGTTCTAAAATCACTGAATCCAAAAAAGATTTTCTCTTTATCCATGGGAAATTTCCCAAAAGATATTCATTGCATACTCCAAGAATTCAAAATGTTCAAAATTTTCAAAATGGTCAAAAATAAACTGCAATTACTTTTGCACCAACCTAGTAGCAGGTAATGAAATTATTCCCAATATATAAGCAATAAGGTATGGTCAAAACCACCATAATTTGTAGATGAAGTCACCTTTTCAAAACTCTGAATTCTGTTTCCAACAAGTAGAACAACTGAAATGCATAAAAGGGGATTCTAACATGCAACTCAGCTCTAAAACTAAAATGTAAGTATATTCTCTTGTTAATACATAAGCCAATACTTAGGTGCTGACTGCTTCTTTTAGAAATTCCCCAACAGCTAAAAAATGCAGAAGGAATAAATAAATTAGAAAAATAACTAAACTGCAACCCTTAAGAGGTTATATATCTGGGCAACAAATAACCATGGATGCTAAGAGTCTTAGGT
Organism: Homo sapiens; assembly: GCF_000001405.40. Classification (NCBI taxonomy): domain Eukaryota; kingdom Metazoa; phylum Chordata; class Mammalia; order Primates; family Hominidae; genus Homo; species Homo sapiens. Next base: position 105,058,392 of record NC_000007.14, on the reverse strand, counting down.
AGAAGGTTGATAGGTAGATAAGATGACAACACCTGAATCTGTTGATCATTAATATCATCATTAGGAGTTAGACAACCAAGCTTTATTTGCCTCTCCTAATGCTATGTGATAAGAAGCACACAGTCCCACCTATAAAATATCATACTGAAAAGAAAAATAGAAAAAGAGAAAAGGAAAAGAACAGAACTCGAAGCTAATTATATCTCTAAATCCAAATACCAGTTTATCAGAAATATGGGGGAAGTAGAATATTACATGACACCAGAAGGAGGCAATCAGCCAACTCCAGAATGTTAAAACTTCTATAGGCTGAATTTTCCAGTTTCTTCACCAGGTCTACAGCACAAAGGAAAACAAATTTTAAAAGAGGGGGTTGTTATAGATGAAGAGAGATTCAAGAGACATTTCAAGCAAACGCAATGTGTGAATTTCGATCGGATCCCAATTTGAACACATCACAAAAAGATTTTTGAGACGAGTGAGAAAATTTGAAGATGAACTGGATACTTTATGTTAATTTTGTTATATAATAGTACTGTAGCAGAACAAAAAAGTCCTCAACTGTTAGTGATAGATACTGAATAATACATGGGTGAAATAATACATGAGAGAAATGGGAATTTGTTTTAAAATACTTAAGAGGCTGGGCGCAGTGGCTCACGCTTACGATCACAGCACTTTTGGGGGCCAAAAGGGAGGATCACTTGAGGCCAGAAGTTCATGACCAGTCGGGGCAACACAGCAAGATCCCACCTCTATCAAAAAATGAAAAAATTAGCTGGGCATGGTGGCTCACACCTATAGTCCTAGGCTTCAGCTACTCAGGAGGCTGAAGCAAAAGGATCACCTGAGACAGGCAAGTTGAAGATGCAGTGAGCTATGATCATGTCACTGTACTCCAGCCTGGGTTGACAGAGTGAGACTCTGTATCAAAACAAAAACAAACAAAAAAAACAACTCAAAGACAGATGAAACAAGATTGGCAAAACTTTGAATACTGTTGAAGCTAAGTAACGGCCAACTGGGATTACTATTCTGTTTTACATACTGTCATGTATATATCTGCATTTCCATACTAAAAAGTGGAAATAAAAAAGTTCTCCAAGCATTTTTATCTTACATTTAGAATCTCTATACACTGGGTGCCAGCAAGAATAGTAGTCTATCGCTTTTCCTCCCACTCACAAAGATGTCCTGGGCATTTCTAAACCCCTATTTGTAGAATAACTCTTAACCCTTACTCCTTAATTTCAACACATTTTTCAAGGTTTATTTCAAGTATTCTTAAGAGTCCTTTCTTGACTGCTTCAACTCCATAATTTTAGGATTCATGAAGCACTTATTTACTGTATTGTTATTACTTTTCACACAATTATTTTTGTGCTCTGCTAACAATCTTCTGTCATGCATCTATTATTTTTTCTTCCAAACTCTTTTATAACGAGGCATTTTCTCCAGTAGAAAGAATGCCATATTGACCTCTCTTGAACTTGAGGTTTTTTATATGTAAAGTGGGAATAAGGATATTTGTTTTACCTTCTTCCCAGCAATATGAAGTTCAAATGTTATAAAGGATGTGAAAATGCATTTTCTCAACTATAATGCCTTACACAGATACATTACACTACTTACTTGTTCAGAATTTGTTCTCAAGTACAACTACAAATACTCTGTCTGAAGCTCCTTAAAAATTGTTTTATAACTTTAGTTCACAATAATTCAAACTTCCAATAGAGTGGTTCTATGTACAAGCCCAATGACACCTGTTTTAAATAAATCACTAATTTTGCTAGAGGAGACAGAACCTATCACCCTAGTAAAAGAAATTTACTACAAATAACATATAGGAAAAACCCAGTAATGCTGGAGGAAGACAATACCCCATGCATATGCAAAAAGACAAGAAAACATGGCAGGTGGAATCTTCAAGTAGCATGTAAAGGTCAGACTTCAGGAATAGTGTTTATTCATGTAAGCAGTCTCTCAAAAGCAAGTAATGTCTAAACCCTTGTAATAGATAGAGCCAGATTTTCCTTTGGAGGTTTGGATTTAGAAAAACTTCACAATAAACTGTACCTCTCTGTGTGTTTATAACATAAACATCTGACACAAATTCAAGTACTTGCACTGAAATCTCATGGCAACATTTGGTATAAAATGGTAGTCATCCGGAATGATTCTAAATATACTTAATTTTTTTTCCTAGCTCCAAATTAAATAGCAAATTTTTAAAACATCAAAAAGCTCAGAGACCCCTGGAGACTACATCCATTTAAACCACTTTGATAGCACTGATTAAACAAATATTGAGGGCTTAATGTTCACTAGCAACCATCAGAGATACAAAGATAAGACACTGTCTCTGCCTTCAAGGAACTTACAATAATATAGTTTTCTTTCAATCAATAAACATTTGAGCACACAGTAAGCACCAGGCAGTGAGATACTGTACCAAATGCTGGAAATAAAAAAAAAAAAAAGTGATCCTTCTTCTTAAGAAACTAACAGGCAAACAAACAAGTGTAACAATAATTACAGTAGTGCCATCAGAGGTATGCACAGGAGCCTTCATAATAGTAGTCACATTTAAGCAAGTTTTAAAGAATGGCAATTTAACAAGTCCATGAAATAGAGAAGGCAAAGAGATGGAGAAAGTATTCCAGACAGAAAGCACACATGCAGTCAGAGATAACAACAACATGACACATTTAAGCACGTTTCTCTAAGCATGATCTACAGACAACCAGCAGCACAATTACCTGTAGTGCAAGATGTTACTTTTCACAGCTCTACTTAAATGTAATGAACCAGAATGTTTAAAGATTGAGCTTAGAAATCTACATTTTAATAAACACCTTCAATTTTATGTTCACTGAAGTTTACGAAGAACAGACTGAAAAAGAATTACTAAAATTCAGAACAGTTAAAGGAGTGGAGGATGTGCCAGAGATGAGAATAGACAAGGACTAGTTCAAGAAGAACCCTGCGTATCCAGCTAAGAAATGAATATGATCTCTTATCCTGAAAAACTATACAGAGGGCCAGGCACAACAGCTCACGCCTATAATCCCAGCACTTTGGGAGGCTGAGGTAGGAGGAATCACTTAAGCTCAAGAGTTTGAGTCCAGCCTGGGCAATATAGTGAGACCCCATCTCAAAAAAAAAAAAAAAAAAACCTAAAAAGAAAAACAAAAACCACACACACAGAGCCACTAATGGGTTGTCTCTCTCCCAAGCAAGTTAATGATGTAAGTGGAGTAGTAGTATGACAAAATAAAACTAAGAGCTTCAAATGTGAGGTTGGGTAATCTGTAAATAATTCTCCTAGATTCAGTAGGCTCAGGAGAAGCCCTGAAACTGATCAGAGAAGGTAAAAAGTACTACCTCTCCAAGACTCCTTCCATCATCCTCACTCACAAATAGGTAAATTTCCTCTGCTCAATCTAATTCTTCACTTTTCTGAAAAGCACTTGGCACTATGTCTAGTTTCAAAGTGATCCTCATGACTGCATGGCATCCAGAGTCCAAAGTGGTAACTTTTTTATTTAACAAAGAGATATTAAAATGTGCAACTTGCGGGCTGGGCGTGGTAGCTCACGCCTGTAATCCTAGCACTTTGGGAGGCCAAGGCAGGTGGATCACCTGAGGTCAGGAGTTCGAGATCAAGCCTGACCAACATGGTGAAACCCTGACTCTACTAAAAATACAAAATTAGCCAGGCATGGTGGCTCATGCCTATAATCCCAGCTACTCGGGAGGCTGAGGGAAGAGAATCGCTTGAACCCAGGAAGCAGAGGTTGCAGTGAGCTGACTGCACCATTGCACTCCAGCCTGGGCAACAAGAGCAAAACTCCATCTCAAATAGACAGACAGACAGATAGATAGATAGATAGATAGATAGATAGATAGATAGATAGATAGATAGATAGATAGACAGACAGACAGAGCAACTTGCTTTTACAACAAATAATTCCCCAATTTTTTCCTTTTTTTTTCCTTGAGTTCCTTCAACTACAGAGCCAAGTGTCTTAATGATTTGCCTTCATTTTTTATGAGGTACAGAACACAGGGTACATCAACCATCATTAGGTTCATCTGATACAATGACCTGTGAAAATAAAAGACTTTGATGAATCTATCAATTACACTATCAACAAAAGTAATTCTTAATTCTCTGCAGCCTTTCTTTAAAAAAAAAAAAAATTTCGCAGCCTTTTTTTTTGAGACAGAGTCTTGCTCTGTCACCCAGGCTGGAGTGCAGTGATGTATCTCAGCTCACTACAAGCTCCACCTCCCGGGTTCAAGTGATTCTCGTGTCTCAGCCTCGTAGTAGCCGGGATTACAGGCACGTGCCACCATGCCCGGTAAGTTTTTTTATTTTTAGTAGAGACCAGGTATTGCCATGTTGGCCAGGCTGGTCTCAAGCTCCCGACCCCAGGTGATCTGCCCACCTTGGCTCGCAAAGTGCTGAGATTACAGGCATGTGCCACCATGCCTCGCCTGTTTCTTTTTTTTGAAGAGAGAAGGCGTTACTCTGTCACCCAAGCTGGAGTGCAGTGGTGTGAGCATAGCTAACTATAGCATCAAACTCCCGGGGCTTGAGTGATCCTCCCATGTCAGCCTCCTGAGTAGATTACAGTCATGAGCCACTATGCCTGGCTAATTTTTAAAAAAATTTTTGTAGACAGCAGGGGTCTCACTATGTTGCCCAGGCTAGTTTCAAAAATCCTGGGCTCAAGAGATCCCCTCACCTTGATCTCTCAAAGTGATGGGATTACAGGCATGAGCCACTGTGTGCCCAGCAAGAATCAGCTTCAAGTGCCTATCTTTGATCTATAGCACATTACTATAAATTCTGAAAAGCAATCTTTATATAGACTTTAGAGTTGAGAGAATAAAATTATTATATATTTTAAGTCCGTAAATTCTTATAACTATATGATCTGCAAACTAGATCTTTAATCCTTCATCAATTAAACAGTATGCAAAAAATTTCATAGTAAAAATACTATCACTCAAAAAATACCAGTACTTGTTAAAATTCTTTATACTGAATAATTTTACATCCCTTCTCTTCCTACGTTATGTCTCAATTTATTATATCATGGTCAGTAAACAATCACTTAGATAACATAGATATTAATAATAAATTTCAATCTCCCTCTCATCACTATTTTAATTCTGCCAGTTTCCTAATGCCTTTAAAAAAATTTCCAGCTTCCCAAAACAGGTATTAACCAAAACCGCGACTTAAAAAAACTTAGCATTCAATATACTGAAATCATGCCAATTTTTAAAGACTATTTATATATGAGGGACTTTTCATTCAATTATACAGCACCGTCAGGTGCTGTATTTTTGTACATCTTTCTACAATGAAGAGGCTATAAAATACGTTTAGCTGTAGTTCTATCTCTTCTTAACAACTGAAGTATAGTTAGGATATGGGCATTCAATAATCCTTCTTAATATAATAAACTTCAGGGTTAACTATTAGATCTTCAAGCAATACAGGCTGGGTGCAGTGGCTCATGCCTGTAATCTCAGCACTTTGGGAAGCCAAGGTGGGCAGATCACCTGAGGTCGGGTGTTCGAGACCAGTCTGGCGAACATAGTGAAACCCCATCTCTACTAAAAATAAAAAAAATAAAAAAATAAAAAAAAAAATTAGCTGGGTGTGGTGGTGCATAGCTGTAATCCCATTTACTTGGGAGGCTGAGGCAGGAGAATCGCTTGAACCCAGGATGCAGAAGTTGCAGTGAGCCAAAACTGCGCCACTGCACTCTAGCCTGGGCGACAGAGTGAGACTCCTTCTCAGAAATAAAAATAAAAAATAAATAAAAATAAAAAATGACCTTCAAGCAATATGATTCATGACTCAATGCTTACTATATGCCAAACCCTGTGCTAGCCATTGTAGATACAATGATATTAGTGATAAAACAGACAAGATGTTTATAGTCATAAAGCTTATGTTTTAGTAAAAATATAAAGCACGGCAGCAATGAAATAAAACAAGTATTTCAGATACTATTTTAGATAATGGAAGAGGGGAGGCCTCACTAGTATGTGATATTTGAGTTTAGCTAAGATTATGCCAAGAACATAAGAATGATCCAGGCAGAGGAAATCACGAGTACAAAGTCCCTAAGGCAGAAACAAATGTAAAATATTCAAAAGAACAACAACAAAAAATCAATATGGAAGTAATAGTGAGATAAGAGAATAGTGAGACGAGATTAGGGAAGGAGGGCCTTATGGTCATAAAAAGTTAATATTTTAAGTAAAACAGAAAGTCACTGGAAGCTTTTTAAGTGGGAGAATTGTATGATCTGGTTTATGCTTCAGAAGAAGCATAGTAGCTTCTACAGAAAATAAATGATAGAAGGCAAAAGAGAAACATGGAGAGTATTCCACTCCAGTGTCTAGTCAAGAGATTACAAGGGCCTGGATGAGGACAACAGTAGAAATGGATAAAAGTGTACTGATTCAAAATATACTTTTGGCCAGGCGCGGCGGTTCATGCCTATAATCCCAGCACTTTGTGAAGTCAGGAGTTCGAGACCAGCCTGGCCAACACGATGAAATCCTGTTAAAAATATAAAAATTAGCTGGGCGTGGTGGCGCGCACCTGTAGTCCCATCTACTCTGGAGGCTGAGGCAGGAGAACTGCTTGAACCCAGGAGGCAGAGGTTGCAGTGAACCAATATTGTGCCACTGCACTCCAGCCTGGGTGACAGAGCAAGACTCCATTTCAAAACAAAACAAAACAAAAATATACTTTGAAGGAGGACCCAGTACAGACCAATAAATTAGACATAGGGGTTAAGGGGAAAGGACCAATCAAGACTGACAGCTTAGAGTTTTAAGCAACTGGATAGAGATGTAGCCATTTAAAGAAATAGATGATGCAGGGGCAGTGGCTCACACCTGTAATCCCAGTACTTTGGTAGGCCGAGGCGGGCGTATCACCTGAGGTCGGGAGTTTGAGACCAGCCTGACCAACATGGAGAAACCCCGCCTCTAGTAAACATACAAAATTAGCTGGGCATGATGGCGCATGCCTGTAATCCCAGCTACTTGGGAAGCTGAGGCAGGAGAATCGCTTGAACCTCGAAAGCGGAGGTTGCAGTGAGCCAAGATCGTGCCATTGCACTCCAGCCTGGGCAACAAGAGCGAAACTCCATCTAAAAAAGGAAGGAAGGAAGGAAAAAAGGAAGGAAGGAAGGAAGAAAGGGAGGAAGGAAGGGAGGGAGGAAGAGAGGAAAGGAGGAAAGGAAGAAAGAGAGAGAGAGAGAAAAAAGAAAGAAAGAAGAAGAAAGAAAGAAAGAAAAGGAAAGAAAGAAGGAAAGAAAGAAATAGATGAGGCCTGGTGCTGTGACTCATGCCTGTAAATCCAGCACTTTGGGAGGCCGAGGCAGGTGGACCACTTGAGGCCAGGAGTTTGAGACCAGCCTGGCCAACATGGTGAAATCCCATCTCGAATAAAAATAAAAAAATTAGCCAGGCTTGGTGGCCACCTGTAATCTCAGCTACTCAGGAGGCTGAGGCACAAGGCTCACTTGAATCCTGAAGGTGGAGATTGCAGTGAGCTGAGATCATGCCATTGCACTCCAGCCTGGGTGACAGAGCAAGAGTCTGTCGAAAGAAAGAAAGACAGAAAGACAGACAGACAGACAGAAAGAGAGAGAAAGAGAGAAAGAGAAAGAAAGAAAGAAAGAAAGAAAAAAGAAAGAAAGAAAGAAAAAAGAAAAGAGAAAAGAAAAGAAAAGGAAAAAAAATAGATGAGCCTAAAAAACAATAACCAAAAGTAGATAGTTGGGGGCAGAAGAACATCAAGAATTCCAAGTGAAGCTGTCAACTTGGGTATACAAGTCTGGAGCTTAGGAAGATTATGACTGGACATAAAAAATTGAGGGTAACCACACACAGAGATTATATTTAAAGTCAGGTAATAACCTAAAAACCAAGTTTTTTAAAAGGAGAGGGGACTGCAGTTGAGTCTTAGACATTTAAAGCACCTGGGCATAACAGAATAAGCCAGGAAAAAATGACCAATAGTGGTTAGTTAAGTGTGGTACCTAGAAATCCAAAGTTGAACCTTCCTAGTAGGAAGAAAGAGAAGGGATGATTATTTACATCAAATCTGAAAAAATGTATATAAATTATAGAAGACTACCAATTAGTTTGACAACACAGGAGGTTATAGTAGTGTTGTGCAACCTGATAATGAATACAAACAGCTTTCTCAAGGAGTTTTGCTCTTAAGAGGATTAGAGAAATGAAATAATAAAAAAGGGAAATAATTCTGTTATATTTACATGTGATAGGAATGATCTAATAGAGAAACTGAAGATGCAAGAGACATGGGATGACTGCAGGCAAGAGGGAAGAATGAAGATTCTGAAAAGGTGAGAAGGGGTAAGATCCAGAGGGCAAGTGGAGGAACAGGACTCCAATTTTTTTAAAAGTGACATTTTTCTTTTTTCTTTATCTTTTTTGAGACGGAGTTTTGCTCTTGTCGCCCAGGCTGGAGTGCAGTGGCATGATCTCAGCTCACTGCAACCTCTGCCTCCCGAGTTCAAGCAATTCTCCTGCGTGTGCCTCCGAGTAGCTGGGATTACAGGCGCCCGCCACTACAGCCAGCTAATTTTTTGTATTTTTAGTAGACATGGGGTTTTGCCAAGTTCGGCAGGCTGGTCTCGAATTCCTGATCTCAGGTGATCTGCCCACCTCAGCCTCCCAAAGTGCTGGGATTACAGGCGTGAGCCACCGCGCCTGGCCATTTTTCTGTTTTGTAAGAGAAAAAACAGAATTTGAATATAAATACAAAATTTTAGATTTGAAGTTGTGTCCCCAGGACCCAAAACAGTAGCTGGCATATAACAAGCCCTCAATAAATATTTACTAATTTAGAGCACTGAATTAGAACTTTATTTTTTTTTTTTTGAGACAAGGTCTCACTTTGTCACCCAGGCTAGAATGTAGTGGTGTGATCTCAGCTCACTGCAGCCTAGACCTCCCAGGCTCAAGCGATCATCCCGCCTCAGCTCAAGTAGCTGGGACTACGGGCACAAGCAACCACACTTGGCTAACTATGGTATTTTTTTTGTACAGATGGGGTTTCATCATGTTGCCAAGGCCAGTCTTGAATTCTTGGGCTCAAGCAACTGGCCAGCCTCAGCCTCCCAAAGTGCTAGGAATACAGGTGTGAGCCACCACGCCTGGCCAGCACTTATTTCACTTAAAATCTTAACTTCTTATGGCCCCTAGGCCCTACTCCTCTCATCTCTTCTTAATATTCTTCCCTTGGTCTATTACTCCCATGTTTGATATTTTTTCCCTGTTCTTTAGGACAATCTAAATTTGTTCCTGCCTTGGAGCTTGTGTACTTGCTGTTCCCTCTACCTAATTATATTTAAAGAAAGTCATACCATTGAAATAGTACTTGCTTAAGCCAATAAAATCAGAGAAAAAATAGTACTCTTCGTTGGAAACAGTATATTATCAAGATTCCTTTGCTCTAAATAAGTGGTAGGCAAACTAGAACCCTGGGTCAAATCCAGCCTGCTTCCTGATTCTGTAGACAAAGTGTTATCGGAACACTGTCATGTCCATTCATTTACACACACAGTCTGCTTTACAGCTGCAAGACCAGAGCTGAGTAGTTACAACAGAAACCATATCATTGCAAGTCTTAAATATTTATTCTTTAGCCCTTTACAGGAAAGTTCTGCTGATCCTTGCTCTAAATTTAATTCTAAATTCCAAAATAATTAGGCAAGTAAAAGAGGATTTTCAATAACACACACGTATTTTTTTAACAATCAGGAACCAAATTAAATTTAAAAATGAGAAAATGTATGGAGAAACTGAGCTAGCTATAAAATCTAGTATTAAATGTCACATGTTGACCCAGGTTTTTAAAACTCTATCCCCTTAAATAATCAAATTTTAAAGTCACAATAGGGTTTTTTTTAAAACTCAGTATTTAATCCTTCATTTGGCTGAATAAAATTATCATGAGATTTCCTGGTGTTAAAAAATGAGGATTTTGGCCAGGCACAGGGGCTCATGCCTATAATCTCAGCACGTTGGGAGGCCAAGGCAGACAGATCACTTGAGCCCAAGAGTTCAAGACTAGCCTGGACAACATGATGAAACCCTATCTGTACAAAAAAATACAAAATTAGCCAAGTGTGGTGGTGTGTACCTGTAGTTCCAGCTACTTGGGGTGCTGTGATAGGACGACTGCTTGGGCCTGGGAGGTGGAGGCTTCAGTGACCCATGATCACACTACTGTACTCCAGTCTGTGCGACCTTGAGGTCCTTTTTTGAGTCCCTATCCACCCCCCAAAAAAAAGGATTTCACACAATTGTCTACCATAGCTGCTGAAACAAACGGTATTTCCATTTCTTTTTCCTAAGAGCAGTTATTGTCTTGTGCTAGCTCTTAGAATCCTTGGGAATGTTTATGGTAGGAGAAGGGTTAAAAGTGTTCTAAGCCCTTCACTTCCATTTCAACCAGAGTTGTTTTCCTTTTATCTGTTTTATATATTTTGTTTTTGCAGAAGTATTTGAAAAGCACAGGTAGTCATAAATTCAGCCAATAGCTAACAGCACTGGTTTAGTGAGAAAAAGCAAGACATGGATCTAAAATAGACCAGGAATATCACCCTAGTTCTGATAACTTACAATCCGTGACTTCAGGGAAGTTAGTTAACCCTTCTGAAACTTTGTTTTCACATCTTTGAGAAGAAGTTAACATTGGACTCACAGTATAAAAATAATGCAGTAACACATGTAAAACATTTACCTGGCACAGCAGCGCTCAACAAATTGTAATTCACTCCTTCTTCTCTTACTATTAAGTTTAACAATACAGAATTACTGATACCAGACCAATTCTGACCTATAAAAATGGCATTCATATAGTTCAACTTAATCCTGCAAAAATCAGCTGTGCAGACAAGAGTTACCAGAGGGTAGAAAGGCCGCCTTACAAGGGTGGCCCTTGGCTGGCATTTGGGAATTTAGCTGGTAAACAGTTCCCTACATTGATAAGAAACTTTCCTCAAATGATAAGGGCAGCTTACTCTGCCTACACTGTTTATACAAACAATATGGTTTATGTTGTATACTTATTTTCTTTCTGGGAGTCTGGAATTTTGGTACATTCTAGGCAGATGCCTACGTGCCATCCCTCAAGAAAAACTTTGGGCACTCAGTCTCTAATGAGCTTCCTTGGTAGACAACATTTCACATGTGTTGTCACAATTCATTGCTGAAGAAATTAAGTGCATCCTATGTGCCTCAATGGGGAGAAGCCTCATAGAATTTTGCACCTGCTTTCCTCCAGGTTTCACCCCATGTACCTTTTCCCTTTGCTGATTTCGCTTTGGATTCTTTTGCTGTAATAAATCTTAGCCATAAGTACAACTACATTCTGGATCCTGTGAGTCCTTCCAGCAAATCTTTGAGCCTGTGGACGGTCTTGGGATCACATTTGACACATCAACTTTTAAAATACAACTATTTTAATGGCAATTTTGTTAAACTGTATTGTACATAGTCCTAACTTCTCAGAATATATTACATTTAAAATTAGATGGCAAGGTAAATTTTGATGTATTTACATGCTATCATAATGTGATACTCTCAAGGGTTAAATTCTATAAACCTACTTTCTCCTATACTAAATGTCCCAAATTGCCAGGGCACTGACTTCTTCTGAGTAGACACAAACTTTCAGGAATGCAATCTGGCAACATATATCAGTAGCCTTTAAAAAGATCTTGCATTCCATTTGACCTAGTAATTCTAGATCACATTTATTCTAAGTAAATCATTAAAGACATGTACAAAAATTATGCCAAAATGCTAATTTCAATGCAATATTTGGCTCAAACAACGTACATATTCAATGAGACTGATTAAAACTTAATTTTGGTATACCTCTAGACTGGAATACCATGAAACCATTCAAACAGGAGTTTGAAGAAAGAAAGGAAGAAAAAAAGAAAGCCTTTGCATACTATTAAAAGGAGTCTGAATTTAGACTTAAAGGCAACAAAGAAGCAGTGATGTAAAAACCTGGGAAAATTAAATGACTTATGTGTTTTTAGAAAAATTATGGCTTATGTGTATTGCTGTCTTTGAGTGAAAAATAGAATATATGAATAAGACGGCTTTTTTGGTGTGAATTTATTAGAGAGGACGAGGGAAAGAAGAGAGAATTAGTATAGTACTAATTTTATTAAGTTTGAACTACTCACAGAACATCTAAGTGGTCTAGTAATGCAGAGGGCTATGTGAGTAGAGCCCACGAGAGAATTAGGTAAGGATGATTTGGAAGTCATGAGCATGCAAAAACAGTGAAAGCTATAGAAGTAGATGACATCTCCAGGACAGTTTAAAAAGTAAGGAAGTACAGATCCCTAGAAAACACAAATATTTAAGAAAAAGAAGAAACATTTAAAAAGGAGATCATGCCATAAAAAGAAAACCAGATGGAAAAAAGAGATCGACGATTCCTCAAAATGTTAAATGTGGAATTATGTTATGACCTAGCAATTCCACTCCTAGCTATAAAACCAAAAGAATTTAAAACAGGGAGTCAAACAGATACCTGTATACCAATGTTCATAGCAGTACTATTTCCAATAGCCAAAAGGTAGGAACAACCCAAGTGTACGTCAAGAGATGAATGGATAAGCAAAATATAGTACATCTATACAATGGACTATTATTCAGCCATAAAAAGGAATGGAATTCTGGTATATGCTATAACATGGTTGAATCCTGAAAACATTATGCTAAGTAAAATAAGCCAGACATAAGAGAATAAGTATTTTATAATTCCACTTATATGAGGTATCTAGAATAGGCAAATAAAGATAGAAACTACAATAGAGGTTATGAGGTACTAGGAGAAGGGGAAAGAAGGAGTTATTTAGTGAATGCGGAGTTTCTATTTGGGATGATAAAGTTTGAAAACAGTAGTGATGGCTGCACAACACTGTGAATGTACTTACTGCCACCGAATTGTTCACTTAAAAATGGTTAACACGATAAATGTTGTATCTATTTTACCACAACTTAAAAATATATATTTTCACTAAAGCCAAAGGTAAAGAGAGTCAATAGTATCAAATTCTGCTGCAAGATCGGGCAATGTAAGAAGATCTGAGAACTAGGCATGGGCCTTAATGTGATGGTAGCATGGTCACTGTAATAACTAAATTATACATAGCAGGTGGAAGAATTAATAAAAGGAAGAACACCATAAGGATTTGGACATCTGAATGGACCTACATTTTAGACCGTGCCCAATTACAGGAATTAGAGGAACAGATAAAATTGACAAAGGGTCAAGACTTAATCCAAATGAGTCACCCAGGCCCTACCTTTGACCCCTTCAGGTGATACTGGGAGCCTGGAGAAGGTGAAATGCTGCTCCTAAGCCTTGGTAAGTAAAGCAGGTAGAACAAATAGTGTGGTAAGGCTGGTTTGCATCTGGCTCCAAGGAGTATCAGGGTGTGGTTTCCTTTCCCTCAGAGATATCAAAGACTGAAAGTAGCATTCTCCTGGCCTAGAATCGGTGATAGTGGATCTTCAGAGGGCAATTTATTGACTCCCCCAACAACACTGTCACAAAACTACTGGTAGATCAGCTACTGTGTCCTGCCTGGTATGGGATTGAGTGCAGTGGGACTGGAATTATTCTTGGAAATAGGGTCACTGCTGCTCCAAACTGATAATCAGGCACTATCCTAGGAGGTATTTTATAGAGCAGATAATCCAATCTCCAGTTTTACAGACCAGGAGATGACTGATCTAAGTGTCACAAACCCTACCTCCAAGTCCTACCTCTACCACTAAAGTCACTATATATCCTTGGGACATGCCACATAACTACTCTGGGGTCTCAGTGCCCATATCTGTAAAATAAACTAACTCTTAATTCTAAGTCAACATGGTATTATAATAGCAAAGAAAAAAATACCTTAAAGTCCTTAAATTGGTTTAGCATTTTTCCCATCAAACTGCATTGTCCCTACTATCCCTGTGAAATTTACCAGAGTACTATTTATGACTGTTGATTATTTACTTAATGAAGCAAACAGCCTATGTTACAAAATGGTACTAGATATTATTTTAGACTAGAGTTACCCAAAGCCTAAATTCTGGTAGTCCTAAATTTATACCACTTTAATTTTCATTGCTTCACTAACTTTACAAATATAGAGAACATTTTTGGTCATCAGAAGTAGAATTATTTTGTTTTACTTTTTTGAGACAGGGTCTTGCTCTGTCACCCAGGCTGGAACGCAGTGGTGCGATCATGGCTCACTGCAGCCTGGAACTCCTGGGCTCAAGTGATCCTCCCACCTCAGCCTCCCAAGTAGCTGGGACTACAGGCATGCGCTGCCATGCCCAGCTAATTTTTAAAAAATTTTTATTTTGTAGAGACAGGGTCTCATTGTATTACCCAGGCTGGTTTCAAACTGCTGGGCTCAAGCGATCTGCCTGCCTCAGCCTCCCAAAGCACTGGAATTACAGGTATAAGCCACCACACTGAGCTGAATTATTTACGTAATATTTCTATTCTTAAAAATGAAAAAACGCTATTTCCAAATGTGTTGTAATTCTAAATTAACATCAAAAACTTTAAAGGAAGAACAACCACTACTCTGTTTGCAATAATCTATTTGATATTGCCACATTTTTCTGGAACCACTTTACAAATTTAAAATCTTATTTGTTTTATACCAAAATGTCCTTATTCATTAAAAAACCATCACAAATTATCACCTAAGCCACATCATATATTATTAATGCAGAAATTTAAGTAAGTGGCCGGGCGCGGTGGCTCACGCCTGTAATCCCAGCACTTTGGGAGGCCGAGGCGGGTGGATCACGAGGTCAGGAGATCGAGACCATCCCGGCTAAAACGGTGAAACCCCGTCTCTACTAAAAATACAAAAAATTAGCCGGGCGTAGTGGCGGGCGCCTGTAGTCCCAGCTACTTGGGAGGCTGAGGCAGGAGAATGGCATGAACCCGGGAGGCGGAGCTTGCAGTGAGCCGAGATCCCGCCACTGCACTCCAGCCTGGGCGACAGAGCAAGACTCCGTCTCAAAAAAAAAAAAAAAGAAAAAAAGAAATTTAAGTAAGTTAGAACTGAAAATCTAAAAAGGGAAAAATGCCAATCATTAAATTGAGGAGGCATTTAGAGAAAAAGAACAGTTTAGAATGATGGAATAAATAAGCTCTAATTCCTCAGAAACTGGACTTAAAGGATGTTCTTCTTCCCAATTAAAAATTTAATTTCTTCTCTGTATAAACTCTCAAACTGCAAGTGGGTTTTGATGAGAAGCTCATACCAGCATCTTAGATCTTAGGTAAAACCTCTAATTTTCCCTTTGAGTGTTAAGACCTCCAATAACATACATTTCAATAATATAACCATAGCCAGTGTATGTTATTGAAGGCATAACATGAATAGGTTATACTAATTGTTATATTAATAGGTGTAAAAAATCTCCATGACTTCTCAATATACTCCTTCAGATTTGCGATCAAAATCTGTCCATTTCTTTTCTCTCTCTTACAATCTATTATTTTTAAATATTTGTATGAAAATACGTAAGAAATTTAAAAATAAAGAGCAAATGAAGTTTGGTATGACAATTGTCCTCAGTTCATCACATGTGGCATTTCACTTCATTTTACTCCTCTATTAACTAAATGTGACTCTTCTGACCTATGTGGCAGCATGAATCTGGAGCCAAGCAACTCTGGGTTCAAACCTAACTCTACCTTTTATTAATTATGTGGCCATAGGCAAATGTGTTAATCTCCTTGAGCTGCATTTCTTATAAAATGAAAATAATACCTGCCTTTTTGCTGGGATGATTAAGATATTTTATATAAAACACATTGCTCAAAGTAGGGGAGCTGCTTAACACTTACAGAACATTATATGAATACAATGAGCTCTGTATGTATTACAAGTGAAAAAAATTATAAGAAAAAATTGTTTATGATTAAGTACGAAACAAATGAAAAATTCAGCATTACCCTAAGAACAGCTGTAAACATGGCTGGGCATGGTGGTTCATGCCTGTAATCCCAGCACTTTGGGGGGCCAAGGTGGGCAGATCGCTTGAGCCCAGGAGTTCGAGGCCAGCCTGGTCAATGTGGTGAAACCCTGTCTCTACTAAAAATACAAAAATTAGCTGGGTGTGGTGGCATGCACCTGTAATCCCAGCTACTCAGGAGGCTAAGACATGAGAATCCCTTGAGCCTGGAGGTTGCAGTGAGCTGAGACTGCCCTACTGCACTCCAGCCTGGATGACAGAGTGAGACTCTGTCACAAAACAAACAACAAAAAAAGAACAGTTGTAAACAATGCAAGGACAGTACTTTAAAGCAGGCTTTTGAATACAAAAACAAAGCCACGCTTAAATGAAAGCACCTCCAATTAGTACAAACAAATCAACACTCACTTTAAAAGCAGCAGAAAAAAAAATAGTTTCTTCATAGTCGATTAAGTGTCAAGAAATCACAAGCAAAAATGTTAAGCACTGGATGAAAAAAGAACAAGTAAAAAGTTTCTGAAAATGTTTCATTATATACAAAATATTTTAGAATCTTCAATTATACAAATTCAAACTAAAAATACCCGAGCACCGGCTGAGCGCAGTGGTTCATGCCTGTAATCCCAACACTTTGGGAGTCCGAGGAGAGTGGATCACGAGGTCAGGAGTTCGAGACCAGCCTAGCCAAAATGATGAAACCCCATCTCTACTAAAAACACAAAAATTAGCTGGGCGTGGTGACACACGCCTGTAATACAGCTACTCGGGAGGCTGAGGCAGGAGAATTGCTTGAACCCGGGAGGCAGAGGTTGCAATGAGCTGAGATAGAGCCACTGCATTCCAGCCTGGGAGACACAGCAAAACTCCATCTGTTGCTGGGGGTGGGGGGAACCCAAGCACCAACAAATTAATGACTCCTGTCAGCAGGTGGCTCTAGTGACACTGGAATAACAATATCAAATACTATAGGAAAATACAGTTGGTAAAAAATGTATCGCTTCTCAGAAATTTGGAGTCAAAATAAGTCATGTCAATACCTCAATCCAATAATGAATATTAGTGGTAATGCTATTTAAAAGGAAAACAAAGATAGCAATCACGTTCTCAGTGTTTGAGAAAGAAAGGTAACTTCGCTTTTTTTTTTTTTACTTTAAAAAATGGCTAGGAAAGAAGAAATTTAATATTTTCCACTTATACTTCTTCCTACTTTCTAGCTCCAGAAGGGTTTTTTTTTTTTTTTTGCTTATGTAACCAATTTAAATACTTACTCTGAACCTGCAGCCATTTCCAAGTATGACGTCTCTGCTGTATCAACCCCCAATGGGATCACTATGCTCATGACGTTCGCCTCTGGTAAATTCGATTACTATGGAGTCCTATGCATTGGTATCCAAAACACTGGGGCATGCCAGCCACAGTGCTCATTGCAAACATCTAAGTGCATCCACAAACCCTGTTTAAAAGAAAAGGAGACAAAAAAGCAACAGTCACACTATAACAGTAAGTAAAATAACATGAAGAAAACATTCTTTATTAAAATCTCAATATAAATTGAAATTTGCTTAGAGTCTCTCTCATTAATTTTTCTGGAATTGAGTTATGTGATCATGATCAAAAGAAAAGTTTCTAAATCACAATCTTTCTGAGGGAATGAATTTAGAATGCCACAAGAAGATTACTACGGCATATTTAGTGAAGAACCAAAAATTATTCATTTTAAAAGATAAAATGTAATTTCTTAAAGTGCCAGTATGCAAAAATAAGTCTTCTTTGTTCAGTGAGTGATCTAACAATATACTACCAAATACTGAGTACTTACTATGGACTAAGCACCATAATCAGCTTTTTACATGGATGGTCTATTTAATCCTCCTAATTCTAAGGTAGGTATCTCCATTTTACCACTGAGGAAAAGAAAACCAAAACAGGCTAATACCGAAAAGCACTGTGTAATTGTCTATTATTGTATATTTTCATATTATAATAATTAGTAATCTGGTAGCTCTCCTCCAGCAACACATGGTTTAAAAATAACTTAATCAAGGCTACTCCACTTAAGAGATGAAACCAGGATCTGAACCAATTCTACTCTACTGTTTGCATCTGTATGTAAGGGAAACTATGTTATTTGTAAAAATTTGATTACTGTACAGTAGTTGTCATTTTCTATAACAGGTAAATCTAGGTATACTGTTGAAGGAGTTCTCTTTTTCTTCCATTAATATTGTTCAGTTATTAAAGAGTTAATATTCCCTAACTCAATTAGTAGAAAAAACTAATGAAGTTTTTTTTTAAACAAATTTACAATAGCAACTAAAAGATACTTAGCTTCAACATCAATTTTTCTAATTTAAATTCACTACATAACAGTGGCTACAGGTATGTTTATAAAATATCTACTCAAAGTCTTTTCAAAAATTATACAGGTGCAACTCAGGAACAAAACCAATATAGATAATCCTATAAATTAGAAAACAGCAACAGTCATTATCCTTGTCTCTGTAATGTAATACCTGAAATATTGAAAAGCAGTGTGCAATTGTCTATTACTGTATATTTTTATCTTATAATAATTAGTAATCTGGTAGCTCTCTCCCAGTTACACATAGTTTAAAAGTTCAAGGCTAGTTTTCTTGGAGAATTCAAACCACTATTAACATGTTATTAACCCGCTTTGGTAATCTTCCCCCATAATGTATGAACTCACAATCTGTATAATCTGTGAAACAGGAATTAACCTAAATAGATATTTTCAAATGTAACTAAATATTACAGGCAGATATAAGAATTGCTACTTGAAGAAACACTGTTTTTTATGTTAGACTCACAAAAGTCTTGTATTTTAGGTATATACTATATTTAGTGGTATACTTATTTACCAGAGGCAAACATTGAAAGGAAATCAAGTCATTATTAAAGTCTTTTAAGTACTGAGTGATATTTCCAATCTAAAATAATCTACTTAGGTATTTATTTACTAGTATGTCCCTTTTTATATAAATATGCCATCCTCAGTACACACCACACTTGAGATGTTTCAGTAAAGAGCTTGCCACAAACTTCCTTCAGACAATGACTTCTATTTGTGCTATTGCTGCTTGTCTTCCAAACTGCACAGTGCCTGGGACATAACAGCATTCTACAAAGAATTGGTGAATGCATTAGAGAACTTGAGATGAAACTGCAGCTCTGGCTTAATTAACTAAATGAACTATCACCCTGTATAATCAAGTGTCATTAAAAACGACTACATGACATCCCCATAACTGCCTTTCCCTAAAAACACAGAAGCTTATCCTCAGGACAAAGATACATCATCACATCTGAAACAGAACTGCAGACTCTGAATTTGATTCAACAGGAAAAGCAGATCTCAGTAATTTACTCACAAGAGGTCAGAAGACAAGAGGTCATATGTATTAAGACATTAAGGCAAGTATTTCACTATTTGCATTAATATAAAAAATCTTATAATGAGAAAATTCGCATCGCTTAAAAATGTTGTTGATATTTAATAAAATGATGAATTCGTTAGGGTCAAATCATAGTTTTTTTAAAAAGGGAAAGCCAATGTAGCAAGCAGAAAAGATGTGACCTTTAACACAGTGAGTTTAAAAAACAGTCAAAAACTGGCCGGGCATGGTGGCTCAAGCCTGTAATCCCAGCACTTTGGGAGGCCGAGGCGGGTGGATCATGAGGTTAGGAGATTGAGACCATCCTGGCCAACATGGTGAAACTCTGTCTCTATTAAAAATACAAAAATTACCTGGGCTTGGTGGCATGTGCCTGTAATCCCAGCTACTCAGGACGCTGAGGCAGGAGAATCGCTTGAACTAGGGAGTCAGAGGCTGCAGTGAGCTGCGATCGCGCCACTGCACTCCAGCCTGGTGACAGAGCGAGACTCCGTCTCAAAAAAAAAAAAAAGTTATAAATAAAGGGAAAAGGTTTTTAACACAACCTTAACAATTAACACAATGTTTCACATCTTATGTGTGAATCAAAAAACTGGTCATCCAGCTGACAAGTAAAATATGTACAAAATACATTGAGAATAAATGGCAGCCATTAAAGAAATAATAGAAAAGGAAATACCATGAGATGTCTGGTAAATCTGAGGTCCAAGAAAGAATAAATGTCTTCACAAAACCTGCTTATCCAGAATAGACCTAGAAACCAAGTGAACATAGGAGTTTTGAGCTATTTTTAAATGGCATAAAATTATAATTACTTCTAACTGACATGGTACCTAAAACCAAAGTGACTCACACAAAGCAGCCAATTCTTAAAAGGATAAATTTACTCTTCCCTTTTTACACAAATGAATGTAAACACAAGTAAAGGCAACAATCAAAGCTAAATACTAAATCAAACTGGAAAAAGAAACACTGGGATACAATATTAAATTTAATATTTAAAAATGTTTAACTGAAAAATAAATTTTAATACAATATTAAAAACAGATTTAGCAAAGGCAACAATACCAAAACAAAAACAATAAAAACAAACAAGACTCTCAAGTAGGAAAAATGAAGTAAAAGGCAAAAAAAGCAATTAAAGTAGAAAACAGTTTATCAGAAAAACTGGAAGACTGAAGCTGCCTTTAAGACCGTGTTAAAATAAACAGAAAACAGCTGGGCACAGTGGCTCACACCTGTAATCCCAGCACTTTGAGCAGCTGAGGCAGGCAGACTACTTGAGCCCAGGAGTTCAGGAACAGCCTGGGCAACATAGTGAGACATTATCCCTACAAAAAATACAAAAACTAGCTGGATGTGGTGATGCACACCTGTAGTCCCAGTTACTTGGGAGGCTGAGATGGGAGGATTGTTTGAGCCCAAGAGGTCAAGGCTGCAGTGAGCCACGATTGCACAACTGCACTCCAGCCTGGCTGACAGAGGGAGACCCTGTCTTAAAAAAAACAACAAAAAAAAGAAAACAAAAAGTAACACTTTAAAGATTAATATGATACCCAAAAGGCAGAAAGAATAAAAAATATGAGTAAAAATATTTTTCTAAAATTACAAATAAAAGAGCCCAATATAACAATCTCTTTGAGGAAAGAGCCATTTATTATATTTCTGTCCTTTATAAGCACCTGGCACAGTGCTCAATAAATATTTTAAATTAATGTATATATTTTGGATGTGTATCACTAAGAGACTAGGTAAATTTTTGGCTTAATTACTAATGGAAATAATTAAAGAAACTTGAAAGAAATTTTGAGGAGACATGTAACTGAGACTGGAAATTAAACAGCCCTTATTAGTCATTTAACATTTAATTTACAGCAGCTGACTAAGGTAAAATGAAAAGAATACTAGTCAATCAGATCCATTCCAAGTTACTACCTACGAATGCTTGGGCAAGTCATTTCACTGCTCTGACTTTCAACTATAAATGGAAGTTGATTAGGCTGATGATCTTACAATTACATTAACAGATTATTCCAAATAATCAAAATGACAGAATTTTAGATTCTAAAAAACTATAAAATATAAATGTGATAACAAAATGAATATGCATTTCTACAACTGAGCTAGCATTACTACCAGATAGTGCTCTAGAAGCACTTATCTGATACTCAAACTTCCCCAACTAGTGGTTATAATAATAATGATAGCAAATTCTGAGTGCTTACAATGCTTAATCTCCACAATAAGCCTATGGTATAGGTGCATTTATTATCCCCATTTTACAATGAGGTAGAGAGGTTAAACTTGTCCAAAGTTCATAACTAATAAATAGCCAAATCAAGATCTGAACCCTTGTGGTCTGATTCCAGAGCCTACACATCAGTATGCCTGAAATTAAAAACTGCCAGATGGCTGAGAGCTGTGGCTCACACTTGTAATCCCAGCACTTTGGGAGGCCTAGGCGGGTGGGTCACCTGAGGTAAGGAATTCAAGACCAGCCTGGCCAACATGGTGTAACCGTGTCCCTACTAAAAATACAAAAATTAGCTGGGTGTGGATACACCTGTAATCCCATCTACTTGGGAGGCTGAGGCACGAGAATCGCTTGAACCCAGGAGACAGAGGTTGCAGTGAGCCAAGATTGCTCCACTGCACTCCAGCCTGGGTGACAGACTCTGCCAAAAAAAAAAACAAAAAAAAAAACCAAAAGAACAACAACAACAACAACAAAAAACCCTGCCAGATGATAGGTAAAATAAATAATCTAGAATTTATAATTAAGGAAGAAAAAATTGACAGCTGCCTCTCTCAAAAAGGGAAATTAAATACTTAAGTATCTCACTCCAGAACATCTGAATTGCGTTTCCTCTGATTATTAAATGAAACTGCACTAACAAAACCGACCTTGCTCCTCCCTCAAACCTGATCCAGTTAACAAACTTACATTTAATCTGTAACAATGCATTAAAACACCACAAACGTGGGCAAATACAGTCTCAAAGACTAAAATTTGTGTTTATGGCCGGGTGTGGTGGCTCACATCTGTAATCCCAGCACTTTGGGAGGCCAAGGTGGGTGGATCACCTGAGGTCAGAAGTTCGAGACCAGCCTGGCCAACATGGTGAAACCCCACCTCTACTAGAAATACAAAATTAGCCGGGCACGGTGGCACATGCCTGTAGTCCTGGCTACTCAGGAGGCTGAGGCAGGAGAATCACCTGAACTGCACAGCCTGGGCGACAAGAGCAAAACTCTCTGTCTCAAAATAAATAAATAAATAAATAAAGCAAGAAAATAAAATTAAATGGAACACTACTCAGCAATATAAAGGAACAAACTATCAATACAGGCAACAACTTGGGTGAATCCAAGGTAATTATGCTGAGTGGAAAAAAAAAAAAGCCGATCTTGGCTGGGCACAGTGGCTCACACTTGTAATCCCAGCACTTTGGGAGGCTGAGGCAGGTGGACAATTTGAGGTCAGGAGTTCGAGACCAGTCTGGCCAAGATGATGAAACCCCATCTCTACTAACAATAAAAAAAATTAGGCCAGGCGCAGTGGCTCACGCCTGTAATCCCAGCACTTTGGGAGGCCAAGGCAGGCAGATCACACGGTCAGGAGATCGAGACCATCCTGGCTAACACGGTGAAACCCCGTCTCTACTAAAAATACAAAAAAAAAAAAAATTAGCCAGGCTTGGTGGTGGGCGCCTGTAGTCCCAGCTACTTGGGAGGCTGAGGCAGGAGAATGGCATGAACCCAGGAGGCGGAGCGTGCAGTGAGCCGAGATCGTGCCACTGCACCCCAGCCTGGGCAACACAGCAAGACTCAGTCTCAAAAAAAAAAAAAAAAAAAATTAGCCAGGTGTGGTGGTGGGCACCTGTAATCTCAGCTAATCAGGAGACTGAGGCACAAGAATTGCTTGAACCTGGGAGGAAGAGGTTGCAGTGAGCCAGGATTGCACCACTGCACTCCAGACTGGGTGACAAAGCGAAAACTCCATCCCCCCACCCCCCCACCCCCCAAAAAAAAGCCAACCTCAAAAAGTTACATACTATTTAACTCCATTTATATAACATTCTTAAAGTAATAAATTACAGAAATGGAGGATAGGTTATTCAGAAGGGAAGGGGTAGAGAAAGATAGGTATGGTTACATAGGAGAACAATATTAAGGATCCTTGTGGTGATAAAATTGTTCTATACCTTAACTGTGGTGGTGGGTACAGGTACCCACACATGTGATCATAATGCACAGAACTAAATCTAGACAAACAAATGAGTGCAAATACAACTGGGAAGCCTGAATAAAAGGAGAAGATTGTATCAATGTCAATATTCTGGTCTTGGCCAGGTGTGTTGGCTCACGTCTGTAATTTCAGCACTTTGGGAGGCTGAGGCAGAAGGATCACGTGAGGCCAGGAGTTTCAGAACAGCCTGGGCTACAGAGTGTGACCCAAACTCCACAAAAATAAAAAAATTAGCTGGGCATGGTGGTGCAAGCCTGTAGTCCTAACTATTCAGGAGATTGAGGTAGGAGGATCGTCTGAGCCTAGGAGTTTGAGATTACAGCAAGCTGTGATCATACTACTCTCCAACCTGGGCAACAAAGGGAGACCCTGTCTCTTAAAACAAACAAACAAACACACACACACTAGTCAGGACATTGTACCACAATTTTACAAGACTTTACCATTGAGGGAAACTGCGTACTATGGTTTGAATAAGATTTGTCCCTGCCAAAACTCATGTTGAAACCTTAATTTCTAGTGAAGCAAGGTTACGATGTGGAGCCTTTAAGAGGTAGGGCCTTGAACAGGAGGTGTCTGGATCATGAGGGCCCCGACTCTGTGGGTGGCTCTTGTGGTAGTGAGAGCATTATCTCTGGCAAGACTGGATTAGTTCTCTGAGGAATAGATTCGTTCCTGAGATAGTGGGTTGTTAAAAACTTTAGCCAGAACACCCTTTGAGTTCTGCTTTTTCACACGTGCCCATTTCCCTTTTGATTTTCCTCCATGTTGTGATGCCACCATGCTTCTTGAACTTCCCAGCCTGCAGAGCAGTGAACTAAAAACCCTTTGGGCCGGGCGCAGTAGCTCACACCTGTAATCCCAGCACTTTGGGAGGCCGAGGCAGGCGGATCACGAGGTCAGGAGATCGAGACCACCCTGGCTAACACAGCGAAACCCCATCTTTACTAAAAATACAAAAAAATTAGCCAGGCGTGGTGGCGGGCGTCTGTAGTCCCAGCTACGCAGGAGGCTGAGGCCGAAGAATGGCATGAACCCAGGAGGTGGAGCTTGCAGTGGGCCGAGATCATGAAACTGCACTCCAGACTGGGCGACACAGCAAGACTCCGTCTCAAAAAAGCAAAAACAAAAAGCAACAAAAAAAAGCAAAACAAACAAAAATACAAAAAACCTTCTATTAATTACCTAGTCTCAGATATTCTGTTATAGCAACACTAAATGGACTAAGACACTGGGTAAAAATACATAGAATTTCTCTATTATTTCTTACAACCATATGCAACTCTATAATTATCACAAAATTAAAAGTTTAATGTTTTAAAATGACATTAAAATTGTGGGCTTCAAACTCTTTTTAAGCATTGGTAGCAATTTGCCTACACATGAAATATTAACACAGAAATCTAGGCATCCTTTTTGATTGTAACATGAAAAAATAGTTTTAATCTCCTGTGCTTTAACCAATAATTGTTAGTGTCCACTTGAAGTGCTGTACTAAGAAAGCCAAATATAATGGGAGAATGCCACAGTGATGTCTGCCAATGGGTAGAGTAGGCATTTGTACTTCATGTTTGCTACATCTGTGGTTTAAAAAAATACCAGGGGAATGTCCACACCTGTACACCCTCTCACCTATGGCTTCCTGAAGAACTGTTTGAAAATCAATAGCTAAAAGAAAATGCTGACTTAAAATCTGATAGGAAAAACTTGTTTCACTGGTATATTCTACTTGTCCCAAGGACATATTGAGTAGAATATTTTTTACTCTTGCAAAAAATAGTGTTAAAGCTTATTGTAATTAATAATCAAACAACAACAAAATCCTATGATGGACATGGTGGCTCACAACTGTTATCCCACATTTTGGGAGGCCAAGGCAGGAGGACTGCTTGAGGCCAGGAGTTTGAGGCCAGCCTGGGCAAAAAACCAAGACCCTGTCTCTACAAAAAAATTTTTAAAAATTAGCCAGGGGTAGTGGTATGTGCCTGTAATCCCAGCTAACTGGGAGGCTGAGGTGACAACGTCACTTGAGCCCAGGAGTCTGAGGTGACAGTGAACCATGATAGCACCAGTGTACTCCAGCGTGGGGAACAGACCAAGACTCTGTCTCTAAAAAAAATAAATAAGTAAAACAAAAATAAGTAAATAACTTTTTTTTAAAATCCTGCAAACGCTTTTTTTTTCTTGAGACGGAGTCTCGCTCTGTCATCCAGGCTGGAGTACAGTGGTGCGATCTCTGCTCACTGCAACCTCCACCTCCCAGGTTCAAGCGATATTCCTGCCTCAGCTTCCCAAGAAGCTGGGAATACAGGTGTCTGCCACCATGCCCAGCTAATTTTTGTATTTTTAGTAGAGACAGCATTTCACCATGTTGGCCAGGCTGGTCTCGAACTCCTGACCTCAGGTGATCTGCCTGCCTCAACCTTCCAAAATGCTGGGATTACAGGCTTGAGCCACCACGCCCAGCCCCATTTATCTTTAACTTACTTAACCTATATAGACCATTAGACTTGATCATTATTACTTTTTAGCCTTTTTTTTTTTTTTTTTTTTTTTGTGATAAGAGTCTTGCTATGTCGCCCAGGCTGGAGTGTGGAGTGCAGTAGTGTGATTTCGGCTGACTGTAACCTGTCTCCTGGGTTCAAGAGACTATCCCGCCTCAGCCTCCTAAGTAGCCGGGACTACAGGCGCGCCACCATGCCCAGATAGTTTTTGTATTTTCAGTAGAGACAGAGTTTTATCATGTTGGCCACACTGGTCTCAAGCTCCTGACCTCCAGTGATCCACCCACCTTGGCCTCCCAAAGTGCAGGGATTACAGGCATGAGCCACCATGCCTGGCCTTTATTTATTTATTTATTTAATTTATTTATTTATTTTTGAGACAGTTTCACTCTGTCACCCAGGCTGGAGTGCTGTAGCACAATCTCGAGTCACTGCAACCTCCGCCTCCCATGTTCAACCAATTCTCCTGCCTCAGCCTCCCAATTAGGTGGCATTACAGGTGCCCGCCACCATGCCCAGCTAATTTTTGTATTTTTAGTAGAGATGGCGTTTCATCATATTGGCCAGGCTGGTTTCAAACTCCTGACCTCAAGTGATCTGCCCACCTTGGCCTCCCAAAGTGATGGGATTACAGGCATGAGCCACCGTGCCTCACCTTTTTCAGCCATTAAATAACCAAATAAGAGCAGGTTTTTGATTAAAATGAAGTTGGCAATTATTTTATTCTGTCATTCTTTCTTCCCCACCCTCCCACCACCCCCCCAATCCTCAGACGGAGTTTGCTCTTGTTGCCCAGGCTGGAATGCAATGGCGCCATCTTGGCTCACTGCAACCTCCACCTCCCAGGATCAAGCGATTGTCCTGCCTCAGTCTCCCAAGTACCTCGATCACAGGTATCTGCCACCACGCCTGGATAATTTTTTATGTTTTTAGTAGAGACAGGGTTTCACCATGTTGGCCAGGCTGTTTTCGATCTCCTGACCTCAAGTGATCCACCCACCTTGGCCTCCCAAGGTGTTAGGATTACAGGCATGAGCCACCGTGCCCAGCCTATTCTGTCATTCTTTAATCGCAAGTAAAACAGTGTCCTCACTCTCCTTCTATCTCCTTCTAAGTATGCTTTCTATCACTATTTTGAATCCATTTCTTTCATACTAGAAAACTTGAGATTTTTCTTCTTTCCCTCTCTAAAAACAACGTGCATAAAATCTAATTAATAGAATTTAAACAAATCTTTCTGATGATACTGTCTACATTTTATTATCTCAGACCTGGGCAATGAATACTTCCCTAAGTAGTTTCTTTCCCTATACTAATGTGGCTTTTAAACCACTGGTTCCCAAACATAGATCCACAACTGTTACTTTTCATATACCTGGGGATAGGAGTAGAAAATGATAGGTTCCTAGGCCTTACCCTAGAGATTCTCATGTAGTAGGTCTGAGATGTGGCCTGAATGCCTTATCAAAAAACTAAAAGGGCATTCACACCAGTGCTCTATTTTAGTACTGGTTACAACATTGGACAGAATATTATACTTCAAAAGCCACTAGTTTCCTCATAACTTTGACCTATTCAAAAAAAGTGTAGTTCACAGTAATTCCAGTCAAGTTCCTAATGTTGACATTTTATCAGGTTATCTTGTTCCATACTAATAATCCAATCTATAACTCCTTTGATTATGCAAGTCTTTTTTGCTATTGTTGGCATATCCTTGCTCATTCCTCTTCAAATTCACTAATTTTCTTTTCCTTTTCTTTCCCACCCAATAAAAATCATATTAGACCTTCAAGAACCAATGCTTCCTTGAAGCCTTCCCAATTTTTTTAGATAGTTTTAAGATATCTGGCAAATCAACCTCCTAAGGGCTGTTTCCTCACCTGTAAATAACAATTTGACTAGACTTTATCTCAAAAGACTTCTCCAGCTATAAAACTTGTTCTACACTAATGTCTTCCCTTCTTAACCTCCTAAAGAATGCACTACTTACATTAACTACTGGTTTATATTTTGACAGACATTGTTCTAGAACAGCTGCTAAATGTATAGCTTCCACAATTAGATCATCTATTTGACTCCATAGCAAGAACTGAGGTATTTCTATATTACCTCAAAGCCTGTAATTCAGTGGCTAGGATACCCACCTAAATTATTATTGATTAAACCACAATTTCCCTTTTTCTAACACATAAATCTCTCCTCCTTCCTTTAAATGAACATGAAAAAACAAAACCTGCCACTGTTACTAATGTAGTTGCCCCCAGGCTCAGTCCTCCCCATTATTAGTCTCCCATCAATCTTGGACTCAATTTTTCATTTCTGTTTGATTTACTTTTCCCACTCATCTATTGGATGTATATCTATATCTGCCATCACTTCAAAAATCAAGCCTTCAAAGTGAAACTTTCTTTTCCACACATCTTCTTTCATTCTATTTTTTATCAGTATCGCCATTCTCTTCTCCTTCTTTCGTTCCAGTTTCCTATTATATCCAGCCACCCAATCTTTTGTGCCTCCTCAGTGTTTAAGACTCATTCTCCCTCAGCCGCCATGGCCCCTACCATCATCTTCATCACCTGAATAATCCAACAATCAACAACCCTTTCAATATGTCACTATCAACTTCTAAGTAATTTGTCTCTAAAGAATGGAATTCTTAGTATTGTTTAAGCATTTCCCTCCTCCCTCAGAGTACAACTATTCTATTTTAAAACCAAATCAAATCAAATTCATTCATTTAACATATTTATTGAACATATACTATGTTCTAGATACTGCTCTAGGTTCTTGGGAATGGGCAATGAACAAAATTATATTGCTCTTATGACACCTGAAATGACCTATGGCAATCCAATATAATCAAGGGTACCTTCAAGTAGTGTTTTTTTTTCCTGGAGTGCAGTGGCACGATCTCAGCTCACTGCAACCTCTGCCTCCCAGGTTCAAGCAATTCCTCTGACTCAGCCTCCCACGTAGCTAGATTACAGGCGTGCACCACCACAACTGGCTAATTTTTGTATTTTAGTAGAGACGGGGTTTCCCTATGTTGGCCAGGCTAGTCTCGAACTCCTGACTTCAAGTGATCCACCTACCTCGTCCTCCCAAAGTGCTGGGATTATAGACATGAGCCACCGTGCCCGGCCTTAGAGTAGTTTTCTTAAGCAGCTGCCTTTGATTAATGATGTTTATTCTCAATACCTTGTCAAGAATTAGTCCTTTATAAGGATCAACAGAAAGCTACAAAAATTTTCAAATGACTTTAATTCAAATTATTGAACAGCCACTCCTTAGCTATGTGACCCTAGGAAATGTCTCAGTCTCAGGCCGTGCACGGTGGCTCACACTTGTAATCTCAGCACTTTGGGAGGCCAAGGTGGAGGGATCACTTGAGCTCAAGAATTAGAGACCACCCTGGACAACATGGTGAAATCCCATCTCTACAAAAAACAAAAAATGAAAATTAGCCAGGTGTGGTGCTGCAGATGAAGCTGAACACCTGAGGTAAGCTAGGGAAGCTGAGGTGCAAGAATTGCTTGAGCCTGGGAGGTGGAGGTTACAGTGAGCTAAAATCATGCCACTGCACTCCAGCCTGGGTGAATGAGACCATCCCTCAAAAAAAAGCAAGAAAGAGGAAAAAGAAAACAGAAATGTCTCAGTCTCGACTGGGCTGATGGCTCATGCCTGTAATCCTAGCACTTTGGGAGGCTGAGGCAGGCGGATCACTTGAGCCCAGGAGTTCAAGACCAGCAAGGCCAATGTGGGAAACCCAGTCTCCAAAGAAATTCAAAGATTAGTCGGGCATGGTGGCCCATGCCTGTGGTCCCACCTACTCGGGAGCCTGAGGTGAGAGGATGGCTTGAACACAGGAGGCGGAGGTTGCAGTGAGCTGAGATCACACCACTGCACTCCAGCCTGGGCGACAGAGCCAGACTCTGTCTCACAAAAAAAAAAAAAAAGTCTCAGTTCCTCTATGCCACTCAGGAAAAAATGAGCAAAATATCTATCTTTTTGCTCAGAGTACGATATGTAGACACAGTGTAGATATTTATTTATTAATGTTAGTTGTCTCTTAGAATATACAAAAATTGTATTATTCAGTCCAATGATAATAATCAATTCCAATCAGAATACTGTTGGCCACTAAGCAAATGGTGAAAGAACAGCAACTCTATTAGTATATTTGAATAATTATCTTAATATTTCAGATGTATTTAAAATATTTACTATAAAAATCTTAAGACTAAACTAAGAGTAGACTTAATTCCTAAGTACTTACCAAACCCATAAAATCAGCAAGGGACCAAAATTAATTATAAATATATATGTAAATACTTTCAAGTTTAAACAGTTTTACTTCTACAGCATTTTCCTGTCTTTTAATTCCAAGACTTACGATATCCCAAGATCAGCTTCCTCCTCTTCATACAGTAATGTAAATAGAAAAACAAAAACCCGGAAATGGGAAGACTAGTATAATACAACTAGAGAGTTGAAGCTTAAGGAAAGAAAATGTCTGTGCACTTTACACACAAAAATGAATTATGGAATTAATAGATCCACATATCCAATAAGAAAAATACTCAGTATGCAAACACACATGAGCTTTTAGAGTAGCCTGCCTTGAACTTCAAAAAAAGCACACAATCTCTGAAAAAATTTAGAATACAGGCAAAAATGAAATGTCAAGAATGAGGTTGGTGGATACAATGAGTCCTATAAGGGACCAGTACCTTTGCTATGAGACAGACTACACTCACTTTCACCTTCCAGCTTCATTGTAAGGCTGAGGTGGGAGGACTGTTTGATCCCAGGAGTTAAAGACCAGCATGGGCTGTTTAGTGAGACCCTATCTCTACAAAAAAAAATTTGTTTTAAATTAGCCAGACATGGTGACATGGCACCTGTAGTCCCAGTTACTTGGGAGGCTGAGGTGGGAGGATCACTTGAGCCTGGGAGATTAAGGCTGTAGCGAGCCATAATCATGCCACTGCCCTCCAGTCTGGGTGACAGAGCAAGACCCTGTCTCCAAAAAAAAAAAAAAAAAAAAAAAAGAGGGCGGGGCCTTTCTGCAAAGGGATTTTATATATAAATGAAAAATAACCCACATATAGTGAGCTCATCAGTCACTCATAAAAACCATTTAAGCATGAGGAAATTGCTGTGTGTAGCTGGGGATTGAACTAGAATTGCTTTTCCCAAAATCCTTAATGAACTATTTACTTTAGGAGGTAAGAGGTACCAATTTTAAACTTCTGTAAGTGAAATTTTAAGCTATGTCGACAAAATCTCCTTTGACATATAACTTCCACTATCACTGTAGATCAATTTAAATGATAATTACCAGTTTCTCACAATTATTCTCAAAGTAATCACACAATAAAACAGCATTTGTCTTTTGGTACAACCATATCACATCCATGAGATTTGCCAGTTTAAACATACAATTCAAAGATCAAATGGTTGACAGATTACTGTATAGCTAACGATTAATACTAATATACAGCAACTAGGTTACTGTACACCAATTACAGGCTTACATTTGAAAAAACCACACAATCTGACTCCAGCGATGTTAACCAACACAATCATCAGTTATTTCCCTTAGGAAGCAGTATGTGCAAGATGAACAAGACAAAATTAATAGCTACTATGATGCTTTTACATAGGAAGGCACTCAACTATCTGCCACTAAATTAATCTATAGTATTATCAGAGTTCAAAAGGTCCCTAAAAAAGAATTTAAATCTCACACGACAACAAAGGTCTTTGGATCTTGATATGTTCCAGAACCACTTGAAATCTCTTATTTCATCTAGCAGAGTCCTATAAACCCCACTGGATAAACCAGAGTCAGATCCTGAAGTCCCATTTTTAGATTTCCAAGACACTAAATGATCAAAAGAGTTACAGTATGTAATTGGATCCATCCCCTTTTGAATTACAGAAATCTAAATTTACATATATACAGGAGACTAGATGTTTGCGAGTTCATCAAAGTTAACATGGAGAATTATAATACATGTATCTTAAATACTGTACTTGTAATTTAAAATATCCTTATCAATTTTTTAGTTTCAAGCCAAAATGTATTCTTTGAGTATAGCTCCCCTGACTAGAATTCTGGTTTCTTGTTCCTACATAAACCAGATCAATAATGCATTGTCCACAGTTTTTGGTTCAACATATTTCAAAATAAGTTACCTAGATCTTTGTGGGGCAATCTGAATGTAGACTTCCTTCTAGATTTCTATTTTTTCCCTGTAATCTTTTAGTCATCTTGCCCACACCTAAACTGACTACAATTTTCTTCAGCAATTAATTTGCCTTTATCAAGTTTTCCAAAGCATTTAACTTAGTTTGCGTTTAAACAGTTCTCTTTTCACATTCATTTATCATTGGTTTACGTAATACTTAGTAGAATAATATAAACACATTACAAGTACAATAGAATTAGCCAATTTGGGAAGAAACCTATAACTTCCATGAGCATTCATCTCAACTGGTGGAAGCAGCAGAAAGTAGTTTACATTCATTCAACATACATGGACATTAGTATTTTTAAAAGAAGAATTATTAATCCTGCACATTGGTTAAATGAAGATTAAGGAAACATCTATAGTACCTACATAAAACATTTTAGAAAAAAATACATAAACTATAAATAGTGATCACCTTAGCATATGATAGACCTTACACACAGAAGTCAGAGATTTACTTTTTTACTTTTTTCCAGAAACAACTATCACAGAAAAGGCTACAGAGCTTCTAAGAATTTTACCCAAATTAACTTACTGAATTCTCAAAACCACACTATGAAATAGGCTCTATTATTATCTCCATTTTGCAGACCAAGAAACAAAAGCACAAAGAGGTAGAAAACATTGCCCAAAGAAGTACAACCTGGTTTGAGTGCAATCAAACCAAAGTGGTATGGTTCTGGAATCTCTACTCTATACAATACAGCTTCTAAAGAAGTACTGTTTTGAGTCCTTTTAATAAACATATGTTACTTTTACATCTTAAGAATTGGAGGTAAATAAGCCACGTTCCACATGTCATTCTCCAGTGCAAATTTTTCAGTAGCACTCCTCTTAAGTACACATGCTTTTAATCTGGCATTCAAGGCTCAACCACAACTTGATCCCAATTTGTACTGCTGTGATTTTAATTCAAGCTCCTTATCCAAATAGCCTATAGGTTCTGGAAACCAATGAATCATCTTGAACTGGAATATACACAAGCAGTAGACAGAGAGTCTGTCATTTGACACTGTACAAAGACCAGTATTTGCTTATTTCAGACTCTGAAAATAGTGGCCTGCCTTTTAAAAAGAAATGTCCAGCATGATTTCTTGGAAAAGTATAAAGCACCAAGAATCAGGACCTAAATTTTAAACCTTGATTAACCACTATGTAACTTTACGACCTTGGGAAAATCATTTAAACTCTCTGGAGCTCAATCTCCTTATAAAATAAAAGCAGAGAACTGGAATATAAAAATGAGCTGGAGCCAGTACTAAAATGCAAATTCAAGGCCCTACTCTAAAAACTTGATTGGTCTGAGAATGTTCATTTTAATATAATTGATACATGAGGTCCTTGAGCCACAGTGAGAAAAAAATAACAAAGAGTTCTCTTAAGTCAATTCTAAATGTAGATTCTTAACTTCAGTCAATTAAGGTACTCCTTTACACGTCCAGGATGGGAGTTCTGGCCTGAAAGAAAATCCTTTCGTTCATCATGGGGCTTGTTTTTGTACCTTCCGCCATACCTTTTGTTTAAACACCGAATTAAGACTTAGTAGTACTACAAACTGAACTTCCATCAATCTGTTAAGACATATTGGCACACAGTCAATTCAAATTATTTTTTAAAGCACCTACCAAATGCTAAGTATCCACTGTATTTCATTAATCTTCATTGTTGTGAAATATGATTATCTTAATTTTCTCAGAAGAAAATTTTAAGTTTTAGAGAATATGTACTCTGTAAGTCTCAAAATTTTCTTCTCCTGTCTGAAAATTTCCAAAGAAATTAAATTATCATCCAAATTCACTACCAACATTTTGCTATAACTGAAAATACATAAAACTGATGAGTATTATCATAATGTAATGAAAGTCTAAGTGTTTTTCTGTTTCTTTTCCTTTACTTGTCCTTCTTAACCTTTCTGAGTATATATTTCTTTAACTACAAAGTTCTAGAAACCATATACCGCTTTGCCCTAGAATTACAGATGTTTCATGCTCTGCTGTATTACCATCTGTGTATATACCATCTCACCAACCCCCTTTTAAAAAGCATTAATTTGCATGTATGTGAAAAATAACCTATCTTAATGTTTTCCAAAAAATATTTTACTTTTTAAAAATTGCTTAACGGAGCCGGGCACAGTGGCTCAAGCCTGTAATCCCAGCACTTTGGAAGGCCAAGGTGGGTGGATCACAAGGTCAGGAGATCCAGACCATCTTGCCTAACATAGTAAAACCCCATCTCTACTAAAAATACAAAAAAATTAGCCAGGCCTGCTGGTGGGCACCTGTAGTCCCTGCTACTAGGGAGGCTGAGGCAGGAGAATGGCATGAACCCGGAAGGCGGAGCTTGCAGTGGGTGGAGATCACACCACTGCACTCCAGCCTGGGCGACAGAGCGACACTCCATCTCAAAAAAAAAAAAAAAATTGCTTAATGAATTTTTGTCTCTCTTTTTTTTTTTTTTTTTTTTGAGACAGAGTCTCACTCTTGTCACCCAGGCTGGAGTACAATGGTGCAATCTCAGCTCACTGCAACCTCTGCCTCCCAGGTTCAAGCGATTGTCCTGCCCCAGCCTCCCAAGTAGCTGGGATTACAGGGGCCCGCCACCACGCCCAGCTAATTTTTTGTATTTTTAGTAGAGACGGGGTAATGGATTTTTTTATTGGAGAAAGGGGAGTATCAAAATTGGAAGATGTTTTTGGCCCTTAGAAATTAAGCTGCTGGCATTAGCAAATCATAAGCCTAAACAATACAACTGTAACTCAAGACTCATTTAGCAATAGTTTTAAAGACTAAATAAGGAACTAGAAGCACATCTTTTGTGTGTGTGTTCTGGATTTCAAATTAGATCAGCATCCAGGAAACTATTTAAATCCCATTTCGGTGGAAAACTGTACAGGAATATTATACATATACTACTGTCTATCTTATCTATACTTTTCTTCCTTAAAATTTATTTTATTTGTTGTGATTTAAAAAGCAGCCCATATGCCTTACAGAAAAACTGGAAAAGAAAAAACAAGAAAACGAAACTCCCACAATCCCAACTATCCAGAAACAAATCAGTTAAAAACCCTGGTGTATATGTGTATGTATGTACCCAAGTAAAGAAAAGAAGAAAATTAGTTTTTTTAATTAAGCAAAAGAAAAGAAAAACCTTCGTGTATTTACAACCAACACAGTAAAAACTTTATTTAGGCAAGAATCATCAACAGACGCTACATCTTGAAGAGGAAAGTTTAATGAGGAAGTGGATATTTATACAATCTCAAAGTATTTCCCCAAAAATTAATTAGTAATGTCAAAAAAACATCAACTATACAATAGAGAAACTACTCAACACCTTAACTAAGCTATCAAAATGAACATAATAGTAAAGGGCAAACAAACATCATATGCCTCCAGACGATAGAAAAACACATATTTCTAATCTAGTATTCTAGCCAAAAATGTATAACCTGAATAATGAAGAAACCTTAAGACCAAGCCAAACTGAGGAGCAATATATAAATAATAAGCCTTCCAATGTCATGAAAGACAAAGATGGAGGAACTGTTCCAGATTAAAAGAGACTTAAGGGACAACAAAACTAAATGCAATCTGTGATCTTGGATCGGCTAATGGTACTGAAAAAAATGCTAATAAAGGACATAATAGGGACAACTGATAAAACTAGAATATGGACTATTTAGTATTACATCAATGTTAAATTTCCTGAATTTGACAACTACTCTGTTACTTAGGAAAACATGCGTGTTCTTAGGAAATGCATACTTCAGTAATAAGGGCTGTAAGGGGGCTAGTACTACTGGCAATGAAACCCACTCTCAAATGGTTCAGGAAAAATACCAGGTGTATATATAAAGAGAATAATAAAGCAAACAGCAAAATGTCACAAGTCCGGTGATCTTGGTACACAGTATAAGAGAGTTATTTGTACTATTCAAGTAAATTTTCAGTAAATTTTACATTATTTTTAAGTTAAAACCAAAAATATCTTGGTTTTTTAGCATTCCTCATCATGTGTGTGTGGCAATTTTTTAATTAAAAATTGAATCATCAGTGTGATATATCAATTATTTAGTTTTGGAAGCCCTCCCAAGTACCTTTGAACATTCCTGGAAAAAGGTAATTGTTTTCAGGAGAATTAAACGTGTCTTTCTCTTGCTTTACTCTGAGAAACGCCACTCTACAAACCATGAACACCCACCCCACCACCATCTCTCTAACTAGTCTCAGATAATTAGAGGGGATCAAGATGGTGAATAGTGGCTCTTTGACACCTTGCCAATTCCTGTGAGGCCCATCTGTACTTTCTTCAAATAAATTATGTGAGATTTCCCTATAGCCTTATAACAAATCCTTTATTTAAGCTAGCTAGAGCTGATTTCTGTTCCTTGCATCCAAAAAACTCTAAAACAGCAGGCTTTTAAGAAGGTGAAATAAACTACGGGTTCTCTCAAAGCAGGGACAGTCTCATCTCTCTCTGCATCTGTGGTGCCAGGAAAATAATAGCTACTCAAATTCATCTTTTGTCTGTGCTTCAAAAATATTGTTACAGCGAAGGCTTAATGATGTAAGATGTAATAAGCCTGTGTCAAGGCAACCAATTAAGCAACTTCATTTAAAGAGAAGAAGCAGAGACTTATTTTCTGGGTAAGAGTTACTATGTATCAGACCAACCTGAGACCCCTATTTATGGCTACTGGACCACAGTCCTAACCATTCAAATTAGTCACATCATGAATCTTCCCATCTCAGCCACTTCATTAAAGAGGAAATGGGGTTTTCAAATTCCTGAACGCTGTCTTTCTTTAAATGTTACATAAAGCAAGATGGTAAGAGGAACTGGAGATATCTCTCTGTAAACTCAAAAATAGAAACGATTACATATATTAGTCTCTGAAATAAGAAAACAAAAATATTAGAAGAGTGTATGTTTCTCATACACATTCTCTGAAAGACCCAAACTATGTTTCCCTGACAATATCCTAAGTGGTAATGGTTAATTCTTTTCTTTTCACCATATTCCTCACTTTTTACTAAAAACCACTGACACTAGGCTTCATCTTAGGCCAAACGGTAAGGAAAAGATATTTAATCTTTAAGCTTATTTAACTCAAATAAGTTTAAAATAATTTATAAGTGTAAATTTTTAAGACTTTAAATGGAAATTATTTTAAATACCCTATGAAAACAAAAGTCAACATAAATGAAAAAATTTAAACATTTTTGGTCTCAGATAAAACATGAGACAGCATAATTACATAAACTTTATTTATTTTTTTAGAGATGCAGTTTCGCTCGTTGCCCAGGCTGAAGTGCACTGGCACGATCTCAGCTCACTGCAACCTCCGCCTCCCAGGTCCAAGCAATTCTCCTGCCTCAGCCTCCCAAGTAGCTGGGATTACAGGCACCCGCCACCAAGCCCAGCTAATTTTTGTAGCAGAGATGGGGTTTCACCATGTTGGCCAGGCTGGTCTTGAACTCCTGAGCTCAGGTGATCCACCTGCCTCAGCCTCCCAAAGTGCTGGGATTACAAGCGTGAGCCACCATGCCAGGCCAAGTGAACTTTAAAGTTGTAAGTACCACAAACCAAAACTAACTCAATCCACTATCGTATGCTAGACAGGCATGACCTTAAATGCTGCAACCAAGTTGGCTATTACACAGGTGTGATTACACAATATCATCTTTCTCAATATTAAAATTCAGGACCAAGAATTTTTTTTTTTAATTTACTTATTTACTTTTTTTTTTTTTTTGAGACAGAGTCTCACTCTATCGCCCAGGCTGAAGTACAGTGGCACAATCTCGGCTCACTGCAACCTCCGCCTCCTGGGTTCAAGCAATTCTCCTGCCTCGCCCTCCTGAGTAGGTAGGATTGCAGGCACCTGCCACCACGCCCGGCTAATTTTTGTAATTTTTAGTAGAAATGGGGTTTCACCATGTTGGCCAGACTGGTCTCAAACTCCTGACCTCAAATGATCCGCCTGCCTCGGCCTCCCAAAGTAGTGAAATTACAGGTATGAGCCACCGTGCCCAGCCTATTTTTAATAATTAATATCTGATATGTCCTAGTCTTCTGAAGGAATGTTTCTTCCTTTGGATTAACTCTAAATTAAGCAGCCTAAGAGGTGCTAAGAAATTACCTCTGTCCAATTGTCGTAAAAATAAAGCTACATAGATCATTGCTTATCACGTTGACCTGCATGCAGATCCTTTCTAAACCCAGATTTCATATTTGAAACAGTTTTGAAATACAAAATATTTTAATTAAAAATGATGAACAAGTAGTTTACACATATTATAGGTTAATTATTTACTCATTAAAAGACGTAGTGTCTGTTTTGATGGCATCTTAATGCAACACATCAAAAAAGAATTCTTTGTTGACCTGTTGCATTGAAAATGTCCAACATCCCAAAAAGCTTAAATAGTTTTGGTAAATAACCAAACGAGATTTCCAATAAAACTGTAAAATTCACCTAACAATAAAAAAAGTTTTTCTGTCCAAAAATAAAATCCAATTATGAGCTGTTCATGAGGGAAAAAAAGAACTGATTTCATATCAAGTGAAAACATGTTATCTCGTGAAATATAAGACCAACTGCTTTTCCTGACTCTGATTTAAGTAAAAAGCATCCTAGTTACCAATGGTTAATAAAAACTTCTTTTATCCTTAAAGATATGAATTAAAATCTAATTAACTTACTCTGGGTCACCTTCATTTGATTTTTAATGTAGCACTTAGCATGGAAGTTCACAATAACAAAAAAACAATTTGTTTGCATCATAATATGGTTAATTCTTATCTCTTGCAATTGCTATTAAAAATATTGCAATTGCTATTAAACAGAGTATTTTATATAAAGTAAAATACTCATTTTATATTATACAAAGTAAAATACTGTTTATTTTATATAATGCAAAATACTCATTGTTTAATAGCAATTGCAAGATTTTTAGTTAAATACCATCCACTTCCAGTTTAGTGTAGAAAACAATTTCAACAACAAATACTGTTCCTCCATGTTAAGTAAATTTGTAGGTAATACAAAAAATTATTCTTTCAATGTCAAGAAAAAAATAAGGCTCCTCCCAACATCTGCACATTACAGAACAGGTAGTAAATACGAGCCACTTCAATTTTAAACCCAGCCTAAAAGCCAGTAACATTCACAGAGTAATATTTCAAATAGTATTCCACTCGTTAATTTGCCAGTCAACATAAAAATTAATTTTACCATAAAATAATTATATTTTCAATATTAAAAAGTCTCATAGATAATCTATCATGAAATTGGGGGAAACAAGTCTCACAGAATACAAGTATTTAACATTTATTCTAACACATAACAGGGAACAGTCCCTGATCACCCTACATATTTGAGATGTAAATGTGTTTGCTTCAATAAAAGATTCACATCCAAGAAATAATTAAGCACCTACCATCTGCTAAAAACAAATCCTTTGGAGATAAAAGCTTTTACACATTATTAAAATATTTTTAAAATAGTAAACATAAAATAGCATCTGTTGAGAAAACTGCATACTAGTATTTCCTAACCAGTTTTGATAGCTCTTCAAAGTTCTGTTAGTTTTACACATTTTAAACACACTATGGTTGTACACATTTAAGTCCCAGTAGTAGTAGCTTCCAGAAATGCAGAGCTGTTAGGGTTTACATAAAACACACCTTTAAAAATTAAACCACAGGTTTCTTTAGAAGATTGATGAATGAAAACGAGTACATTATTCTTGGAAATTAAGAAGCCAATTTAAGAAATTATAATTTCCCTAAGACCACTAAGATATGTACTGAGGGGAAATTTTTCTCCTATTAATTAGCTTTTCTCCCTACTGCCTCAATAGACTCAAGAAGTCCTAGAGCTTACTGGGGGCATATATGGCAATGATTTCTCTCTGGAAGCTGTGAGGAAGTCAGACGAGCCAAAATTGTAGGGCAGTTATCAGTCTTACAGAGTTGACGGGAAATGGAGACCTGTCAAGGCTCTACACTTAAACTGGAATCAGAGAGATCCTTTCATTTACACTGACAACGAAAGGATGTATGATCAAAATGTAGGCTCTAAAAATAAAATTAACTCTCCAATTACATTATAGTTCTCTACAAATCCACTTAAACAGATAAACAACTAATCCTTCAAACTCAGCTATCCTAGAACAAAGACCATTTGACTAGTTTCCCCCAAGGAACCAAATTCTTTCAAAACTCTCTGGGAACAAAAATTATGCCTAACCTTCTAATAAATTTGCCTAGACAATCCTAACTTAAAACACACATAGTAAATTAACAAAAAACAAACAATTATAGCCTCGTGATTTATAAAGTAACCATTCAAAATAAGGTACAATACTTAAAAAAAAAAAAAGCCAGTATCATTTTACAGGAACTAAAACATCAAAAAAAAAAACAAAAAACAAAAAAAAACCACCCACCACCACCACCAAAAAGAAACAAAACCTAAAGCAATAAAGCAAGCCAATATGAAGAAAGCTAGTAAACTGAAGACAGCTTTTCCTATAATTTCTAACTTGGTATTTTTCATTTGAAGCCAAATAAGTTCAATTGCTTTGTCTGTCTAGACCTGACCAAGGTCTCTATGAAGAAAACCATCGGGCACAGGCAGTGTTCCCTCCTATGGCCACATAAATCAAATTTTTAAGAATACACTGATTTTGTATATTGAATAGTAAGTTTAAAGTACCAAGCTTCTGAACCACAGACCTTAATCACCCAGCCTTTAAAATAAATGCACAATCTTTACACAGCAGTGAATGATCTGGACTTAAATACTTGCTCAGATCAAAATACAAATGAGTACTGACCCCAAAACCCTACACAAATTTCGCCCACTACCCACCAACATTTCACTTTATAATAAAATATTTCAAATATTCTAAGTAAGGTTGTGTGCTCAGTCTTCCATGATGAAGCTCACTGGTATGTAGAAAATCCTTGAGCCAGTTATTTCTCTAATTATTTCGTAGGCTAGAACCTTATCAACCTAGTTGATACAGTCACCATATGAAGTAAATGCTGCTCTAAAATATTTACAATGGAATAAAAGAATCATGAAACAGTGTATACTCTTCAACCTTTTAAAGTACTACTGGATTGAAAAGCACTCATCTTTCCGTTGCTCCACAATCAGAATGGTCATTAAATGTCATTAATGGCCCACTCACATCTCACTGCTTAGTTCAACCCAAAAAGAA
Organism: Homo sapiens; assembly: GCF_000001405.40. Classification (NCBI taxonomy): domain Eukaryota; kingdom Metazoa; phylum Chordata; class Mammalia; order Primates; family Hominidae; genus Homo; species Homo sapiens. The sequence goes on along the minus strand of NC_000007.14, from coordinate 105,016,629 downwards.
CTCCCACTACGAAAGTGAATTCTAATCTTTCACACTTTAAAAAATTCAGTTAAATGACACCTGACACCATTTAATTTTCAGTCTCAGTCTGTAAGTTTCTGAAAATAGCATAAAATGGATTCAAGACCCTATTATGGTAATGTTTTTATTTAAGGTCTATTAAAACAGACTAAATTCCACAATCCTATAATAGGTAAATGGGCATATTTGAAGAGGAAAAAAATCCAGAATCGGAGCCTTACTTTTAACTTACATAATGATGATAGTATGCTGTAAGACGATTGTTAAAGGCAGCATGAAGCTTCACTTTACCAAATACACAATAAACTTTGAAAATTCTTAAGGAAAGCTTAAATACATGGGAAAAATGGATGGCAAAATATAATGGCATCTCTACACCCAATGAAGTAACAGGTTTAAGCTTGTTTGTACAGCTCCCTAAAATTTAAGCTAAAACACAATACAAAAACCAAAATCCACAAAATGGGTCAAGAGGTGGTTGGGAAATGTCTTACTCTAGATTGAAACATTTAATCATATAAAATAGATGATACTTATACAGTTACTAAACATTTTAATCTACTTTGGCATATTGAATAAAAGATGGTTGGATTAAACCAAACAAAAACTATTATTGGTACCCAAATAATTTTTTTTTAATGTTGAAGCGCACCCATCATCACCACTGAAATTTGCAAGGCTGTTTTTTTTTTTCAAAAGTGGAGACATTTTATTTGCCTTTCAGGAAAAACGAATCAAATTAATCAGCTAAAACACAGCACTGTAATTTGCAGTAAAAAATCAACACATTTTTGTAACTGGCTCGGGGAAGGAAAAACAGCCCAGTCTTTTCATGTAAACATAATAAGCCTGTAATATGCTGCAGACAAACGCACTGCATGGGGTGTGGAGGACCCGAGCTGATTAGATTACCACAACATCAGCCTGGGGCCGCCATTTTTAGAATCTGTAAAGGACAAAAGAGGGAAATTTCAGTTTTTACTCCCCATCTCAGAAATTGAAGGAAAAAAACAGACTATTTTCCAAATAGGTATTCATGTCTCCAGCCTCGAGTTGAATGCACCTCACTTAATTCTCTCCAAGGTCTCCAGAACTCCAAACACCTTACCTTATTCACATCTCTAAAAAGGGAACAAAATAGGCAAAACGAGGTTTACTCTAGAGCTAACTCTAGCGATTCCTCTTTGACTTTAAATTGTATCGTTCTTAAGACAGAGCCCAGCAAGGACGGATCTATACGGAACTAAGGCCAGTAGAAGAGAGCACTCTGGATTGTTTTTTTCTCACCCCCACCCCGTTTAGCACAGTGAACCGTTTGTTTCTCATCTGTGTCTGCTGCCATAGAATTTGTGCCAATCCCTTGGTCAAAATAAGCTTTTCTGAAATGAGCCATATTGTAGATCCTAAGGCTCCGGCACAGTAAAGGACGGCGGTAATGCAAAAGGAGTGGGGGAGGAGACTGAGAAGGCTGGGTACTGGGGTGACCACTTCAGGGGCGGGTTTACCCTCTCCAGGAGAGGATGAGGAGCTAGCTGTCTCGCTCTCCCACAAAGAGAGATGCCCAGGGCGTTCTTCTTACCCCCTTCGTATTCATGTGCACATTATACCAGAGACTGCCCGTCAAGAAATGGAAGAAGAAAATGGGGCCTATATGGCTTTTCAGCACCTGAACAAGACGCGGTTGAGAAAAGGGAGCGCTGGCAGCTCCTGGGACCACTTCGACACAAACCCTACTAACAGTCACAAGCCTCCGTCTTCACTCAAGCGGCCTTAACCCGCTGCCAATGAGGAGTGCGCCCCCTCCCTAACTCCCCCACTCTCAAGGGGGTTTAACTGCCAGTTACCCCTTTCCCAACCCTAAAACCCGCCATAATGCTCCATTTCTAGGGTCAGGGAGAAGAAAGAATAAATTCGATTTAAGCAAGCAACGTCTTGCGCCGGCAAAGACACCTGAGAGTCAACGTCGGCTCCCCCAGCTTAAGGATAAAGATGAGAGACCTCCCTCCCCCTTGAAACACAAGTACCCCAACCCCGCAAGCCCCAGGAACTCCCATGGAGACGACAGGCACTAACCTGTGATGTTCACACACGAGACACCCGAACCCCGTTATGTGCTCGACCCCCAAGGAGTCTCTCCGCACCTCCGCGAACAGGCGACCCCCCGACAGCAGCCACTGCGGACACAGGACCCGGCTCCACACACCCCCTCCCCAAACAGCAGCGCGCAGCCTCTTCACCAGGAACCGAGGAGTAGGGGAGGGGGCAGCCAGGCAGTCAACAGGAACGCAGAGACGACGGCGAGGCTGCTCGGAGTGTCTATGCCCACTCTGTTGCCGCTCCCGAACTCCGGCACGGTCTCCGACTCGGCCCCCTGCGCCCGCTCAGTGTCACTGCCTCTCGCTCTGGGAAAATGGCGGCGGCGGCGGCGGCGGCCGCGGCGGCGGCGGCGGCGGCGGCAAGTGCACGGGGTACGCCCGTCCCGCTCCGCAGGGGCAGAGGGGGAGGGGATGAAGCTGCCCGGCGCCATTTTGCTTGTGGGCTGCCGCCCGCCGTTGCCTCTCCGCGGAGGCTCGAAGATAGCAAACTGGAGGCGGTGAGGGGGACGGAATCTCTGTCTTTCTGACAACAGATGCATTCAACAATCCACCGAAGGTTTGAGGAAGTGTCGGTATTCGGTGGGACTGGTTCTTTCCCCCTTTCCCCCAGTGGCCCTCAAGTCTGGATATAGGTGAGCTTGGGCATGCCAGTATTGGGTGCACGAACAAGGACAGCAGGGCTTGGGAACGAACTCCCTCCCGTCACCCTCCGAAAGCGATACACCTTCTCCCCCTCCCAAACAACCCCAGTCCCGTCTCCCCGTTCCTCTCCCCCTCCTCCCCCAGCCCAGTCTGGCCTCCAGCGCTGGGTGAACCCGGTTGGGGTGTCACTCGACGCCCACTAGGGGCTGAGGAGGCTCCAGTGCGCAGGCTCCGGGCACCGGATAAAAGCGGAGCTGGCGAGTCTAGTGCTGTCTCGATGGAGGAGCAAGAAACGGAAGAGGTCGGGGGGAGAAGCAGCCGGAAAAATGCAGCCACCGTCAACGCCGCCTCCCTGCCACCGTGCTTCGGGGTAAAAAGCTGCCGTTGCCGTCGGTGCAGTTGCCGTCGCTGCCTCCTATACTTCTCTTGGCCTCGGGGAAGGATTTCCCCACCGGTGGGACAATGTGCGGGGAGGGGAGTGGGAATTCCTTTATATGGCGGTGATTAAACGAGGGAGGGACAGACAGTGATCTCGAAGAAAAAAGGGGGAGACCAAAGAATAAAAGAAGGGTTTCCCCACTAAAATGACACGGCGATTCCGGCTCTTGTTTTGGGGGTCTTTCCCCGAAATGGTTTCCGTCTTCCCCTTGCCCCGCAGCGACCCAGAGCGCTGGGGGAAGCGGAGTGGGGAGAGGCAGAGGCGGTCTCGGCAGCCAATCAGCGCCTGATGTGTCCTGTCGGGCGCGTCGTGGTTGGCTGGCGATGACCTCATCCTGCAGCAGCGGGTGGGGCCAAAGCCGTAGGGGGAGGCTGTTGCAAAGGTAGAGAGGGAGAAGTGACGATGGTGATCGTTGCTGCCGCGGCCGATATGGAACCCAAGCAGTGGCGAAGGGAATCGCAAGGCTCTTCCCTGACCATTTTCTACTGTCCCTGCGCGAGGTGAGGGCCCCGGCTCGGCCTCTGCAAAACTTTGGGGCGCTGGCGCGGAGGAGGAGACAGGATTTCTCCCGTGACTTTTGTAACTGCGTCAGGGCAAGATGGCGCTGGGTCTCTTTGGGGCGCGGGGGGAGAGGCACGTCCACCGCCGCAGCGCATGTGACCGGGCTGCATTCCTGTGGGGTTTGGCTCCGACCCAGGCCGGGGCGGGGGAGGGGACAGGGCTTGGGCGGAGGAGACTGTGGTGCGGTCGGCGTTGGCGGCCTGAAGAGGAAGAGATGACTGTTGGAAAGCGTTCCCCTCCCCCATACGGCAGAACAGCTGCGGCTCCCAGGGGAAAGCCCCCGCAGGACAGTCCTCGTGGGGTGTGACGGCTGTTGGTGGAGAAGGTTTGGCGCCCTATTTTCTTATCTGCCTTTCTCCCCGCAAAGTATACTTATGTAAGGTGGTAGTTCCCTGACGTGGGACTCGGAATCAACTAGGAGTCCTTGAGGGCCTCTGGGAGGCCTAGCGAGGGGTAGACCAGCTTCTGGGGGTACAACGTCAAGGAGGATCGATTACTTTCTGAGGAAACAGTTTCTCAGATTGAAATAGAAAAGTATTTCCAAAGTTTGGAAACAAATTTAAAGGTGTAAATAACACCCAGGAACACTTTAATTGCTTTGAAAAGGCATAAGCAGCCATCTGAATTTAAGGGCCCTTTTCAGACTCTTCCTTCCTCCTGTGATTCCTGTTCTTTATTTCAGTTTTCTGTCTGTACATCCCTTAAGAATATAGTTTTGTCGGTGGGATTCGCTCTTTTGTGCCCAGGCTGGAGTGCAGAGGCGAGATCTCGGCCCACTGCAACCTCCGCCTCCCCGGGTTCAGGCGAGTCTCCTGCCTCAGCCTCCCAGGTAGCTGGGATTACAGGCGCCCACAACCACACCCTGCTAATTTTTTCTATTTTTAGTAGAGACGGGGTTTCACCCCATTGACCAGGCTGGTCTCGAACTCTCGAGATCCGCCCGTCTCAGCTTCCCAAAGTGCTGGGATTATAGGCATGAGCCACCGCGCCGGGCCTGCTTTTTTTTTTTTTTTTTTTTTTTGCACTGGGCATTAGTAATACGGAATAAAAGCCGTGTTTTAAACTGTATTAAGTTGTAAGACTTTTCAGTACTTTCAAGTCTGCTTTCTTTCTGTTGCCCTTTTGTAGTTTTTAAAAATAAAAGATGCAATTATAAGCACTTCCGGTGAATATTATTCCTTAAGGTTCCTGCATCATCATGAAATTTGAAGCACTTTTATAGTAGTACAAACTATACTTTTAGCTTTTGAAATCTCGATAGGAGAAAATATCCAGCAGTTTTAGGGGCTATTTTGGCATATTCATTAAGGTAGACTAAGTTTGTTTTTCGTTTTTCCCACTTAGCCAAACTAGTTAAAGTAGTCAAAACTAGCAAATAATTTTTAAAGGGCTTCTCCTTTTGGGTGGTGTAGAGGGTGGGGAGTTATTCAACAAACACATTTGCAGCCAAAATCTGGCCTACTTCTTGGCAGAGCGCTTATACTTGGTGCTACGAGAAAATGATTGCTGGACCTGAAAAGAACCTGAGGTCAAGGTTGTGCTATTTCCTTAAGTCTTAGTTGTAGGCTCTTGGTAGTTTGAAAACAAGATTGGGTTTTTAATTCATTTGTGTATCCTTAAATCCTCACTAGTTTTTGTGGATTTCTTTTTTCAGTTATAAGCAACTGAATGTGGATGAGCTATAAATATTTAGTACAAAGAATGTAATTTGTCCACTCTGAATAGAAAGTAAGCATTAAGAACTCTTGAATGTCTTCAAGGGTTACTTTGTTACGTGTAAGATGTCTCCCCTTCCTTCATAGCAGTTTTTATTCCTGCTTAAAAAGGGAACTAAATATGAAGTCAGTAGATTTTAAGGTAATTTTCAGAATGTTTCTACTTTCACCGTGCCTTAATAAGGAAAAAAGGCCATTTTCCAAGCGAATGGAAACACCCTTTCCTTGTTTTGTGCCTTTAATCAGCGTGTACCTTCATTGTTCCTGATTGCCAAATCCACGAACTTCTTGAGCTCTCAATTTTTCTTGACTTTCCTATGGCATTTTAAATACTGTTCATACTTGGAATTACTTTTCTTTGACTGCCTTCATACATTCATATATTCTGCCTGGGCAATTTCATTTGGGCCTATTATGTTCCAATACCTCTCCAATTTTCACCTCCATCTTAGCTCTGCCAGCTTCAGTGCCACAGGTAGGCAATGTAAAAGTTTACTGGGGACCACAGGCTTTCTGAGCTCAATAAAAATACTAAGCTTGGTACTTGTTTTTTAAGAATTTTCTTCCCCCATCCCCTCACAAAGATTATTTGAGTAAATTACACCCCAACCTCCTTTTCCTTGTTTTTGTTGAAATTATTGTCTCTTAACTTTGGAACATTGCAGTTGCGGTAAGCTTACTAGGTTCACATAGCATATCTTCTGGTGTGTTAAAATTAAAATGCACACCATCTCAAAAGTGCTATGCCATTTCATACCTTTGTGCTTTTGTCCTGCTACCTGGAGTGCGTCTTTCTCACTTCTGGATAATACAATTTGAACCTTTTCTTTGCCTCTTGAAACTGCAAAATCCCTACTCGCAAGTAAATGTGTCATTCTTTATGTTGATAACCCAGCCTAGTGCTTGACACTTGATGGGCATTCAGGTATACATGGTTTTTTAGAGATTGATAAGATTAACTGTGCAGTCTATAAACTGTAAATACTGGCTTTTAAACTCTTTTAAAGGAGCTCTTTTGATAAACAATTTGGATAAGAGATGAAAGGTTAGGGAGGCTCCAGGCAAGGCAGAAGACTGCTGATGGCCCAGAGATAGTTCTGCCCCAAAAAGGTGGGAAGAAGAAAAAAACTGAGCTGGATATTTTTAAGGAAATATATTTTATAGCATTTTTCTTTAATGCCTAGTTTTGCTGCAAGCACTGAAGTTTATCCTGCATTTGTATTTCTTATTTGAAAAAGAAATGGCCTTTGGGGTTTGTTTTGTTTTTTGTTCCTTTGTAAGCACACTGCAAAAGCGGCGTTGTCAGCGTTGTCTTTTGAGGTATCAAACGTGCTTTCAGTCAGCAAATATCTTGTATATAGTACCATTCCTAATAAACTAAATTGGTTATCAACCTAATACAAACGGTACTTCATACAACTTAAGCCTAAACTAGATTAGATTATGTAGAAACTTATTCTTAGAGAATATATCGCCTTAATATTTCTTATCCTGAAAAGAGTATTTCTTAAGTGCCCCTCTCAAAGTATATCGATTAATATTTGTCTCAAATTTAAAACTATATCCTGGTTTTTCCCTTACAGTTGTTTAGCAAGTAAATGTTTACTTACTAATTTATTTTCTCCCAGACTTCATTCTACCAGTTTAAGCTTAGCTCAGTTTTGTTTTTTGGTTTTGAGAAGGAGCTTTGCTCTGTCACTCAGGCTGGAGTGCAGTGGTACGTTCTCAGCTCACTGCAGCCTCCGGCTCCTGGGTTCAAGCGATTCTCCTGCTTCAGTCCGTGAGTAGCTGGAACTACAGGCGCACACCACCACGCCCAGCTAATTTTTGTATTTTTAGTAGAGACAGGGTTTCACCATGTTGGCCGGGCTGGTCTTGAACTCCTGACCTCAGGTGATCTGCCTGCCTCAGCCTCCCAAAGTGCTGGGATTATAGGCGTGAGCCACCGTGCCCATCCTAAACTTAGCTCAGTTTTAATGCTACTTCCATTTCTTTATGTATAGTTTGATGTAAGAATAACAGTTGGAAGTAAGGATTTAGGAATAACAAGAGTTTGGGATTTTTGTTTTTTTAATTAGCAAGGTAATGCCACATCAGGTCATTAGTGACATTAATGAGAGAACAGGGGAATTATTGGAAAGTCTTGACTTAAGGCCAGACGAGAAATCCTTAACTGCTAGTGTGACTTCCCTCCCCACAAAAGAGAATGCTCTCGTAATACACCGAACTGTTGGATGCTGTTGTATATACTTTATATATAATCTTACCCAAGGTGGCAGAGCATTAACTTTAACATCTGTCTCCCTGACCTCACCAGAGTTCATAATCTTTGCCCTACTTACACTGTCTGAAGGATGACTTGGCCTTTTTTTTTTTTTTTTTTTTTTTAATTGAGACAGAGTCTTGCACAGTTGCCCAGGCTGGAGTGCAGTGGCACGATCTCGGCTCACGGCAGCCTCCACCTCCTGGGTTCAAGTGATTCTCCTGCATCACCCTCCCCAGTAGCTGGGATTACAGACGCTTGTCACCGCGCCTGGCTAATTTTTGTATTTCGGGGTTTCGCCATGTTGGCCAGGCTGGTCTCGAACTCCCCACCTCAGGTGATCCGCCCATCTTGGCCTCCCAAAGTGCTGAGATTACAGGCATGAGGTGTGGCACAGGACAGAGAAAGACTTACTTTAAAACATACCTGTCTTCAACCCAGAAGAGACTGGCTTTTAGAGCCCTCAATGTAGCAAGAAGAGCCTGAATCAGAGCAGGAGTGATAAAGAAGGAATCTAAGTTATTACAGAAACATCCGTAATTGTTGCCTGGGTGGGTATAAGGAAGAAGAAGGAATTGACTTTCAAGAAAAATAATTGACATTTGATAGTCTTCACAGATAAAAGCCAAAACAGGGTAGATTCAGTCTTAATAGGAGACAAATTTAGCAAGAAAGCTGAGATCTTGGGTCGGTCTACATTTTAGGCCAAGGAAAAGGAACTGATTGCATTTGTTTTTTAAGATAGATTATACGCCAGTGCATAACATATTTAACCTAAGTCTGATTAGCTTTATAATAATTTTTAAATTATTCATAACTATCCTAAGCAATACCTTTTATTGTTAGATTATTATGTAATGCCCACAAATGATAGATAGCATTTGAAAGTAATTGCTGGCTGATTATAGGCATGGTGGCTTATGCCTATAATCCCAGCACTTTGGGAGGCCAGGGTTGGTGGATCACATGAGGCCAGGAGTTCAAGACCAGCCTGGCCAACGTGGCAAAACTCTGTCTCTACTAAAAATACAAAATAATTAGCTGGGCGTAGTGGTGCACATCTGTAATCCAGCTACTCAGGAGGCTGAGGCATGAGAATTGCTTGAATTGGGGAGGTGGAGGTTGCAGTGAGCTGAGATCGCACCACTGCATTCCAACCTGGGGGACAGAGTGAGACCCTGTCTCAAAAAAAAAAAAAAAAAAGGAATTGCAAGTAGCCTGTAATCCCAGCACTTTTAGGAGTCCGAGGCAGGAGGATCACTTGAGACCAAGCTGGGCAACATGATGAAACCCCTGTCTCTACAAATAATTTTTTTAAAATATTAGCCAGGTGTCTGGCACACGCCTGTAGTCCCATTTACTTAGGAGGCTTAGGTGGGAGGATCACCACTTGAGGCCAAGAGATCAAGATCAGCCTGGGCAACATAGCAAGACCCCCACCTATAGGAAAATAAATCCGAGCGTTCCAAGTGTTCAGCTATTCACCCACTTTAGGTTTCCACCTTCCTTAGAAAGTAGAGTAGTATAAATTATTTCTGAAATTTGTGAAACGATGTACCACATAACCCTCTCAAACCAGGTTGCTACTACTTCCAATGACTTCATTGATAAGGGGCAAAGTAACTCGAATGATGGGTGAGCTCATGACATGGTTTAGCTCCGTATCAAACTCTGGATTTGGGAAAATTGCTACTGATTTATTAAACACTTGAATTCTTATATGCTAGGTCAGAATTTGGCAACTAAACTCTCAGAAATTTGTAAACTTCCTTTTTACATAGAAAAGTGAATCCAGGCTGGGTATGGTGGCACGTGCCTGTAATCCCAGCTGCTCAGGAGGCTGAGGCATGATAATTGCTTGAACCTGGGAGGTGGAGGTTGCAGTGAGCCCAAGATTACACTGCTGTACTCCAGCCTGGGCAACAGAGGGAGGCTCTGTCTCAAAAAAAAAAAAAAAAAAAAAAAAAGTGAATATACTGTACTGTAAAGCCTGTGCACCTCTTCATCACACATAATTGCCTGTACATTATGCCCAGTGCCTGGCCCCTATTGGATTTCTGACAAGCTTTAATGTTGTTAGGTTAAGAGAGAACCTGTTCCTCAAGTTTAGTCT